>NC_000009.12:75095552-75720552 GCF_000001405.40 Homo sapiens | reverse complement strand
ATTTATTGATGGATTCCATATCTGTCATCATTTCAGATGTGTGTATGTATGTATATTCCAAGTTCTTGGTGGTATTAATCCTGTTGTTTTTTGTGTCTGATTACTTTGACTCATGGTGAAGTTTTCCATGTGTTTTGCAACTTTCGAGTGAGAATTAATTTTTCCACAAGGTTTGTTTTCCATATAGGAATCCGTCATCTTTGCTGGTAGCTATATCACATGCGTGTATGCATGTGTGATTGTCTGTTAAGTGCCTCAGGGGTATCACAATAAAAATAAATCCATCCAGCTCTCCAAATACTTGTTCCATGAGAGTTTCTGAATTGGCTTAGTTTGCCGAGTTGCCAGAATTGAAAGTAAAATTAGACTATTATCTGCCTTTTTCAGTGTAACTCTTTTAGTCTCAATAAATCTTTATTTCATGACAGGTATTTCTTGGAGCCATTCTGTGGACACTTTAACTCTTTAACTTGGCCAATAAAAACACTTGGTCACAGCATAGTGGTTAAAAAGAAAAACAAACTTTGGAGTTAGATTGTCTCCAGTTGGAATCCCAGTTTTTTATTACTAGCTTGGTAATTCTGGCCAAGTTACTTAATCTTCCTGATCCTTGGCTTCTTCATGTAAAGAGAGAGAGAGAGAGAGAGAGGGAGAGAGAGAGAGAGAGAGAGAGAGAGAGAGAGAGAGAGAGAGACAGAGAGGGAGAGAGAGACAGAGACAGAAGATATACCTGATTATATTGTATATATATATATATATATATATATGCGTGTGTGCGTATATATATGTATATATATACACACATATATATAAATACTTGGCACATAGAATGAATTTTTCATATGTTAGCTCTTTTCTCCTGAACAGAGATAACTTTCCAGGCTTTCAGGCCATCTTACACATTTCTAAAGCACTGTTGTTGCATTCTGAGCTAGGGCCTAAAATAACATATTACAATTCAGTTAAATTCAGCTAAAACTGATGAAGTAACTATTCAATACCATATTGCTATGGACTGAATATTTGTGTCCCCTCCAGATTCACGCACTGAAACATACCCTAAGTGATGGGATTTAGAGATAGGGTGTTAATGAGATCAGGAGGGTAGAACCTTCACGATAAGATGAGTGCCCTTATAAGAAGAGACTTACTTCCCTTCTCTCTGTTCTTCTCCTTATGAAGACAAGGCAAGAAGATGGCCATCTAGAAATAGGAAGCAGGCTCTCACCAGACACTAGATCTTGATCTTGGACTTCCCAGCCTCAGAACTGTGATAAATAAATGTTTGTTGTTTAAGCCACCCAGTCTATAGCAGCACAAACTGACTAATACATAAACATTGTGCTACGTTTCAAGTTAGGCTTTTCCACCAACAAACTAGCAAATTATGTCACCTCCTATGGCCTATTTCCTTAGGGTCAAGATAATCTTTCATGTCTCTTCTAACTCTTAAACATTTTATGATTCAACGTATTGCCAGGAAAGTATGCTATTCACGTTTTATTTATAAGGGTCAAAGCTATTTCACAAATAGATTCAGGAAGATATAAAAATCCATATCTTTCCCTTTTTGTTAAGCTCCAAAGCCTTGCATAGAATTGGTGTTAAGAACAGAGAGAACAGACCGGGGAGCAACTTTGTACTGAGTGATTGCTGGCAGTCCAGTGCAGTCTGACAATGACATTTCACAAATCAATGCAATGATCCCCATCTATCTTTTATCACCAGGGAGATGTACTTCTTGTGAGTTGTAGCATTTCAGACAGGTATCCCCCAGATTCTTATAAAAAGAATAAGATACATGTGAATTGTCATGACTAAAAACCTTGGATCAACTGGCACTTCACTGTAACAGGAGTTAATTCAAAATAGATATTCATCACCTTTATCACTTTACTCAAGAGAGTTGCAAAGCTACAAAACACACTGGAAAAATCCCTACCAAAAGAAACAACTGCTCAGCAACCACTGAATTATTTGCTGATGTTCATGCGTGGAACACAGAGAAATAATTTTACTTCCAATATCCCCTGACTGAAATACGTATTATTTGATTTTAATGTGGCAAACCTAATTTATAGGCATCTGACAAGAAGGCAAACCTCCCACAGGCAGAACTGTCTTTGGTTTCTTTGAAACATTTGTGTTATTTTTACAATTGTATGTCTGCAAAGAAGAATAATATTTGCTCTCATTCTATTCCCAAGAAAAATTTAATTTTTAAAGCCTTTCGGGGGAAAAAGTAATAATAATGCAGGTAATCAAAACATGAAACAAGGTTCAATTTCACTATCATTCCCCAAGATTGCTCCCAATCTAGTGCATACCAGGAGGGACTAATTCAGTAGATAAACTCAGCAACTACGTGTGCATTAAAAACATCAAAGCAACATTAGTTTGCAAATCATTCCTGAACCTTAATAAAATCATTTCTAATAACAGAACATAGAACGTACGGTGGCCTCCTAGAAGAGTGTGGTTTTGTCTATGTAGATTAAAATATTTCCCTAGTTAGTTGTCAGGGAGAATTAATTTATAATGAGTGTTATACAAAAAAGGTTGAAATAGCTCCTTTGAGAGGACTATTTTACGGATATGTAACCAGAGCCGAAAAATTCAAGGCCTTTGCTAGTGCATCAGATTTATAATAAAAGGTAAGTGACGGTCTTTTGGTTCACAGTATTTCTCAGCTCTGATTGGAACCTTATTTCTTCATAAGATCCTTTTAGCTCTGCTAGCACTTTTCTTTCTTTCCAAATCAGGGCTACACACAATTTTTATTTCGTGTGTGTGAATCTTCTATGTTGTGTTTAGTAGTGACCAAATTAAGCAGGCATAAATTCCTAGTCAGCCACACAGATGAAACAGAATGGGCAGGCTTGCCATCAACACTAGGGCCTCATGGTCCCATTCCCAAGTTCGACCACCTAAGGAAGACAGCATATTGAGATATTGGGTCAGAGTGTGTGTGTATGAATGTGTGTGTACGTGTGTATGTGTGTGTGTGTGTGTGCATGTGTATGTGTCGAGGGTAGGAAGGAGAAGACAGAAGTTTTTCAAACAGATATAATGACAAATGCAAGGGTCTGGAGTTAAGAAAACCTATGGTGTGCTTGACAAATTGAAAATTTTTAACCAAACTAGAGTAAGGTAAAATACAAGCTGGTAAATGGATAGAGAAAAGCTGGAGAGATACAAATTTGCATCAGAACTCTAGAAATGCAAGACAAATAATATTTTTTTATATTTCTAAATTCTAAATATAGCTCAGTTCCTATCTACAGGATTGAGGGTATCTATTCTCAGTCCCAGTTTTCTGATTCTTTCCTCTTCCTTGTTGTACTTGAATTCTGGAGTATCCATATTGTAGAAAAGTTAGTGAGGCACCTTTGATGTTTTGTCTACCCTAGCTGCTGCTCTCCTGCTCTTCATCCTTCCTCCACTCCCCATTTGAAGGCCAGCAGCATCACTCTATCCATCATGAGCACTGCATAGACAGGCACATTTTCCATAGATCCCAAGATACAGCACTCAGGTCTTAGCATTCAAGAACACACATGCATCTAAGGTCCTAACACCCTTTATGGCCTTGAATATAAGCAAAGTCTTGGTCCCTGCCTTTCGTGAAACCCACAGCTCTTCTGTACCCCCAGCTTCACAGTAACCAAGAATTGCTTCTTTCTCTGAGATTGGGTCGAATTCCTCTTTTTCTCAAAGTGTCTGTTTCTATCCTGTCTTATATAGACCAGTGCTTCCCAAACAAAGGCATTTGAGGGTATCTTTAGAGACATTCAAGAAACACAATGGAATTATTTGTCCCCACTATTACTAGGGCAAGGAGTCCAGAAGACAGACACAGCTTTCTTTCCAGAATGTGAATGTAAGAAATGTTTAGCTTTTCATTGTCTTGAGTCTCCTTCAGTAGACTTAGAAAGACAATAAAATGACTCTCCTGCTAGATGAACCATATTAAGGAGTTTGAACCTTACTTTTAGACTATCTTCAGTTGTTTGCTGTAGAATGAGATGAGAGGCAGCAGCAAAGATCCATCTTTTAGGGGCAGTACATTCCATCTGGAAGGTAAAGAACCATCTAACATAACAACAAAAGGATACTCAGCCAAGGAGGCTTCCTTAGGACCCAATGCAAAGGAGAAAGGGTGTGGGAAAAGGCAATACTTAGCATGCAGACCAGGAACAGGAAAGAACAACGGAGAATTTTGACACTTTAAGCTGAAGCAGATGCTGGATAAGTTACTTAGGAAGAGGTACCTTTTAAATCCAGGTTGGTAAAAGCAGCACCCCATCAGAAGCACTTCAGTGATGCACCCCACAGAGGGGGGAGTGGGCAGCTATTTCTATACTTTCTGCCTCAAGTCAGGGATGTTTCTCATATCCAAGAGAGATGATGAAACTGCCTCCGTCAAATGCGGATAAAAAGCCTACACCATAGGGTGTTTGTAAAAGTAAGAGATAATATGCCTAAAGTGCATACAGTTATAGTTACTGGGCACAGAATAGGCACCTAATAAATGGTAAGTAGTCTTACTTTGCTGTGTTATCAACTCCTCAAAGCCCACGCATACACACATAATCACCTCCAATTGCTACATAATACACAATCACCTTTTTCTTGTTTTCTTTATTGTTTTAATTAATAGACAGGCCAGTGGTTTGTTTCTTCACATTAAATAGACTTTCCCTGCCAAATTCCATTATGGTGGGCAGGTGTTCTCACACCCCTAAGTTAGCTGTAAGTGATTCTGTATCCTTACTGGAACATCCAGCTTCACAATCCACACCAGCATGAAGAATGTTGGAGCTTTAAGCTTTTATTAATGAGTCATGAGTAGGTCAGAACTTGCATCCCTTGACGCTTGCTGCAACGATTTCTCATGAGCTTTCTTCTGACCATTTCTCTGTTTTACAGACTGAATGTTTTCTTGTTTGAGATGATCCCAGTGGAATTAACCAAAGAAGCCTAGAACCAAATAAGGGAAGGAGTATGTTTCCAGTACCTGCCTCTGTGGGTGTAATATGACCTCCATGTGTGCTCTGGGACACACAGTGTTGCTTCACTCAGCTTCCGGAGCTGCTGAACTAGTGCCTATTTCAAGGAAAGACTAAATTCTTCTTTCCCCAATGAACTGCATGTTGAGAAAAAACAAAAGTCATATTTACTTGGAAGTCCTTCGTGTGCTAGAAATACAAACACTATGAACATTAGTTACAGATGCAGAAGGCCTGACATGAATAATCAGTGGCATCTCCCCAACCACCCTTACCTAGCTGCCCATGGAAGCGTTATCCTCTCTTTTCAAAGCACTTTCAAAGTTACAACTTTTTGATTTTACAAAAACTATTGTGAAATGTATCATTCATATAAAAAGAATATATAATGAGAGTAACTTTAAAGACTAATAATTATGTAAACATTCATAAAGTTTTCCACCCAGATGAAACAATGGAGCATTGTCATGAACCTTACAGTCCCCTGTCTGTCCCCGCCTGAATTATCTTCCTCTCTGTCCTCAACAGATGTGATCACCACTTTGAATTTTTTGTTAATCATTCTTGCTTTACTTTCTCAAATGGCTGGCTGTATTAGGGTTGTCCAGAGTAACAAATGAGTAGGATGCCCATAAAATATAGAAAACTATTTATTATAAGGAACAGACTCACAATTATGGACACTAACAAGTCCTAATATTTTCAGGGTGAGTCAGCAAACTGGAGGCCCAGGAAATCGAAGATGTTGTCATAGTGTGAAGGCTGGCAGACTCGATGCTCAGGAAGAGTTGATGTTTCAGTTGGAGTCCAAAAGCAGGAAAAAAGCTGTTGTCCCAGTTTTAAAGCCATCAGATGGGAAGAATTCTCACTTGGCTGGGGGAAGGTCAGCCTTTTAATTCTACTCAGGCCTTCAGTTGACTGGATGAGGGCCACTTATATTATGGACGACAGTCCGCTTTACTCAGTCTACTGTGTTAAATGTTAATTTCATCAAAAGTTCCTAACAGAAACATCCAGAATAATGTTTGACCAACTATGTGGGTACCCCATGGCCCAGTCAAGTTGACACACAAAATTAGCCATTCTATGGTTATATCACATATGAATGTGATATTAATTACATAAGACAATAAATATTTTGTTTTGCCTTATTTAAAACTTTACATAAATAGAATCGTCCTGCATGTATTTTTCTGTTATTTTCTTTCACTCAACATCAGGTTTGTGGCATGATTGATTCATGTAGTTTATTTCTTTTTTTCCCCCTTCCATTTTGTATTCTACTGTCTGATAAACTACAATGAATTTATCCACTCTGTTCTGATGAATATATCAATTGTTTACAGTTTTTTTTTACAAGTCTTAGAATAGCTGCTATGATTATTTTGGTGCAAGTCTTCTGTTGCTTTTGGTTGCATTATTCAGATCAGCTCTATCTCTACTAGTACTTAAGATATAGACCAGGCTACTGTAGCAAAGCCCAACAGATCTGTGACTTACACAAGGTAGAAGTATTTCTCTCTTCCAAAATAGTGTAAGCATCAGTAATTCCGGGCTGCTACCTACTGTACCTATTCAAACATATGCATACACACCTCTCACCATATATAACCCAACACTCCCTCTCCAAGGACCACAGTCCCTCCCTGAAATCCCATGCAGAAGTGTGGAATCTGAGTGATGCCCTGTTCACACCACTAGGTATGGCTATGTGACCCCGCCACCCATCAATGCAGGCTACTTATATGTCCACCCTCATCACCCTCCTACACAGTAGTGGAAGATAAATAAGAGAATGACAATAAAAACTCCCCAAGAAGAGGGAACATAGGGGACATCCAGCAGTCACTTCTCCATAGGAAAAGTTTAATGCTTCTGGGCAGGCTTTGTGGAGACTTCCTGTCCTGGCAGTGGAGGAAGATTCTTGCTTAGTTCATGTGGATCCTATTGTTTCATGTTTCTGGCAGAAACTCCTTTGTCTTTTGTCCGCTGACTTTGCCATTAGAAGGTGCTTTCCTGTCTATTACACATCCTGCAGTCACATGGAAATGGCTATTGGAAAATGCTTTCTCCTTCGGGAGGCAATGATATTGCTGGCGATTCCTGCTCATCCAGACTTGGGGGCTTGACCCCTTAAAGGAGTCAAAAAGCACAGATTTTTGCAGGCTAGACATGTGGGGATTTTGGCAAAATTCTCTTAGGCGTCTTACACTGCTGGCTTCTGGTCAGTTTCATGTTAGAGTGACCACAGCCAAAGATCTTATGTCAAACAGAGCTGTCCAAGTAGTGCACTGGGTATACTGGTTAGCCACAAACAGGTTACAAATACACCCAAGACATTATTTCCCTTAGCCTCTGTTTGAAATGACTGGAGCATGCAGGCTGGTCACCACTGGCCATGAGTAGCCTCATTCATGCATGCCTATGGTGACACAAAGGTTATAGTATGTTATAGGGGCATGATGTGGACAGAGTTGGAAAGTACTAATCTAAACAGAGTTTTCCAATTCTGGAGTTTTATTAATGATCTCTGTGTTTTGCCAGTCCCACTCTACTTCAGCCTATTGGCAGTTACCTTGAAGTTATTCAAGATAAAGGAATTGAGAGGGAGGGCTGTGTCAGCATGTGGGAAACCTGCCAAAATATCTCAGGAGATAGATTTACCAGATGATTTGCTGCAGGCCTGCAGATTCCAGCCTGCTGTGTCTGCATTCTCAGAGCCTACAGTGCACCTTCCCAGGGCATGCCATCAAGATTCTGTTCCTACAGTTCCACTTCTAGAGTTGAAATCTGCATGTGTTATGATACTGATATTGTATCAAAGACTCAAACCAGCCAGGAGTTTACTTCCCTCTTATGTAGCAGCGATCACATAAGCAATCCAAGAGGTTTATAGTGTCCAGGGCCCACATTCCTATTTTGTTGATCTTCCCCTCGACACATGCCTCCATCTCATGGTTCATCTCTAACTCCTACCTTCACATATCTATTCCAGCTAGCAGGAAGGAAGACAGGAGGGACCTGGACAGACCACATTTTCCTTTTAAGGGCATTATCCAGAAGGGGTACTTGTCACTGCTGCATTTTTTCCTTTACCAAGAGCTTAGTCGCATGAACACACCTGGGTATCAGGGAAGTTGGGAAATGTGGTCTTTATTCTGGATAGCCAAGTACTTATTTCAAGAAAGGAAAAAGCTCCACATATCAGGCTGAAAGTAGCTGTGACTGTCACAATCCTTATGATTTTTCTTTGCTTTATCTAGCCATGATTGAGCATGTTTTAAAAATCTTCTGCTATGCCAGTGGATTTGCCAATTTCTCCTTGAGTTCTATTAACTTTTGCTTTATATTTTTCTAAGCTATAGTATTAGGGTATTCAAAGTTAGAAATGTTATATCTTCTTGGTGAAATTAACCACTTGTTAACATGCTGTGATCTTTATCTCTTATACTATTTTTGGTATCAAATTCTATTTTGTCTAAAATTTATGTGTTGACTTCCTCCTCCCTTCTTGTAGTCAGTATCTGCCTGATGTATCTTTTTCTATTGTTTTACTTTCAATCATCTTAAGTTTTCATATTTCTAGTATAAACCATATATAGCAGAATTTTTAATGTATATTCACTCAATGTACTCGTACTCTATTATAGTAATTTATTCATTTAATGTTTAATGTACACGTGGCTTGTTTCCAGTCTTGCTATTACAAATAGAGGTGCAATATTTAGCCATGTGCTGAGATTAATTTGTATTTTTTTCTGATATGTCTTTGGAATAGATTCTTAGACATGGGGTTGATATGTAAAAGAGTAAGTGCCTATGCTTTGTACTAGATATTCTCCTCCCCTGAGGTGGAAGCATTTTGTGATACCAAGTGCAATAGATGAGAATGTCTGTTTCTCTACAGCAGAACAGCAGTGGAGAAGGAGGCACTCTGGTATTTTTTGTCCATTTAGTAGCAGCAAAGTATTATCTCAGTATGCTTTTATTATGACCAAAGTATCATTTTGCCATATGCTAAAGAGTCATTTGCATTTATATTTTCTGTGAAGTATCAGCAACACTTTAAATTTTTGGCCTGAGGATCTTTGGTCTTCACATTTAAATCCATGTTTCAATATCAGGTGATGGAAGGCTATAGTAATGAATTCTCAGAGGAGACTTTTTTCTCCTGATACACCCAGAGCCAAGAGTAAGACTGAAACTTCTACAGAATGGAGTTGTGGCTAGTTCATCTCCTTGAGGTCTCACTCTTATGAGTCTTGGCTCTCTGCAGTGTTTTCTAACCTGTTCTTTTCTCCTTGAGCTCCAGGTTTGTTTCTTGAGCCCTCTCATATGTAAAAGAGTGGCCTCCAGCCTCCAGCACCCTGGGGATACAGACCTTAATGCCTCTTTAGCTTATTTTGAAGCAATTATACCTATTTTATATCTAGCCTATGATTTTTTCTTCTTACTTTATTGGCTGGTCAGCTATGGTTAAAAACAGTGTTTGGAAAATAATTTTATTCTGCATTTTCAAGTCTTGAGAAACAATAATATTTTCAGTACAGGTAGTCTATAATATTGCAAAAAATGAAAGACTTCAGAGTTGTATTTTTATAAACATATAAATGAATATTTGTTTACTGACCAGATAAGTGGAAGCTCCATAACAGTTTTTGAATGAATACAAATGAATGTGAACAATATAAAGACTATAGAGATGAATGGGACAGTGGAGATACTAGAGGTGGTATCAGGAATTAAACTCAGACTCCAGGACACAGCCATATCCTGACAGGTCTGCAGGCCCTGAGAGGTTATGCGTTTGTGCGAGGAATCAGTAATAAACTGAAGTAGTAGCTGACGTGGTAATGTATAAGCAATAAAGATCAACTGAAAAAGTAAATTAGCCATGGTTATTGACTAGAAATAAAATAATAACGTTATTATCATTTCCAATTTATTTAAGCACTGGAGATGTGACAAGGAAGAAAATCTGACTTGGGGATTATTAGAGGACAAAAGAAGACATTGAAAGAACCATCTCATAGGTGGTTGAACAAGAGAATAGTAAAATCAAAAAGTGATCTATGGCCTGCTTCCTGACAAGATGGAATAACAGGACTTGATTATACTCCCTCTCCACCCTACACCACCCTCTACTCTTAAGAGTGAAATAAACAGAAAAATATATTGTAAAATGTTTTTCAGACATTAGATAACAAACAGTGCAAGACAGTGGTCTCTGAGAGAGTGGAAATAAATAAAGTGAGGCCTACCATTGCCCCAGCCTATAGCTTGTAGAATGTTTCCAGGCCACAGTACAGCAACGGAAAGCCTTGAGTTCTCCTTGAGTTGAGGAGTGGAGATGGGAGTTTTCAAGGCTGAGAGATTCTGAATTCACAGCCTAGCATACCAGAGAAAGGAGGTTCAGAGAGAGAGAGAGGAGAGGGAGGGAGGGAGGGAGAGAGAGAGAGAGAGAGAGACAGAGAGAGAGAGAGAGAATGAGAGAAAGAGAGAGAGAGAGATCTACTTGCTAACTAGCTTATGC
This sequence comes from Homo sapiens, assembly GCF_000001405.40. Lineage (NCBI taxonomy): Eukaryota > Metazoa > Chordata > Mammalia > Primates > Hominidae > Homo > Homo sapiens. The sequence continues at coordinate 75,710,010 of NC_000009.12, read as the reverse complement.
ATGTGACAAAACCACCTGAGTTCAGGGAAAGAACTACCCAAAAGGAGAAGGTAAAGCAACCCCTGGAATGCGCACAGGGCTGGGATCATTCCTGTTTCCACCAGTCAGAGCAGACAAACCTTGTAACTCACAGAGCACTAGGTAGAGTACTCAGAAGGCTATGCCTCTAATAGCAGAGCAAAATCAGCCCTAGAACAAAGGCTCTTCCGGTCCCACCTTACAAAGCTTAAGAGCAAGCCTCAAAAAGATCCAAGAATTCCCAAGTAACTTATCTGGATGCTAGAAAAAAGTTTATGGATATTGAAAAAAAAGAATATTCAACACCTAGCCATGTAAAATTCAAAACATTTGGCATCTAAATCTATTAGACACACAAAGAAGCAGGAAAGTATGATTCATGAGCAGAAAAAAACAACTTATCAAAGCTGACCTGGAAATAACAGAGGTGATAGAATTAATACCAAGTATATTGAACCAGTTATTAAAACTGTATCCTATATGTTGAAGAAGTCAGAGGAATACATGAGCATGTTAAGGAGAAATCTAGAATAGATGAAAAAGTTCCCGGCTGAACACCTAGGTATGAAAAACACAGTGTCTGAGATGAAAAATGCATAGAATGGGATTAAAAAGATGTGTCAAACTTAAACAATTAAATTCAGAAAAATTGATTCAGAGTTTATTTGAGAACAAAGCATGAAGATGAGCCCTGAGAAACATAGACTCCAAAGGAATGAGGTCACTGTTCAAGAGTGGGGAAGTTAAAGTTTCAGTTATATAAGCAGAGACAAACATTTTTTTAAAGAAAAATGCTTAAGTTTATTAGCAGTCAGGGAATTGAATCAATAAATATTGATCTTTAGCAGAAACAAGTAAAAAAACTTCTATTGCTAACAGAGATATGAGGGAAAAGATTCTTATGCCTCATAGGTATGATTTTTTTTCTCCTATAATATTGCTAATGTGATGACACCAGTGGTTTCTATTCAGGGAGAAACATGTTGTAATGAAAAGTTTGGTTTATTTGCACTTGGAATACTATTATGTGGCTTAGCCACTTAGTAGTACCTTGTCTCAGACAACTCACGATTCTCATGATTCTCTGCTGTGGGCTTCAGTTTAGTCATCAAGACAGAGAGTTTCATCTAAGTTATTAGATTAAACTCTTCAATCTAATTTTCCTCATAGTGAGTGGAAGTAACCATCCTTAGGTGAGTACTTTCCTCTGAGGCTGAATATCAGATAATGTGTATACAAGGTTTTTGGAAATGATACAATGGGATTCAGAGAATATTAGGACAGGCCATGAGCTTTTCAGTACCAGAGTCCCAGAACAAGTTATACAAATTTTCTAAATGTAAATTGCAGTAAAGAAGGGGCTTGTAAAGGAGGCTCGATTTCTTGGTTGCATTTATTTTTGGATTGTTCTGCAGGCATAGAACAGCACTGTCCAACAGAACTTTCTGCAAAGATGAAGATGCTCTTGGATCTAAGTATTTTCCAATATAATAGCCACTAGTCACATGTAGTGGGTGAGCACTTGACATGTGTTAGTGAAACTAAGGAACTGAATTTTTAAATTTTATTTAATTCTAATTAATTTAACTTTCAATTTAAAAAGCAACATATGGATAGAATAGTACTATATTGGACAGGACAAGAAGCCTAGGCTACACACACCTATTATTAAACGTTCATGTGAGGCAGATTATAACCAGATTCCAATGAGAGACATGTGAGATTTGTATTTGCCAAGGCTAAAATGAATATTAAAATGTTTTTGGTGAGGCAAAGAACAGAAAAAGAGAACTATTAATAGAAGATATTAAATTTAAGGAAATTTATCAGACAGTAGAAGCTAAAGATTCAGACTTCTCAGCCAGAAGTCCACACGTGCTGGCCTAGGTGCTTTCGCAGGTCAGCTTTTGCTTTCTCTGCAGACTCCTTGCTGCCCAACACAATGTTCCCATTGCAGTCCACGTCGTCAGTCTTCTGGAGGTTGTAGCCTTGGCTCTGCTCTTTTCTATGTTGTGAGTCTCTGACATGGGCTTCAGTTTATTAGTTAAGACAGACAAATTTTAGCAGGATTAAATTTTTTTTTTCTGAGACAGAGTCTTGCTCTGTTGCCCAGGCTGGAGTGCAAAGGTGTGATCTCGGCTCACTGCAACCTCTGTCTCCCAGGTTCTAGCAATTCTCCTGCCTCAGCCTCTCAAGTAGCTGAGATTACAGGCATGCGCCACCACACTCAGCCTTTTTTTTTTTTTTTTTTTCTTGTATTTTTAGTAGAGGCGGGGTTTCACCATGTTGGCCAGGCTGGTCTCAAACTCCTGACCTCAAGTAATCTGCCTCCCTCGGCTTCCCACAGTGCTGGGATTACAGGGGTGAGCCACCGGGTCTAGCCAATTTTTTTTTTTTAAGACCAGGGTTCAGGGTATAGCAATTTGGTTACAGATTGCTACATTATAAGGAAGATTACTTTATTACTCCATGATGGGGGGTGAGGTAATGATCCCAGGAAGTCTCAACTCCAGCACCATTTGGCCTTCCTAATTATTTACAGGAGAAAAAGGCAGAAGTTGCAGCTACATGATTTGTGACTCAGGCTGCACAGCCACATGCCTCTTAAGGCTCAGAATAATTTAAAGTTCCAACAACTTCAAGCTTGAATTAATTAATTTCACAGATGTTAGATATTACAGAAGAAAATAGCAGTGAATTTGAAGATATACAGCAGAAACTATCTAAAATGAAATACAGGCAGCTGGAGCCAAGATGGCTGAATAGGAACAGCTCCGGTCTACAGCTCCCAGCATGAGCGACGCAGAAGATGGGTGATTTCTGCATTTCCATCTGAGGTACCAGGTTCATCTCACTAGGGAGTGCCAGACAGTGGGCGCAGGACAGTGGGTGCAGCACACCGTGCGTGAGCCGAAGCAGGGCGAGGCATTGCCTCACTCTGGAAGTGCAAGGGGTCAGGGAGTTCCCTTTCCTAGTCAAAGAAAGGGGTGACAGATGGCACCTGGAAAATCGGGTCATTCCCACCCGAATACTGCGCTTTTCCGACGGACTTAAAAAATGGCGCACCAGGAGATTATATCCTGCACCTGGCTCAGGGTCCTATGCCCACAGAGTCTGGCTGATTGCTAGCACAGCAGTCTGAGATCAAACTGCAAGGTGGCAGTGAGGCTGGAGGAGGGGTGCCCGCCATTGCCCAGGCTTGCTTAGGTAAAAAAAGCAGCCTGGAAGCTCGATCTGGGTGGAGCCCACCACAGCTCAAGGATGCCTGCCTGCCTCTGTAGGCTCCACCTCTGGGGGCAGGGCACAGACAAACTAAAAGACAGCAGTAAACTCTGCAGACTTAAATGTCCCTGTCTGACAGCTTTGAAGAGAGTAGTGGTTCTCCCAGCACGCAGCTGGAGATCTGAGAACGGGCAGACTGCCTCCTCAAGTGGGTCCCTGAGCCCTGACCCCTGAACAGCCTAACTGGGAGGCACCCCCCCAGTAGGGGCAGACTGACACCTCACACGGCCGGGTACTCCTCTAAGACAAAACTTCCAGAGGAACAATCAGACAGCAGCATTCGCGGTTCACGAAATCCACTCTTCTGCAGCCACCGCTGCTGGTACTCAGGCAAACAGGGTCTGGAGTGGACCTCTAGCAAATTCCAACAGACCTGCAGCTGAGGGTCCTGTCTGTTAGAAGGAAAACTAACAAACAGAAAGGATATCCACACCAAAAACCCATCTGTACATCACCATCATCAAAGACCAAAAGTCAATAAAACGACAAAGATGGGGAAAAAACAGAGCAGAAAAACTGGAAACTGTAAAAAGCAGAGCGCCTCTCCTCCTCCAAAGGAACGCAGCACCTCACCAGCAACGGAACAAAGCTGGACGGAGAATGACTTTGACGAGTTGAGAGAAGAAGGCTTCAGACGATCAAACTACTCTAAGCTACAGGAGGAAATTCAAACCAAAGGAAAAGAAGTTGAAAACCTTGAAAAAAATTTAGACTAATGTGTAACTAGAATAACCAATACAGAGAAGTGCTTAAAGGAGCCAATGGAGCTGAAAGCCAAGGCTCGAGAACTACGTGAAGAATGCAGAAGCCTCAGGAGTTGATGTGATCAACTGGAAGAAAGGATATCAGTGATGGAAGATGAAATGAATGAAATGAAGCGAGAAGCGAAGTTTAGAGAAAAAAGAATAAAAAGAAATGAACAAAGCCTCCAAGAAATATGGGACTATGTGAAAAGACCAAATCTACGTCTGATTGGTGTACCTGAAAGTGATGGGGAGAATGGAACCAAGGTGGAAAACACTCTGCAGGATATTATCCAGGAGAACTTCCCCAATCTAGCAAGGCAGGCCAACATGCAGATTCAGGAAATACAGAGAATGCCACAAAGATACTCCTCGAGAAGAGCAACTCCAAGACACATAATTGTCAGATTCACTAAAGTAGAAATGAAGGAAAAAATGTTAAGGGCAGCCAGAGAGAAAGGTCAGGTTACCCACAAAGGGAAGCCCATCAGACTAACAGCGGATCTCTTGGCAGAAACTCTACAAGCCAGAAGAGAGTCGGGGCCAATATTCAACATTCTTAAAGAAAAGAATTTTCAACCCAGAATTTCATATCCAGCAAAACTAAGCTTCATAAGTGAAGGAGAAATAAAATCCTTTACAGACAAGCAAATGCTGAGAGATTTTGTCACCACCAGGCCTGCCCTAAAAGAGCTCCTGAAGGAAGCACTAAACATGGAAAGGAACAACCTGTACCAGCCACTGTAAAATCATGCCAAATTGTAAAGACCATCAAGGCTAGGAAGAAACTGCATCAACTAATGAGCAAAATAACCAGCTAACATCATAATGACGGGATTAAATTCACACATAACAATATTAACCTTAAATGTAAATGGACTAAATGCTCCAATTAAAAGACACAGACTGGCAAATTGGATAAAGGGTCAAGACCCATCAGTGTGCTGTATTCAGGAAACCCATCTCATGTGCAGAGACACACATAGGCTCAAAATAAAAGGATGGAGGAAGATCTACCAAGCAAATGGAAAACAAAAAAAGGCAGGGGTTGCAATTCTAGACTCTGATAAAACAGACTTTAAACCAACAAAGATCAAAAGAAACAAAGAAGGCCATTACATAATGGTAAAGGGATCAATTCAACAAGAAGAGCTAACTATCCTAGATATATATGCACCCAATACAGGAGCACCCAGATTCATAAAGCAAGTCCTGAGTGACCTACAAAGAGACTTAGACTCCCACACAGTAATAATGGGAGGCTTTAACACCCCACTGTCAACATTAGACAGATCAACGAGACAGAAAATTAAAAAGGATACCCAGGAATTGAACTCAGCTCTGCACCAAGTGGACCTAATAGACATCTACAGAACTCTCCACCCCAAATCAACAGAATATACATTTTTTTCAGCACCACACCACACCTATTCCAAAATTGACCACAGAGTTGGAAGTAAAGCACTCCTCAGCAAATGTAAAACATCAGAAATTATAACAAACTATCTCTCAGACCACAGTGCAATCAAACTAGAACTCAGGATTAAGAAACTCACTCAAAACCACTCAACTACATGGAAACTGAACAACCTGCTCCTGAATGACTACTGGGTACATAACTAAATGAAGGCAGAAATAAAGATGTTCTTTGAAACCAATGAGAACAAAGTCACAACATACCAGAATCTCTGGGACACATTCAAAGCAGTGTGTAGAGGGAAATTGATAGCACTAAATGCCCACAAGAGAAAGCAGGAAAGATCCAAAATTGACACCCTAACATCACAATTAAAAGAACTAGAAAAGCAAGAGCAAACACATTCAAAAGCTAGCAGAAGGCAAGAAATAACTAAAATCAGAGCAGAACTGAAGGAAATAGAGACAAAAAAAACCATTCCAAAAATTAATGAATCCAGGAGCTGGTTTTTTGAAAGGATCAACAAAATTGATAGACTGCTAGCAAGACTAATAAAGAAGAAAAGACAGAAGAATCAAATAGATGCAATAAAAAATGATAAAGGGGATATCACCACCGATCCCACAGAAATACGAACTACCATCAGAGAATACTACAAACACCTCTACGCAAATAAAGTAGAAAATCTAGAAGAAATGGATAAATTCCTCCACACATACACCCTCCCAAGACTAAACCAGGAAGAAGTTGACTCTCTGAATAGACCAATAACAGGCTCTGAAATTGTGGCAATAATCAATAGCTTACCAACCAAAAAGAGTCCAGGACCAGATGGATTCACAGCCAAATTCTACCAGAGGTACAAGGAGGAACTGGTACCATTCCTTCTGAAACTATTCCAATCAATAGAAAAAGAGGGAATCCTCCCTAACTCATTTTATGAGGCCAGCATCATCCTGATACCAAAGCCTGGCAGAGACACAACAAAAAAAGAGAATTTTACACCAATATCCTTCATGAACATTGATGCAAAAATCCTCATTAAAATACTGGCAAACCGAATCCAGCAACACATCAAAAAGCTTATCCACCATGATCAAGTGGGCTTCATCCCTGGGATGCAAGGCTGGTTCAATATACGCAAATCAATAAATGTAATCCAGCATATAAACAGAACCAAAGACGAAAGCCACATAATTATCTCAATAGATGCAGAAAAGGCCTTTGACAAAATTCAACAACCCTTCATGCTAAAAACTCTCAATAAATTAGGTATTGATGGGATGTATCTCAAAATAATAAGAGCTATCTATGACAAACCCACAGCCAATATCATACTGAATGGGCAAAAACTGGAAGCATTCCCTTTGAAAACTGGCACAAGACACGGATGCCCTCTCTCACCACTCCTATTCAACATAGTGTTGGAAGTTCTGGCCAGGGCAATCAGGCAGGAGAAAGAAATAAAGGGTATTCAATTAGGAAAAGAGGAAGTCAAATTGTCCCTGTTTGCAGATGACATGATTGTATATCTAGAAAACCCCATCGTCTCAGCCCAAAATCTCCTTAAGCTGATAAGCAACTTCAGCAAATCTCAGGATACAAAATCAATGTGCAAAAATCTCAAGCATTCTTATACACAAATAACAGACAAACAGAGAGCCCAATCATGAGTGAACTCCCATTCACAATTGCTTCAAAGAGAATAAAATACCTAGGAATCCAACTTACAAGGGATGAGAAGGACCTCTTCAAGGAGAACTACAAACCACTGCTCAAGGAAATAAAAGAGGATACAAACAAATGGAAGAACATTCCATGCTCATGGGTAGGAAGAATCAATATCATGAAAATGGCCATACTGCCCAAGGTAATTTCTAGATTCACTGCCATCCCCATCAAGCTACCAATGACTTTCTTCACAGAATGGAAAAAAAAACTACTTTAAAGTTCATATGGAACCAAAAAAGAGCCCGTATCACCAAGTCAATCCTAAGCCAAAGAAGAAAGCTGGAGGCATCACGCTACCTGACTTCGAACTATACTACAAGGCTACAGTAACCAAAACAGCATGGTACTGGTACCAAAACAGAGATATAGACCAATGGAACAGAACAGAGCCCTCAGAAATAACACCACATATCTACAACTACCTGATCTTTGACAAACCTGAGAAAAACAAGCAATGGGGAAAGGATTCCCTATTTAATAAATGGTGCTGGGAAAACTGGCTAGCCATATGTAGAAAGCTGAAACTGGATCCCTTCCTTACACCTTATACAGAAACTAATTCAAGATGGATTAAAGACTTAAACGTTAGACCTAAAACCATAAAAACCCTAGAAGAAAACCTAGGCATTACCATTCAGGACATAGGCATGGGCAAGGACTTCATGTCTAAAACACCAAAAACAATGGCAACAGAAGCCAAAATTGACAAATGGGATCTAATTAAACTAAAGAGCTTCTGCACAGCAAAAGAAACCACCATCAGAGTGAACAGGCAACCTACAAATGGGAGAAAATTTTCGCAGCCTACTCATCTGACAAAGGGCTAATGTCCAGAATCCACAATGAATTCAAATTTACAAGAAAAAAAACAAACAACCCCATCAAAAAGTGGGCAAAGGACATGAACAGACACTCTCAAAAGAAGACATTTATGCAGCCAAAAAACACATGAAAAAATGCTCACCATCACTGGCCATCAGAGAAATGCAAATCAAAACCACAATGAGATACCATCTCACACCAGTTAGAATGGCAATCATTAAAAAGTCAGGAAACAACAGGTGCTGGAGAGGATGTGGAGAAATAGGAACACTTTTACACTGTTGGTGGGACTGTAAACTAGTTCAACCCTTGTGGAAGTCAGTGTGGCGATTCCTCAGGGATCTAGAACTAGAAATACCATTTGACCCAGCCATACCATTACTGGGTAGATACCCAAAGGACTATAAATCATGCTGCTATAAAGACACATGCACACGTATGTTTATTACAGCACTATTCACAATAGCAAAGTCTTGGAACCAACCCAAATGTCCAACAATGATAGACTGTATTAAGAAAATGTGACACATATACACCATGGAATACTATGCAGCCATAAAAAATGATGAGTTCATGTCCTTTGTAGGGACATGGATGAAATTGGAAATCATCATTCTCAGTAAACTATTGCAAGAACAAAAAACCAAACACCGCATATTCTCACTCATAGGTGGGAATTGAACAGTGAGAACACATGGACACAGGAAGGGGAACATCACACTCTGGGGACTGTTGTGGGGTGGGGGAAGGGGGGAGGGATAGCTTTAGGAGATATACCTAATGCTAGATGACGAGTTAGTGGGTGCAGCGCACCAGCATGGCACATGTATACATATGTAACTAACCTGCACATTGTGCACATGTACCCTAAAACTTAAAGTATAATAGAAAAAAAAAGAAGTTTAAAAAAAAAAGAAATACAGAGAGGAAAATATCTGAAAAATAATAACCATCAGCTGTAGGACAATTAAGTGTAGCTAATATGTTTATAATTTTGATGGGAATGCTTTGTATCTGATTTTGGTTGTGGCTGCATGATCATGTTTTCAAAACTGCAGAAATCTACACTAAAAATAGGGTGGATTTTTCCTCCATGTAAATTATAACTTGGTAACTTTCAAAATTGGAAAAAAAGTGATCAGTAGCAAGCAATTAAACCAAGCTGAACTTCTAGCAAAATAATGCAGAAGGACCATGTTCAATGTTCTAGGCTTTTCCTTTTACTATTTTATGAGCAGAAAGACCAAGGTTCCCTGTCCTGGCTCTTTCTTTATTAATGATAGGGACCCAGACATGTCACTTAACCTTTCTGGGACTCAGTCAGTTGACTCATCTTGAAAGTGGAGGTAATTTAATTCACTTCCTAACTTAGTTCTACATTGAACAATACTCACTGAGTGCTGATGGAGTGCCAGGTACTATGGGAAAAGAGACTTACTGGCTGTCTTCGAGGGGCTTAGTCACAGAATCACAGGATAAATAGAGCATATCTCTGAAACACTCAGAGATCCTCTGGTCTAACATAAAGCAACTGATGTCCCAACAATGAAAATAACTTCTTGCTCAAGGGTTTTGAATTCATTAGTGTCAGAGCTGTGAGTACAACCTGTCTCCTGTCTAAAATGCAGACCTATTGTTAATGATAAGGTTAAAAATAAAAAGCTGTTCTTGTTCCTCCAGCAAAGGTTATTTTCCCTTTAATTTTGAGAGAGTAAATCAGTAGATGCTTGCAGAAGCCAGGAGTACGGATTAGTGCTATTATTATTTTACCTGGACTGTGTTTTTAAAGAATTTCAATGACATCTACATCTGAAAATACAGGAATTTTACATAAAAGTTGGGATTTAAAAAAAAGAATTTTAATATCTGGCTCTACTGGCACTGAAACTCACATTCTGATGGGGTGACACTGATAGGGTGATAGTCACTGATAGGGTGACAGTCACTGAAAATAAATAGCTTTTCTAATTAGCTAAGACCCAGGATCTCTGGTGGCCATAGTCCTTACCCACCCTAACTCTTTTATTTGTTACCTGTTTGGCCCCTAAAAGACATTATATTTTACAATCCCTGCCTTAAATTTATGAGACTGCTCCCTAATGCCTGATTGTAGTTACCATCCAGCCAAGATTATTTTGGGCACCACAGCCTTCCCAATGAATTGCCAAAGCAGCCATCAACACAAAATATCAACAATATAGGCCCCACGCCATGCTATGTTGATACTCAGTGGTAAAGGAACCTCAGGGCAGCAGCTAGACATTTGCAGCCACATTCATATATATAGGAGGTGGATCAATATATATAAATAAATGCTAAGGGCATTGATCTTCTATTTTTGATTTGTAAATTAATTTAGAAAACTTTGATTTATTTCCACTTTTCCATTCAGGGGCCAATACAGCAAGATATAATTTCCTTTGCTTTTTTTTCTAGTTTTTTTCTTTCTGGCTTTGCCTCAGAGTTCAATCTAGTTTCATAAATCTGCATACAAGGCAGCACAAACACAGAAAGATAACAATAAGTCATACTGACTCTCCCAAATTTGGTTCTTTCTTTACTAGTACCACAGAAACATTTAAAGCATTGTTAAGCAAATCTGGCCACATTCTCTGAAGTGCTTCATAAAAGGATAAACTAGATTATGCCTCAGAGTTGATGTGCCCTGTCTGGATATCTAGCTACTCAGAGAGGTTTTAACCTCATTACTGCCAAGGTAAGTGGTTTCAACACTGTGCCAAAACATGGTCCCACAGCCTGTAGGGTGAATGCCTCTCTGGAAAGATAAAGCTGAAGTACCAGAGGAAGCTGGATTTTAATAGCAGGGTCCAGACAGGCAGTGTGCAAACCTAACTCCCATGTCTGTTCTTGACCACAGATTCAATGGAGCTGGGAGCCTGGGGCTGGTGTGGAATCTACAGGTAAAGGAGAAAGGAAGTGCTTATTGCATGACATTAAATTGGGTACTGAGTAGGGTGCCCCCAAATTTATATCTGCCTGGAACCTTGATATTTGACCTTTTTTGGTAATAGGATACTTGCAGATGCAACTTGCAGATGAGGTAATACTGGATGACTATAAATCCAGTCACTGGTGTGCTTATAAGATGAGACACAGAGATATAGTGGAAACACACACAGAGGGGAAAAAAAGGCCATGTCAAGACACAGGCAGAAATTGGAGTGCTGCAGCTACAAGCTAAGGAACACCAAGAATTGCTGGCCATCACCTGAAGCTAGGAAGAGCCAAGGAAGGATGCTTCTCCAAAGCCTTCAGAGGGAGCAGGGCTTTACTGAAGCCTTGATTTTGGATTTCTAGCTTCCAGAACTGTGGAAGAGAAAATTTGTAATGTTTTAAGCCATCCAGTTTGTGATCATTTGTGAAGGCAGTCCTAGGAATCTAATGTAAATTGTAATGCAAACATGCAATCAAAGGAGAAGGGCTGCTGATGATGCTGGCCAATATTGGGCTTGGTTTGGAAGCAAGTTCAGGACAAGGGTGGCCCTTAGAGTGTGTAGGTTCTTGGCAGAGAGAATGAAGTGGAATAAAGACTTGGCAACACTAATTAGGATTGTAATATGTACCATACAATATATGACATACAATACTCCAAAGCCAAATTTTAAGGCCAAATACAGATATCTGAGATAATGCCTTTCTTTCATCTTCATGGTCTAAACCTGTGGATATGTTAATACCTCAGCTCTTACAGTCTGTAAGTCCATAAAAACTCACCTTAAAAAGCAGTGCCCTAGTGAGAAGCATAGGAAGAAAAAGAGATGTCAGAAGGAAGAGAGAGAAGTGAGAAAGGAGAAACAGAGAATGCTAACATGATGTGATTCATGTGGTTCAGTCCTAGAGTGAAGTTGCGGTCAAAAGAACATAATCCAGGTAATCAAAAGCAATTTAGAAGTAACTCAAGTTCTTTAGCTGTATCTCTTGAGCACTATAAAAGATTCACTATTTCTAGCAATATTTGTTGAAATTCCCTTTTTCTCTGCTCTGAACACTAGCATCACATGGTGTAGTTGCTTTCCTCAACTCAATTCTTCAACCTCTCCAACTCTTCCTTTTAAGTGCCTCTCAGGTTCCTCTTTTCTTCTTTTCATCCAGATTCTCCATTATGAAAGCCTGAGAGTCAGTGTGTCATTGCAGGACCTTCATTGGGGTGGGGTGGAGGTAAAAAGGCAGTGAAGAAGTAGATGGAGTAGGTCAACCCGTCATCCTTTTCACTAAACAAGGGCTTGGGGCAAGACTGACGACATCCAGAAATGAATGATTTTGCCTGCCAGTACGTATATGGGTATCAGATTATATTTTGAAACATTAACCCATGCTTCTTTGGCTGACATGTCCCACTGCTCCGATCCTTCTTCTCCCACATTCCCCAGTTCGGGGTAGAGCTGTTACAGCAGAGAGAAATGAAGAGACAATACTTAGCTTTTGAGTTTCAAAGTCAATATCATAAATTGTGATAGAGACATTAGCTTGAAACAAAAGGTTTTTTTTTTTTTATTTTTGCTATTGGAAAAAAGTAGCTATCCAAATGCATGATGCAGTAGTGTGTTTAATCTGTCTCTGAAGTGATAGAGATCTTCTGGACTTGCTGGTATGGGGATGGGAGAGTCAGAAAGCAAAATAGTAAGATGATGATGAGTGTGCCTGGCACCTCTCCATTTGGGGCTTGGCCTAGAGAGGGTGTGGCCATGGGGCCAGGGGCTATGTCCCTTCAGCCTACTTCTGCTCTCAGAAGTTCTAATGAGTGACCAAAGACTGACCTTACAATGGCGGCATTTTAGGACAAGTGACAAGCTTCCTCTGTTAGTCTTCCTACTTTCTCCTTCAAGGTTTTGTCTTAGGATGTAATAGAACTGGAAACAAGTATTAACACCTCCAGGGGGTGGTGGTCATTCAGCAAGGTGGGCTAAGGGAGCAAGAGCCAGAGAAGGGACCCTGGGACTGTCTCCTTAAATTTTGCACCCCACTCACCTCACCACGCATAGCTCTCTCTTCAGGTCCCCGTCTTTTTACACCTATCAGTAGTTAAGGTGCCCCATTATTGCTAGTTTCAGAGCACTGCATTTTTTCTCTTGGTTCTCTAACAGCCTACACACTCCTATTTATTATTAAATTCTGTTCTAATTACCCAACTGGAGTGTGCCATCTGTATTCTTCTGCTAGTCTGACCGATATACTTATTTTAAGTACTCAATATGTAACCTTCAGTATTATTATGGTAGGACAGCTGGCCCTCAGGACCATCTCTAAATGCCTCATTTGAACAGGGCTGCTTGAACAGCTGAGTGTTCCAGTCATTTTCAATATCACTATTCAAATTCATGCACTTTTTCAGCACCTGCCTTCATCAAATGATATCCATATCTACCACTGACCTTTGTGATAAAAACATATTTGCATTGCCTCTAAGTTATACTTTGAAGAATCTGTATTCTATAATAGGACAAACAGAGTCAACTGAGCACAGCGTCATTTCAGCAAATTAAGCAACATAACTCCCCCAAATCAATGTTTTTTTTCCCCAACCAAGTTTACACCCAGAGTGTAAACTTCCATCCTAACCTTAGATAAATGCTTTTAAAAGCAAGCTGCATTTGACTGGGGGAAGAAAATTTAAAAAAAAAAAAAAAACTAAGTCACTGTGAGATCCACTTTCCATTCTTGTTCTTGTTAGTAAATAGTTCAAGTAATTTCTCCCAAGGATGATTGATTATAATTTTATTCATAAAGTTTGGGCTTTTATTATGTGATTCCTTGTGAAGCTATCTTTATGGAGAAACAGCATTGTTAAGTAAGTTTATATTCCCTGAATGAGACATCATTCCAAATATGAAATAAGATTAAACTTGGCCAGCTTTTCCCCCAAAGTGGTTTGTTCTTGTTTTCATACATATGTAAAAATTATATTGTGGGAGCTACACGCAAACCTCAATACAGCAAGTTCCATGATGTGGTGATTAGAATAAAGTTATGGAAAACTATTTGCTTTCAATCTTAAACATATTGTAAACAATTTAGAGGGGTCAGATGAGCTAAATGCATTTTGGCTCTTGCTGGATTTAAAAAAAATCTAACTACTTCCATGAATATCTTCTAGTATCCTCTTGTTCTACTTTCACTTCTATGAGTTCAGCTCTGTGGTTGTTGCTGTTAAAGGATACAAAATCATGGCTAGCCAGGAGGAATAAGTTCTAGAACTCTATAGCACTGTAGGGTGACCAGAGTTGACAATAACATATAGTTTCAAATGGCTAGGAGGAGGATATTGAATGTTCCTAATAAAAAGAAATAAAAATGCTTGCAATGATGGATATGCCAATTACCCTAATCTGATCACTATACATTATATGTATTGAAACATCACTATATACATGAATATGTACAAATAGTATGTGTCAATAAAATCTTTTTTAAAAAATCTCAATAATGAATGGATTATAAGCTGAAGTAGTACAAACACTTAATTGAGAAAGAGAAGTCTATCTTAGTGACCACTAATCATAAGCCTATGCTATGATCATGAGAAGACTCCTGTGTGAGTCTTCTCATCCTTGGATGTAAATACAGAATGAGGATGAAGCCCAGATTCATCCACCATGCCTACCCCTTTCTTCTGCTTGCTCTGCTTAGCATTTCACTTAGTAATTATCTTCCTCAGCTTCCCACGGTTGGCTCTACTGGTAATGGAATTAGTTAGTTAATTTTGATCAGAAATATATCAAAACTCTAGTCTTCCAAGTAGTAGGAAAAAATGTCTTGCAAATTGCAAGACACTGGAAAATCAGAGTGCAAGCTACCAATTGGAATTGCTGAAAGCTACCAGTTGAATTGCGAAGTGCTGGCAACCATTGTCAAAGGAACAACTCTCTGCAGGAGAAGAGAGTAAAGCTGGCATGACAGGTGCTGAGCGATAGCATGGCAACATGATGCCCTGGGTTCTCATGTCATCAATGACATAAACTCCAGCCCTTGCTGGTTATGAGAGTCAATAATTCTCCTTTTGTTAAAGCTGTTTTAGCTGCTTTTCTGTAATATCCAACTGGTGGACTTCTGACTAATCCAAAGACAGGAGACCTCAGCTGGAATTTAGGTTTATTTATTCATTTATAGTGCTATGTCTCAGGTATGCCTCAGGTATGTCTACCTGTCTCAGGTATACCTCTGAGGCTTTGGGGCTCAATTTCAGGCCCAGTCCTCAGAGAGCTTGTTTTCCCAGATGCAAGAGTGAAGTTGCCTCTAAAAATTTGAAATGAATATTATCCTTTGAGACCTAAAACATAAAACATAGTGGGCCAGTGTAGAGAAGAGATTGTACTAGAGATTACACTCCTTACTGAATTGGAGTTAACCCAGTTGTAAAGGCAAAAGTAGAAGAGAAAAGGAATGAGAGGTAGGGATGGAGAGCATGAGGTAGAAAAGTACATTCTAAACTTTAATGTGCACTCAAATCCCTGAAAACCTTATTAAAATGAGCAAGCTGATTCAGTAGACCTGGAGTGGGGCTGACATTCTGCCTTTCCAACAAGCTTCTAGGTGACACTCATGCTGCTGGTCCCCAGACCACGCTTTGAGTTGTAAGGTGCTTCAGAGTACTTTAAGGAAATGAAAATGGCCTAAAAGACTAATAATAATAATAGCAATAACAATAATAATACCTGATGGATGCTGTTATCATCTAAAGAAAGAATACATACATCAGAAAGGTAAGGAAGAAAGTGGGCAGCAATGAGGTACAGACAAAAGAGAGTCAAAAAAAAAAAAAGAAAAAAAAACAACAACCAAAAAAGAAACACCAAACCACAACCACAAAAGCAATGTCCAAAAAAAACACTATCTCCTGACAAGAAAAAACCCACTTTGCAACTAATCCCTGTTGTGAATATGAATACACTGGTTTCTCCATCTCCAGTGAAATTAAGCTTTTGTAATCCATAGTTAACTTCCATACTCATGAAGCAACCATTTGAATTTTATTTGCCTTTTTGTATGACTTTTCAATAGGAAGAAAATGGGCTTTCCATGCAGAAAAGAATAATCTGCTCCTCATGAGAACTCTTTTATTCACTGTAAATTATGAAATTGTTATGATGTTTATAAATAACAGCTCCTTGTGACTTTGATTGGTGTGACTCAGCATCCCTATGTCTAATCATATTCAAATCATTGAATTGGAGTTTATGAGACCAAAAAGTTGAGGATGTTTAAACCACCAAGTTTAAATGCTAACACGTGGGTCTATTGGCAAACATTAAATACTCACCTACTCACCCCATACATATCTGACATTGCCGGATGCTTTTTTGAAATTTAACATGTCCCGTAAAATAGTGGCTCAGCATACTTTTTTTTTTTTTTTTTTTTGAGACAAAGTCTGGCTCTGTTGCCCATGCTGGAGTGCAGTGACACAATCTCAACTCACTGCAACCTTTGCCTCCTGAGCTCAAGCCATCCTCCCACCTCAGCCTTCCGAGTAACTGGGACTGCAGTCACATGCCACCATGCCTGGCTAATTTTTGTATTATGGGGGAGATGGGGTTTTACTATGTTGCTCAGGCTGGTCTCCAACTCCTGGCCTCAAGCGATCTGCCAACTTCCGCCTCCCAAAGTGATAGGATTACAGGCATGAGCTACCGCACCTGGCTTAGAATACTGCTCTTTAATTTGTTAACAGGTGGTGTCATTTTACGATTTTCTTTGTTTTTAAAACAACTTTTTTCTAATCCCGTAGATCCCGATATTGGAAATAGCCTTTCTGCATCTTCCCTACTCTCTTTTGATGGTTGGGGGACCCATTGCTTTATTCACAATTTGCTTTTTCCCATAATTTTAAGACATTCTGTTGTTTGCTGGTCCATTGTACCTTATCCCCCAATTATTCTTTTTATTCCTCTTTCTCTATTCTTGATAAAAACAGGAGTGCTGTTTGATTACATTTCTATATAATCAGTTGTGTGTGTGGCATTAGAAGGAGGTTAGTAAAATTCACCTTTCCCATTTATAAACCTATATCAGCATGTCACAATAATTAGGAACCATTAGAAATGGATGCGTTCACTATGCGAAAAGCAGACATACTATAGCTAATTATCATCACCGAGCTTCTTGCTTTTGTGTCCACACTAATACGGTTCTTGTAAACCAAGCTGCTTTGGGGACATCTTGTCAAATGATTCATCAGGGAATACAGAAAGAAGATGGCTTTTAAGTCACTCTTTTGTTAATTGACGATTTAATCTTCTATGCAGTTACAACCACAAGACCAAATTAGTTTAGATGCTTATGATATTTTCCCTATCAATTTATGAAAATAAAGGGAGGAAAATTGGGCAGATGGGGGGAAGAAAAATAATGGTTTATTATAGAATCTCCCAGGAGAAAATAAGAACGAACCAACAATTTATTTTCACTTTTGTAGATTTACTTTGATGTGGTACAGCAGTTTAATTTCAGTCATGCGGATCTGCCATTGTGTGAAAATGTAACTCAATTCTCATCAGCATACACCAGCAAGGTATTTGATGTTTGCTTTGTTCTTCCCCAAACAACACTGTAAAGCTAAATATGAGTTCTCACCTTAAAGTTTTCTATGTCTCTTGCAAACCAAGCTGATTTGAATAAAAATTTTTAGATATCTGACTTTTAATCAACGATCCAAACTTTTGGCCTGCATATTAAATATGCCACTCTACCCTATTCCACATCTATTTCTCATTTCCTTTTTTTCTATGTGCATGCCTAAACCCTTTTGAGATAAGATTTATAATCTGGTTTCTGGCAGTCTTAATTTGAAAGGATATTAATTGTTAAACCGGACTATCTACTAATCATATCTTTTAAAAGAACATAGAAAAATAGTTTATTAAATGGCTAAATATATTCCTCATGCTTCTAAGATCTTGTTATATCAAATCCTCAAGGAAGGTCATTGGAGAGCTATTTTAGTAGCTGATTTCCATTGCAACAGAATATACAATTGTCAAGGACTAAGACCAATGACCCCAAGTGGAGAGCTTTGAATATCCTAGTTCCTATTTCTCATAGATGGCAAAGTTCAGAAATAAAAATCTCCACCTACAAAGCATGAAGTTTCTTCCTATAAGTTTCCTGCTGAATCTTCCTGCTTTTAGAAGGAAGTTAACTTGACTTTCAGGTCACAAACCTTAACATGCATGGAGAATATCAGTAGAAAAATGAAAAAGATGTGAGCCAGACTCCCTTTAAATGGTCTAAGAAGAAGAATTGGAGCACTAAATGGAACACTTGTGAGTCAGCATGGAGGGCAGAAAATTGGTGATGTATGGGAGGAATTCTACGTTCTATAACCATTGAACCACATGCAAACCCTGACTGAATAAAGATGATAAATGGCAGTAGGAACATTAAACTCACTGGCTCATTGGAAAAGCAGCTCTGCTGACCAGGAGACAGATGGAGGGAGGTCTCTTTTAGGTACATGAAAGAGCATCCTTCACTCAGTTGGGAATGGTTTTTTATGCATTTCACCCCTCCCTTGAATCAATCAATAAAGGATTGATTCAAGGGCAGGACAGTTTAGTAACCAATGTCTAATAGTACGCATGATTTTAACTATGGGACAATAGTAAACAGTCACTATTAAAATATGCTGATTTATTTAAAGACAACAGATAGATAAATGTACCATGATAGTTCCATATCAGGAAATGGCCTACATTGCAGAGATTGATAACTGCCATTTGGAACCATTCTGACCTTCTTTCTTGATAATGAGAACTCTGATGTCTAGCAGTCATAGAGCCAATTAGACAGATTACATTTTCCAAATAGCCATGTGACTTAACATGTAAGCCTAAGTGGTATGTGGAAATGAGAAGGAAGATCCTGGGTCTGCTCTCTCCAAATCAACTCTATATCCTTCTCCATTATTCTTTCCACCCTGTGACATGGAATTTTAGAGAACACATTAATGGGCTCCCTTGACCTCCAACTTCCATTTGGCCTTGGCCAGGAAGGCACCAAGAGGAGACTCTGAAGGATGGGAGGTGATATGGTTTGGCTGTGTCTTCACCCAAATCTCATCTTGAATTGTAGCTCCCACAATTCCCATGTGTCATGGGAGGGATGCAGTGGGAGATAATTGAATCATGGGAGTGGGTCTTTCCTGTGCTGTTCTTGTGATAGTGAATAAGTCTCACAAGATCTGATGGTTTTATAATGGGGAGTTTTCCTGCACAAGTTCTCTCTTGTCTATCACCATGTAAGACATGCCTTTTGCCTTACATCATGATTGTGAGGCCTCCCCAGCCATGTGGAACTGTGAGTCCATTAAACTTCTTTTTCTTTATATATTACCCAGTCTCAGGTATGTCTTTATCAGCAGTGTGAAAACAGATTAATACAGGAGGGGAGAGAATTTGAACTATTACTTACTATAAGATTATTGAATGCATTTATGATTTATTTGCAGTTCTTTTTATTCCCAGGATATTTCTAACTAGGGATTTACTTTCAAAAAGTTTAATTTAAAGTCACTTGGAAAAATGTCTTCTCTCCATGTGCCAGGCTATGAGTTGGTATGGTACATTCCTTTACTAAAAGCTGAGCCTCCTGAATAATCACCCTCTCCTACAGATACAGCTCCCTCTGCAGATTACAATAGCTACTTCCTTTCTTGGTCTCTTTGGGCCTAGTGGTGGTAATGCATCTCTCAACTGATAGTCATGTTAGAGATGTTCGAACCAGAGCAATTCCATCTTGAATAGGTGCTGGGTAAAATAATTCTGAGACCTACTGGGATACGTTCCCAGTAAGTTAGGCATTCTAAGTCACGGGATGAGACAGGAGGTTGGCACAAGATACAGGTCATAAAGACCTTGCTAATGAAACAGATTGCAGTGAAAAAGCCGGCCAAAACCTACCAAAACCAAGATGGTGACTACAGTGACCTGTGGTTGTCCTCACAGTTCATTATACGCTATTTATAATACATCAGCATGCTAAGAGACACTCCCACCAATGCCGTGAATTACCCTATATGGTCTAAAAAGGGGAAGAGCCCCTCAGTTCCAGGAATTGCCCACCCCTTTCCCAGAAAACTCATGAATAATCCACTCTTTGTTTAGTATAGAATCAAGAAATAACCACAAAAATGGGTAACCAGCAGCCCTGGGGGCTGCTCAGCCTATGGAGTAGCCATTCATTTATTCCTTTACTTTCTTAATAAACTTGCTTTCATTTTACTGTATGAATTCACTTCAAATTCTTTCTTGCGCGAGATCCAACAACCCTCTCTTGGGGTCTGGATCAGGACCCCTTTCTGGTAACGGTCCCAGGTATCTGGCTATCCTTTGTTATTTTTCTCTTAACTGCTCATTCTATTGTCAATAGTCCTTTTATTAAATTCTGTTCACTTACCTCATTTGAGTATACTGTTTATTACCCAAAAGATTATTTCCTTAAGAAGGTATGGGTGCACATTTCCCCTCCTTATTCTTCCTCCCACTAGTTGGGATGCATGACATAATGGCTGGAACTCGAGCAACCATCTAGGGTTATCTAGAAGAAAGCAGTGGGTGGTGAAGCAGCAGGATGAAAGAAACGTTGGTCTTTGATGATCATAGACTGACATGTCAGCTCTTTTTTTTTTTTTTTTGAGACAGAGTCTTGCTCTTTTGCCCAGGCTGGAGTGCAATGGTGCAATCTCGGCTCACTGCAACCTCCACCTCCTGGATTCAAGCGATTCTCCTGCCTCAGCCTCCTGAGTAGCTGGGATTACAGGTGTGCACCACCACGTCCAGCTAATTTTTGTATTTTTTAGTAGAGACAGGGTTTCACCATGTTGGTCATGCTGGTCTTGAACTCCGGACCTCATGATCCACCTGCCTCAGCCTCCCAAAGTGCTGGGATTACAGGTGTGAGCCACCATGCCTGGCCGACATATCAACTCTTGACTATTAATCTCCAATTGTTTTTTACACCTTGCTCCTGCCCCAGACTGTCCTCTTACTATCTACTGCTCATTTACCTCAAAATTTATTTCCTTCATATCAGACATCTCTACTTGCTCAATGGAATTTTCCCTAGCTCTTAAATGGCAAGTCCTTTGAGGTAAGGCTGGAACTTCCATCTAGTCCCTGACCCTGCAGGGCAAAGTGGTATTGTCTTCTCTGCTTCCACATTCACAAGTGGAAGTGAAACAAAAGCCTCTTTGCTGTTGAATTTTCCCTTGATTCATCTAAAATAATTATCTGCTCCAGGACTGTGGCCAGGGGTGGGGAATTAAGGGCAAACATGTCTCATAATCTGTTTCCCTACTTCCAATTTTCCAATTTCTTCTCATAATCTATTGAGGTTTATGCAGTGTCCCTTTTCCTTACATTGCATCTGGAATTTTCTCTACCCTATACCTTATCAAGTATCATCTGGCTCCATGGTTACTCCAGCCAGGCCCCATCTGCTAATGGGAACACAAAGAAATTTAGAAATTCCAGTGAATCCCCTTGTGGTCGACTTAGAAAATATTATAATATTCTTTTTGAGAAAAAATAGCACAGTAACTGTGAATATTCATTGCTAGGATTAGTTTTTTAGGGAGCTAGCTTTACAGGTAATAATTCTGAGGGAATGGGACATAGTTTTGTCAGTGAATACAAGTTGGACCACCAAAAACCAGCATGAGAGCCCTAAGTGCCTGTGAAAAGGTGAAAATACAAAAGCTTAGAAGAAAACCTTGCAGAAGACAAACTACTTCCATGAAGGACAGAAATTATGCCTATTTCATAAATGACTAATAGAGTTACAAGGTCCTGGTACCCCATTTAGAGCCTTCCTACTAACAGTTTCCCAGCCCAATAAACTTTAAAGTTAAAAGAGGCAAATTTTATTTACTGCCCACCTCCTATGTCCCTTACTTCCTGCTGCTTCTGCTAGTCATTTCTGGGTTTGTCTGTCTACCAGGGGACTAGAGCAGGAACATAAAAGCTCTAGACATGAAGGGGAGAAGAAAAGATACATAATCAAAAGTCTCCATGGACAAAGACAGCCAGATGAGAAGAGCAGAGGTGTTTGGGGTGGAAAATATTGAAGGCAGTGGTGAAATAAACATTCATAGTGTAATAGTGTAATGTTCATGTTTGAATCAAATAAACCTGAAATTAACAGTCATCTAATTTTAGAATTTAAATGAGCCACCAGTGTCACTGGGGTTTAAATTCCCACCACCTCTCTCACACCTCTGACAGCTGGAACATTGTAACAGTGTTCACCTTTGGATATCTCTCATGGTGAGCAAGTTCCTCTTTATGTTTCCGCTGTATGAAAATATATAGGGTAATGCAATCACAGTTTTAATTTTAAATCTAATGTCACATTGTACATTTAAAAATAAACTATAGTATATCAGAAGGTCACTGGCGGAGTGCTGCTCAAACCCAAATGATGGGGCTTCAGTTACTAAATAAAGACTCACTTTATCTTACTTATGCTGATGTCCAGGAGTGTTATTAAGGTTTGTATTTAGAACCCTTTAAATCCAGAATGTAAAATCAGGAAAGCTCTGCATTCTCCAAAGCACTCTATCAGTTCAAAATATTAGGTATGTATTCAACTCTACTTCCCTCAAGCAAAACTAAAAATGTGTGGTAACAAAGAAGTAATACCTTGAGTCCCATGTTTGAATAAATTCTGCTCTAGAGGATACTTCACAATAAATTTATGCTTAATAAATATGTATGTTATAGAGCCTGGACAAATATCTAAAATAAAACAGATTAAATGCATCTTCTTATTGAAGGACCTCTCAAAATTATTAAACCGTAAATAATTCAGGTTTCCCAGGCATTTTATTATATTGTTCTCCATTTTCAGAAATTAATAATTGGTAATTCCTCATGGCACACCAGATGGATGTAGGGATGGGTTCTGGAATTCCTATGTTACACAAGGGAGAGAGAACAATAGGAAGGGACAAAGAAACTGGCTGAGTTGGCTCTCGGCTTCTCATGTGATGTCAGGAGGACCATGTGATATTATGCAGGCTATAGTCTACTGCCTCATTTCTCCTTCTGGATTGTGAAAGCACTTAAACCAGGCCTGGTAACTTTCCAGAACTTCATGAGGCATAGTGGCTACATGTGACTTTCTACAACTCTGCTCTTCCCACCCTTGCCTACAGAGTGGTCTTAATGGCAGAGCGATGAAAAGACAGAACCAGGGTGAAAATGCAAATCCACACCAGGATGCTGATATGACTGCATATCTTTCCAGAACAAATCCAGAGAAAGGGCTCTAACAGAGCTTCATATCTGAAGTGTCCTGGAGAAATTTCCTTAAAATTTCTATGGAATTTTCCATGGAAACCTTAGAGCACAGGTTCAGAAGTTGCCCCTATTTGCTACTCTGCTTAATCTCTTAAAGCCTAGGATTTCCCACACTCCAGCAAACTAAATAGCCATCACTTTCTTGACCTTCAGCTGTGAATCCTGAGGCTAGCACCTACACTTTGCTCAGGCATGTCTCCTTCACATCTCATTCTGGAAGTCTTTTGAGCTGAATTCCCCAAGCCATGAAGGGGAGCAGTGAGTACCAGTATCACCAGCACTACAGGGAATAGTCCCAGGTACCAGCACTCAATTTTGAGTTTTCATGTCACCGATCACTATTAAAGGAGAAAGCACTGCATTGGAAAGAATCATTGACTGTATAAAATTAACATCACCACCACATGATATAAGCATTGAACCTCATTCATGAAAATTACAGAAAGAACTTAATTGGATTTTTACAACATATATTGCAGTGTAGGAGATCTTCATGTGAACAGTTTTTGATGTCAACATAAATATTTAGAAAATATTTAGAAAATCAGACTGAAATAATATATAACTCTCATGCAGACTTTTAATTCCTTCTTACTAGGGCATTTGTAAACACTGCTCAGAGTGACTACTTGAAACATTTCTGTCCTTCTCCAGTCTGGAAGCAACTTGTTCTTCTCTTTCCCCAACTCCTTCTCCTCCTCCTCCCCTTCCTCTCTCCTTTCTTCCCTTCCTCCTTTCCTTCCTTCCTCTCACCCTCTATCTCTTGTTTCCTCCTTCCCTTCCTTCCTTTCTTCTCTTTCATTTCTTCCTTCTTCTTTATTGCTTCTCCTCTTCTTTCTCTCCCTCTTCCTCCTCCAACTCCCATCCTCGTCTTTTTTTAAATCTCTTCCCTAAATAAAGAATATGTAAATTAAACAGAATGTTTTTCTTTCTTCAGGGAGCTTATCAATTAAAGCAGACAACACTAATACTAATGCTTGTTGGTGTATTCATAGAATTAAATATGGAAAAAGGCTCTTTGAATCATTTGGGAAATGGTCTTTGAAGAAAAGAAACTTTTAATTGAATTTCGAATGTTTGGAACATAATTGGGAAACTAAATTTGAGAGAAGTTGTACAAGCTTGTTTAAAAACAGTTTTGTTTTTATCAAGTGTGTTTACTGTATTCTGAAGGAAGAGAATCTCAACTTTGGAGAGTGAAATGTCTTTCTACTACAGATGACCCATTTTGGTATAAGGAGTGAAACCAAAGAATTTATGTTAAGGATTTTAGTGCTAGGGATCTAGAATGTCTCCAGTAAAAACTATCTGTCTTGGAGGAAACTGTCACTGAAATATGTGCCTAAATTTCGGGGTAACCAGGAGGCAAGAGAACAGAGAAAGCCTTCTTTATTAAGAACCTAAAAAGAGGCTTGGCAGCATGCCAACTGTGTCAGGCAGCTACCTTCCAGGGTGGGAAAAAAACTGACTACAGTCTTCTAAACACAACAAGGAGTAATAGAAAGTGACGAGGATTGGTTCCAAGTCTTTGCTATTGTGAATAATGCCGCAATAAACATACGTGTGCATGTGTCTTTATAGCAGCATGATTTATAGTCCTTTGGGTATATACCCAGTAATGGGATGGCTGGGTCAAATGGTATTTCTAGTTCTAGATCCCTGAGGAATCGCCACACTGACTTCCACAGTGGTTGAACTAGTTTACAGTCCCACCAACAGTGTAAAAGTGTTCCTATTTCTCCACATCCTCTCCAGCACCTGTTTCAAATGTCCAACAATGATAGACTGGATTAAGAAAATGTGGCACATATACACCATGGAATACTATGCAGCCATAAAAAATGATGAGTTCATGTCCTTTGTAGGAACATGGATGAAATTGGAAATCATCATTCTCAGTAAACTATCGCAAGAACAAAAAACCAAACACCGCATATTCTCACTCATAGGTGGGAATTGAACAATGAGAACACATGGACACAGGAAGGGGAACATCACACTCTGGGGACTGTTGTGGGGTGAGGGGAGGGGGGAGGGATAGCACTGGGAGATAAATGCTAGATGACGAGTTAGTGGGTGCAGCGCACCAGCATGGCACATGTATACATATGTAACTAACCTGCACATTGTGCACATGTACCCTAAAACTTAAAGTATAATAATAAATAAAAAATTTAAAAAAAAAAAAGGAAGTGATGAGGAGATGAGGGCCAGAAGATCTGAACTTTGCGGACAGATGAGAGAGTGTATAGGTCTCATGAACTTATTCATTTTATCTTGAAAAACCTGAAAGGAAGGCCACTACCTATTTTTAATTGCCACTCTAGCCTGCACATGACATTTAAGTATTTGGGAAAATTCTAGCGGATTGTTGATAAAGTCGGCTTGTATGAAAGCCACCTCTTTCTCCCATCCTCTGCTAAAAGTGAAATGGTTCATGTGTTTATCTCTCTGCAAAAGTGCTTGTCCTTTAAAATCAGTTCACTGGTTGTCTTGCAACCTTAGCTCTCCAATGGGCTCCAGAAGTGTTATGATTTTTATTTAACCTTTTCTCATTGTTAGGTTAAAAGAGATGTTCTTCGTAGCATTCTACATTTTAAGTAGATGCAGAGGTTGGTTTTGACAATTAGAAATAAAGCTTTTATGAACATTTGTGATCAAGTCTTT
This sequence comes from Homo sapiens, assembly GCF_000001405.40. Classification (NCBI taxonomy): domain Eukaryota; kingdom Metazoa; phylum Chordata; class Mammalia; order Primates; family Hominidae; genus Homo; species Homo sapiens. The sequence continues at coordinate 75,684,016 of NC_000009.12, read as the reverse complement.
TTGTGGGCATATGTTTTCTGTAAGGTAAAGGAATGGAATGGTTGGGTTGTTTGGTAAGTGCATGTTTTACTTTTTAAGGAACTGCTGGCTTTTTTTCCAAAGGGGCTGTATTATTTCACATTCCCAACAGTAGCATATGAGAATTCCAGTTGTCTACATCATTACCCATACTTCCTATTATCAACCTTTTTTAAATTTTAGTTATTCCATGGGTAGGTGAGTAGTGATATCTCATTGCGGTTTGGATTTTCATTTCCCTGATGACTCATGATGTTGGGCATCTTTTCATGTGGTTATCAGCCATTCTTATATCTTCTTTTATTAAGTGTCTGTTTAAATATTTTTCTTATATTTTATTGGGCTGTTCCTATTCTTAATGTAAAAATTCTTTATATAGTCTAGATAAAAGCCCTTGGTCAAATATAAGTATTGCAATATTTTCTCCACATTTTTGACTTGCCATTTCACTTTTTGATGTCTTCCAAAGAGCAAAAGTTCTTAATTTTGTTAAAGTCTAACTTCTCAATTTTTTTTCTCTTATGATTCCTGTTGTTTTTATTCTAGCTAAGAAATATTTGCCTATGTAAAAGTCTTAAGTATTTTCTTTTGTGTTTTCTTCCAAATGTTTTATAGCTTTATTTCTTACTTCTGGGTCTGTGTTCCATTTCAACTTAATTACTGTTTGTAGTGTGAGGTAAGGCAAGAGTCAGTGTTCATTTTCCCCATATAGATAGTCTTATTATTCCAGTATCTTTTGTTGAAAAGACTATCATTTCCCCTCTTAAATTGTCTTGGTGTCTCTGTTAAAAGTTAATTCATCATGAAACACAGGTTTCACTTTCTGGACTCTGTATTCTCTTCCACTGATGTGTATGTTTATCTTTTTGCCAAAACCATACTGTCTTAGTTACTGTAGCTTAATAATAAATCTTACAGTCAGCTTATATAAGTCTTAGGATATGGTTTGGCTCTGTGTCCCTACCCAAATCTCAACTTGAATTGTAATTCCCATAATCCCCCTGTGTCAAGGGCGGGAACTGGTGGGAGGTGATTGGATCATGGGGGCAGTATCCCCCCTGCTGTTCTCTTGAGAGTGAGTGAGTTCTCAGGAGATCTGAGGGTTTTATAAGGGGCTCTTCTCCCTTCACTCATACATTCTCTCTTGCCTGCCCCCATGTAAGATGTGCCTTTTCTTCTCTTTCACTTTCCGCCATGATTGTAAGTTTCTTGAGGCCTCCTCAGCTGTGCAGAACTGTGAGTCTATTAAATCTGTTTCTTTTATAAATGACTTAGTCTTGGGTATGTCTTTAAAGAAGTGTGAAAATGGACTAATACATCTTCCAGCTTCTTTCAGTTTTAAATTTGTCTTTGGCAATTCTAATCATTTGCATTTTCATATACATTTTAGAAATCTTTGTCAATATCTTCAAAAAATTATTGAGTTATTTTGTGAGGGTTCTCTAGAGAAACAGAACCAATAAGATGTACATAGATATGAAGAAGAGATTTATTACAGGAATTGGCTTACATAATTCTGAAAGCTCGGAAGTCTTATGCTGCCTGAAAGCTGGAGGACCAGGAAAGAGGGTGTTGTAATTCAGTACAAGGCCACAGGTCTGATAACCCAGAGGATGGTGAGTGTAGAAGATGAGGGGCTGGTGTAAGTTCCAGAATCTGAAGGCCCCAGGATCTCTAATGTCCCAGGAAAGAATAACTCAAAAAGAGAGAAAAAATTTTGCCGTTTCTCTGCCTTTTTGTTCTATCTGAGCCCTCAGTGATTGGCCAATGCCCACCCACGTTGGTTAGGGTAGAACTTTACTCAGTCAACTGATTCAAATGCAAATCTCTCTCAGAAATATTTTCATAGACACACCCAGAATACTGTTTTACCAGCTATCAGGGTATCTCTTAACCAAGTCAAGCTTACACATAAAATCAATCATCACAAGTATTAATTGAGATTGAGTTGAATTTATAGATCAAGTAGGGTAATTTGACATTTAACAATATTAAGTCTTCCAATCCATCAACATAGTATATCTTTTTATTTATTTTGGTTTATTTAATTTTGTTCAGCAGTGCTTTCTAATTTTCAGTGTAGAGGTCTTTCACATCTTGTTCAATTTACTATGAAATATTTTGTGTTTTTCTATGCTATTGTAAATAATTTTTTAAATTTAATTTTCTATTTTTTGCTACTAGTATATAAAAACATTGATTTCTGCATATTAACCTTATATCTTCTAACCTTGCTAAATTCACATATTAGTACTAAATATTAACTTTGTATCCTGTAAGCTTGCTAAGGTTATTAGTCCTCATTTGTTAGTCTTGGTAATTATTTCATACATTAATTTGGATTTTCTATGTAAACAATCACACTGTATACAAATAAAGATAGTTTTACTTCTCTTCTCAGCTCTTTATGCCTTATTGCTTTATTACAATGGTTAGAAACCCCAGTACAATGTTATGTAGGTATTACTGCAATAAGTATTCTTGCTGTGTTCCCAGTTTTACAAGAGAAGAATTTAGATTTTCTACATAAAGTATGAATTGGCTATAGTTTTGTAAATGCCATTTATCAGACTGAGAAAATTCCCTAGTATTCCTAGCTTGGTGAGAATATTTATAATGAATGAAGATTGCATTTTGATGAATGCTTTTTCTGAAGCTATTAAAATGAGCATATGTTTTTTCCCGTTTATTTTGTCACTATGGTAGATTAAATTGATTTTTGCTTATCTTAGATAAATCTTACCAAGTTATGATGTGTTATCCCTTCATGTATTGTATAAATTATAAATATTGATTTGCTTATGTTTAAAGGGTTTGTGTGTTTATTGGTCTATTATTATTTATTATTATTATTATTTTGTAATGTCTTTGTCAGGTTTTAGTGCTAGGGTTCTACTGGCCTTATAAAATAAGCTGTGAAAAGTTTCATATCCATCTATTTTCTAAAAGATTTTTGTGTAAGATTGGTATTATTTTTCCTTGAATATTTTATACACTTCTTAAGTGAAACCCTATGGGCCTGGAGATTTCTTGGTCAAAAAGGTTTCTGATAATGAATTCAATTGAGTTAATTGATGGAAGGTTATTCAGATTTTCTGTTTCATCTTGTGTTAATTTTGTAAATTGGATTCTTCAAGAAATTTGTTCTTGTTTCTTCTAAGTTGTCAAATTTGTTGGCACCAAGTTGTTTATAATAGTCTCTTCATTAAAAAAACATTTTTTAAGTTTCTGCAGTGACAATTCTATCTCTACTCTAATCCCTGGCAACCACTGATCTTTTTATTGTTTCCATAATTTTGTCTTTTCCAGAATGCCATATATTTGGAATCATACAATATGTAGCTTATTAAGATTGGTGCTTAGTAATATGCAATTAAGTTTCTTTCATGATTTTTCTTGACTTGATAGCTCATTTCTTTTTAGTTCTGAATAATATTCTATTGTCTAAATGTACCACAGTTTATTTATTCATTTACATACTGAAGGACAACTTAGTTGTTCAGGTTTTAATAATTATAAATAAAACTGCTATAAATGTCTCAGTACAGGCTTTTATGGACATAAGTTTTCAGCTGCTTTAGGAAAATAACAAGAAACATTATTGCTACACCATATAGCAACAGTTTGTTTAGTTTTGTAAGAAACTGCCAAACTGTCTTCCAAAGTGGCTGTGCCATTTCACAGTCCCACCAGCAATAAATGAGTCTTCCTCTTTATTCACAACCTCACCACAATTTGGTGGTGTTAGTGTTCTGGATTTTTGCCGTTCTAATCAGTGTGTAGTAGTATCTCACTGTTGTTTTAATTTTCATTTCCCTGATGACATAATGCAAAACATCTTTTCATATGCTTATTTTACATCTGTATGTCTTCTTTGGGGAGGTATCTGTTGAGGTCCTTGGTCCCTTTTTTAATTGAGTTGTTTGTTTTCTTATTGTTAGGTCTTAAAAGTTCTTTGCATATTTTGGATAACAGTTCTTTATCAGATATTTTCTCCCAGTTCATAATTTGTCTTTTCATTCTCTTGAAAGTGTCCTTTGTAGAGCAGGGATTTTTCATTTTAATCATGCTCAGCTTATCAATTATTTCTTTCATAGATAGTGTCTTTGGTGTCATATGTAAAAAGCCATTGCCCACCCCAAAGTTATCTGGAATTTCTTCTATGTTATCTCCTAGGGATTTTATAGTTTTGTGTTTTACATTTAGGTCTGGGATCCAATTGAGTTAATTTTTAGGAAGTGTGTAAAGTCTGTGCCTAGACTGTTCCCTCCTCTCCCCTGCCCTCCCCTCCCCTTTCCTCGCCTCTTTCCTTTCCTTCTCTCATGTGCCCATCTATTACAGCACCATTTGCTGACAGAATTTTTTTTCTCCGTTATATTTTCTTTGCTTTTTTGTCAAAGATAAGTTGAATGCATTTACATGGGTCTATTTCTGGGCTCTCTATTCAGTTCCATTGACCTTTTCTTTTGCCAATACCACACTCTCTTGATTATTGTAACTTTATATAATAATAAGTCTTGAAGGCAGGTAGTACTAGTTATCCAACTCTGCTCTTCTCCTTCAATGCTGTGTTGGCTATTCTGGATTTTTTTTCCTTTCCATGTAAACTTTACAGTTTGTTTACATGTACAAATTAATGTGCTGGGATTTTCATTAAGATTGCATTGAACCTATACATCGAGTTGACAAGTATTGACATCTGGATGATATCAGCCTTCCTATTCATGAATATGAAATATCTCTCCATTTAATTAGTTCTTCTTGGACTTTTTTCATCAAATTTTTTAGTTTCTCATGTAGATTTTGTACATACTGTAATAGATTTATATCTAAGTATTTAACTTCGGGGGTGCTAATGTAAATATTATTGTGCTTTTAATTTCAAATTTCACTTATTCATTACTGGTATGTAGAAAACTGATTGACTTTTGTATATTAACTTTATATCCTGCAAACTTTCTATAATCACTTATCAGTTCCAAGAGAGTTTTGAATTAGTTTTTAATTTTCCAAATAAATAATCATGTCATCTGTAAACAGAGACAGTTTTATTTCTTCCTTCCCCATCTGCATATATTTTATTTCCTTTTCTTGTCTTATTGTATCAGCTAGAACTTCTAGTACGATATTGAAAAGGAGTGTGAGAGGAGACATCCTTGCCTTGTTGCTGGTCTTACTGAAAAAGCTTGAAGTTTCTTATAATTAAGTATAATGTTAGCTGTATGTTTTCTAAGTGTTTTTAATCAAGTTATGGAAGTTCCCCGTTATTCCTAGTTTGCTGAAATTTTTTTATCATCAGTAATAGATGTTAGATTTTGATAAATGCTTTTTCTGCATCTATTGATATAATCACATTTTTTTTCTTCTTTAGCCTATTGATACAATGGCTTACATTAACTGATTTTCAAATGTTTTACCAGGCTTGCATACCTGGAATAAATCCCACTTGGTAGTGGTTTATAATTTTTAAAATACATCTTTGGATTCTACTTGATAATATTATGTTGAGAATCTTTGCATTTATTTTCATGAGAGATATTGGTGTGTAGTTTTATTTTGATGTCTTTTTCTTTTTTGTTCTTATTAGGGCAATGTTGGCCTCATAGAATGGGTTAGAAAGTATTCCTTCTTCTTCTATCTTCTGAAGGAGATTGTAGATTGGTATAATTTCTCCTTTAAAGGTTTGGTAGAATTTACCAGTGAACCCATCTAGACCCAGTGGTCTCTGTTTTGAAAGATTATTAATTATTGATTTAATTTCTTTAATAGATATATGTCTATTCAGATAATCTATTTCTTTTCGTGTGAGTTTTGGCAGATTTTGTCTATCGAGGAATTGTTGCATTTCATCTAATAGGTTATCAAATTTGTGGGCATACAGTTGTTCATAATATTCTTTTATTTTCCTTTCAATGTCATGGAATCCATAGTGATAGTCTCTCTTTTCTTTCTCTTAATCTGTATCCTCTCTCTTTTTTTCTTAGTTAGCCTGGATAGAGGCTTATTAATTTTATTGATATTTTCAATAAACCAGGTTTTGGTCCTGTTGGCTTTCTCTATTAATTTTCTATTTATAATTTTATTAATTTCTGTTCTAAGTTTTAGCATTTCTTTTTTATGCTTACCTTGAATTTAATTTGCTCTTTTCTTTATAGTTTCCTAAGGTAAAAGCATAGAGTACTGATGTTAGATCGTTCTTCTTTTCTAGTATATACGTTTGATGCTATAACTTTCCCTCTAAGCACTATTTTCACTGCATCTCAGAAATTTTTAATGTTTTGTTTTCATTTTCATTCAGCTTAAAAATTTTAAAAATGTATCTTAAAATTTCTTCTTTGACTCATGTATTATTTATACATGTATTATTTAATCTCCAAGTATTTGGGGGGATTTTCCAGCTGTCTTTCTGGAAAAAAAAGAAATTTATTTCTAGTTTATTTCTCTTGTGGTCTGAGAGCAGACACTGTATAATTTCTATTATTTTAAATTTGTTAAAGTGTGTTTTATGGCTAAAAATTTGGTCTATCTTGGTAAATGTTTCATGTAAACTTGAGGAAAATGTGTAACTGGCTGTTGTGGGATGAAGAAGTCTATAGATGTAAGTTATATCCAGTTGATTAACATCCAGTTGTTGAATTCAGCTACGACCTTAGTAGTACTTTACCTGCTTGATCTATTCATTTTTAACAGAGTCATGTTGAAGTCTCTAAACGTAATAGCGAATTAATCTATTTCTCTTTGAAATCTATCAGTTTTTGACTCATGTATTTTCATGTTCTGTTGTTGGATGTATATTCATTAAGGATTGTTACATTATCTTACAGAATTAACCCCCTATATTACTATGCAATACCCCATTTATTCCTGATAATTTTACTTGTTATAAAATTGGCTGTGCCTCAAATTAATATGGCTACTGTCCCTTTCTTTTTATTAGTGTTAGCATGGTATATCTTTCTCAAATCCTTTACTTTTTTTTCCACATCAAGCAGGTATGATAGTATGCCAACATTGCAAAAAGGTTTGAGAGAAGTGCATCTCACACATGAGTGTCAAAAACCCAGTCATCACGCTTATGAACCCCAAAAGGATTAAATCTTTTACTTTTATTCTGTGTGTCTCGTGGGCAACATACACTTGGCTCTTGTTTTTTGATCCACTCTGGCATTCTCTTTTGATTGGTGCATCTAGACCAGTGATTATTCATATAGTTGGATTAATATCTACTATATTTGTTACTGTTTGCTATTTGCTATCCTTGTTTTTTGTTCCTATTTTTGTCTTCTACTCTTTCTGCCTTTTGCGGTTTTCAGTAAGCATTTTATATGATTATTTTTTCTCTATTTTTTTTTTTTTTTAATTTTTGAGACGGGATCTAGCTCTGTCACCCAGGATGGAGTGCAGTGGTATGATCTGGCTCACTGTAGCCTTGAACTTCTGGTTCAAACAATATTCTCACCTCAGCCTCCTGAGTAACTGGAACTACAAGTGTGCACCATCATGCTCAGCTAATTTTAAATTTTTTTTTGTTGAGACAGGGTTTTGCCAGGTTTGCCCAAGCTGGTCTCGAACTTCTGGGCTCAAGCAATCCACCCACCTAGGCCTCTGAAAGTGCTGGGACTACAGGCATGAGCCACCATGCTTGACCTTCTCTCCTTTTTTTAACATATCAGTTACACTTCTGTTTTCTCACCTTTTTAATGTCTGCCCTTGAGTTTGCAATATAAATTTACTACTAATTCAAATATATTTTCAAATAACACTACACTACTTTAAGGGCAATGTACTTACCTACAGTAATGAAATCATCCTCATTACCCCCCTCACCCCTGGTATCATTGCTGTCATTCATTTCACTTACACATAAACAAATATAATCATAAGCGTATATAAGTAAGAACATGTAATCAAATACATTGTTGCTCTTATTATTTTAAATAAATTGTTATGTTAACTCAATTAAGAATAAAAAAGTTATTTTATCTTCACATGTTCCTTCTTTGATGCTCTTCCTGTCTTCATGACTATTCAAGCTTCTGACATATATACTTTTATTTCTCTCTACAGAACTTCTTTTTAACATTTCTTGTAAGGCAGATTTACTAGCAAAAAATTTCCTCAATTCTTGTTTGTCTAAGAAAGTCTTATTTCTTCACTTTGAAAGATAATCTTATGAAATACAGAATTCTAAGATGTTGCTTTTTTTCTCTCAACACTTTAAATATATTTCACCCCACTGTCTTCTTGCTTGCATGATTTCTGAAGAGAAGTGGGATGTAATTTTCATCTTTGCTCCTTTATAGATAAAGCAGGGTTTCCCCCCTCTGGTTTCTATCAGGATTTTTTCTTTATCTTTGATTTTCTGTAGTTTGAATATGATATACCTAGGTGTGGGATTTTTTGTGTTTGTTGTTTTGTTTTGCATTTATCTTCTTCGCAGTTCTATGATCTTCCTGGATCTGTGGTTTGATGTCTGGCACTAATTTGGAAGAATTGTCAGTCATTATTGTTTCAAATACTTCTATTCTTGTCTCTCTTCTTTCTCCTTCTGGTATTTTCATTACACATATGTCACACCTTTTATAGTTGTCCCACACTCCATGGATATGCTGTTCTGTGTTTTAAGTAAAAGAGAGAGGATCTCTGCTTTTCAGTTTTGGAAGTTTCTGTCAAGGTAACTGCAAGCTCAGAGATTCTGTCCTCAACCATGTCCAGTTTACTAAATAAGCCCATCAAAGGCATTCTTCACTTCTGTTACAATGCTTTTGAACCATAGCATTTCTTTCCAATTTTTTCTTAAAATATCTATCTCTCTGCTCACATTGCCTATCCCTTCTTGCATGCTATCTACTTTATCCATTGGAGCCCTTAGCATATTAATTACAGTTGTTTTAAATTCCAAGTCTGGCCAACAGCAAACAGAGATTGAACAAGTAAAAACACAACAAAGAAAAGCCCAGCACCCGATGGCTTCACAGCGGAATCCTACCAACTTTTCTAAAAAATAGAGCTAGAGAGGATACTTTGAAACACATTTTATAAGGCTAACATCACCTTGATACCTAAGCCAGACAAAGGTGTCATAAGAAAACTACAGGCCAATTTCTCTGATGAATATTGGTGCAAATATCCTCAATGAAATATTAGTAAACCAAACCCAACAACACATCAAAAAGATTTTACATCATGACCAAGTAGTATTTATCTCTGGCATGCAAGGCCAGTTTAACATTGGCAAATTAATCAATATACTACATCACATTAAAAGAATGAATGATAAAAGACACATGATCATCTCAATTGATGTGGAAAAAGCATTCAGCAAAGTCTAATGTTCTTTTTTGATTAAAACTCTGAACAGTTTAGATATAGAAGAAAAGTTTCTCAACACGATAAAGGCCATTTATGAAAAACCTACAGCTCACATTATAATCAATGGGGAAAAAATGAAAGCCTTTTCACTAAGTCTGGTCCAAGACAAGGATGTTCACTCTCACTTTTATTCAACATAGTATTGGAAGTACTAGCAAGAACAATCAGACAAGAAAAATAAATAAAAGGTATTCGAATAAGAAAGAAAAAAGTAAAATTACCTCTACTGCAGATGACATAATCTTACATATATTAAAAACCCCAAAGATCCCATGAAAAACTGTTAGAACTAAAAAATAAATTCAGTAAAGTTGTAAGATACAAAATCAACATAAAAATGAGTAACATTTTTATATGCACATAATGACCTAACCAAAAGAGAAGTCAAGAAATAGTACCATTTATAATTGCATCAAAAAATACCTAGGAATAAGTTTAATAAAAAAGGTGAAAGAAATATACAATGAAAACTATAGAACACTGGTAAAATGAATTGAAAAAGACACACATAAATAAACGGAAAAATAACTTGTGTTCATAGATTGGAAGAGTCAATATTGTTAAAATGTCCATACTGCCCAAAGCAATATTCAGATTCAACAGAATCCCTATCAAATCCCAATGGCATTCTTCACAGGAATAGAAAAAATTTGTTTTAATGCTATGGAGCCATAAAAGACCCAGAATAGCCAAAATAATTTTGAGAAATAAAACGTTTGAGGCATCACATTTCTTGATTTTAAATTATATTACAAAGTTATGGTAATCAAAACAGTATGTTACTGGCATAGAAACAGACACATAGACCAATGGGACAGAATAGAGAGCCCAGAAGTAAATTTAAACATATATAGTCAACTCATTTTTGACAAGGGCACTAAGAAGACACAATTGAGAAAGAATATTCTCTTCAATAAATGGTGTTAGGGGACGGATGCAGTGGCTCAGGCCTGTAATCTCAGCACTTAGGGAGGTTTAAGCAGGAAGATTGCTTGAGGCCAGTAGTTTGAGACCAGGCTGGGCAATTAAGTGAGAGCCCATCTCTACAAAAATTTAAAAAAGTTTAGCTGGGCATGGTGGTGTGTTCCTGTAGTCTCAGCAACTTGGGAGGCTAAGACAGGAGGATCTCTTGAGCCCAGGAGTTTGTGGTTGCAGTGAGCTATGATCACACCACTGCACTCCAGCATGGGTGAGAGAGTGAGCCCTTGTCTCTAAATAAATAAATAAATAAAGCTGGGAATACTGGATTTTCACTTGCAAACGAATGGAACGGAACCATTCATTATCTGACACCATACACAAAAATTGCTGAAAATGGATAAAATATCTAAACATATGACCAAAAACTATAAAAGTCTTAGAAGAGAACATAGGGGAAAAGCTCCTGGACATTGGCCTTGGAAATGTCTTTTTTCTTTTTTGGATATCTCACTAAAACTCAGGCCAGAAAAGCAAAAATTCACCAGTTTTGAGGTACCAGTTTTTTTTTGTTTGTTTCCAACCAAAGTTTTTGCAAAATACAATACAAATCTATTTTTATATCATGTCACTATCAACTTGCTACAAACGTTTATAAATGCCTAATCTTAATTTCTAATCTCATTGGAAAGTGTAAGAACTAATATCCACTACAGTTGCTTACTGTAGAAACTGGCTTCCTAAACACATGTAGTATAGGCTTTATTTCCTCCCTGCCTCACTTTTCCACTTCCCTACTGGTATTTTCTAGGATCACCTCCCAAATAAACTACTTACTCTCAAATGCTTGCTTCCACTCTGTTTCTAGGAAAATCTAAACTGAAACATTAGAAAATCCAGCTGAAGTATCAAATATAACACTAACAGGAGTGGTTAGTACTGAGTCAATAAATAAATTAGAATGTTCTCTTTTACTCAATGAAAATGAAACTCATAAGCTCTAGTTGTTAAACCACTGACTACAATCTTTGAAGTTTAAAAAGAAAGAAACTAAAAACAAACGTCAGACCCATAATTTATTCCAAAGTAGGGGGAAACCTGATCTCAGGATCCTGATTATATGCTACTACCATCCATCTGGTGAAGGGTTGCCATTTTCTTTGTGAGTTATGTGATTTAATGATTTCTTTTATAATATCACAGTAGGCCATCAAAACAATAACTATTTTTTTCCTTTGGCTTAAATAGAGGCTTCTAATTGAACATGAAATGTTTCTACATCAGTTAACATAAACAGTCTCTTCCTTTTTGTCCTAAAATGCCCTTTCTTATCCTGGTGCTTAACTATAATCCTTCAATTTTTAAAAAAAGAATGAGCCTAAGCTCCAGAGTGCAAAAATATCATCTAGTTTAGCTTGGAGTTTTTAAAGGAAGTGTACCCCGGATGAGTTATTGGCATACTGAAATTCTTCTTTTTAGTTATAATGTATATTATATAGAGAAATTCAGAAAGATTTTAGCATCATGTAATGGGAAGTATATGACTTTTGAGTTTTAATCCTGACTGCTCTGGCTTGAATTCTGATTTTGTCAGTTACCAAATATGTGATGTGTAAGTTTCTGTAATGGATTTAATGATTCTAAGTATTTCCTAGGGCTGCTGAGATGTTAATGAAATTATGATCTATTTGAAAATATCTGGCACAATTGAAGAGATAAATCAAAAATTATTTTAATGTCGAGTTTTACGCTGATTTCAACAGTTGGGAAGAAGAACATAGAAAAGGAGAAATTATACTGAGGAGTAAAAGATAGTATTTCAGTAAAGATGAGAATGATTTAGTGCTGGTGTTGTTTATTATTGTTCTACCATACGAACCTTAACAGTCCCCCTTCCCTCTTCTTCTTCAACCAAAGGAACCTGCTCAGATGGAATGTGGTATATTAATCAGGAACCTCTCTGGCTTTCTTTGATTGTGCTCTGTGGAATAAAATGAAGCTCAAAAAATGAAAGAAAAAAATCAAAATAATGTCTCCTGCATATGAGGCCACAGGACACTCAATGTAGCCATATCATAAATCATCAACAGGAAATACCAGTGAAGATCTATATCTCTAGGACAGCTTGGCTTGTTAAAAATATCTAATGCCACCATTATAGCAACTCTTTAGTTCCTCTTTTCCTTTGTTCAGTGGTAATTGTCCTTCTGCCGAACAATTCATCTCTCCCAGAGTTGTCTCCTGACTAGGAAATGTGTACAACTGGCTCTGAGTTATGGATTCTCAGCCTGGAAAACCCTTCATTGCAGTTCAGCAGTGTTTAAAGTTAAAGTGAAGAGCAACCAAAAGCATAGAAGAAAATAAATGGCCCCTAGAAAAGTCGGTTGAATAAAAAAATGGATGTTGATGAAAATATTTTCACTTCCTCCTGTGTTTGATAAAGAATAAATAATGAAAGGACTAGTTTTAGAGAATACTCATAAAAATATGACAACAGTGATGAAAAGGCCATGAGCATGACAATTTTTTTTGTTTTAAAATGTTAATATCTTTTTTTATTATTATACTTCAAGTTCTAGGGTACATGTGCACAACGTGCAGGTTTGTTACATAGGTATACATGTGCCATGTTGGTGTGCTGCACCCATCAACTCATCATTTACATTAGGTATTTCTCCTAATGCAATCCCTCTCCTAGCCCCACACCACCCAACAGGCCCCGGTGTGTGGTGTTCCCCGCCCTGTGTCCAAGTGTTCTCATTGTTCAATTCCCACCTGTGAGTGAGAACAGAGCATGACAATTTTAAGAGCTCAAATGTAGTTTATCGCAGCCTTCTGCAATCATAAATAGGTCACAACGGAACCTTCATAATATAGTTTAAAGCCAATGAATTAACATGATTATGTTTTCAGTTTTACCAGCTAAAATCAGTGTCCTAAAAAACAATATACAAGCTACAAAAATGGTCAGTATTTGATACACCCACTAGGACTACTCATAGCTGGGAGGCTGTACTGAAACTTTAAATGTTTTAGTCCTTCTCAAGTTGGCAGTTAAATCTCCCACTGGAGATCTGTTTATGCACAAAAGAGATTAAGAGATTTAGCTCAGAATTTGAGGGGGAAAAACAGAACAAAATGCAAAGGCTCAGCCCAAAGGAATACTATGAGTGAATAAAAATAAAACAAGTAGCATTAATATTCTGATTTTCCTTCCTATACTACTTATGGATCCCTTAGAAATAGAATACACAAAGAAACATTCTGATAACAGGAAGAATTTGATGTTAGCTTACCAAAGGAAAAAAATTAAAAAGCAGAGAACAGGAAGCATTACACGAGGATTAGGGGCAGTAGGTATAATAAATATCTTCCCCGATGAGGTGTGCAATCAAGCCTTTTTCTCGATTTGTAACTACAAAAGCAAGATGGATTTTCTGACTCTCGTTCACAGCAGTTTGTGATACAAAGATAAAACTCAACTTTTCAGGGACTAGAACACGTGCAGTTTAACTAAAGCTACCACTTTGTCTTCCATAGGACCGAGGCAGCATCAATAGAAAGCAAAGCAATACTCTGTGGATCCGAAGCATTCAAGTTCTGTTTAAAATTCATATAGCAGCTCTTGAATTCTTGACCATTTAAGTGGTCCCATTCAAATTCTCTTTTCCTGTCTGGTTGAATCCACTTAAACTGATAGCCAGTGCAGTTAATCATCTCAAGTCAGTACCTGCACTCTTAAAGGGGCGTGACCCAACATGATTTAATGCTTCCTCTTGGCCTCATCTCTTCTTTCTTTAACGGTCACTCCTGGCCTGGTAGTTGGAAGTCCAGAGAGAATCCCTTCTGTCCCTTGAGGACAATAACAGCACTGAGCCTTGTTAACAGCAGCTTGCAATCAGTCACTCCCAGTCTGCTCTGGAATACTGGGGGACCAAATTCAACCAACCAAAAACTAGAAAGCCCTGCTTGGGTGGCAGGTGTGAAAGTTAGCTCTTCAATTTTGCTATTTGTATTAAATTCTCTTTAATACAAATGAAGAGTAACAAATGCATTAATTTCATGCCACAAGTTTGAATTTGCTTTCTGGTGCTGACAATGCAGCGGTTTCCAACACCATATACAATCTCTTATCTTACAGGCTATATTTTTTTAGCATATCTTAGATACAGTGTTTACACAGAGGTAAGACTTTAGAGAGGTTCAATTCATGCAGGTAGGAAACAAAGCCCATGCTTGAGCGGTTTGCTTTTTAACTCATAGTCCACAGTTATTCCTGGAGCCTCTGCTCAGTTCTCAGCTGAGATCTGCAAAGCTGTTGATGCTTTTGCCTGCCGGATGTGTCCTTTTTACTTCCAACAGGAATTCCTTGTTAACAGTCCTGGGAACATGAAGCCAGAACCCCATAGACCTTTTCTCTAGTTTCTTTTGTCACATACTGCTCTATAATTTGGAGAATCTGGTCATGTGCAGCACATTTAGCCAGGGCAGATGTTTCTTGCCAGAATTCCCAAGGTTAAGATTTAAGAAGGTTTGGTTCAGCCCCTTAACATTTATCTCCTCATATTTAGTCACTGAGTTTGGCAGAAACATCTTTTCCAAGTGTTCAAAGGAAAAATAAAGATACAGCTGAAAGCTCAATGCTTCCAATACTAATCATTCATTCATTTTACCTCTTGTAAACTTCTACACCCAAAGTGCTAAACTAGATACTCTGATAATTAAAATAAAGACACACCAATCTTTGTCATAGACAAGTGAAATAAATGATCGAGGGGATGACAATAGGGACAACAAACCATCCAACATGAAAAAAATGCCAAGACAGTAGAAGATTGTGGCTTCAAATGATTAAGAGTTAGAGAAAGACTGAGGTCTCTGCGACTTGTCAAGAGACACTTATGAGAAAAGGTGAGACTGCGAGTAGGGAGGATTTTTCAGTTGGTGGTGCTTAGAGAAAAGAATGAAGTCCTGGTGACCATTTAGAGTTTTGGACTTGGATAAATCTGGGTCAAGTTCTGGCTAAGCCATATCCTAGTTGTCATTTTAAATAAATTGCTCAACCTCCCTAAGCTTTAGTTTCTTAATCTGTAAAATGAAAAATCATAATATAAATTGTATAGTATTGGTATGAGAAACAAAAGAGATGAAGCATAAATGTTAGCCAGTGTTATATAAGTGCTAGTTAGCTAAAGATGCAGGAGCAGGGATGCATGAGACCTAAACAAAAGCCATTTGTCAGCCTGATGGGGTCAGAGACAACAATGCTGAGAGGTGATCTTGAAAATTTACGTCGAGGCCAGTTAAAAGTGAGCCTCAGATATCCAGCCAAGGAATTTATGTTTGGAGATAGGAACTCATGAGGAGTTACAATTATGTGGGAAATATGATAAAATAAATGTTTTTGAAGTCAGGCTAGAGGGATGAAAAATGGTAGCCAAACTTTTTGACACCTTACTCTGTGCCAGGCACTGTATTAAGTGCTATAAGTGCTATCTGATTTACAGAGGAAGATCAGAGAATGGCTGAATCATTACGGAAAGGTAAGGGGCAATGGGAGCAATATAGCAGTAAGGGGGTGAGAAGCTCAAGAGGCATGATGGCTATAGAGGAAGAGAGATGGAGAAATATGGTAGATACCTGGAATGGGGACAGATGAGAGAGAAGGGTCTTATGTGGCTGATACCCTAAAGCTAGAGAGCATGATTCCTTAATTGAAATGAAAGCAATAGAAAGCAGATGTTGTGCCTAAGAGAACCTCCTGCTGACTCTTCTTTTTTTTTCTGTCTTGGTTTAGTTCTTCAGCCTCCTCTACTCCAGCTTTTCACTTGTCTTTTTTTGTGTCATTCGAAAGGATTCAGTTGAGTCCCTTGCATTTTTTTTTTTTTTTTTTTGACAATGTGCATGTCCCAAGGCCCACTGCTTTCTTTTTTTCTTTCAGTTGTTGGTTTCCACCACTCATCCTCCAAAGTGATGTAATTGATCTTTTGATTCTGGAGTTTGCACTATATCTTCAGGTCCAAGTTTTACAAAGTACGTGTGAAAAACCCCCCAAAGGCAAAAATACCTCAGAATTCACGTAGGATCCACTGGGAAAACCATTAATATGATTTCTAACTTCCCAGAATAAGAATTAAAAACCGATAATACAGGTTAGAAAAAGAGTAAGAAAAAAATGTTTTTGAGCTGAGAAACGCTCTGGGCTTTTCATTCCACAAGAATCCTTTTATAGAAAAGTCATAAAGTAGTGAAAATAGAGGTTTGTTCCTGGTTACGTGGTAAGTGATAAGATGAGTCATAATTTTAATGAACATGTGGCACACCCATTAATTATCCTTGGATGTGAATGTGACCAGGTGGGTTTGCCATAGCTTGACGGTAGATAATTTCAATCACTGCTCTCCCGTCCTTGTAACTACAGTTCTCAAGAATCTAAATGACCCATACTAGATAAAATTCATTTCGTGTTTTAAAAAAACTTCACCTGCATATTTAAAACACTTAGATTTAAAGCCATACAGAGAAAATTACAGAGTACCGCTCAGTAAAATATGGGATTGAAGTATAGTAATGGAGAAAGTGGGGAGAAAAACAACTGGGAATTCAGAGCTACGGAAGTTAAAACTATCAGTGGAAACTCATGTTGTCATGGAAACCTGATGCAATTGAGGGGCCAAGAAAGCCACTGCTTAGCGATAGCACACGGAAAGGTTCAGATGCTATTCAGAACAACTGGAATTGTCTGGGCAGATGACTCTCCCAGAAATCAGTAATTGAGTTAGCGAGGCTCTAAAATTTACAAATAAGAGATCTGAATAATGAAAGTAAAGAAATGAGAATTTAGGTAGTCCCAACTAGGAAAAAAAATAAATACCTTGGCACATGTAGTACTAAGTGGAAAAGAAACAGGTGAAAAAACCCACCTAGGACCAGTGATAAAAAATTAAGGATAACACATAATTTATATGGAAAAGGGAAAATGGCAAAATCAGTAAGGAACATGCTGTCACTGTAGTATTAAATACACTACAGTGTGTAAATTATTAATATATTTATCTCCCCAAAAGACTGTGAGCTTCTTTAGAAAGGGACTGGACATGTTTATCTTTACAACCCGTGGGGCCAGCTTGGAGCACCCAACCAATATTTGGTGAATGGTAATAATCCTACTATTTATTTTAAAATGGACAGTGATACAGTCACAGTAGCAAGTATATAGCTTATTTCACCCAGTCCTCACCACATCACTGATACCATATCACCATTTTTCAGGGGAGGCAATTCGAATCTCAGAAAGGTTAAGTAACTTGTCAATGGTCACAGAGCTAGGAAAGAGCCAAATGGGGATTCAAACCCAGGTTTATTGACCTCAAAGCCCATGTTCTTTACAATATGCTCCAATGAATAAATAAAAAAGAAGACACTTAAAAAGTGAACTGGGGAAGTTAGGCTAATAGCTACAGTGCTGTCATCATTAGGTTTAGAATTGAAAGGGAACCTAAAGACTCTGTCGGACCCTTTATTTCATGGATGAGGAGACTGAATTTCAGGGAGGCAGGGCAGTTTGGTCTCTAAAGTCGCATTTTGTGTCTTAAACACGCCAGTTCTGCTTCCAAAGAATTGCTCCCTGAGTCGGGCTCAGATACACTCTTCTAGTCTTTATGTGAAGGACTAGAAATCACGGGTTTATGAGTGAGAAGAAAAATGAGAACACGTTGAAGCCGGCCTCATACAGTCAGTACAAAGCACATTATGGAGATCTGTGCAAACACAAGACTATTTTTTACTTCTAGCAGTCTAACTCCTCATGATGACAGCATGCTTCTTTGCTGTTTTTGCTTGCTTCAATTCACTTTTAAAACCAAAGCTGATCTTTTTCTATTAAACTCTCTGATTTCCTCCTGTTCATTTAAATAGAATTTCTCTAGAAGTAAGTGTCAAAAGTGTAGTGTGTTTTCCTGAATAAACAAAAGTAAAATAACTTTCAAAAATTTAAGGCAATCCACTTGTTTCTCCAGTGAAGAAAATGATGGTGCTTTTGTTCCATTGCTAGAGATGTAGGCGTCCCCTAAGAAACTTACCACTCTCCAGGGCTCTCTCATTTGTTGAGGGCTCATGAAGGTCACATTTATGAACTGATGCAGAGAGTAAAGGTGGCAGCTGACAAATCCTATCTTGGTCTCTCACTGTAACCTGCTCTCCACTACCTTCGGCATATTTTCCAACTAGAAAAAACCTATTTATAGAATTCTCCTCATGGGAAATAGAAGATTTTTAAGAAGAAAGCCTGTCCTTCAGGCTTATGGGCATCTAAATTTAATAGATTGATTAAGGTTCCATAACCTTGGGCTTTAGGGCATCCCACAGCCCTCTGCATTGCCCATGGCTAAATCAGCAGAACTGAATAACAGGATACTTACTGGGATTTTTGTGCTGATTGTTGGGGCTCTACTGTTGGTAGCTCCATTATTTACTCCCTTCCTTCACCCACTATGCTCTCCGGGGAGCTCTAAAGTCAGCTTCTAGGAGCAGAACCAGGAAGGACCCAAGAGTTTTTCCCAAAATAATGACACTAGCACTGAATAAAACTGACCTAATAGAGCTCTTTGGAGAGACAGTTTGAAAAATTTGTAAATTCCAGCCATTCCTAAAAAATGATCTTGCTACCATGCATTTCACAGCATACAACCCTCAGTGAAATGCCGTAAACCCCCATTATAAAACATCTTGCCATCGAAGGGGTTATGCCGCAGACGAGGCCACACAAGGCAATACTTGAAGTGACTTGGAGAATAAAGATTTTGGATGGATGAAAGCAGAGAAGGAGATGCTAAAAGTGAAATAGAGAAGCTCTCTAGGTAATTCCGTAAGCTCAAATATTTACTAAACATCAGCCATAGTCCAGGTACTGTGATATGTCTGGGCTTAGTGCCAACATACATAACACAGACTCTCCCTGGGGGTGCTCAGGGCTGAAAACTAGCTCTTTTTTCTCAAATGAATTTTTGATAATGAATAAAATAGCATATATTAAGTAACTCAGAAAGTTGATAACATAAAACTTTGTTTAACAAGTACAGTCATGGGAATCTGCTTTTCTCCCTATTTATAACTCCACTTCACAGTTTTTCAAATGATATCACTTTTTAAATATCACCTTGGATATTTAAAAAGGAATTTCTGAAGTCCCAACAAATTATTCCATTCTTAAGTTATGAGTTTTATGAGAAAAATATATACAGACATACTTCCTAGATAGAGTGGGTTCAGTTCCAGACCACTGAAATAATGTGAAAATCTCACAATACAGTGAGTCACACAAGTTTCTTTGGTTTCCTGGTGCATAAAAAAGTTATGTTTACACCATGCTGTAGTCTATTAAGTGTGCAATAGTGTTATGTCTTTAAAAACCATGTACACACATTAATTTCAAAATATTGCTAAAAAGTGCTAACAGTTATCTAAGCCTCCAGTGAGTCATAATCTTTTTGCTGTAGAGGGTCTTGCCTCTATGCTGATGGTCGTTGACTGATCAGGGTGGTGGTCGCCAAAGATTAGAGAGGCTGTGGAAATTTTTTAAAATAAGACAACAATGAAATTTGCTGCATCAGTTGATTTGTCCTTTCATGAAAGATTTTTCTATAGCATGTAATGTTGTTTGACAGCATTTTACCCAATTTTAATTCTCTATCAAAATTGGAATCAAACTCCTCAAACCCTGTCACTGTTTTATCAACTAAGTTTATGTAATATTCTAAATCCTTTGTTGTAATTTCAGCAGTGTTCACAGCATCTCTACCAGGAATAGGTTCTATCTCAAGAAACCGCTTTCTTGTTCATCCATAAAAAGCAACTCAATGTGTTTGAGTTTTCTCAGGAGATTGCAGCAATTCAGGCACATTTTCAGGCTCCACTTGTAGTTCTAGTTCTTTTGTTATTTCTAGCATAATTTTAGTTACTTTCTCCACTAAAATCTTGAATCCCCAAAGTCATTCACGAGGGTTGGAATCAGCTTCCTCCAAACTCCTATTAATGTTGCTGTTTTCATCTCCTCCTATGAATCACAAATGATCTTAATGGCATCTAGAATAGTGAATCCTTTCAAAAAGGTTTTAAATTTACATTGCCCAGATGCACTGGAGGGATCACAATCTATGGCAGCTATAGCCTCACAAGATATGTTCCTTAAAAAAATAAGACTTGGAAGGAGGAATTACTCCTTGATCCATGGACTGCAGATTGATGTGTTAGCAGGTGTGAAAACAATATTAATCTCCTTCTAAATCTCCATCAGGGTTCTTGAGTGACCAGATCATTGACAGTGAGCAATATTTTGAGACAAGTCTTTTTTTGGGGGCAGTATGTCTCAACAGTGGGCTTAAAATATTCAGTAAACCATGCTATAAACAGATGTGCTGCCATCCAGGCTTTGTTGTTCCATTTATAGAGCACAGGCAGAGTATCTTTAGCATAATTCTTAAGGATCCTAGAATTTGGGGAATGGTAAATGAGCATTGCCTTCAACTTAAAGTCATCAGCTGCATTAGCCGCTAACAAGAGAGTCAGCCTGTCCTTTGAAGATTTGAGGCCACACATTGACTTCTCTTTTTTACCTATGAAAGGCCCAGATGGCATCTTCTTCCAATAAAAGGCTGTTTCATATACATTGAAAATCTGTTGTTTAGTGCAGCCACACTCATCAGTGAACTTAGCCATATCTTCTGGATAATTTTCTGTAATTTCTATTAATACATTAGCACTTCCTGCTTTACCTTGCATGTTTATGTTAAGGAGACAGCTTCTTTCTGTAAAGTTTATGAACCAACTTTTTCTAGCTTCCAACTTTTCTTCTGCAGCATCCTCACCTCTATCAACCTTCTTATAATAGAATTGAAGAGAGTTGGTGAATTGCTGTGGATTAGGTTTTGGCTTAGGAGAATGCTGTGGCTGGTTTGATCTTCTATCCAGACCACTAAAATGTTCTCCCTATCAGCAGTAAGGCTGTTTTGCTTTCTTATCATTTGTTCACTGGAGTAGCATTTTTAATTTCCTTCAAGAACTTTTTTTTTTTTTTTTGCATTCACAACTTGGCTAAGTGTTTGGTGCAAAAGGCCTAACTTTTAACCTATTTTGGCTTTAGACATGTCTTCCTCACTAAGCTTAATTACTTCTAGCCTTTGATTTAAAGTGAGAGACATGTGACCCTTTCTTTCACTTGCTGACTTGTTGGTTATTGTAGGGTTCATAACAGATGTAATTCAACTGACCTATAGTTGTCTCTCAGGGGAATAGAGAGGCCCAAGAAGAGGAGAGAGATGGGGCAACAGCCAGTCAGTGGAGCAGTCAGGACACACACATTTGTTAATTAAGTTCACTGTCTTATGTGGGTGTGGTTCATGGAGCCCCAAAACAATTACAGTAGTAACATCAAAGGTCACCAATTACAGATCACCATAACAGATATAATAATAATAATGAAGTTAGAAATATTGTGAGTATTATCAGAATGGGGCATAGAGAAATGAAGTGAGCATATGCTGTTAGAAAAATGATGCTCATAGAGTTGCTTGGAGCAGGGTTGCCCTAAAACTCAAAGTTGTTAAAAACGTGATGTGAAGTGCAATAAAGTGAAGCACAATAAAATGAGATATTCCTGTATATCTGTATCTATAGCTATATCTAGAAAGACAGACAGACAGAGACAGAGAGGGAGGCAAGTGTTTCTATACATTGTATAGAGGCAAAACATTTTTTAAAGACTAGTTATTTTAAGAGTTCAGATTTTATGGTTAAAGAATAGAAGGTGGAAATGGGATGACTTTTTAACATTCCCCATTTTGTACAAGAAAGGAAGGATTATGCCGACCTCAAGAGGAAAGCTCTTCATTGCAAAAAGCCTCTTGCTTTTCTCTCTACAAGTTCAGCTTCAGCTTCAATAGAGCTTAAACCGTACATATGACAAATAGAGCTCAAGCAATTAAATAATTACTGTGTCTGCAAGCTCTACAGACAAGAGATGGAATGCTAGGCATCAACAAAAACTAAGTCAGAATAAAAACTGCTTTCACTGAAATTATAAGATGCATCCTGTTTCTTGTCATTCTGTCCCAGCTAAAGAAGAGACTCTCACTAATCTCAAAGAGAAAGCAAAATGAATGACACTCATGGTGTCCAGGCCTCACCAGAGTGTCTTAAGAATGAGCAAGAAAGCCACTTCATGGAGAAATTAAGCCTCCTCTTTACAGCCTCTGAAAAGGAACTACTAATGTTCTTTCTCTCTCTGACACACTTGTTCTCTTCTTGAGGGTTCATTTCAATCCTTACTGCTATTGTCATTATTTTTGTTCTTTGCCAAGAAAGTTGGATGAGTTAAAAGTCATTTTGGATTGAAGTTAAAGATCTGTTCTACTCCAAGTTTTACCTCACTGTCTCGTGTTATATTTTCTCTGTAGAAAGGTGTAAGTGGTGAACCTAATAAGAACATTATTAGAAGTACTACAGTAATGCTTTTTATTTTAAATGAACATCAACTTTAAAATCTAGAGTGGCATTTGTTAAATGTGGCAATTAGACTGTTGACATTAGAAGAATATGAGGATTTTTTATAATAGCCTTATTGAGATATAATTTACATACCATATATTTCACTCGTTTAAAGTGTACAATTCAATGGTTGTTAGTATTTTCACAGTTATGCAACCACCAATACAATCAATTTTGGAACATTTTCACCATCCTCAAAAGAACTCCCCCTACCCATTAGGGGTCACTCTCTATATCCCCCCAACCCCCTTAGCTCTAGGCAACTACTGATCTACTTTCTTTTCTATGAATTTACTTATTGGGGACATTTTACATAAACACAATCATAATATATTTGGTGTTTTGTGACTGGGTTCTTTCACTTAGCAGAATGTTCTCATGGTTTATCTATGTTGTAGCATGTATCAATACTGCATTTCTTCTTATTACTGAATAATATTCCATTGTATGGATGTACCACATGTATTATTCACTTATCAGTTGACAGACATTTGGATTGTTTTCAACTTGGGGGCTATCATGCATAATGCTGCTATGAACATTTGTGTGCGAGATTTTTGTGGAGACATATTTTCAAATCTCTTGAGTATATACTTAGGAATAGAATTCCTGGATCATATGGTAACTCTATGTTTAACATTTTGAGGAATATCCAGACTGTTTCTAATGTGGCTGTACCATTGGGTATCCCCACCAGCAGTGTGTGAGGATTCTAATTCCTCCACATCCTTACCAACGCTTGTTATTATCTTTTTCAATATAGCCAGCCTAGTGGGTCTGAAGTGGTACCTCACTGTGGTTTGGTTTGCATTTTCCTGATGGTTGGGATTATTGCTAAAATGTATATTCTTGGGGCACAACCTGACTCTGAATTATAATCTATGAGTCTGCACTTTACTGAGACTCATATATCAGTTATCTGTTTTACATAATAAATATTTATTATTTCTTACAGTTCCTATGGGTCACATATTTGGGAGAGGCTCACTTGAGGTGTTTCTGGTTTGCTATTTCATAAGGTTAGATTAGACATCAGTCAGGGCTGCAAAAATTTAAAGACTTGACTTGGACAGGATGCAAAGTCTGCTTCACGGGCATGTAACTTGTGCAGTCGCCTAAGGCACCATGCTCAGAAAGGCCCTGCATGAAATTTAATACTCTATTATTGCCATCTTGAAATTCGTAATAACTTTATATCTTTGAACTTGTGCTTTTGTGTTAGTTTACTTTGTACTACTATAAAGGAATACCCGAGACTGGGTAATTTATAAAGAAGAGTTTTACTTGCCTCATAGTTCTGCAGGCTGTAAAGCAAGGTATCAGCATCTGCTCAGCTTCTGATGAGGCCTCAGGAAGTTTACAATCATGGCAGAAGGTGAAAGGGGAGCCAGTGTGTCATACAGTGAGAGAGGGAGCAATAGAGGGGAGAGGTGACATGCATTTTTTTTTTTTTTTGAGACAGAGTTTCACTCTTGTTCCCCAGGCTGGAGTGCAGTGGTGCGATGATCTCGGCTCACTGCAATCTTCGCCTCCAGGGTTCAAGCAATTCTCCTGCCTCATACTCTGAAGTAGCTGGGATTACAGGCGCCTGCTACCACCCCTGGCTAATTTTTTATATTTTTAGTAGAGACAGGATTTCATTATGTTGGGCAGGCTGGTCTCGAACTCCTGACCTCAGGTGATCCACTCGCCTCGGCCTCCCAAAGGGCTAAGATTATAGGCGTGAGCCATGGCGCCCAGCCGTGACATGCATTTTTAAACAACTAGATCTCATGTGAACTCAAGAATGAGAACTCGCTCATTACTGCAAGGAGGGCCCCAAGCCATTCATGAAGAATCTGCCCCCATGACCTACACACCTGCCACTAGGCCCCACCTCCAACGTTGGGGATCACATTTCGACAGGAGATTTGGAGGGGTCACACATCCAAACCATGTCAACTTCAGAAATAAATTTCAATGAGACAAGAAAGCATTTGTTTACAAAGGACACACGTGCAATATGTGTGTCTGCTGTTCCTTGCTGCCACTTTTACATATAGTAATTGTGATGTCCCATGAATATGAAATTCCAGTGGACCCATGACATGTGGGAGTTCAGAGGGACTCAAAGCAAATACAAGGCTAATTATATTATGTTTATGACTGAGTAAGTAGGGGTATTGACAATTCATAGAGGCCACCCTTTCTGTTAGAACCAGAGCTAGCTAGGGCCAGGCGCAGTGGCTCATGCTTGTAATCCCAGCACTTTGGGAGGCTGAAGCTGGCAGATCTCTTGAGGTCAGGAGTTCGAGACCAGACTGGCCAACACAGTGAAACCTCGTCTCTACTAAAAACATAAAGATTAGCTGGGCATGGTGGTGGGAGCCTGTAATCCCAGCTACTCAAGAGGCTAAGGCAGGGGAATTGCTTGAACCCGGGAGGCAGAGGTTGCAGTGACATGAGATCACACCACTGCATTCCAGCCTGGCGACAGAGCGAGACTCCGTCTAAAAAAAAAAAAAGAGCCAGAGCTTGCTATGAATACAGAAAAAAGGCAATGGTGTTCTAAGAAGCTAAATGACCAAGAAACCCTTTCATGTCCCTTCTTACCCAGCTTACTTCCCTGTTTTAGCCAACCACTAATGCTTAAAATGTGCATAGAGGGAAAGGGTAAGACGGGACGACTATAGTTTATTTTCAGTCTTTTCTTACTCATCAGTAAGCTGACAGTAGAGAATGTTGGTTGAATGTGTGCTTAACAAGCAGAAAAAACAAACATCCAGCTGAGTTAGTTTTAAGCAGTATTTCCAATGTTTTGGTAAGAGTAAAAGGCATAGGCACGTAAGAGCTATGAAATGGGAATTGTATAATTTTGGTGTTTTCACATCTGAGTTAAATGCTCTCATATTTGTATTTTAAAACTGACATTGTGCAATATCATAACAAATGGTGAAATTCCTGATAATAATTTAAAAATTTAATTTTTCTTTACTTAGAAAGACATTAAGTGCAAAAGAAAAAAACACTATGGTAGGCAGAATTCTAAGCTGGCCCCATGATCCATCTCCTCTGTTATGCCCCATATAATCCCCTCCCCTTAAGTGTGGCCAAGATCTCTGACTTGCTTCTAACCAATAGAATATGGCAAAGATGATGAGCTGTCACCCTCATTATTGGATATATATGTATATTATGTATATAATATGCCATAAATATAACACATGTATATGTACAAACATAAAAATACATGTGTTACATTTATGGCATATATAATCTAATATTATATTATAGACTATAATGTAATATAGTCTAGCTGGCATGCACTAGAGATTTCCTCCCCTTGGTTTGAAGAAGCAAACATTTTAATGGAAGAAAGCTGAAACAACTGCATGGCTTCAGCATGCCAAAATCTGTCAATAGTCCTCCTACAACTTGTGATGTGGTCCTTATTACAAGCCAGCTCATCAGGTGATTCACTTTGAAAACCTCATTTTAGAGGTGCTTTCCTAGGACCATTTATGGTGCCAACCATCTTAGGTTGGTTTCCAGGAAAGACTCTACGGGTAATCTGTCTATAGGAGATTTACTTGGGACTCCTCTTAGAAACAATCCCTGTAAACAGTGAGGGAATCAGGACTGAACAGAAGGAGAAGTTGAAAAGCAATGTAGTTGCAAATGTGACCTGAGCCACAACCATGGGAAGCCCTGGTGCTGAGATGGGCCTTTCCAGCTGTCCTGAATTGAAACAAGGACTCAGACCTTTGTGGCCTTGCCTAGACCAGTCACTGGATGTGGGCTGCCTCTGGACTGGGGGTCTAACCTTAGGTGAAGTGACTCTCTTTGGAAGGGCGACTCTTAGAGGAGGACTCAGCTGTAAGCTTTCAGCAGCCGGCATTTCTGCTTAGCTGGGAGAATAAGTACATCAGCCCTCAAAAGGAAATCTGGCTCATGAATCACATCAACTATAACCAATTCATGTGTAAATTGTAGCGTGAGGGCCCTGTAACATGGGAATGAATAAGACAGCAAGATTACCTAAAGCATGGTTGCACTGCAGAATCAGTTCATACTAACGTGTGTATTATAACAATGCAGAGAAATTTTACGAAGAGTTTCAGAGCAGGCATTCTTATAAAAAGAGCATGACAGTAGTTCTCAGGACACAAGCAATGATACCCAACAAAATCATCTAAAAATGCCTTCAGAATACTCTTATAGCAGAAAACACACCAGTCTTTAATAAAGTCTAGCAAAGGTAAGAATAATGTGTTATCCACCTGATACATATATACTGAGCAGAGCACTTGGGGTGAATAGCATGAGGGTTATCAATGTTAGTTTTTGAGGATAAATTTATTAATTCATTTAAAAAGTTAACATTTGACATACCTGCCATGTCAGCATTTGAAATTTTCTCTCCACCAAGGAATATATCTAGAAAATAAACATATTGCAAAGATTTATAGTGTTTACATGGGAGGGACAACATATGTAACATAAGTAATGACGATTGTTGTAGTCATTACATGCTTCGCAAATTTGTATTCAGTTTTGTAAAAGAATAAAGCAGTCATATTTTATTTAACATGAAAGTAATACAAAGAAAAAATACACATTTATAGATGGTGGGGTGTGAGGAGATGGTTCTAAAACAGAAAAAAAAGTGAATGGTTAGGACAATGTTTATCAATATATGTTCAATAAATTATAGTGAATTAATAAAATAAATGTATTCTGTTTCTTGTGTTGTTTCTGCATTAAGAGGAATAACTGGAACTCAAGGAGGCAGGAGTTAATCAAGCAGATTTGAATAATTAGGAGGCAGAAAAAGAGAAATAAGTGAAAAGCAGAGGAGGAGAATTAGCTCAGCCATGGACAAATTCTAGTTGAATTGGGTATGCAGCACATTTTGTCAAGCAAATTCTATCTCCTTTTTCCCCCCACATTATATTAGGCAATTTTTTAATAAGGGAAGACCCTGTCTTAGTCCATTTGTGCTGCTATAACAAGATACCACAGACCAGGTAATTTACAAACAAAAGAAATTTATTCTTCATGGTTCTGGAGGCTGGGAAGTACAAGATCAAGACACTGGTTGGTGCCGTTTAGTCTCCCCATTTCCAAGGTGGTGCCTTGTTGCTGCACCCTCTGGAGGGAAAAGTACTGTGTCTTCACAGGGCAGAAGAAACAGAAGGGGCAAAATAGGGTGTGAACTCCCTTCTCAAGCCCTTTTGTTAGAGCACCTAATCCTATTCATAACAGTGGAACTCTCATGACCCAATCACCTGAATACTATTGCATTGGGATTAAGTTTCATCATGAATTTGGGAGGGGACAAAAACATTCAAACCATAACAATCCTATTAGGAATTGCTATGGTGTGAATGTTTTTGTCCCCTCCCAAATTCATGAGGCAATATAGAGTAAGTTGAAATACCTTGGTGGACATATTGGACAATTTGTCTTCTTATCCATGGTTTTGTGTGCAGACTAATTTCACATCTCTTTCAAAGGATTTTTGCTATTTCACCTTCCTTGCTTTCATAGACTCTTCCTTACATATAAAACTCATCTGACCTCAAACTCCTAGTAATTCCTTTTTTCTTTCTTCTGTTTAGATTTGTGAAGATCTAGTATAATGGACTTCATCATTGAACACACATAAAAATTACCTGGAAAGCTTTGAAATGTGCTAATATCTGGATCCCACTCACAAGAAATTGGCTTAGAGTGATCCTGGCCATTAGGATTTTTGAAAGCACATCAAGTAATTCTAAGGAACATAGCCAAGATTGAGAACAACTGGTTCAATAGACAAGTGGCACCTATGCCAAAAGGCACAATGCAGAACTCAGGGGTTCTAAATTCTGGATGCAGAATTAAGAAACACTAACCTAACTTTCATGCAAATCTCCCTCCCACCAAAAAGTAGAAGTTTTACATAACAGAAAATTAATTCGAGTCTGATGTAATAAGATGGAGAAAATGATGTTTCTTGGCAGCTAATTTTAGATTTTTACTTAAAAAGAGAGTTACTTTCTATTGGGATTAAAACACTGATAAATTTGTTGCAGATAAGCAAGTCCCTATGAGGCACGGTTATTGGCTGTTGGCATCCAGTCTTTGAAGAAGATAATGCAACTACTCTGCCCAAGACCAGTAAAAAATGCATTTGGCCTTGGGGGTGAAGGAGGGGGAGGAGAGCAGGGATAAAGCCAGTGAGATTACCAAAGCTGTGTAGTGAACAATGTGCAATGCCCCTCCCACTACCTGACCCCCGCAACCCGCCTGCTACCTTTTGAATCTAGTAAAGCCACTAAACCCACAAGATGTTTTGTGGGAGTAAATCTGTTTTGTGAAAGTTAATGAAAGGTTTCAATTTTGAGTATGAGTTGACGTGGGGGAAAGGAGAGACAGTGCAAGTGAACACAGGTACCAGGGATAGAGAGGACCATGAAGAATTAAAGATTTTAGGACCAATTGAAATTACAGGAGGAAGATCTTGGATTGTCTCTGGCCATGGAATGGGAAGAAGGGGGTTGAGTCTGAGTCAACACTGAGATCTGCAAAGGTCATGGAAACCTCAGTTTACATTTGGATTTTACTTATAAATTCTGCACAATGGACATAATACATAGCTTCTTGCTTCCAAATGGGTAATGTCTATCATTTATCCCTATATTTAGACATCCTTGTGATAAACATTTTGTATGACATGTATCCCTGCCTTTTTGTGAGGCATATGGGAATGGTGCTTATTTTCTACATAGGAAGAGTTATAATATTCCATACTCTGAATTGTTTCATGTAGCTTGGATTTCCACAAGGTCACAAGTTTTAGTTGCTGTTGGGGCCAAATTTTGGCCACGAGTCACAACGTGGAGCCTAACTGAAATCCACAGATCCCCTAACCTCAGTATTAATCAGAAGTGGGAGGGCAGAAAGAGGAGGTCTTGCTGAGGTGCTGCTTGGGACTAACATTAGCATGAAACCTTGGCATTTGAGCCATATGAGACAAAGATGGAGAGGGAATGGAATGTTCCTGTCTTTAGGTGCAATTGCCACTGAGCTTCTGCACAGTTTGCCCTGCAGCCCACCATCATTCACTAATTGGCAGAATTTTCTCTTTGTTATTCTGCTCCACTGAAAACACACTGCAGGAGCAAACTGGCTTGTCAAAGCACTGGTTCCAAGGACACAGTGACTCTTCAACCTGCAGGGCCTTTATGTTTGAAAAACACTGGGTGTGACAGAATGCTGTGCACAGCCAGGCGAGCAAGCACAGGGTTCAATAAGGCAAAGGATCTCACCTCCGTTCTGCAAAGTCTTATTGATAAGCCCCTGCTTTGCTGCTTAAAATTACCACACAGAAGGACAATCCCACCACAGCTTTGAACCAGAAATTTTTCTCCCTGTACATACATTGAAAGAGTAAACTGCTTAGAAAGAAAACTGTTCTTGAAATTTATTTTCTATTTTGAAAGCAGTGGACTATTTGGTAGGGAAGAATGTTCATTATTATTTTAACCTGTGTTACGTTACTCAGCTTTATATATATTTTAAATTTAATTATACATGTGCTTTGACCTACAATCTCATATATCCAACTATTTGCTTAACATGTACTTTGACTTCCAGACTCATCTATCCAATTGTTTACTCAACCCTTCAGTTTGGTTGCCTAATGGGCATCTCAAACTAAACATATCTAAAACTAAACTCTTAATTTTCCATACACTTCTGCTCCACCCATCCTGTGAAACCTGTCTTCATCACACTAAATGGTACCTTCATTCATTTCTTTGCTCAGGCCAACACCTGTGATCAACCCTTGTACTATGCACTTGAATCTTTTGTCTGGAAGGATCTTCCTCAAGATATCCACATATTTCATGCCTTCAGGTCACTCATGTCTTCTGCTCAAATGTCACCTTATCAAATAGGTCTTCTGAAACCACCCTATGTCCTCTACGTTGTCATTTTTCATAGCATTGTTACCATCTGAAAATTTATATATCGATTTCCTTTGTAAATAAAAATGTAAATTTTTTAAGTAGAGAGACTTTTCTATTCGGTGCTGTATGCATACATGGGAAGATACTTATGTACAATAGGTCCTCAATAAATACTTGATGACTAAATTAAAGGAGAAATAAATGAAATGATTGTTTGAGTGTAGATTCAAAAGATGATTATCCAGCGTTTAGTGTCCACCTAGAGACAAACTGTGGAAGTTGTGATTTGAGGAGACACAGTCAATGAACTTCAATAGGAATCTTTGTAGAGGAGTACTTAAATGATGATTTCTTAGAGGTGTTGTTTTCTTAGGCTATTCTCAAATCTAAAAGAAAAATAGACAAATACTATGGAATTTTATTTAAGAAACATTTGACATTTGCTTTGTGCATGATGTTGTGAGGGATGTGAACATAATGCAGAGTTTTTCTTTTAAGAATATTGCAACTTTATGCATTACCACAGCACTAAATTAATCCACTGACATGAAAAACCTTCAAATGTTTTATTTCTCCATTTAACAAAAAATAAACTATTTTTAAGTAATTACTTTGTTGCTACACTTTAAAATGAAACATATACTATAAACAATTCAAATAATTTGAAAAAGATATGAAAAAAGCAACAAATCACCTCAAATATCAGTACCAGAAATTATCAGTGTTACTGGATGAATGTCTACATAGATAGAAGAAATTATAGAAGTCATGTGGAAAGATAGGGAGAAAAAATCAGTTGACAAAAATGGGATAACACTACTTACAGTGTTTTAATAAGAAGTCATTAAAAAAATTTTTAATTTGGCAGAAGAAAAGAAAATGAACTAAAACAGAAGGAATTGTTAATTTGTACAAAATTTTTATTTACTACTCAAGATGGTAATTTGTGGAAGAGCCTTTTAAAAAAGAAATTGCACCATGAAGACCATTAAGCTGTGCTGTGTGTGTGTGTGTGTGTGTGTGTGTGTGTGTGTGTGTGTGTGTGTGCCTGTGTGTTTTTATTTAGCTAGTTCAATTCAGTTGTTGGCAATATGATGCTCTGCTATGAAATAGAGAATAGCAATGCTATTATCTTCCCCTTTTACATCTACTATTTGTTTGTTGTTTTATTGTGTTTTCTTCTTTAGTTTTTTGTTTTGGTTTGGTTTTTGGTCAGAGTTTACAATTGTCTTCTATTTTGTAACCACGGTCTTCTCAGTTGTTATTCTTAGTTCTATATTAAGGTGGATCCATTGTTCTTAACAAGGACTTCCCAGTATCTAAATTCTTTACTTAATCTCCAGTTGACTGGATTTTGGCAACAATTAGTTTTTTTTTCCGCAGGAAAGGTTCATGAGTGCTATGTTTCTAGACTTTTATATATGAGAATGCCTTTTGTGTTGAAATTTGAATGGCAGCTGGCTGAGCCAAACTTTTCTTTCCCAGAGAACTGTGTGACTATTTCTGCACAGTCTCTGATACTAAATTCTACTGTGAGAAGTCTAAGGACAACTTGATCTTTTTTCCTTTTGTTGCTTCAGAAATCTTCACTTTCCCCTCTTTCACTAGACTTTCTTTTTTAGAGAAGTTTTAGGTTCACAGCAAAATTGAACAGAAGTACGGAGTTCCCATGTGTGCCTTCTTCCCCCATGCATAGCCTCCCCTACCATCAACAGCCTGTCCCAGAGGGAAGCATTTGTTACAATCAATGAATCTGCACTGACACGTTATTATTACCCAAAATTCACAGATCCATTATTATCTCCCAGGTCCAAATTCCAAGGATTCACCTTGGTGTTGGACATTCTGTGGGTTCAAACAAACATACAATGACATGTATCCACCATTATGGTATCTTATGGAGTAGTTTTTCTGCCCTGAAAATCCTCTGTTCTCTACCTATTCATCTGTTCTTCCCTACGATCCCTAGTAACCACTGATCTTTTCACTTTCTTCATAGTTCTGCCTTTTCCATAATATCATATAGTTGGAATCACACAGGAAGCAGCCTTTTCAGACTGGCTCCTTTCTCTTACTAATATGCACTTAAGCCTCCTCCATGTCTTTTCATGGCTTGTAATCTTGTTTCTTTTAGCACTGAATAACTATCTTGATTTTTAAAGTTAAAAAACATTAATCGGAAGTATTTGAATGTTTTTATTCTATATATGTTTTCTTGGTGTAATGTGTGACCTTTAGTTTTTGCTGTTGTTTAATATTTGACACATGGAAACATAGTAATAAAATAAACTCCCCTAAACTTTCCACCTCACTAGAGATCAGAACTTTTCCAGGATGTTTGCTTCTAAAAATATTATTCTCTGCTATCCCAGCACTTTCTCTATATCACAGAGATGAACACTACCTTGAATTTTGTTGATCATTCCCTTGCCTTATACAAAAATGTATCTATAAGTGTATACCTCTAAAACTACATATTGTTTAGTTTTGTTTGTGTTGCAATTTATAAAAATTGATTCATAATATGTGCAGTTTTCTGGAACTTTTTCATTCACAATTTTGTTTTCAAGATTCAACTATCTTGTTCCATTGTGTGAATAGGACCTAATTCCATTCTCCTAACAGACAGGCACTTGAGTTATTTCATTTCCTTTACTATAAACAATACTTCTATGATCACTCTTTTATTTAGATCTTGCTGCACACATGCAAGAATTTCTCACAGTTCTGGAGGCTGGGAAGTTCAAGATTACCTAGGAGTGGAATTGCCAGATTGCAGGTCATGAGAAGGTTTATCTCTACATAATAATGCCAAAGTGTTTTGCAGCATTGTTACTAATTTACATTCCCACCATCAGAATATAAAGTATATGCTTATCCATATTTTTGCCAATGCTTGGTGTTTCAGACTTCCGACTTTTTGCCAGTTTTGTAGATGAAAAATAGCACTTTATTATGGTCTTAGTTTTCATTTTTCTGGTTACTAATAAGGCTAGGAAACTTCTTACATGTTTATTAGCCATTCGTGTTTTCTCTCTTAGAGGATACCTGCCCACATGATTTACCTATTTTTCTGTATGATTGTTTTCCTGTTTTAAGACATGTAGATCTTTTAATATATTAATTATGTTGTTTACAAACATTTTCTCGCTGTTTTGGTTAGCCTTTTCATTCTCTTTATTGTAATGTTTGATGGACAGAAAGTTCTTGATTTTAATATGGGCAAATTTATCAATCTTTTCTTTTTATGTTTAATGCTTCTACTATGGTCTATTTGTGTCCTCCCAAGATTTATATGTTGAAATTCTCATTTCAAAGGTGACAGAATTAAGAAGTAGGGCCCTTGGGAGGTGATCAGTTCATGGGTGTAGAGCCCTCATGGATGAGATTAATACTTATAAAAGAGACCCAGAGGGACTACTTGTCCCTTCCACTGATGGGGACAGGAGGCAGAGATATTCTAGGCAGAAAAGGGTGGGTCCCTGGTGAAAGCTTGACCCTTAAGCCGAAAACCCTGATACCGCAGCCCAAAGTGAGAACTTACTTCCCTGTTTTCCTGCTCAAATGTTGCCTTTTCCAAAACCACCTGAGCCCCTCCCTGCCTCATCCTGTGCCTATAAAAACCCCATACTCAGCCAGCAGAAAGAGGAGAAGCAGCTGGACGTTGAAGACTGCGTCTGGATGTCAGAGAGAAGTGGCTTG
Organism: Homo sapiens; assembly: GCF_000001405.40. NCBI lineage: Eukaryota > Metazoa > Chordata > Mammalia > Primates > Hominidae > Homo > Homo sapiens. Next base: position 75,649,526 of record NC_000009.12, on the reverse strand, counting down.
ACTTCAGACGGACAGCTTGACAGGGTAATCTCAGAGAATAATCTGGCTGGAGATGGCCAGATTTCAGGGGAAGACTACCTTCCCGTCCCCTCCCCTTTTCACCTCCCCTTCCTGCTGAGAGCCACTTTCATTGGCAATAAAATCCCCCACATTTACCGTCCTTTGATTTATTCATGTGACCTCATTTCTCCTGGATGCTGCACAAGAGCTAAGGTGCCCATAAGTGTGGATACAAAAGGCCGTCACACTTGACCTTTGCCCTCACTGGTGGAAAGCAGCTGCCTCAAGTGAAAAGGCAAAGGGCCCAAGGAGCTGTTAACACTTAAGCGTCTGTAGACAGCAGAGCTAAAAGAGCACTGGAACACTCCCTCTGGGGCTTTAGGGGTTGCAGGCACCCCGTCAGACACTACTGTGGGGCCTGCAAAGGGTTTGGTTCCTGCCAATGCCCCAAAGCACTCACCCCAGCTCCTGTACCCCTTCCCCTGGGTGCTCCCTTCAGTGAGGGGTGGAAGGCAGTGGGTCTGGGTGAGTGGAGTTCACCCCTGCTGGCACCGAAGTGGCTGGCTGGTGGTTACAGCGTTCGTCCACTCCAGTTCCCGCCTCATTCACTTGTATGCTCCCTACCATGAGGAGCTGAAAGCTGTAGGATGGATAAACGAGGCACCACTATGGCGAGTCCCATGAAAGGGTCAAGGAAATATCCTACTTCATCTGGGGTCCTGTCTGGGATGCATCAAAAGGGTGAGTAAATGAGGATCTGCCGGATCTGTCTCTTCACTGAGTTATGCCATTTGCAGAGGACAGGATGCAACCCTGCCACCTCTTTCTTTCAGGTGAAAGGAATGTTGGCTCTGTTTCCCTTCACAGAGGTATAGCCGTCGTGTGGAGCTAGAATAAAGTCCTGGGCAATTGAAAGCATCTGGTCAAGGACACTCCTTGTTGTTGCTGGAAGGCCTCTAGACTGGCCCCCATCCCTGACTACCTATTAGGGCATCTATCAAGACCCCCAGACTTTTCTATGGTATCTTTCCTTTCTTTCTTTCGTGGTTTGAAATGGCTCGTATCCCTTCTTTTATAATGATAAGGGTATTGCTACAAAGTGCAGAAATGTTATTAGGTAGAATAAGCATTTGGCCCAGCCCCAGATATGTAATTCAGAACAATGTGATTGCCATCTGTTCTGAGAGGTGCCATCTCCACCCCCACCTCAATACCCGCAGGCACGTGCAGCACACAGCGGCTCCCCTCCTCCCCTGCTCCTCTCCCATCCGGGGCACTTGGTCATATTCACTGCATGCACGTGCCACACCCAATGGCCACATGTGGTGGGAGAGAACCGCAGCTGCTGCCAGGGCCCCAGGGCAGTGTCAGGGGCCCCACGCAGCCAGTTGGCCAGTGTTTCTCACTCGCTGTCCCCTCCCATCACACACCCACAGAGTGTTTTCTCCCCTGGCTGAGGGCTTCAGCTCAGTCCAAACTTGGGAAAGGATACAGTAATTAAAGGAACTCTGTTGTATAGAGCAAGAGGTTCTTCCCCACCTTAAACTATATATTTTTTCTCCTTCCTTGTCTATGCAACAGAGTTCTTTTCCTACCTTAGTACTCTGCTTATGATGGGGAACAAGCAGATGAGCGACCCCACTGGCTAATAACTACAAATTTGGCAAAGACTGTCTGGGACTTAAGCTAAATGAATCCATGTACCCCCGGAGACACTTTTTTGGTCCCAAATTCAATTATAAACTTTGGGTTGAAGTCCTAGAAAGGAAAACCATATCTGAGGGATCCAAAGCCAGGCAACAGGCACAGTGTAAATGGGCAGACTAATTCCTTCCGATTAAGCCCCCGCTTCACGAAAGGAGACCGTGCTCCACGGCATAGATAGGGCCTAGGGAACCCAAAGGTTGCCACAGTAGGAGGAATAGAGGCATTGGTGAGTGCAGATAATTACTATTCTCTAGGACCTCCCTGCTTCATGAGTGCAGGCTGCAATTGCACCCATGGGTGCGTCCGTCTAAGGTTGCTGGGTCTCAGGGATAAAAAGTCAGAAGAGAAAAGGGGGATGCCTGTTTTCTCTTTCCCTCACAGCAAGAGTTTTTGCTGAAAGAGGGAAGGGAAATGAGGAAGGCTTCTTCCTTCTCCCTCACAGCAAGAGTTTTTGCTGAAAGAGGGAAGGGAAATGAGGACGCCTTCTTCCCTCTTTCAGAATGGGCAACCAACTATCTTCACCATCCTCAATCTATACTCCTCTGGAGTGTATCCTTAATCACTGGGACTGCTTTGACCCTCATACTCTGGGGGAAAAATGCCTCATAGCTCTTTGCACAAAGCTTAGGCCAAATTATGATCTGCAGAAAGGACTGGCTTGGCCTCAGGAAGGAACCATTCATTTTGATACCATCCTGCCTTTGGACCTTTTCTGTAAACGTGAGGGCAAATGGTCTGAGGCTCTATATATGCAGACTTTCTTTGCCTTGCAGGCTAACCCAGACCTTTGCCAACAGTGTAGGATTCATCCAGCCTTCCTGTTTGCCATCTCAGGGGAGGCTGCAAGGGGCAATCCCAGGGAACTAAAGAAACAAAAAGAAACAAACCCCAGAGGTACCTCCAACAGGGGAACCAACTCCCTTTAGCCCTGCTCCTCCAGGTCCATTCTATACTCCCTGTCCAGTATTTTTTTCTCTCTCTCTTTTGCCCCTCCTAGAAATCCTCACCCTACACAAGCCCCAGTCTCACTCTTGGCCCTCCAACAGATGCCTGGTGAATTTGGTCCCAGTAAGGTCCAGGTCTCCTTTTCTGTACAAGACTTAAGGAAAATTAAGTGGGTATCTTGGCAAGTTTTTAGATGACCCTGACAGATATATAGATTGTTTCCAGAATTTAAACCAAGTATTCGAGCTCTTCTGGAAAGACATTATATTACTTTTGAATCAAACCTTAACACTGAGAAGCAGGCCACTTTGCAAGCAGCAGAGAGATTTGGGGATGAGCTGTGTATCACATATAGTGTCAGGGAAGGGGCCGAACTTTATCCAGCTGGGAGAGATGCAGACTCTAAATGGGATCCCAGTGACAAGATGGGAGAATGGAAGAGGAGATGTTTTCAGGCGTGCATAATAGAGGGCTTATGTAAGACTAGAACTAAGCTTCTCAACTGTACCAAGCTATCCATGATAGACCAAGGATTTGATGAGAATCCCAATGCCTTCCTGGAAAGGCTAAGAGAGGCCTTGATAAAGCAACACCTCTGTATCTCCTGATTCAGTTGGGGGACAACTAATTCTAAAGGATAAATTTATTACTTAGGCAGCCCCTGATATCAGGAGGAAGCTGTGGAAACAGGCCCTGGGACCAGATGGTACTTTAGAGAACCTCCTGAAAGTGACCACCTTGGTCTTTTAGAATAGGTCACTGGAATAGATTCTTGAATTTATTGTATCTGAGTAAAGTCCTGGGAAGCTGACAGAGTTACCTCCAGCAACTCAGAAGAGCACCAAAAATACCAATGTGAAGAGATCAGGGACCTCAAGCTAAAGATCTCAAAAGATAAGCATTAATAATTAACCTTCCATGGATAGTCTTTTTATGGTCTTGCCTATGATTGCTGTTCTTACCTTCATTCTGTTCTATACCATGGGGTACAGTAATGTTTTCAGAATGATTAGTGTATTTCACTTCTTATTTCTGTTGTCCTTGGCACTAGATTCTTTCCTTTTAACCCCTTGTTGTATAATACACATATTTGATCCATGCATACTTAACCTTGTAAAACTTGTGTCTTCTTGCCTAGATGCCATCGAACTCCAAACAGTCAGGAAACCAGCGCCTTGGATGATGGTTCCCTTTTGCTAGGGACCCTTAGGTAGACTTCTGGGAGGAATCTGACAGCTCGTTCTCCCCAAAACCACACCCCCTGTTAGCAAGAAGTAGCTAAAATCAGGCATCGTCCGTATTCTAGTGGCAATTAGATGTGCCTCTTCAGTCAGGGGACATGATGGGGGCAGGAGGCAGAAAATTTCTAGGCAGAAAAGGGTGGGTCCCTGGCAATAGCCCCATTCTCAAGTCAAAAGGCCTGAAACTGTGGCCCAAAGTGAGAACTTCTATCCCTGTTTTCCTGCTCAAATGTTGCCTTTCCCAAAACCATGTATGGCCCCAACCAGCCCTGATCCTGTGCCTATAAATACCCCAGACACAGCTGGCAGAGAAAGGAGTAGCAGCTGGATATCGAAGACTATGGCTGGACATTGGAGAGAAGTGGCTTGACTTCATAGGGACAGCTTGATGGCATAACTTCAGAGAAGAAACTGGCTGGAGACAGCCCGACTTCAGGAGAGGACCACCTTCCCACCCCGTCCTCTTTTCAACTCCCCTTCCTGCTGAGAGCCACTTCTTTGGCAATAAAGTCCCCCACATTTACCATCCTTCAATTTGTTTTTGTGATCTGATTTCTTCTGGACACCGGACAAGAGCTCAGGTGCCACAATTACAGATACAAAAGGCTGCCAAACTTACCCTGTGCTGGCAGAAGGCAGTCACCTTTTGCAAAAAAGCAGAGGGCCCACTGAGCTGTTAACACTTAAGCTGTCCATGGATGGCAGAGCTAAAAAAGCACTGTATTGCACCCTCTGGGGCTTCAGGGGTTGTTGGCACCCTGCCAAGACACTGCTGTGGGGCCTGCACGGAGTTTTGCTCCTGCTGACACCCAAAAGCACTTGCCCTGGCTCCTGCACCTGCTCACCTCCATGCTCCCTCCTGCAAGGGGTGGAACACAGGGTCCCAGTCAGTGAAGTGAGTTTGTTCCTGCCAGTGCCAAAGTAGCCGGCTGGTTCTAGCATTCATGCACTCCAGTTCCTGCCTCATTCACTTGCATGCTCCCTCCCATGAGGAGTTGAAAGCTGCAGGCTGGGTAAACGAGGCACCCCTATGGCAAGTCTTGCAAAAGGGCAAGAGAAACATCCTGCTTCGCCATAATGTGAGGACACTGCAAAAAGACCGTCTATGAACCAGAAAGTGGGCCCTCACCAGACAATCTGCTGGTACCTTAACCTTGAACTTCCCAGTCTCCAGAACTCTGAGAAATAAATGTTTATTGTTCATAAGCTACTCAGTGCATGGTATTTTGTTATGGCAGCCTGAACAAACTAAGAAAACTTCTTCATTTAAGAAATGTTTTCCTTATACCAAAATCAAAGAGGTATTCTCCTGTATTTCCTTCTAAATGCTTTAAAGTTTCGCCGTTCACATGTGAGGCTTTAATCTATCTGGAAATTATTTTGTGTGTGGTATAAGGTAGGGATACAATTTTATCTTTTCCCATATAAGTAACTAATTGTCTCAGCAGTGTTGTTAAATAGTATTTCTGTAATATATCAAGTATTGATAAATGTGCATGTATTTTGGGGCTTTCTTTTCTGTTTGTAACACAGGCTGCCCCAATACCACACTGCCATAATTTGTAAAGCTTTCTAATAAATATTGATGTGCATGGGGTAAATCCCTCTCCCTCATTGTCCACTCTGGGATTTTTTGTTCTTTGATATGCCTTTTAGAAATAACTTTTCAATTGTCTAAAAATTCAATTTTTTTTTTACTGGAATTGTATTGACACTATAGATCAGATTAGGCAGAATTTAAATCTTTATGATATTAGATCTTTCTATCTGTATATCTGATAAATTTAACAAAATAAGTCGTCTTTTATGTCTTTCCATAAAGTTTTACAATTTCTCCAAACAGATTTGGCACAATTTGTTAGATTCCCAAGGATCTTATATTTTTTCATTGCTATATTAAATGTCATTTTTTAAGAAATAACAAAGTTTTGTTGATATTTAAAAATGCAATTGATGTTTGTATATTGATCTTATATATACTCATTTTGCTCTATTCTCTTTTTTATTCTAGTAAATAGTGTAAATCACCAATCTAAAAATAATGAGCATTTTGTTACTTTCATCCTGATCTTTATGCCTTTAATTTTTTTCTTCTTTTCCTCCTAAATTGACAAGGGGCTTTGGTAAATGTTTAATATACACAGTGATAGAGCACCTTATTTTGGTCCTAATTTTAAAGGGAGTACTTCCAACGTTTCTCTATTAATAATGAAGTTTGCTTTAAGTATTTTTAGATAATCTTTGTTGAGAGAAAAATATTTTCTTCTCTTCTCAGAGATTGCTGAATTATTTTTAAGCCGAATACGTGTTGTATTTTATCAAATGATTATTCTGCTTCTATTTAGTTGGTATGTGACTTTTCTTCTTTACTTCATTAATGTGATGAATTACATTTACTTTTTTCTAATGTTAAACCACTCTTGGCATTTCTGGGATGAACTCAGTTACATGTGTGATATAATAGCTTCTTTTTATTCTACTAAATTTAGTTTGATATTTTGTTTAGGCTTTTTCCAACTATGTTTATGAAGCAAGTAAATAAGGTTATGAGCAACCTGCCAGGCTGTGTTTTACAATTAGTATGTATTGCTAGTTGAGTGCAATACTTGTATGGGAACAGATATTTACTAGCCATTCAACAGATACTTTTTATATTGATAATGAAAGTAATAGAGTTGACAGAGTGTCTTTTCCTACTGGAAAAATACCACTTTAAGATTATGGTTTGGAAGATAAGGGGAAGTCTTCTCTGATTACAGAGCCCATCATAGATACAATAATTACAGCAAGTCTACATGTTTCCAAATAATGTCTACACAGCCAATAGAGAATAAAAGCATTACCAAACCAGAATAGTATTTCTAAGGCTCTAAAATATCACAGTGAAAATTATTTTTGGGAATGGAATGTCCTTGTTCACAGAGTAGAATTCCCTGACTTTAAATAGAATATTGTATCTCTCTAAGAATACATTTCACTGATAGTCCCAAATGTTGCAGTGGAAATTAAAAGGGACAAGATAATTGACAGTTCCCTCAATTCAGCATGTCACTTGTTATCACAATAATTATACCCACTGTTCTCCTTATATTCCTTACCTTTCACCTTGACACAAAAATCATAATTTGTATGTTTTTCTAACTAATTTTAGATATGAAATACAACAGAAATAATCTCATTTTAAGGTCATTATAATGCTTCCTATAATAACAGTATTTTTGCATTATTTTCTTTTATTTAATCATTATTGTAGAACTTAATATTGTTCTATCATCACATTTTGCAATTTGTCATAATATTTCTTTATGACTTGATTTCACATACCAAAAAGTGTATCAAAATCAACCATTTGAAATGATAAAGCAACCTCAAAATAGATCATTTAAAATTTTCTGCATCGCAGAAAACTAAATACACATCTAAATGCATGTAACGCAAAGGGGCACATTAGTATGGTTTGAGAACTCAGATTATTTTTACAAGTAATATTTACCCAGAAATTAAGAAATAGCAAGAAAAATAAAAAGAACAAATGGGCCATGAAATTTTCTGTCTTCCAAAAGGAGAGGATTTCCCTCATTATTATTCTCTCAATGAATTATTTTGACCCTTCAGCATATGTGAGAATTTTAGAAGCTAACAGGTGAATTGCTTTGCCATGATAAAAATAGAAAGAGAGCTGTGCATAGGAATGTGTCTTAGGCTGTTACTTTGATGAAACGGCCTAACCCTGGAGATATAACTGAACTTGGAACATGATGAAAGTCATTTAAACTCCAGTACTGAAACAAAGGCTAAGAAACAAAAAGGAAAGCCTTCAAATGAGGTGTAATATAAGGGTTGATTTTGTTTATTTCTGAGGTATATCATATGAAGGGATGTGTCACATTGTAGTGTTTGTCATGATCGACTGTCATAGTTAATGTAATTTTCAAGAGTCTTGTGCTATATCCTTCTAAGTATGTGATTCACTGTGTGGCAACTCCAATCTCGAATGTTAATAATCCACATTTCTCTCACTGATACTTTTTATTTGTCATTTATCCAACATATTCATTTCTATCTGACTGTAGGGGAGAACAATGACAGCTATTCCAGAAAGAATAAAGTTGCAGGTAAAAAAAAATATTTTTTTTGTTTTAAAATATTGAAGGCAGTTTGAGGCAGTGAGGGTAATTACCCAAATGAGCGTTCACTTTAAAGAATCAACTCATGTTAAAGTAGCTTCTTACACTTTCTGCCCATCTAGAATAGCTTTGGGGTATTGACAAACCTTCATGGCTAGCCCATGACACATAGCAAGAGAATGAATTTTTGAAAGAATTCACACATTTAAATTAATATTGGCCTTCTAACTCTGCAGGAAGCCATAGAATTTTAATTTGGACTTTATGGGCTTGTTCTGTGTCCTCTACAATTCCCCTGGATTTTAATGAAATATTAGAGCTGATAAAATAGTAAAAAGCATTGACCTAGAAAGAATATTGAAAAGTCCATCTTTATATTTCTTATTGGTAATGCACCTATGGTCACTTATGTATTTCATTAATATTTTTAACTGGACATATTACAAAGGCCAGGGATAAGACAGCTATACATACTCCTGATACCATGACACTAGGTAAGCCTCCAATAAGAGATGCCACTCCTAGGCAAATGGGAGCACGAAGAAAAAAAGTTCTAAATTAACTGAGTTAAAATCTGAAGTTACTGAATTATCCCAGAATGTATGAAGGTTATTTTTCCCTGTAATCAGACAGAATAGGGTTTCAAACAGAGATTAAGTTGTGTTATAGACTAATAAAGAACATTATTTTCTTTCCCACACATGAATTACTGGCCAAAAAAAATGAATACCCACTACATTTTCTTTGGCTTGTGTATTAGTTATCTGTTGCAGTGAACAAATTATTCCTAAATTGTGGCAACTTAAAACAATTATAAATATTTATTTTACATAATTTCTGTGGCTCAGGAATACCAGGGTAGTTTAGCTATGTGGCTCTGAATCAAAGACTCTCATGAGATTGCTGTAAATATGACAATTGGGACAACAGTCATCTGAGGGATTGACTGGGGTAGGAAGATTTGATTCTAAGACAGCTCTCTCAGTCATTGCCAAGTCAATACTGGCTGCTCGCAAGAGGCCTCACTTCCTCACCACATGTACCTTTGCATAAAACTGCCAGAGTGTCCTTATGGCCTAGTGGCTGACTTCCACCCAAGTGAATAATTCAAGAGAGTGCAAGGTGGAAGCCACATGTCCTTTAGTATCTAGCCTCAGAAGTCACACACCAGCAATTCCACAATCTCCTATTGGTTCCAACTGGTCAATCCTATTTAACAGGGGAAGTGAGCCTCACTGGGGGAAACTTAGAGGCTGCCTGCCACAATTTGCAAACTAGAATGGCATATTGTTTAGAAGACATTTCAGGAGTAACTGTAAACATGCAAATGATATTTCAAAGAATATGCATTCAGATCAGCATACCCAGCCAAACAGTCTGAGAACTCAGTGTTGTATTGTTTTCTTGTTGGCACATTATCTGATAAAAATAACAGGCTTTTCAGTGGTACATAGCTGTTATTTTTCCACTCCAAAATGTAGTGCAAATGTCATTTTGCCAGTCCTCACACAATGCTAAAGCATAGGTTCCTTACTAAAAGTCACAGTATGTTAGAGAATAAGGCTCAAATTATTTCACACACATGAAGCATTTTGTCTACATTTCGTTGTTACTGCAAATAAGAGCCAATGAAATAAGAGAATGGAAATAATTGTCTGAGTAAAAGAGAAATGCAATAGTTGCACCTGCTTGGCAGTATTATAAAATATAACCTTCCTTTCCAAAGTAAAATAAGCAATAAAGGAAAGAGAATTAAAAACAAAGATGAATCTCCAACAGGGCCATCTAGTTTAACCTCTTAATTTTACAAATGAGAAAACTAAGCCCTAGCAAATTTAATTGACTTGTCCAAAGCCACACAGTAAATTAACCATTATATATTCAGAGGACATTTCACAGGCCTGGGGCTCTTTTCCCCGAAATAATTTTGAATTTCTGAAACGTTGAAGAACACGTCAAAAATACAAAGTTAAATCAAAACAGTTATTTATTATCAACTAGATAAATAGCCAAAGTGATTGCTTGGTAGACGGCAAAGATTCTCAATAATTTTGGAAACATAAATTTGGTCCAACAACTTTGCATTGTGAAGAATACACCTCAAATCACTGGAGGAAATCTTTGTTTCTAACTTGAAAATTTCAACTTGAGATATTGTTTTAAATTAAAGAAACATTTTGGCACTCCTAAGAAGACATTGCTACTTCTGTTTCTTTTTCTTTTCGAAAATGCTCTCATGAAAATAACGAAAGTTCTTTAACGTAGGAAGCGCTAATCATAGAAAATAATTTTACATCGTGCCAAAAATTCTGATCAGATGAAACTGTTATTTTGTAGCTGAATGTCTCTTTAGTTGGCATTTTACAAGTGTGTTTTAGGAATTGTTTTCCAAATGGCAATGTGACTCATTCCCTGCTTTTAACTCTGCACTGTCTGCTTCTCTTTAGTATGCAAAACTTTCTGATTGTTATAATTTTATTTTCATGCCACATTACCAGGGAAATCATTTATTTCCAAACAAACAATTGCTGTCAAAAGGCAGAGATGCACTGTTTATCTTGGCTTCTACTGAATGAAAATAACTCATAATAGCCTATGGTATGGTTTAGAAATGTCACTGCCTCATATGGAAACTGAATGAGCATAACATATGCTAAATGTCAAATCTTAGTTTCTAGGAGGTAAAAGAGGTGTTTGGACTAACTGATTAGAAAATGTGAAAATTAATGAGCTCTGTAGATGAAGAAACACAGTAACGATACACATAGACATGAATTTCTTTATATAGTAAAGCATTTACTGAAATGTACCTACCATCAGCTGAGTAGCTGCTATTGATTGTGGATGGTGCTGTTGTTAGGGATTTAAGGTTGAGTTTGGGTTTTAGGGCTCAGATTCTATTACTTACCTCTTCTATCCTCCAAGTTGTATGCTAACAGTATTAAACACAGAAGGAAATATGGCCAAATATCTTAGAAAACACTAACTAACGAAGACTGCTCTAGCAAAGACTTTGTAGCATGGCTAATGCCAAGGGGATTAAATAAGGTCTTAGCCTATACCAATATCCACCCCTTCACTTCCACCCCATTGGAAAGACAATTCAAAATACATTGAGCAGGGTCAGTGTCAAGAAAACAAGAAATTTTAAAAATATCATGTAGCTTTTGCCAATTCTTACTCTTTAGCTCCCTAGGCTACCCAGCCCCCACTAGCCTGGGCTGTTAACGCATAGGAAGGTGCCATGTGAGATAAAATGGAGCAACAAAGAGAGGGGTGGCTTTCTTCTATGGGAGGAAAGGCCCTGGTACAGCCTGCCTCTGTAAAGTGGATCAAGATCCGTGCCCAGGTGGCCCTACTGTTTGAGAACAGAAAGCCCCAGGGAAGGCGGGGCATGGTGGCTCACACCTGTAATCCCAGCATTTTGGGAGGCCGAGGCGGGTGGATCACCTGAGGTCAGGAGTTCAAGACCAGCCTGACCAATATGGTGAAACCCCATCTCCACTAAAAGTACAAAAATTAGTTGGGTGTGGTGGCATGTGCCTGTAGTCCCAGCTACTCAGTGGGAGGCTGAGACAGGAGAATCGCTTGAATCTGGGAGGTAGAGGTTGCAGTGAGCCAAGATAGCACCACTGCACTCCAGCCTGGGGACAGAGCGAGACTCTGTCTCAAAAAAAAAAAAATTAAAAAAAAAAAAAAGAAAGAAAGCAGAAAGCCCCAGGGAAGAATGCAGAAAGTGAGTGTGATCAAGGTGCCTGCCATCAGAAGCAGGAGAAAACACCAGTCACTGATGCTCCTCTGCTAGCAATGCAGTGAATCCATCTACTAGTGCACTGGAACCCAATGAAAGCTGGGCTCCAATCAAAAGAAAAAAAAAAGATAGAAAAATTTATTCATTCTAGTAAGAAAGTTGCAGTTGGGGCCATGGATATTTCTTCTTATATTCCTCTGACTGGGAAAAAGAAAAGCAGCTTGGGAAAAATTTGATTTTCCCTTCAGGCAAGGCTGATAAATTCAAGGGAGAAGGAGCCTCCCTTCTTATCAGATATCAGCGTGCCTCTTAAGGAATTTGGAATCCGAAAGCTTGGGTTCAAACCCCACTACTAACTAGCTGGATAAACTTAGGTAGTTATTTATCATCCAGGAATTTCCGTTCCCTCTTAAAACTATGAGTATCACTTTCCATTAGCTATGAGGACCAAAAGGATGCTCCCTGTGAGTTTAGTTTGAGAAATTCTCTGGGCCAATCCTGAACAGTTCTGGGAGTCTCTTAGAGGTCTCCTGTCTCCCAAAGGAAGAGGTGACAAACATGACAGGATCATGCACTAGTCTTGCAACATGAAGCCTATGTGCCTAGGAGAAGCTACTGATTTTAGAGGGGCACATTGAACAATATTTCTAAGTCCTCCTGGGTTTTCCCAGGACTAGATTCTACCCTGATTCCTGTAACTGTTCCAATTTCCCTAGGTTGGAACATCTGTGGAACCCCTACGACTAAGGTGTGACTCTTCCTACAGCTCTAGGAAAAGACCTGTTTTCCCCTTGCAGTTGTTGACGGGATTTCACTACAAAGACAATGCTGCTGGGTGGCTAGCCATAACAGCGTGTCTGCCAGGAAATGCTATCATCACCCCTTGAGTGTCAGCCACAAGATCACATGCCCCTGGTTTAATGCCATGTGCACTGTGGCTTAGCTTCTTCTGGGGCCACTGCATACCTGGGTTAGCCCTGTTGGCTGTGGCCCACATGTTTCCAGTTTTCTCTCTGATTTCCCCTGGTTTGCTGTTGAAGTTAGAGCATGCCACCTGTTTAAGGCTGTGGTTCACCAATCTTGAGAGGTCTACAAAAGTGAAAGACCTGACTGCATTGTAAAGAGCGCAATAGCACCAGTCAGGGATGGACAGTGGTGGTTCTACCTAGGCAGTGCTTTCTACCTGAGTACAATATAGCTCAGACATATGTATGGCTTGCTTTTAAAGAAGGCAAGCTCTTTCCTCTACCAGGAATCTCCTTGCCCTCAACAGCAGGTCTAGGTCTCCTCTGTTCAGCCCACCCAAGCAAAGATACTTTCTTTGTAATAGGTACTTATTACATGTTTCTTTCATTGATCCCACCATATTCTAACGATTGCTTTTCTTTTTTTTGTAATAAGTACCTTTTACATATCTCCATTGTTTCACTGATGACACCATAATGTATTAATCACTACTGGATTTAAGTCTATTTTTCAATTTTGTTGCAATTTCACAAGGCCAGGACCCTATATTAGCTATCTTTGTACTCTTAGTACCTACCATTTTACCTCAGGAATATTGGGCCTTCAATAAATGTGTTATATCAGTGGTCTCCAAATGTTCTGGCACCAGGGATCAGTTTCATGGAAGACAATTTTTCCATGGATCGGAGAGGGATGGATGGTTTCAGGATAAAACTTTTCCACCTCATTACATTCTCATAAGGAGCAGGCAACCTAGATCCCTCATACGCACAGTTCACAATAGGGTTTGTGCTCCTATGAGAATCTAATGCTGCCATTAATCTGACCGGAGGCAGAGCTCTGGCGGTAATGCTCACTTGCCTGCCACTCACTTGCTGCTGTGTGGCCTTGTTCCTAACAGGCCATAGACCTCTAACAGGGGACCCCTGTGTTATATGACTGGGCACATAGATGGATGAATAAATGAATTTTACAATTGGACTTAGGTATGATGGCATATAATATACAAGATCAGTACCTGTCCATCGCAGACTATCATAGTAATATGGGAAACCATTATTAAATCCCAATTGATAGGGCAAGGTGTTACAGCTATGACACGGATTCCCCTGTTCCATACATTACATCTCTGAAATGGGGAGGCATCTCTCAATCCCTGCTGGTCAGATAGCAGTCGGGATGTGGGTGCCATGGTGTGTGCATGCATCCAGAGTAGAAAGATGGGTGTCAGTGGTTTGGATGGAATTCCTGGAAAGGTTGGTTGGAGCATTTTCTTAAAAAATGCAACATCACCAATACTCATGATGCTGTAGATGACAGTTTTATGTGAAAAATAAAATCATGATATATACTGCCTTGGGTCAAAGTTTTCCAGAGAGTTAGTATCTGAATGTAAAGAAGTTTTAGGAATAATTTAACCAATTTAATTTACTTATGTTTTTCTTTTTAAGAAATGCATAAGAGTGCTATATCATAAAAATTTGTGCCTAGACAAGTCTAAGATAGTTCTTTCAATAAGTAGAAAATAAAAACTTTAAGTGAGAGAAAGATATTATATAAATTTAACTGGCAGTTTTCTTACTTTTTTGGTAATCTTAATGTTTCTTATAGTCAATGACATTATATTCCATGAAATATGGGGTACTTGCTGTAAAATTAGTGATAGTTTTCCTCTTTTGGGAAACAAATGGGATTAGTAAATTGTAACTGTTACCTCTTTTATTGAAGTAAATGTACACTGAGATCTGCATGTACCTTTCTCAGAAAGATGAATTTCACACTGTGGCAATAAACAGAACACATGATGTTTGCAAATTTCCTGGGAGAAGTTTCTCTATCCAAACCTGGTCTCTGTCATTGTTTAATGATGCTGCTGAAGAAAAGAGGACAGGCCCAGAGGAACCACATTAAAAGCAGTCGAATGTTTTCCTCAGCAGTCAATCATTTCTGCCTCTCTATGCTTCCCAGCCCCCGCCCCAAAAGGGAAGTAACCAAAAAGGGATAAAAGGCCCCGTCGTCAGTCATTCTAACTTTGAGGCAGACATGAGGTTGTTGCCAAATCCTCTTTTTCTTCATATATTGTTAGATAATGAAAATAAAAGGAAAATAACAGTAACAAAGGAAAGAATCTTATTAGCAGACAGCTAAACAATGAAAGGGAAGTAGAAAACCCTTTGGAGAGTCTCTGGTGTCTCTTCGTGTCCTGAACTTTCTGCCTTGCTGCTAATGTTAAAGAACCAAAATTAGACCTCACCTAAGTGGAAGCCAATGCTGATATTTTGGCAAGGGCCCAAAACACATAAAGGGGTACTAGGACTGGTATCCCTACACTTTCTTCCACTCTCAACCTGCTCCATGACCTTCCAATTCTTCTCCCGTCCTCCAGTTGCCCTCCGAAAGAGAGGGAAGCAGTACTGGCAGGGGATAAATGATATCCTTTGCCCATGTTACACGGATGATGCATATGACAGTGAAGGGTCCTGGATGTAACGCAGCCAGTCCCTGCCCAGTCCCTGCCGATCCAAACAGAGGAAAGATGTGACTAGAGGAATAAATTAAAAGCTCCTTCTCATATGGATGTCCCCAGTGTGCAATTACAGCAAGGTCTGTAATTTCTAGCAGTATCATTTAAGTTCTTGCCTTTTCAAATGCTCGTGGTAGATTGTAAAAATGCTGATTTACCACCTTTCTTGGCCAGTTGTCTCTGGAAACGCTCACCCTACTCCACCTGATGCTTAATAAAAAACTGGTGTCCAAAGGGGTTGGAGGTTCATCTCTAAATTCCACATTTGATCCAAGAAGAAAAAAAAATAGTATTTGTTGTTTGGGGAGTCCAAAATAAAGAAAGCAGGAAAGAGAAAAGAAAACATTTGATATCCCAGGAGTGCCAAGTCCCAAATCCTCTCCAGCAGCGTCCTCCAATATTTGTAGTCCCTGTCATGTTGGTGGCCTTTGCTCGGGTACCCAGCTAGGCTCTAAAATTGCATAAACATGTAACTATGTTGTTTTAGAGAGAAGCAGCTACACATGCCACTTTAAAGAAATTTAATTACTGTATCTTTTTCTTCAAACATGTGGGGTTCTGTGGAGAGTTGGACACCACCCTGGGCAGGTTCCACATGGCATGGCAGCTGCTGTGAGCAAAGGGGAGGGTGTGTGCAGGCCGTGAGGTAGCGTCTCGTCTAAAGGAAATGAAATACTGCATGCAGAGGGCTTATTAAAAGCTTCATGCTTGAAAAATCCGTAGTAAAGGCAAGTCTTGGGAAGCAGACAGTTTCCCCTTTTGCTGGTCATGTTAACTTTATAGTTGGAAATGTGAATGCAATTTTGACATTCGTATGGACTGAGCGGGGGGAAAAAAGATAGCGAAGCATGAAGCCGGTTTTTATTGGAAAAACATGGCCCAGAACAAAGCTTCTCAAGGCATGCTTTGCCAGTGATTAGGGTGCAGTCTTCTCTTCTGTGGGTCCTGCATCCCACATTGTTACAGGTATAGTAAATTAAAAAAAAATACAGCAGCTCAGTACTAGCAGGGGCCGTGGCTCTCCTTCTAAACCAGCCCTACAAAATGACTCTAGAATTTTTTTTTCCAAGATATTTCAGGACATAATAGCCCCAGAAGCAGCAAGACAGCTTACTGTGTCCCTCAAATGTAACTTTTTAACAACTTAACTAGCTTTATTTTTTTATTTTAAAAATAAATGTTATGTTTAAAATTTTTGGATTAGTAATTCATGTATGTGGTACAAAATTCAAAAGGGGCAAATAACTGAAATGAAAGTCTCTCTATATCTCTTGATAGTGATTCTGCTCTCTTTAGAAGAAACCTGCGTTACCTTTCTTGCAGATAGTTCCAGAACTCTATGGTATATACCAGCATACCCGATACAACCTTTTCTTCTTTTTTTGTTTCTTTTATGGGATTTCTTTTTTCCATTCAAAGAGGTTTGATAAACAAATGTAATGAAGTTGCTAAAATGGATAATTTTTAAAACAACCTGATGAAATGGTTTTACAAGATTCAATCAGATATTTTAAAGATATTAGCATGTGACTTCCCAACTTAAAACTATTTTTTAAAAAGTATAGATGCATTCATGAAATCCACACCAGATAAGTTTCTTTTATTATTATTATTATTATCATTATACTTTAAGTTTTAGGATACATGTGCATAACGTGCAGGTTTGTTACATATGTAGACATGGGCCATGTTGGTGTGCTGCACCCATTAACTCGTCATTTAGCATTAGGTATATCTCCTAATGCTATCCCTCCCCCCTCCCCCCACCCCACAACAATCCCTGGTGTGTGATGCCCTTCCTGTGTCCATGTGTTCTCATTGTTCAATTCCCACCTATGAGTGAGAACATGCGGTGTTTGGTTTTTTGTCCTTGCGATAGTTTGCTGAGAATGATGGTTTCCAGCTTCATCCATGTCCCTACAAAGGATGTGAATTCATCATTTTTTTTGGCTGCATAGTATTCAATGGTATATATGTGCCACATTTTCTTAATCCAGTCTATCATTGTTGGACATTTGGGTTGGTTCCAAGTCTTTGATATTGTGAGTAGTGCCGCAATAAACATATGTGTGCATGTGTCTTTATAGCAGCATGATTTATAATCCTTTAGGTATATACCCAGTAATGGGATGGCTGGGTCAAATGGTATTTCTAGTTCTAGATCCCTGAGGAGTTGCCACACTGACTTCCACAATGGTTGAACTAGTTTCCAGTCCCACCAACAGTGTAAAAGTGTTCCTGTTTCTCCACATCCTCTCCAGCACCTGTTGTTTTCTGACTTTTTAATGATTGCCATTCTAACTGGTGTGAGATGGTATCTCATTGTGGTTTTGATTTGCATTTCTCTGATGGCCAGTGATGATGAGCATGTTTTCATGTGTTTTTTGACTGCATAAATGTCTTCTTTTGAGAAGTGTCTGTTCATATCCTTTGCCCACTTTTTGATGGGGTTGTTTTTTTCTTGTAAATTTGTTTGAGTTCATTGTAGATTCTGGATATTAGCCCTTTGTCAGATGAGTAGGTTGCAAAAATTTTCTCCCATTCTGTAGGTTGCCTGTTCACTCTGATGGTGGTTTCTTTTGCTATGCAGAAGCTCTTTAGTTTAATTAGATCCCATTTGTCAATTTTGGCTTTTGTTGCCATTGCTTTTGGTGTTTTAGACATGACGTCCTTGCCCATGCCTATGTCCTGAATGGTATTGCCTAGGTTTTCTTCTAGGGTTTTTATGGTTTTAGGTCTAACGTGTAAGTCTTTAATCCATCTTGAATTAATTTTTGTATAAGGTGTAAGGAAGGGATCCAGTTTCAGCTTTCTATATATGGCTAGCCAGTTTTCCCAGCACCATTTATTAAATAGGGAATCCTTTCCCCATTGCTTGTTTTTCTCAGTTTTGTCAAAGATCAGATAGTTGTAGATATGTGGCATTATTTCTGAGGGCTCTGTTCTGTTCCATTGGTCTATATCTCTGTTTTGGTACCAGTACCATGCTGTTTTGGTTACTGTAGCCTTATAGTATAGTTTGAAGTCAGGTAGCATGATGCCTCCAGCTTTGTTCTTTTGGCTTAGGATTGACTTGGCAATGCGGGCTCTTTTTTGGTTCCATATGAACTTTGAAGTAGTTTTTTCCAATTCTGTGAAGAAAGTCATTGGTAGCTTGATGGGGATGGCATTGAATCTAGAAATTACCTTGGGCAGTATGGCCATTTTCACGATATTGATTCTTCCTTCCCATGAGCATAGAATGTTCTTCCATTTGTTTGTATCCTCTTTTATTTCCTTGAGCAGTGGTTTGTAGTTCTCCTTGAAGAGGTCCTTCACATCCCTTGTAAGTTGGATTCCTAGGTATTTGATTCTCTTTAAAGCAATTGTGAATGGGAGTTCATTCATGATTTGGCTCTCTGTTTGTCTGTTATTGGTGTATAAGAATGCTTGTGATTTTTGCACATTGATTTTGTATCCTGAGACTTTGCTGAAGTTGCTTATCAGCTTAAGGAGATTTTGGGCTGAGACGATGGGGTTTTCTAGATATACAATCATGTCATCTGCAAACAGGGACAATTTGACTTCCTCTTTTCCTAATTGAATGCTTTTTATTTCCTTCTCCTGCCTGATTGCCCTGACCAGAACTTCCAACACTATGTTGAATAGGAGTGGTGAGAGAGGACATCCCTGTCTTGTGCCAGTTTTCAAAGAGAATGCTTCCGGTTTTTGCCCATTCAGTATGATATTGGCTGTGGGTTTGTCATAGATAGCTCTTATTATTTTGAGATACGTCCCATCGATACCTAATTTATTGAGAGTTTTTAGCATGAAGGGTTGCTGAATTTTGTCAAAGGCCTTTTCTGCATCTATTGAGATAATCATGTAGCTTTTGTCTTTGGTTCTGTTTATATGCTGGATTACATTTACTGATTTGCGTATATTGAACCAGCCTTGCATCCCAGGGATGAAGCCCACTTGATCATGGTGGATAAGCTTTTTGATGTGTTGCTGGATTCAGTTTGCCAGTATTTTATTGAGGATTTTTGCATCAATGTTCATCAAGAATATTGGTCTGAAATTCTCTTTTTTTGTTGTGTCTCTGCCAGGCTTTGGTATCAGGATGATGCTGGCCTCATAAAATGAGTTAGGGAGGATTCCCTCTTTTTCTATTGATTGCAATAGTTTGAGAAGGAATGGTACCAGCTCCTCCTTGTACCTCTGGTAGAATCTGGCTGTGAATCCATCTGGTCCTGGACTTTTTTTGGTTGGTAAGCTATTAATTATTGCCTCAATTTCAGATCCTGTTATTGGTCTATTCAGAGATTCAACTTCTTCCTGGTTTGGTCTTGGGAGAGTGTATGTGTCGAGGAATTTATCCATTTCTTCTAGATTTTCTAGTTTATTTGCATAGAGGTGTTTATAGTATCTCTGATGGTAGTTCGTATTTCTGTGGGATCGGTGGTGATATCCCCTTTATCATTTTTTATTGTGTCTATTTGATTCTTCTCTCTTTTCTTCTTTATTAGTCTTGCTAGCAGTCTATTAATTTTGTTGATCTTTCAAAAAACCAGCTCCTGCATTCATTGATTTTTTGAAGGGTTTTTTGTGTCTCTATTTCCTTCAGTTCTGCTCTGATCTTAGTTATTTCTTGCCTTCTGCTAGCTTTTGAATGTGTTTGCTCTTGCTTCTCTAGTTCTTTTAATTGTGATGTTAGGGTGTCAATTTTAGATCTTTCCTGCTTTCTCTTGTGGGCATTTAGTGCTATCAATTTCCCTCTACACACTGCTTTGAATGTGTCCCAGAGATTCTGGTACGTTGTGTCTTTGTTCTTGTTGCACACCAGATATATTTCAATGCCAGAATTTCTCCTGCTCCTCTTGTTTTTCTTGAGATTATGCTTTCTATCAGCAGAACTTTTTCTCTTATTTTCATAACAATCCTTATATATTCTCACTGACGTTCATAACTTCCTTCTTTATTTAAAAATTTAAGTAATCTTTCAAGGGTTTCTAGATGGAGATGACAAAAATCACGATTTTGTACGTGGGCCAACAGAAATCACTTACCTCTGGTCAACTCTAGCTGATCATTGGCAAGAATGTGAGAAATTGCATTACCATGTAAAAAGATCACTTGGCTAGGATTTAAGTGGACTCTGATCTATTCATTCAAACCTCATTTGTATCTGGATCTCAACAAGTCTTCAAAGCTCTCTGGCCCTTCTTTTCTTTCTTTCTTTTTTTTTTTCTTTTTTAATAAAATGAGGGGAATTCTCAGTGAGAGATTTCCTGCTGAACCATTCTGTTTCTTGCCTTACACTTTCCAGGGTTTTGCCCATGTGATTCTAGTCCCTAAAGTCTCAAACTGATTAATGCAACAAGCTCCTTTTCCTCAAGTTAAAATAAAAAAGGTGAGCATGGTCAGATTGAGATTTGCTAGACAGTCCCTTATTTCTTGACAGAAAATTGAGAAATTCAAAGAAACATTCTCAGATGGTGCCAATTCATTTTTGTTTCATTTGATCATGTAGGCCTTTTCAGCCTTAGTGCCTCCAAAATTTATGTTTCATCCTGAATATGGGGTGGGCCCTATTCTTGGTGCAGATGCAGGTCACTGGGCACATCCCCAATTCCTGGGTTCTGCCACAAAGCTGGAGTAGGACACTGACTTCTTCTGTCCAAATTTGCCTCACCAACCAGCCTGCATTCTGGGTGATTGAACTGAGCAGAGCTGTGTGTGAGGACCTAAGACAAGAAGGGCCAGTGGACTGCAGAGATTGGAACTGAGAGGCATGTGAAAAATTCTTTCCAGGGTTATTAAGCAAGCCCAGGAACTCCACACCTGGCCTTGTGAAGGAGTAGACAAAGATGTATAAGTATGAGGCAGCATATATTTTGTTCCACTAACACTTCCCTTTGAAACTTCTAATATGTGTTTCACTCAATACATTTGCATTAAAGGAAAATTGTATCCTAAGCATTATTCTAGGTACCAGAGATATAGCAGCAAATAAATCCCTCACACACACACAAAATCCCTGCCCTCATGGAGCTCATATTCTTATGCTGTGTTCTCTTTATTCTTTTTTTTTTTTTGAGATGGAGTCTCACTCTATTGCCCAGGCTAGAGTGCAGTGGTGCAATCTTGGCTCACTACAACCTCTGCCACCCAGGTTCAAGCGATTCTCCTGCCTCGCTTGATTACAGTAGCTGGGATTACAGGCGCCTGCCACCATACCCAGCTAATTTTTGTATCTTTAGTAGAGATGGGGTTTCACCATCTTGGGCAGGCTGGTCTTGAACTCCTGACCTCAAGATCCACCCACCTCGGCCTCCCAAAGTGCTGGGATTAAAGGCATGAGCCACCACGCCCAGCCCTCTTTATTCTTTTTCTAACCTAAGTCAGTGTCTCAACTAAATCCTTTCTGTTGATGTAAGATACTCCTTTTTGTTGATGTAAGATACCCTACTCTTCTAACTTTTACAGCTGTACTTGTATTTTGTACAGTATCAGAATTTTTAACTTTCATATTCTGTTTTCTCAAATATAAATAGGTCTTCCATTCTTTGTTTAAATAGTTTCATTTGAAAGTCAAAAATCCGTAAACAGATTTACATTATCATAACTATGTAAATGCTGCTAACTGCAGAGCCAAGAAATGTACTGTAATTATACCTCCTTCTTTTAAAGGTCTCATGGCATGACCCCTGAACCAATTAATGGAGAATATTTATACTCCAAGCACCAGGGTAAAATAAATTCTCTGTTCTTGTACCTAATGAATTAAATGTTTGAAATCATATCATGGCACTGACAAAGATTCTCTCTGTGGCCAAACCCTAGCCATGCTCTTCTGAGCCATTTCTTAGCTGGGCCTCAACCTTGGCCTATAACGATTTAAGCAAAAAAACTCACAGTTTCTAACAGCTCAAGGCCACATCCCCAGGATGACCCTATCCTCCCTTAAAAGCACCTGCCTGAGAAAACTCAAAGTTGCCAAAATACTTGCTGCTTATTTCAGCGAACACCTGAAGAAAGACCTGTCTCCTAGTCTCTGTAGGATGGTAGGAGCCTAACTTTCCAAAGTTCCAGTTAGCAAATCCATGTGGTTTCACTTGGACTAATGACCACCATGCTCTTCCTGCTTTGTGTAATTTTTCACTTCCTTGACTCTGTTAGAGCTCCTCTCTGTCTCCCTTTTAAATGCCTAGTCATCACTGCACAGGTCAAAGTGGAGCTCAGCTCCCCTCCTGTTAGTAGTTACTGAATAAAATCTGTTTTCACTACTTTAACAAATGTCCAGCTGTGTTTATCTTTGACACCACATGAAAAAATTGTGACATATTTTACTTTATTTTGTAATATCCAAACCGTAAATTCTTGCATAACCTTTTGTTTTTCCTGAAGTCTGTACTTGCTTTCTTTTTTCTTGTTGATAGAAGAATGATGCACCCTCACCTTCTTCTCAAGCTTATCTTGACTTTCAATCGTATTGTCCAGTGCATGGAGTCCTGCTTTTAACCCAGTGATATCCCTCCCTGAAACTGTATTTCCCTGTTCCAGTTTTCTTCGAGGTCATCCCAGATGGGATTTCCTAAGATGGGATCTTAGGAGGCCCTGAGACATGTACATCTAAAAATATCTTTATTTTTGCTCTCATACTCACTTGAAAGGTAGGCTGAGTGGAGAATTATAAATTAAATTAAAAAGTAAAAACACAAGTCACAGGCTAGGAGAAAATATTTGTAATACATATATTTGGAAAAAAGGCCCAATCCCAGAATATATAAAGAACTTCTAAAAATCAATAAGAAAAAAAAAGAGCAATGGAATTTTTTAAAATGGGCCAGTACTTGAACAGGAACTTCACAAAGAAGATAATCAAATGACTAACATGTATTTAAGAAGTTGCTCAATTTCAAAGCTCATCAGGGAAAAGCAAATTCAACCCACAATGACATGTCACTGTGCACTGACAAAAATGGCCATTGAAGATTGAGGATGGCTGACCAGAAGCAGCTAGTGTGTGCTGCTCCCACAGAGAAAAGAAAAAGGAACAAGTAAATACAACACCTTCAGCTGAAACATCCAGGTGCACACATTGGGATTCATCAAGTAAACAACTCGACCCATGTAGAATGGAGAAAAGTAAGACAGGATGTCTACCAATCTGGGAGTGACATGGAGCCAGGGGAGGTCCACGCTCTGCAGGGAAATGCTGAGTGAGTGAGTGAGAGACCCAAAGGACCCACACTTCTTCCACAGATCTTTGCAACCCTGGGGTCAGGAGATCCCCTTGTGAACCCACTCCAACATGCCTTCAGGCTGACATGCAGAGCTATGTGGAATCTGGGCAGAGCTACATGGAATCTGAGCATAGCCACCGGCACACAGAGAGTCCTGGGAGCCTTGAACCCCTAGGCATCCTGGCAATAGCAGCTGCAGCTCTGGAAAAAGGGGAGGTTAGGTTCCCTCACACACCCCCAGGAAAGGGGCCGAATCCAGGGGGCTGAGCAGCCATGGTCTGCAGGCCTCACTTCCACAGCACCTCATGGGCTAAGATCCACTGGCCTGGGACTCCAGCTGCTCACCGCCAGTGTTCTCAGGCTGACAGCAGCTCCACACCTCCCTGACACAGAGCTCCCAGAGGGAGGGACGGGCCACCATCTTTGCTCTTTCATTGCCTTTGGGCACTGGAGAGCACGAGGTGAGGAGGCACTAAAGTGGACCCTCTGCACAGTACAGCCATCCTGTTTTGTATGCCGGTAGCTCTGGAAAGTACAAGGTAACTAGGGATTGGCAAAGACTCACAGCAGAGTGCAGCCACCATACAGAAAAGCGGCTGGACGATTTTTTATGTAGTTCTCCAATCCCATTTCTCCTCATTGAGAAGGACCTGCCAGCCTGGGAATCCAGCTGGCCCCCACCAGTCTTCTTGGGCTGGCAGCAGCTCCCCACCTCCCTGAAGTGGAGCTCCCAGAAGAAGGGGAAGTGTGCCATCTGTGTTGTTTTGCAGCCTTGGCTGTTGCTGTCTTCATTTCTCTGGAGAGTCCAAGGTGACTAGGGACTGGTGCAGACTCACAGCACAGTCAGCCACCCTATGGAAAACTGGTCAGACTGTTTTTTATGCAGGTGCCTGATCGCATTTCTCTTTACTGGGCAGGACCTCCTGATCTGGGACTCCAGCCAGCCTCCGCTGGGGCTATTGGGCTGGTAGCACTTCTGTAACTTCCTGGAACAGAGGTTCCCAGAGGGAGGGGTGGGCTGCCATCTTTGCTGTCTTGCAACCCTCGCCTTTGCTGCCTCCAGGCTCTGGAGACTGCAGGAAATAGGAGCTGGAGTGGATCCCCATCACAGTGCAGCCACCTCACAGAAAAGCGGCTAGACTATTCCCCATGCAGGTCCCTGTCCTCTCTTTTTCTCGCTGGGCGGGCCACCTGACTGCCGTCTCTACCTGCCTCAGCAAAACCACCCTGCCCTGGCCTGAACATTTCAATCAGAAGCAGCTCTGCATTCCTCTAAGGAGGAAATACCAAAGTCAACCCGCAACCCCTTTGCCAGTGCAGCCACGGTGGTACCGCCCTAACTGCCCTGGGACTGGGCAAAGAACAAAGGGTCTAGTTGCTACACTGGCACATCTGGCACACCACAGCCACCATATGGAGAGGGAATCCAATTCCTCTTCCCTGGGTATCCCCAGCTCCCACTTTTCACTGGGCATCTTCTTACTTCACCCCAGAATAGCTGCCCCACCCATGGCTGAGCATACACACTGGTAGTGGCACTGAGTGTTCCTGGGGAGAGGCTCCCAGAGGCAACCAACATCCCCTCTGCCACTGCCACAGCAGCAGTTCTGCCCCTGCTGCCCTCAGTCTGGGGAAGAAACAAACAGCCCAAGGGCTATACTCAAGCTTACAGCATGCCACTATCACCATACAGTGAGGAGACCAGCCTCTCCTCTCTGTAAGCCCTCGACTCCCAGCTTCCCAACAAGTAGAGCACCCAGCTCAGGCCAGCAGTGCAGCTACCCCATCCTCTGGTTGAACACCCCCAGTAGCAGTGGCTCCACGTTTATCAGAGGTGGAGCTCCCAGGGGCAACCAAAAGTCCCTCTACCACTGCCCCTGCTGCCCTTGGACTGGGAAGGAGTAAAGTCTCTAGGTGCCTTATCCATACTTCCAGCAAGCCACAGTTGCCCTAAGGAGAGGAGGCCACTTTGTCTTCCACAGTTCCCACCCACTCCCCATGCTCATCACCAGGTAGGCCTCTCCCTCATTCCCCCTCCTGCCTTTGGCCCACAGTGCAGCACCCCCATCCTGGGCAAATCACACTGATTGATTGCAGCTCTGCATCTCTCTGGGATGGAGCTCCAGGAGACAAGTGAAAGACCCTTGGCAATACCATTGCTAAGGTCCCTTCCTCTGTTGCCTCCAGACTGGGGAGGGAACATAAACCCTGAGGTCACTCCAGAGCTGTGATGGGCAGCCCAGGAGGGCCAAGCCATGATCTGCAGCCAGCCCTCAAGTGGGAGAGGAGCCCACACTTTCAGAGCATTGAGAGGGAGCATGGCTGCAACTGTGAGAAAATACAGAGGAGCAACACAACTGAGACAGAGCCCATCTCCTGACCATTATGCTTAAGTGCCACCTACTGGAACACACCCCAAAACTTCAACTCCAAAAATAGTTTGCTAACATACCAGCCTGTGAAACCAAAGACAAGAAGTCAAATACAAATAAAAACCCTGCACAAACCTCTGGCCTTCTGAAAATATCCAGAAAAGGAATCTACTGACTGTACTCAATTTACACCACAGTTAAAGGAACACCCACACACAGAGATGAAAAAGAACCAGCACAAAACTCTGGCAACTCAAAAGGCCAGAGTGTCTTCTTTCCTTCAAATGAATGCACTCATTCTCCAGCAAAGGTTCTTAACGAGGCTGAGATGGCTGAAATGACAGAAATCAAATTCAGAATATGAATAGGAACGAAAATCATCAAGATTCAGGAGAACAGCAAAATCCATTTCGAGGAATCCAAGAATCATAATAAAATGATACAAGAGCTAATAGACAAAATAACCAGTATAGAAAAGAACCAAACTGACATGAGAGGGCAGAAAAACACACTACAAGAATTTCATAATGCAATCCGAAGTATTGACAGCAGAATAGACCAAGCTAAGAAAAGACTCTCAGTGTTTGAAGACTGGCTCTCTGAAACAAGACAGCCACAAAAACACACACACAAAAAAGAATGAAAAGGAATGAACAAATCTCTAAGAAATATGGGATTATGTAAAGAGACCAAATCTATGCTCATTAGCATCCCTGAAAAAGGGAGAAAGCAAGCAACTTGAAAAACATATTTCAGAATATTGTTAATGAAAAGTTCCTGAACCTCCCTAGAGAGACCAAGATTCAAATTCAGAATATGCAAAGAACCCCTGCAAGATATTACACAAGAAGACCACCCCCAGGACACATAATCATCAGACCCTCCAAGGTCAAAATGAAAGAAAAATGTTAAAGGCAGCTAGAGAGAAAAGTCAAGTCACCTACAAAGGGAAGCCTATCAGATGAACAGCAGACCTCTCAGCAGAAACCCTATAAGCCAGAAGAGATTGGGGGCCTACATTCAACATTCTGAAAGAAAAACTTACTCCAACCAAGAATTTCATATCCAGCCAAACTAAGTTTCATAAGTTAAAAAGAAAGACAAGCAAATGCTGAGGGAATTCATTACCATCAGACATGCCTAACAAGAGCTCCTGAAGGAAGCACTAAATATGGAAAGGAAAAACCATTACCACCCACTATAGAAAACATTTAAATACACAGACCAGTGACACTGTAAAGCAACCACACAAATAAGTGTGCATAATAACCAGCTAACAACATGATGATAGGATCAGATCCACACATAATAAAACTAACCTTGAATATAAATGAGCTAAATGCTCCAATTAAAAGGC
This sequence comes from Homo sapiens, assembly GCF_000001405.40. Lineage (NCBI taxonomy): Eukaryota > Metazoa > Chordata > Mammalia > Primates > Hominidae > Homo > Homo sapiens. Next base: position 75,622,308 of record NC_000009.12, on the reverse strand, counting down.
CCAGAGTGGAAAAGTGGATAAAGAAGCAAGACCCATTGGCATGCTGTGTTCAAGCGACCCATCTCATATGCAGTGACATCAATAGGCTCAAAATAAAGAAATGGAGAAAAATCTACCAAGCAAACAGAAAAGAGAAAAAAACAGAGGTTGCAGTCCTAACTTCAGATAAAACAGACTTTAAGCCAACAAGTATCAAAAAAAGACAAAAAAGGGCATTACATAATAGTAAAGGGTTCAATTCAACAAGAAGACCTAACTATTCTAAATATATATGCACCTAACACATGAGCACCCAGGTTCATAAAACAAGTTCTTAGAGATCTATGAAGAAACTTAGATTCCCACACAATAATAGTGGGAGACTTCAACACCCCACTGACAGTATTAGACCATCAAGGCAGCAAATTAACAAAGATATTTTAGACTTGAACTCAGCAGTGGATCAAATGGACCTCATAGACATCTACAAAATTATCCATCCCAAAGCAACAGAATATACATTATTCTTATCACCACATGGCACACACTCTAAAATTGAGCATACAATCAGAATAAAACAATCCTCAGCAAATTCAAAAAACCTGAAGTCATACCAAACACACTCTTCTACCACAGTGCAATAAAAATAGAAATCATGACTAAAAAATTGCTCAAAACCATGTGATTACATGGAAATTAAATAATCTGCTTCAGAATGACTTTTGGGTAAACAATGAAATTAAGGCAGAAATCAAGAAGTTCTTTGATACTAACAAGAACAAAGACATAACATACCAGAATCTTTGGGACACACCTAAGGCAGTGTTAAGAGGGAAATTTATAGCACTAAATGCCCACATCAAAAATTTTAAAAGATCTCAATTTAGCAGCCTAACATTACAACTAAAAGAACTAGAGAAGCAAAAGAAAAGTAACCCCAAAGGTGGCAGAAGACAAGAAATAACCAAACTCAGAGCTGAACTGAAGGAGACTGAGACTCAAAAAACTAGACAAAAGATCAACAAATTTAGGAATTGGTTCTTTGAAAAAAAATAATAAAACAGACCACTGGCTAGACTAATAAAGGAGAGAGATGAAAATAATCACAATTAGAAATGACAAAGGGGATGTTCCCACTGACCCCACAGAAATACAAACAACCATCAGAAAATACTATGAATACCTCTGTACATACAAACTAGAAAATCCAGAAGAAATGGATAAATTCCTGGGCACACACATCTCCCAAGACTGAGCCAGGAAGAAATTGAATCCCTGAGTAGACCTATAATGAGCTTCAAAATTGAATCAGTAATAAATAGCCTACCAATAAAAAAAAAAGCCTAGGACCAGATGGATTCACAGCCAAATTCTACCAGATGTACAAAGAAGAGCTGGTACCATTCCTACTGAAACTTTTCCAAAAATTGAGGGGGAATGGCTCCTCCCTAACTCATTGTATGAGGCTGACATCATCCTGATATCAAAACCTGGCAGAGACATAACAAAAGAGGAAAATTAAGGCCAATATCCTTGATGAACACTGATACAAAAACCATCAACAAAATACTAGCAAAACAAATCCAGCAGCACATCAAAAAGCTAATTCACCATGATCAATAAAGCTTTTTCTCTGGGATGCAAGGTTAGTTCAACATATACAAATCAATAAATGTGATTCATCATATAAACAGTATTAAGGACAAAAAACACATGATTATCTCAATAGATACAGAAAATGCTTTCAATAAAAGTCAACATAGCTTATGTTAAAAAAAAAAACCCTCAGTAAGCTGGCATTGAAGGAATATACTTCAAAATAAGAAGAGCCAGGTATGACAAATCCACAGCCAACATCAACTGAATGGGCAAAAGCTGGAAGCATTCCCCTTGAAAACTGGCACAAGCCAAGGATGCCTTCTCTCACCACTCCTATCCAACATAGTATTGGAAGTCCTGGCCAAAGCAATGAGGCAAGAGAAAAAAATAAAAGGCATGCAAAAAGGAAGATGGGAAGTCAAAATATCCCTGTTTGCTGATGACCACGATTCTATATCTAGAAAACCCAGTAGTCTCTGCCCAAAATCTCCTTGAGCTAATAAACAACTTCAACAGAGTTTCAGGATATAAAATCAACATACAATAATCAGTAGTGTATTAGTCTGTTTTCATGCTGCTGATAAAGACATACCTGAGACTGGGAAGAAAAAGAGGTTTAATTGGACTTACAGTTCCACATAGCTGAGGAGGCCTCTGAATCATGGCAGGAGGTGAAAGGCACTTCTTACATGGCGGTGACAAGAGAAAATCAGGAGGAAGCAACTGAAACCCATGATAAACCCATCAGATCACGTGAGACTTATTCACTATCATAAGAATAGCACGAGAAAGACCGACCCCCATGATTCAATTACCTCCCCCTGGGTCCCTCCCACAACACATGGGAATTCTGGGAGATACAATTTGAGTTGAGATTTGGGTGGGGACATGGCCAAACCGTATCATTCCTCCCCTGGCCCCTCCAAATCTCACGTCCTCACATTTCAAAACCAATCATGCCTTCCCAACAGTCCCCCAAAGTTTTAACTCATTTCAGAATTAACCCAAAAGTCCATAGTCCAAAGTCTTATCTGAGACAAGCAAGTCCCTTCCGCCTATGAGCCTGTCAAATCAAAAGCAAGCTAGCTACTTCCTAGATACAATCAGGGTACAGGTGTTATGTATATACAGCCATTCCAAATGAGAGACATTGGCCAAAACAAAGGGGTTACAGGGCCCATGCAAGTCTGAAATCCAGTGGGACAGTCAAATTTTAAAGCTCTAAAATTATCTGCTTTGACTCCAGATCTCACATCCAGGTCATGCTGATGCAAGAGCTGGGTTCCCATGGTCTTGGGCAGCTCTGCCCCTGTGGCTTTGCAGGGTACAGCCTCCCTCCCAGGTGGGAGGTCCCTATTTGAGGGTAAAGGGTGGGAGGAGGGAGAGAATCAGAACAAATTACTATTAGATACTATGCTTAGTACCTGGATGATGAAATAATCTGTACACCAAACTCCCATGACACAATTTTATCTGTATAACAAACCTTCATATGTACCCCCCGAAGCTAAAATAAAAGATTTTTAAAAGAAAAGATTGATAATACCAGATACTGGAGAAAATGTAGATCCCGTGAAACTTCAGAATACATTGCTGATGAAAGGGTGAAACTGAAATACCATGTAGCAATTTCTCATACATTTTAACACAAACCTACCTATGACACAGCAATTCCAATTCTAGGTATATAATCAAAAGATATAATTAGTATTTCTCAAAATCTTGTGCAACATTGTTATTGAGGACTATTTAATTATTTCCTAACAGCTTCAAAGTAGAAACAACCCAATGTCCATCAATAGGAAAATGAATAAATGAATCATGCTATAATAATGTAATAGAATACTGCTCAGTAAATGAATGAACTTCTGATCCATTTAACAACTTGGATAAACATTAAAACTATTATAGTAAATTTTGAAATCAAGACATAAGAAGTATATACTATATGATTAAATTAAATTTCAGAAACAGAAAAAGAAAATCAACTGTGATAAAAGTCAGAATTTTGATTACCTGAATGGTGGGGAGTGATGGGTATTGACTGGAAAGGAGCATTAGGGAAGTTTCTGGAATGATGGAAATAGTCTATATCTTGATGAGGTTGGTGGTGACACAGATATATATTCATCAGGCTGTACAATTAAGATTTATGCATCTTACCCCATGTGTTATACCGCATTTAAAAAAAAAAAAAGCAAAAGGATTCTAGCTTGAAGATGCTTTTCCTTCAGTACTTTGAAAACTTTTCTTCTAACATCCATTGATGTTGCTAAGAAGTCTCGTGATGGTCTGATTCTCATTCTTTGAAGTCAACCAGTTTATCCTTTCTAGAAGCTTGAGGAATATTCTTTAAACTTCTTGTTTTTAAATTCCATGAAGATGTCTCTAGACAGGAATCTTTTTTATTCGTCTCATTTGCCCCTCAGTATCTCTTTGCATTTCAAATCCTTGTGCCTATCTTTATCTTTGGGATATTTTTTCTATTAGCTTTTAAAGAAATTTCCATCCTGCTATGGATTGAATTGTACCCACCTCCAAAAAAACATGTTGAAGTTTTAACTCCCAGTACCTGCAAATGTGACCTTATTTGGAAATAGAGTCTTTGCAGATGATCAAGTTAAGATGGATTATTAAGGTGGGTCCTAATCCAAAAACATTTTGTTCTTACTAAAGAAGGAAATGTTGACATAAAACAGACATGTAAACACAAAGAATGCCACAAGAAGATGAAGGCAGAGATGGGGTGATACTTCTGCAAGCCAAGGAACACCAAAGACTGCTGGAAAGCCAACAGAGCCAGGAGAGAGGCATAGAGCAATTCTTCCTCAGAGCCCTCAGAAGGAGCCAACCCTACTGACATCTTGACCTCTGACTTCCAGCAACCCCAGAACGGTGAGACGATAAATTTTTACTGTTTAAGCCACTCAGATTGTGGTACTTTGTTATGCCAGCCCTAGCACACACTTCTTTTCATTAAGACCTGTTGTTCTTAAACCCTTCCTAGTCAGAAGATAAATATTTTTGAATTAAGCCTCTATGCTTCATATTTATTTCATTTTTATGTTCTCTTCCTATTTTTCTCTATGTTTTGTAGATCCTCTGCATTTATAGCAATTATACTTCATACAATTTTTAGGCATGCCAACTGGTTCTTTGTCCCTATTTCACAGCGATTTGATTCTATTTTATGGATATAATAGCTTCTCGAATCTTGTTGAGGGTACCAAAGGATTTCTTTAAAAGTCCTCTTCTATTTTCTGAATTATGTCTATTTTCTCTGATAACTGTGGTCCTTTTCTTTCATAGTATTTGTTTTCCACATGTGTTTGATCCTCCCTGGATGAGTCATATTAGTGATGAGTGTGTCTGCTTCCTCCTCTGTTCAGTAGGAAATTTTTATTTTTCCTCAGTAGTCCCCTCCTTGGCAGGGGAGTCAACCTGTAAGATCTGTGTAGGAGGGTCAGACAGTTTGAAAGATCAGCTTTATGGGCAGTGGGCTATAGGTTGAATGCCAGAAAGAGGAATGTCTTCTTCTGAGGGGTCAAAAGAGTTTCAAAAGAGGGCATGGCTTTTCCTGGATTATCTCTAGAGAAGGATCCTGGAATCAATGGCCAGGCTGCATGAAACTCTGCCTGGGTCAGGGAGCAAACAAGGCTGCTGGGCACAGCCCTTTATTCCATGCTCCCCTTTTGACCTCTTCTGTTCAGTCCTCTTTTATCATTCCTGTGGTTCCACACACTTAGCCCCTCCAGGCAGGTGGATGCCTTTCCCCATTCCAGACCCTCACAGCACATCCTGTGCTTTTCCGCTCTATTTCATTTGTCTCCATGCCTCCAACCACATTTCATCTTCTGGAAATCTCTTGCAGTCTCTCATCTACTGCAGTTTCCCTTCTTATTCTCTTTCCACTCTTGAAAAAGCTTGTATTATCATTTTAATATATCCTCTAGAGGGAAGGAGTTGATTGTGTTCAGTCTATCTTGAACTGAAATGTACGTTATTCCTTTTTTCAAAGGTAAATTAATCTATTTAGAACAACCTGATAAGATGCTAAATATGATTTAGGATATTACCCAATAGAACTCATTAATGCAGCACTGTCTCTTTATTGCAGATGATTCCCAAATCTCTACTTCCTCTATCTTTCCATCTTCCCATGTATCTGCTGGTCATTTCCACATCTATGTATACTTTTTCCCTCATGTGCCCTAATCCAAGCCCCTTCTCTACTGCCTGGGTCCCTCAAAAACCCCTTTTCCTGGCATGGCAGCTCCCTCTGTTTTTCTACTGGTTCTCCCCACACCCACAAAGACTGTATACTTCCTTTATAGTTAAGGATTCCTCTAATCCTCTCAGTTCTTGCTTTCTATTTTATTCTGTTTTGAGTGAACTCTCTGATTTAACTCAGCTTGTGCTCAGAAAATAGAGGTGACTAAATATAGTAACCTGCATATTGACTGCCTTCCTGCCAGGAGAAGGGCAAAGGAATCACCTCTCTACACCAGCAATATTTTTTCCCTTTACACAGATGTGCTGCTATACCTTAGCTGAACAGGAAACTTGTGCTGATTAAACATTTAAAGAAAAGGAAATATATTTGTCATGGGGAATAATTTAAACATATCTTTTTAAGGGTCGAATGCAAAATGCATATATTCTTAGAGCTAAAATGAGTTTCAAGTCCAGTAGATCAATTCCAATCTTTCCTGCTCTGGAGCCATTCTGCTAAAGTCCCAACCCCATCTCATTTCATTCCTTTCTTTATGTAAATATGGCACTACAAGAGCATGTAATATCGAATCATCACCATAGATAAAGACAGAATCTTCTGACAACTGAAACATATGTGGGTAGACATCATCCACACAACCCCTCAAATGCCATTGTGCCTGTGTGGTTTTAGTGCTTTTCTTATGTTTGCAATATCAGCTGTAACTAGAAACATAAAATTGCTATCAGACTGAACTCATGATAAACCTAGCTCAAGAATTTAACTTCTTTATGCTTTAGGTCATACTCATATATCTACTGATACACGATCGTACAATTTACACACAGACACTTGGAAAACGCAACTTGCTCTTACATTGTAACCTGTGGACCTCTTGGGTAGGAATAAACTGACTAGAGAACAAATCCGAAGTCTGTTAGGGAGGAGGAAGCAGAGAGAGGGGTGGTGATGGAAGGAAGGGAGGTATTTATATTCAGTGAAGTTTTGATGTTAAACAGAAAAGCAATCACAGATGGTGTCTGATTACAGTTGGATTACTGCCAACAACTCACAGGTAGATACCGCAGGAAAAATGAAATGTGACACCCATGAGAACATCATTCTCAAACTCCAGTGCCCTTCAAAGACTCAGGATTATGCCGTTTCACTGTTGCTGATTGATATACATGTAATTCTTTTTAAGAAACCTCACATACCAAATTTGAATGTATTGAATAGTTACGCTAACTAGAACATATTTCTTCACAGGAGAAGCCCCCATTTCACAAAGTGATTTTACAAAATAGTACATTTCTTTAGAAATTTAAATTCTAATATATTTACAAAATTAATTTTTCATGCAGCCTTCAGTTCATTCGATCACTCCTAAATGTTGGATGATGACTGCCAAGTCATGTTTAAAAAACACATCAATTTATGTAGAGCAAGACTAATATATAAATCAGGACAAGCCAAGATCCTGATTTAACATGGTGTCTTTTTGTTTCCACCTACAAAGGTGACAATAATTCAATTTTTGCCCCTCAATCAGTAGGGGCTGCTACTTGGCAACTGATACCTAGGTTTATTGATGACATCTTAGATTGCATCTTGATGGTCTGTGATTCTCTACCTTTAAAATGTCTTCACAAGTAACTCAAAATGGAAAGCCAAATACCATACTTTCTCAGTTATAAGTGGGAGCTAAGCTATGGGTACACAAAAGCATATAGAGTGGTATAATGGACACTGGAGACTCAGAAGGATGAAGAGGGTGGGATGAAAGTGAGAGATAAAAAAGTATATATTGGGTACAATGTCTGCTACTTGGGTGATGAGTGCACTAAAATCTCAGACTTCCCCACTTGACAATTCACTAATGTATCCAAAAACCATTTGTACCCCAAAAGTTATAGAAAGAAAAAAATAAGATAAAATGTCTTCACAAATCCCTGACAATCCACTGAAAATCAGAAATATCTAATTAACCAGCTGTTTCTCCATTGTTCATCAATGCAGTGAAGTCAGCTGGTTTCTGCTGGAATACGATGGACTTAAACTAAATATCATCAAGGAGAAGGGTGTTGGATTTTTTAGACAGTAAAAAGGAAGGTCATTTACTGCAAAAGAGAAATTCAGAGTCCTGAGATGCACCCTCAATTTCGTCAGGGTCATGTTTAAGCCAAAAGAACAATGACAAACCACCTTTCATGTCTGTGGAAAGAAAACCAGACTGTTACTATGAGTAGGGGATAATTAACATTAATTCATATAGACTATTCTATCCTAAAGAGCACAGGACTAGAGATTGAGATCCAGGGCCAGACTACCTGGGTATAAATCCTACATCTGCATTACCTTCTTATAAGCAGGGTATGTGTTTTGAAGCAGTTACTTAACCTTGCTGTGTCTCAGTTTCTTTGTCTTTAGTGGGGATAAAAATTATGCCTTTGTCATATGGTCATTTTTGGATTAAATGAGTTAAGACAAAGTGCTTGGGAAAGTGTCTGGTATAACAAGAACAACTTAAGTGCTTGCTGTCGTCATTATGACAAATACCTGCTCTATGCCAGGTGCTTTACATTAATGATCCAAATCAGTCCCTCCAGGTGGATAGTAGATATTATTAACTCTATTTTGCTTGATGTGAAAAAGGATTTCACCAGCCTGGGCAACATGGTAAAACCCTGTTTCTACAAAAAAAATACAAAAATTAGCCGGGCAGCACGGTGGCATGTGCCTGTAGTCCCAGGTACTCAAAAGGCTGAGGTGGGAGGATCACTTGAGACTGGGAGGTCAAGGCTGCAGTGAGCCTGAGTGACAGAGTGAGACCCTGTCTCAAAAAAAAAAAAAAAAAAAAGAAAAAAAGAAAAGAAAAGAAAACAGAAGGAAAATGGATTTCAGAGGCGATTTCAAGTCTTTCTAATTCCAACCCGTCTCTCATCCCAAGCAGCTAACTAGCTAACTGGCTGATTTTCTCACTTCTCAACTAGTTTTCCTAGCGTTCTATGAGAAAGTCCTGGTCAGACTTGGACAGCCACCCCAAAGATGCTCCATCTGCTCCCATCACCCTTACAGGGGAAGCAGCTAGTGCTGTCACCCAGAGCAGGGCAGCCAGCTCTGCAGGGAAGCCAGGGGACAGATGGAATGATTAGAGAGCCCTGGTCCCAACAACTTTCTCTTCCCTATTATCAGAGAGGCTTCCCGCAGTGGTTTCCAATCAGGGGTGTGATTTTCTTTTTCTTTCCCTTTCAAAATGCTTTAATTTTTTCATACCATATTTAATATTTCATTGTTTCATGTGGATGAAAGGAGAAAAGCTTGTTCTGAAAAATATATAACTCCTCTTTCAACAGAAGAGATCCATCCCAGAGCAGTGTGTTCACAGCCAGTGCTGCCAACTTCAAAAATAAATGGTTCTGATATCTTCAGAAACCACATTTTCATATTTGTTCTCTGAAGAGTGGAGAGTACTTTTTAATAAAGCTCTAGTTGTGATAAATGGTTGGCTCAAAAATAGCAGGCAAAGGCTCAGCCAGTGCAGTGGCCTAGGAGCCATCACAGTGAGTAATTTGCCTATATAAACAGGAGCACCAAGGAAGTCTTTTGTAAGACTCAACTCTTTTTGGCTGGGTGACTTCATTTTCCGTTATGATCTGATCTCACCGAAGGTGATTTGCTTGCAATTCAGACTGGCTGACTCTGGTACAAACATACCCGATCTAACCTCAAATCTAAATCAGAAGAGCAGATATTCATCTTCCCCATCGTATTACAGTATTTTTAAAACACAGTGTCAACCTAGCTTGCACATATTTATTTGTAACAAGGCTTAGGGCTTGGAAAACCTTTTTGTTTAATTTCTTACACACAGTGATTGGATATAAATTAATTTTTATGACAGAAGTATACATGTTTAAAATCAAAAGCAATCTCTTGCTGCAATAAATGGGGCCTCCAGATGTTATCTCAAGCAAAGAAGAGCTAGGAGAAGTTAAGTTGGCTATATAGAAAAAAAAATGACAAATGTCTTCATCTTACCTCTCTGAGCTCCTCAGACCTTCAATCCAGCTCTCCACCATAGGTGACTGGAGGCAGCTGGTCTCACAAAAGGCTCTGAGGTAAGTACTAATCATTGACCTAAGTGCTGCTTGAGCCTTCTGAATCACAGGTGAAGTCCTTTAGAATACTGCTTCATGTAGGGGAGAAGAAGTGTCTTTATAGACTGACAATTGATTAAGGAAAAAAGGCCATGTGACCAAGCTAGAGAATGCCTGATAACAGGTGCTATTTGGGCAGACAGCAAGAGAGAAGGTGTAAGGGTGTTGCCTTTCCTTTTACAGGCACTGTTGAGAGAGTGCTGAGTTCTTTTCCAGCTAGAGGACCTGATGTACAGAAGAATACGGAAGAAGAGGCCTAGTCCACTCCTCTCCACTCCTCCTGCCCCCTACACATTAATTAGTTAGAACTCTGTGCCTTGGGGATCAAATCTCATTAGCTTGCAAAATGTAGAAGATCATTCTCAGTCCCTAGCTCTAAAGAAGGAGGATGTGGTGGATGTTTTCTTTCTGCTTTCTAGATGCACTCTCTGCCTTCTTCTCTCTGCCTTGTATCCTGGGAGATGAAACTGTTATGAATTGTATCAGTGGGCTCCCTTGCCCTCTGGCTTCCAATTGGGCTCAGTTAATGGGAAGCATCAGCAAGAGACAAAGGAAGACAGAAGATAAGTGAGATTGAGGTATTGATTCCCTGAGCCCTTCCCTGTGGGGTCACTGCAGGTTGGCTCCCTCCTTCAACCCACAGCACAGCTCCTGTTTGATCCATCTTCCGGGGATAGGGATCAGCCTTAGAAAGGACACTTTCTGACCCTCCCACTGTGACCAGACAGGAGGAAGCAAAGTTACATGTGATGTAGTTGTGGGTAGGAGTGTCAGAAAATTGAGAGAGCTCACATGATAGCATCCTTTCATCCCACTAAAGAAGGAGGCAGATGCATTCTTGATACACAGGAGAAGGAGATAGTAGAGGTGAGGGTTGAAGGATATGGGAAAAATTGGAGAGTTGACACAGGCATAGTATGATTGAAGGCATCTTTAAAGACTGTATAAAATTAGAAAACATTTTGTATAGTGTCAAGCTCCATGTGTAGCCCTCAGAGCCATGGAAGTGGGAGCAGAAGTGGCAAACATTCAGAGAATTGTAAAGTTAGGAGTTCACCAGGCAGAGGAGCTGGGAAAAAAAGACACTGAGGACTTGAAGACTTTAGCAAGAGAGTGACCCCAAAAATTTGCCTCAGGGTCATGATGGGAAAGAAGATGATGTGGAGATGACACTTGAAGGAACAAGCGAGTGGAGATCACAAAGAGACTGAAGAGCAGATGTGGTGAGAATAACAGAGAGAAGGGGACGAATATGGAACTGTGACTAGGAAGCGTGAGGTTTGGATGGAGGGAAGTAGTTCCCCAGGAGCACAAATTCTAGGGTATGATCACAGAAATGGAGTGGAAGTCATTAGAGTTCAAAAGGTCAAAATTGGAAAGTGTTTTTCATCCAGAATGATAACAGATCAGAATGACTGATGCCTAATCTTCAGTAGCTTGGAACGAATGAAGGGTAGGTGGTTGATGACAATGAGGGTAGAAGATGGATGATATGAACTTCAAAGGAACTTGTTTTGGGGCGTAAGCAGGTGGGGTAATGGTCTAAAAGCAATACCAGGGAACGGGAGTGTGCCCACTCTACCCCCTGACTCTAAAGTACGTGGAGATTGGTCAGCTGCCTCTCAATAAAGCTTCCAGGAAAGCAGCACTCAGGGGAGGACCAGGTTTCAGCATAGACAGGAGATGAAAGAAACATTTAATGATGAGGTCAAGGAAGTGGAAAAAGCCATTTGTCACAGATCAAGCATGCAATGGAATAAATTAGGATAAGGAAATTAGAGAGAAGTTGAGTTGAAAGAGAGATGGCCAGAGCAGCATACTTTTTAGCTAGTGGCCTTAATAGAGATGTAAGGAATGATGGATTTGGTTAGCCTTGTGTGATCCACATGGACTCAGTACAGCAGTATCCTGGAAGAAGGCCAGGGGAAAGCAACACACCCAGTTCTCTCTGGGAGAAGTTAGATCAGACTACAGGATCGATTGATCATGGAGGAATTTCTCATCCAGTGAGCAGGCTTGGTGAGGATTAATTAATCTGTTGAATACTTACTACAGTGGTTCTCAAACTTTTTAGTCACAGAACCCCCTTTATAGTCTTAAAAATTATGGAGGCTTCCAAAGAGTTCTTGTTTGTCTGGAATATATCTATTTATATTTACCATATTAGAAATTAAAAGTAAAAAAGGTTTAAAATATTGATTTATTGTGTTATTATAAAATAGTAACAAACCCATTTCCCATTAACATAACTATCATTTTGTAATAAAAATTAACTTTTTGAAAATATTTGTTTCAATGGGAAACTATGCATTGTTTAGAGGACATTCCTTCTGGGTTACCAATGTCTAGTCTTTCTTTTCTTTGAGCTGTTTTATAACTGTAAACTGTAGCTGGCTATTAGACATGCAAATTTTGTCTGATAAAGACTAGATTGGAAAACCCTCTTTGCCCCTATTTACAATTTATTTTAATCTACCTTTACTCCATATAAATTTCAGTTTAGCTTCTTATTTGAACTGTTTGTAATATCTGCCTAATTCCCTCATTGATTAATGAGTTGAATAAAGTCATTAGCCCATGTTTATTTTTACATCTGTATGAGAGTCATGATTTTACTTTTCTTTTGAAAATTACTTTCTAACAAATTGTATTTTCTAAAACAAAAAAGTTAATGAGAAGAGTGGAGTTGTTTTGTACTTTTGCAAATCTTTTTAATGTCTGGCATAAAAGAAGACAGCTGGTTTCTCATATCTGCTGCTACAGTCAATCTGCTGTAGATATGTTGTTTTAGTTGAAGTATATGAAGAAAATCTGGCCTCTCACAGATATGTATTTGGAAAAGGGAGTAGAATTTTAATAGCCTTTTCAGATAACTGTGGATATTCTTCTTTAATACTGCATCAAAACTTGCCAAGTTGTAATTTTTTTACAGGTTAGTTGCAATGTCAAATCTGAAACCATTTTGATGAATTTTAACTGGATCATCTTCCACTCTGAAAGGATCTGTTACCCGTGCATGATTTTCTAACATCATGCATTGGTCACTTGGAAAGTATTGGTTCACTGAGTTATGCATATCTTCCAAATGTTGGCACATTTCATTATATAATAGAAAAAAACATCACATTGTTAACATCACCATCAATTTCGTTTTAAAAGGCCTTAAACATTAGGACTCTGTCAAACTTACAGGTGGATGTGTTTCTAAAATGCCAATTTCCACTTGAAAGCTTGAATTTTATCACTGGCGACAAACACAGTGAGTTGTTTTCCTTGAAGGGACAGGCTCTCTCACTCATTCTTAAGAAATATTTGCCAAATATTTAAGTCTAAATAACCATTGTTTGCTTATCAGTCATTCAAGTAAAAATGGCATTTCACAAAAAGTGGCTGGTCTAGGTTACAACTCAAACAAGTGCCTTTCCTCAAGATAACCACCATACTTCAATATGCAGCAGAATTATTTGATGTGTACTTCTCATTTTGCTACAGACTATTAAAAAGACTTACACTCAAGGCTTGAGATTTAAAATTAATAATGTTTACTGTTTCACCAAGGATACTCTAAAGTGAAACTGACATTTTCTTTTACAGTGAGTGGGTGGCAATGAAAAATCCAACTACTACTAGCTTGATTGATAATTGCGTTGATTGATTATAAGGTGCCAAGTTTTATCCAGTATTGCTTTTGCATCATCAGTGCAAATTTCAATATGGTGAAAAGATTAATAATGTTTTGATACTATTATGAAAGTACTTTTGTGTTTGCAGACCCCTTAAGAGGGTCTTAAGGACTTCCCCAGGGTCCACAAACAACTTTGAAAATGATGGTCTTCCCAGAATCTCTTGCATATCTCCTTTACTAGAGGAACTCGTACCTCTGAAGTGACTTCTTGGCTGGTGTGTGAGCTGCTCTAGGATGAGTTCATCTCTCTTTCTCTGGGGCTAGGCATAAGTAAGTTACCACTGAAAGTTTGTTAGAAGAAGTTCACCAGAGTGGGGCTGAAAAGACAGAGGGATCAACTCCACCCAAGGAATCAGAAAAGGTTTAAATAAGATGACATTAAAGTGAATTTTGAAGGGAGAAAAGGAGTTTGACTGGTGAAAATGGCAGAGAAGAGCATTGTGGTTAGAAGGAACATAATACATTCATGAGACTTTTGCCATATTTCGTTGATTTGCCAGATGAAGATACCCATTATGCTGATGGACATGTAAGCCTTGTATTGTGATACACATTTAGGTTAGAGAGAGATTTGAGAACCATCAAAATATTGGCATTAGTTAGAATCATGGCAGTGGATGTGATCCCATAGGAAAAGTATGTAGAGTGAGGGACAGTGAGGGTAGGGTGATGGAAATCTTTCAAAAATCTCTTCTTTAAAGGTGGACAGAGGAAAATATAACAGCAAAGGAATCTTTTGAAAAAGACCAGTCAGAAATTGGGTTTGGGATTCTGCAGAGAGTAGAATCCTGGAATCAAAGGAGGAAAGAGTTTAAGGAAGAAAATGGTGTTGCAAAGTGTCAAGAAGCTTATGGACATCAATATGAAAACTGCCTATTAAGAGTTGGTAATGATGAAATGATTGGCAGCCTTTGCTTGAACAGCTTAATGTAAGCAGCGAGGTCGGTCAGAAACCACATTACATGAAGTGAAGAGTGTGTTCAAGGATGATAAGGGGGGTGGGAGGAAAGACTGTTAATGGCCCTTAAGAAACTTGGCTATAAAGAGAAGGTCATAGTAGAAGAAGAATATAGTTTTAGAGGAGTTTTTTCTTTTTTAATGTAGGAAATATGTGTATATTTATAACCTATGGGACATGATCTATAATAAAGAAGACAATGAAATTAAAGAAAAGAGGAACTAATAACGAATGGGTTTTGAAGGAAGAGAGAGGATAGCCTCCAAAACATAGTAAAAAGGCCGGGCACTGTGGCTCATGCCCGTAATCCTAGGACTTTGGGAGGCTGAGGCAAGCAGATCACTTGAGGCCAGGTGTTCGAGACCAGCCTGGCCAATATGGTGAAACCCTTTCTCTACTAAAAATGTGAAAATTAGCCATGTGTGGTGGCACACGCCTGCAACCCCAGTTACTCAGGAGGCTGAGGCAGGAGAATCACTTGAACCCAGGAGGCAGTTTGCCATGAGCCAAGATCATACCACTGCACTCCACCCTGGGCGACAGAGCAAGACTCCATCTCAAAAAAAAAAATAGCAAAATAAAACCAACCAAAATGCTAGGAAGTGATACCTCTTCTCTGAGACTGGGGACAAACACAGAAACAGTAAGTTTACATATGTAGAGCAAGAGAGTTGAATATTTTCACATCTAGTAACCTCTGTTCTCTTTATAAAATAGAAAGCAAGTTGTCTCTTTGCAGTGAGGTTAGTGGAACACAGGAAGTGTCTTAACCTGGATTGCTAAGAATTCCTCCTCACCCACCCTCACACACACACACACAATGAAGTAATAGAAAATTAGTGCTTTATCATGTGTGTTTGAGGGTGAGAGAGGAGGAATTCCCACAATTCCAAGAAAGCAGAAGAGAGAAAAAAGGGAAGCAAGACAGGGAATCATGTCCAAGAATAGTCCAAGAACAAGGATGAGAAGGCACGTTACTGAGATAGTTGTGTTTGCTATCAAGTATAACTGATTATGTGACATCAGAGGTCCATCTGCAGAAGGCTGTATGAAATATCGCAGGACCATCCTGGAAGGGAGTGAGAATGAAAAGGAAATCATTTTTCTAGCAGCTCCTATCTCCATTGGTTAATGGTTTGTCCCAGAGAGTGTCCACTCCCCCGCACTACTAGTTTGCTAACACCTCAGTGCCTAGCAGGTTCCCAGGGAAGCCCCAGGGTGGGAGGTGAGCTACTGAGTCCATGAGAAGATGGTGGGTGAAACTAAGAGCAGATGGTTGCAGTGGTGGCTGGGGCAAAGCTGGGGACCCACGACAGAGGGCAAGCCAAGAGGTACTGGCATGATGTGTAAGAGGTGCCTGAAACAAGAAGTTAACTAGAAAATAATAGTGAAGACTTCAAAAGTCAACTGCCCATTCTAAAAACGAGCAGCACTGATGCACATTAGATTACATACATTCATATTGGCAATAATTTGAAAGACTAGGTTATTTTCTCCAGCATTATCAAGTAGTCCAGATATAAGAATGATGAAATTATATTGTAGGGTTTAGAGTGGAGATTTCTTGGATAGGATTAGTAGAAGGTAATAGGAGATGATGTTGCAAGTGAGAAATGAAATGACCCTTCATAAAAATTTGAAGAAGATGAAGAAGGAATCATGTCCAAGAGTAGTTCAATAATGTCAGAGGAATGGACTGGAAGTCCTAACATACTTGAAATCTGGTTTAGTGGGATTGAAAGGATATGAAATTTAGGTTATGGAACAGCACAGTGGAATTTACTATTTTGGAAGTAAAATTCACTTTGGTGAATTGACAAGAGCCATTCTTGAATTATAGGGATGAATTCATAAAGTAGAATCAGAATGAAAATCCCTGACTTTAAATCAAGGATGTTGGATATTAACCACATGGAAGTTTCTCAGGATGATAGTAAGAGATGAGGAAGGGAAGTGAAGCATGATGCCAGAATTATCAGGGAATGTAGGAAATTGAACTTGAGGCTGGTAGATCCAGTGACAAGAAGGTAACATTCACTAATTCTATTGTCTAGCAGTGCTGAGTATCAACAGCATGCAGGGCACCACACTAGGTGGTGGGAACATGGATGAGTGGAGAGTCCTCATAATCCCATAGGGAGACAAACAGGAAAACCAATACTGTACTACAATAAGTTGTGTGTTTTAATGAAGTTACGTACATCATGCTAGGGAAGTCATAGTAGCTGAATCTTGAACCTGAGTCTTGAAGATTAACTGAGAGTTTTGCAGATGAAGAAAGAAGGAAAGAGAATTCAAAGCAGAGGGAAAGACATACTCAATGCCACTGAGAAGCAGATTCAGCAGAAAGAGACCAATAATTATTGATGAATGTGATTATTTTGACAACTTAAAAAATATAATGATTATGTGTTGACTGTTTAGAAATTTGTCCAATTTTAAAATTTTTGTTGGACTGTACACATCTACATATCAATATGTAATTTAATTATAAAAGTAATTCACACACTCCATCTGTTTATTTTCTTGGCATTCACATGTTTTCGCTCTCTGGAGCTCTGAAGAAGGATTACAGAAGTCAGTTCCAGGTCATCCATCTGGTCTCAAACCCCAAAGGGTGTGATAGGAGATAACAGGTCTCTTCAGGACAAGGACTGGGTGCTCTGATCTGGGATCAATAAATTACAAATGTCCACTCTGGAGTACTGAAGATGAGCATAAGAAAGTTGTAAATGAAAATCAGGGTATTATCTTTAGAATTGTCTGCTTATTTTAAATGGTATACACTGGTCATTTCCCCTTTCTTTTACTACTTTTGGAGGAAGATTAACTCATTGTATTTTTATGGCATTGGTAGCACTTCCAGTTTTTAGAGAAGCAACAAAAAGGGGAAATGGCCTCATAAACTGTCATTACGACACGTACAAGCCCTTTAAAATGGTCCTGTGAATAAGTGATCAAATACTGAGGACCTTGAGATGTTTCCCTGCCTATAATGCTCACTAGCTGATGTGCTACCAATATCATTCTCTTACATTCAGTTTTAGATCAAACAGTGAAGAGAGCACAGGATAGTGATGAAGTCCAGCAGGCTTGGGTTAAGGGTTAAAGTCATGAGCTAGGTACTGGCTGCAGGACTAAGCTAAGAACTGGCTACAGGCAGGTCTTTGTCATCCCAGAAATTCAGTTTCCTCATCTGTAAATTAGACCTAGGCTTAGCTTTGATGGGGTGGATCCGAGCTCCCCGAGATCAAAAGCCTCAGTCAGCAGGAGTGCCCTTACAGAGCTTTGACGCATGCTTGTGGAGTGCTTCCTGGAGCTATAGCTGGTCCTCTATGGACCTTCCCAACTGTCCCCTGTCTATGGTGTCCCTGATCCTGGGTCCTCCTGCTTAGCTGCCACATGACCTACCTGTGTTCCTCCATCTCCTCCACCTAAGAGGCTTCAGAGCCTTCATCAGATTCCCAAAGGGACCTGTGATCCAGAAAGGGTGGGGAAAACACTCACCATGCTGGCTCCTCCACAAAGACACAACCCGTTTCCAACTGCAAAGCATGGGGATAGGCAGGTGAGAAAGAAATCTTTTCTATCAGTGAAGTTAGAAAGTACAAGTTGAGGAGTGTTGTTCATTACATTTCACCATGTACAAAAGCAAATGTACTATTTTCAAGAAGGTTGTAGAGCTGTTTTCTTACTAAATCACACTCTGTCTCTCAGTAAATTTTTCTGAACTTAAGCAAAGCCCTGGCAATAATATTTTGTAATCCAGAAGAAAATCCAAAATATATTCACACACTAGATCTCATATCATTGGTTTTAAGGATATGATTGCTGAAGGATTCAATCTCTCATCGCAGAGACGTAAAGGAAAATTAAATGATTCATGGAATTCTCTCCAGGGACACATGTTTCAAATATTTCTCAGTAATATTTCACTTCAGGTAAGTAACTTACATTCTTTACACCTCAGCTTTCTTATCTATGAAATAAAAAGTTTGGATCAGAAGAGTGCTTTTCAAAATACGGCTATGAAACTCTCTGAGCAGAATCATCAAAAATTTCTATTTTAATTGCAAATTTTCCAGATGAACCTCAAAAACATCATACTAAGGGAGAAAAGTTAAACACAAAAGGCTGTATGTATACTGCAAGATTACATTTATATGAAATTCCCCAAACAGCAAAATTACGGGGCTGGAAATCAAACAGGTGATTGCCTGGGGGTTATAAGCGGGGGAGGGAAAGGAGATGGATTGTAAAGGGGCATGAAAAGCTTTGTAGGGTGATGCAACTGTTTCATATCTTGATTGTGATGGAGATTTCATGGCTGCATACAATTATCAAAATTTGCAAAGCTGTACACCTCAAGGGAGTGAATTTTGCTGTATTTAAGTTATAAGGCAGCCAAAACTTGGCAAATTCCTGGGCCTTATCAGAATCTGAATTTTTAACAAGCTCCCTCAATGGATGTTTTATTCACTAAAATTTGGGAATTACTGAATTTAATAATGTATTCATCTCTTACAAATTTAGAATTCCATAAAACTCCACATTGGGTGACAGTGGCAGTGTTACTTGATGTCAAAGATAGATGACAAAGGATATTTTTAGCTGTTATGCAGACTATGAAATATATGGAAAACTAAGAACTCTAGAAGTTAAAAAAAATTCTTTTTAAGGTTGGGGAACTTCTATCAACGGAACAGATTTAGAAGAAGATTAGGAAGAAGGACTTAGCGTGGGGGATAGGAGAACTTCTGGGGCTGGTTGTGTTACCTAGTCCATGCCTGGACAGAGTTCCTTTGCCTCTGGCTACATGTACTCATTCTTGAAATTCAGAAGAATGCAGGTTTGGAGAGCAAGATGAGCCAAAAACAGTTAATAGTATTTTTTTTTTCTTTCTGTCCCTACAAGCATCATTCTCATTCCTGTTAGTCTGAGTTTTTTTTTATTTTTCTTTTATTTATTTATTTATTTTGAGACAGTGTCTTGCTCTGTCACCCAGGCTGGAGTGCAGTGGTGCTGTCTCAGCTCACTGCAACCTTCACCTTCTGGGTTCAAGTGATTCTCCTGCCTCAGCCTCCTGAGTAGCTGGATTACGTGTGTGCACCACCACGGCCTGGCTAATTTTTGTATTTTTAGTTGAGAAAGGGTTTCACCATATTAGCCAGGCTGGTCTGGAACTCCCAACCTCAGATGATCTGCCTGCCTCAGCCTTCCAAAGTGCTGGGATTACAGGCATGAGCCATTACGCCCGGCCTGTCTGGGTTTTAAATAATTTTAGTAAGCTAATGAATCCTTTTCCAAATCTCTCAGGCCTATCATATTGTTAGAGATATAAAACACAATGGGCTGTCCGAAGTTCCCTGGAACACTGCTAATTATCCTCAGAAGAGCTGAGCACAGCAAGGTCTGGAATTCTAGCTCTTCTGCCATGCATGTGGATTATGACATCATCCAAGTTAATTGATTGCATTCCTATCTACCTTTCCGTTTGGGACCATGTATTATTCAGAATATTTTTTTGTTGTTGATACAAAACAAGAAGTGCTCATCCTTTGGAGCAGTGCCTTGGTGTCTGAGATCACGTTATTGATGGTTAAGTGCTGTCAGTTACTGGGGAGGGACAAGGATCTGCCAGTGGTTGCCTGGAAATGGCCTTAAAGTGGGCAGAGGAGGGTATGAGAAGATCCAAAAACCAAAGAGGATTTCAACACTTGGAGCATAACAAACGAACGATTCTTCAACAAACAAACGCTATAGATAGAGTCATGCAGTAAACTCCTAAAGGGGAAGCAATAAGCTAAGAATGACCAGGCTCAAATATAGAAACATAACCCAGGCCACTTTGGCTAGCCAAGGAAAAATGCTTCATAGATTCACTCTCTCCCGCCTTCTTTTGCTGCCTAACTGCTTGTTTTTATCCTTCCTTCCCCATTCCTCTCTCCCTGCCTTCTCCCCTTTCTTCCTTGATTCGTCATTTAAACGAATGTCTTCTGAAAACAGGTCCAAAATGGGACTGGAGAAATGCAATGAATATGAAAGTCACAGTTCCTATGGAAAAGCTCATAAGCTGGCGGGAGAGCCCAATAGATGAACAATGACAATTAAACATAAAAAGTGCTTTAGTGAAACCAAGTGCCACAGGAGCCCGAGGAGCAAGCACCTAGCTCTTCCTAGGGAAGCTTTCTTACCTTATACCAGTGGTTCTCATAGAATAGAGATTTGTGCCTCCCAGTGGACATTTGGCAATATCTCAAGACATGCATGAAACAAGGACAAGAGAGCAGACATAGAAAGAAAGAAACTTCAGATGGTGATGTAGCTCTAATACTTGTAGAAGGAGAGAGAGAAGGAAGAAGGCTGAGCCCCAGACTGCAATGCTGCCCTGTAAAAGTCTTGGTCAGCCTGAAGAGGAATCCTTGAGTAGGGATTGTCCACTATAGGAGTCATATGTTGGGCAAGAACTGCCTGTCCCTAGGATCCCAGCATGCTCAGTCACTGGCTGAGAGCTTCTGGGAAAGACAACAGTCTTGGCATGAATGCATGGTGGATACGGAGATGTGGCCGCAGAAGCTGTCAGCTGACAATGCTCCTCTCAGCAGGGTCTTTCTAGATGGGAGATTGCTTGGTGCACCCCCATGACCACCACAAATAGACTGTGTGTTGCTAAGCAAGAATTGTTAAAGGACTCCGTCTTTACTCCAAAAAGCTAGGCTGTACTTCTCCCCTGATGAAGGAGGTTGTGTAACACCTGCAAATCTTCCAAAAGCCTTTTTGTTGATAGAGCTACTGCTCTGATGTTTTGTTATTTGTCTATACAATAATGGAAGAAAGACCTTTCCTTTTCTGTTGCAAATTAAGTGAAGAAAATTTGTGATTATACACCACTCTGAGACTACAGTTTCTGCCCCTGGAATGTTAATAAAAGGGATCAAAGCATGCACACGTGCACACAGCCACACACAGACACCCACACCCACCCACCCACACACATGTTTTTCTGAAACGATTACCTATTGCCTCCACAGGGCATTGGTTATAATTTATGGAAACTACCTTTCTGTGTACAGACCATAGACAAAGGATAAGCTTGAACTCCAGGGTGCAGGATCTTTTGGATGTTTGAAGAACGCTTTTTTGGTAGATAATGGAAAGCAATATAGGAAATATCTGATATTTTGTGTCATTTTATTTAGAAGAATCCAAGGTGGCAGTGACTCTTTGACTAGCTTCAGTCACTCTTGGTGTCTTGATTTTGGCAGGTCCTAAAACATCACGTCAGGGGAGCCATCTGCCTTTTGTGCTTGCCCCTTACGAAGAAAACACGGTTCTTCTATTATGTTGTTGATTGCACTGGAGCCTAGTGAGTTCCTCAGGAAATAATGTGAACATACTCAAAACAGAAATCTGTGGTCCCAGCAACCAGTCAGAGCATGCTGTCCGTGGAATTAATGCAATCAGCCCTCTCGGTTACAAAGAAGACCCCTTATAGTCAACAGCTGGCATTTGAACACGTTCGCTGTTTAACAATAAGGAGTCATGGCAGTGTTGTGGATTTAAGAACAAGATGTGGAATAGTGTGCAGTCCTACGTGGAATTTCTTAAAACCCCACTGCCAAGAGTAACTCCTTTGAAATAGAAGAGAGACAGTAAAATAAAGAACGAGAGATACTGTTTTTAGCTCACTTCCCATCTTTGTGTGTGTGTGTGTGTGTGTGTGTGTGTGTGTGTGTGACATTTTGAGGAAAGTAATTCCAGAATTAAACCTCACAGTGAAAGTGCTTTAGTTGACACCCAGCTTCAGGAAATTAGAAAAGGACAGAATTCATTTTGCCAGCAAGCTCATCACATTAATTCATAAAATCCCCATATCGAATAACCCCGTATCAGGCACTGTCCCTTTGGGGAACATCACACAGGAGGTAGTTTATAGGAAAAAATTCTAAGTTTCCAGTTCCCATATATCAGACATAGCCAGAAAGCTGAGGAAGCAGGGGCTTCTTATGTTGTTATTTTTCCGGAGGATTTGATATATTTATTTTATCTAGAAATGGGTTTTGGGAAAAAGACAAGCTACTGCACTATGCCTTATCAATGTCAGAAGAGTTATCATACACAAACACTCAATAATGACTTTAAAAAGTGATTATGAACTAGTTCATTTCTCAATGCAGCACACACTACAGTAATAATCCAAATTGCCTGTGACTTATGAGTATATTTGGCAACAACCACTAGTTCCCACTGTAGTGTGAAATTAACACCACAGACTGTAGCTGTGGCATTTATTGAGCACAAGGGAGCTGATTATAGCCTCATAAATTCAAAGGCAACCTCTGCTATTACTTAATTAGAATCAGTATCTATGCATAAATTACAGTAGCAATAACTAGTACTGTTACAGTTAAAGATTTGTCAGCTTCCTTATTATATAACAACCCCTTATTTTTCCGCATAAACCTATAATTTAGGGAGGTTATAAGTTGTCTGTAAAAGTTGTTCAGAGGGGAAAATTGGCACATGGTATCTTGGAGGCCAGTAGTGTTTTGTTTCTAAGTAAACTTTTAAAATATTCATCTTGTGCTGTTGCTTTTTTTTTCTTAAAAATAATACCACTAAATCCCTAATCTCCCCCTAGTAATAAATTGTTTTGGCTACATATGCAAGTTTTTAGAGTATAAAACTTCATTTTAAAACAAGTGTTGTCTTAGTACTTTTTCTTTGGGGATCCTTTTTATTTTTAAAATTATTATAAAATAAACTTTACACACACACACACACATACACACACTTAATGAACATAGACTATTATCCTCCAATTTAAGTTTTATTCTCTGCTAATGTGTATAATACATTCACACAGTTGAAATCAATAGGTACACTTTCTTTGGGGTCCAGTTTTTAAATTTTTTGGCTTAACATTTTCTTGTACACACATGGGCCTCACCAACATAGCCCACATATGGCTTAGTATTCTATCAGATTAATCTTCCAAAATTTATCAGAAAAATAAAATCATCAGAGTCAAATGATAGCCTTGCATCATGCAAAGATATACTCCAGACAGAAAGGTAAGTTTTAGCCACAGGAAGAGACAAATGTGATAAATCATCAGGAAAATAGTTATCAGGAATGTGGAACAGGTCCATGAAATAAAATGAATCCATTAATTTGTTGGCACTATACTGTGTTTTTAAATATCATTTGGATAAATTAACTATTTTTCAACTAGATGTTTTTCTGCTGTGTAGATGCTACCTAATTCATTTACAAAGTTAGGGCCATATTATTTACAAAATGAGAAACTGCATACAAAGAGGCAGGATAGCTTGCTTTTTGCTTTCAGTGACACTCAATAATCTTTTTATTCTTAAGATAGATATAGTTTACCCTTCAGCAATACAATATTTCTAAAAAAAATCACACTTTCACATTTGTCTCTGTATAATTGTTTTAAAACATACCAGGCTGATAATTTGAAATATAGTCTATATTATTGCTAATATTAAATTACTACCATTGTTATTATTATTAGACATTCCAAAAAGTGCTTTTCCAGCCTGCCTTTCCTTGATCATTGTTGGGGTGTAGGTGTCTTAATGGTAGGAACATAAAGTAAACAAATTTTTTTTCTCCACACCCAGAAATAATTGTTATTTATTCTGGGCAAGTGAAAACGTGAACAGCTACTGTCAAGCCTGCACTGGACTGTCATCAGGCATGGATTGTACAGGCTTTTAAAAAAATAAACTTCAGGGGCAGATTTTAACAAAGAAATTCAACAATAAATATCACACTCAGTCTGTTTTGTTATACCAAGGGTTTACCTGACCCCACAACTTAAGACCAGGCTGAGCCATCTACAGATCATACGGATAACAATCATCAGGCAGGGGCTTCTGGATATTGTATCACTACACATTGATGCCCGGACTCATGAATTTGGCTGCCTAAATGACAGAATTGTGTTGGCTCTGTTTATTTCCATCAAACACTTATAAGCTGTTATGATGACGAATGGGGAAAAATATTGCTGGACAATGGCAGCTGTAATAAGCGTACGGGTATGAAATGCAAAGAAATTACTGTAGACAAGCTCAATTTATCCAGAGGGAGGGCAGAATATGAACTTTTGCCTACATGGAATAATTTCTGGGCTTCTGATATGATCCTGCAAGCTAAAAAGAAGGCAAAGAGCTTTCTTATTTTATATTTTAGGTTAGAAGTCATTACGTTAGACACTGAAGCACAATTGCAATGCTGAGAGGAGTGCATTTTAAGAAATTTAGATCATTGTACATTTTGGAAGGAAAACTAGAAGAAGGTTAGATTTAGCTCAACTTTTGAGTCAGTAAAATAATTACAAGCACTTTGTTTGTAATAATGGCGAATGTTGGGGTGTATGTCAACATAAACTTGCATCCACAGCATCACCTCCTTTTACTTCCTCCTTCCCAAATCTGCTGGTGGTGCTGGGATGTGTGTGACGATGCAAATGGCAGAGGACTGGAGAAGATAAGAGAACTGAATGCAACGGCAGCGGGAGCGGAAAGAGGAGTTTGAGGAGGAGATGTGTAGAGAAGAAAGCAAGACTGGGAAGAGATTCCTCACAGAGTAAGACTTTGGAAAAAACATAGAAAAGAAGACATCCTCTCAGAAGATTTGTGTGATGTGCTGTGGAACTTCAATGGACTGCCAGGAAAGATCACCTCCCTTTTAAGGCTGGTTTTGAGACCTATTTTTGTTTCTACTGGGTACAGCAGCAAACTGAGATGAGCCCTAAGAGCTGCATACAGGTTTATATTTTAGGATGAATAGGTTTGGGATCCTTTTCTTTGTGCATATTTTAGCAGAAAAACATATTTAAAAAGAGTATAACGAGTCCATTTTAGAGTTTCAATAGAGTTGCTAGATTTAACAAAAATAAATGTCCAGTTAAATTTGAATTTCAGATAAACAACAAATAATTGTTAGTGTAAATATGCCTAATATTGCATGGGGTACACTTATGCTAAGAAATTTGTTATCTGAAATACAAATTTAGCTGGACAGCCTATATTTTTACCTGCTAAATTTGGCAATTCTGCTGTAGGGTGGAGTAAAAGATAGGCAAGGGGGAGAAGGGTGCATCATGATCATTATCTTCTCTATTTCTGAAGTCAGAACTTAATTTGGCAGTGTTCTCCCTCTGGTTTTAAAAAATGAGAATTTTTTTTTAAGCGATGGGTTCTCACTCTGTTGCCAAGGCTACGGTACAGTGGCACGACCATAGCTCACTGCATCCTGGAACTCCTGGGCTCAAGTGATTCTCCCACTTCAGCCTTCCAAGTAGCTGGGGCTACAGGCTTGTGCCACTGCACCTGGCCAGAATTTCTTCTAGTAAGAAATATGAATGTTTGTTTACTAACAACTAGACATCTGCTAGTAACATGTTAATATAAAATGATTAAGGCCTGAATACATAAAATTTAGGAGAATAAAAATCGATTTCTTCAAAAGGTGATTTAATATAGTTTATCACCAAGAGCCGTAAAAGCTCCAAATGACTTGCTAATTTATGTAAAGTAGAAATTCTATGATGTGACTTTGTGAATTTGCCTAACTATATATCTGCATTTACTAAATTTCTAAATCCACAATACACTAGAAAAATTGGTTGTCATGTCAACTTTCATGTGCTATACTGAGAAACTTTATTTTGTCTTTTTTTTTTTAAAAGCCAATTACACAATAAAGTCAAACAAATTTGACTGCAGAAAATGAAGAAACAGATTCTTTATAGGTCTTCTATTGTATATGGAGTAATATTAACCAGCCACAACCAAACATATCCCTTTTGGCACCTTATTACCAAAGATGTGACATATTGAAAATAAACTATTAAAAGATATTGCCTTTGCACTCCTTGTTCAAAAATTATATTGAATTCATATTCATTAAGTGGCCACAAAGTACACTCATCTGTGCTATACTGAGTGTCCTTCAGGTAAGATCACTGATTCTAGGAACACTTGGTGCATGAAATTTCTGCATATCTGAAATACTTTTTTTCTCATGAGGCTTCAACCTCAACTCACACTAATATTTTTTAATGGATGACAATGTTCGTCATAAGTTAGGGACAAAATTTTTCCCCTTCAATAAAGAAATGCTACCTATATATCCTGTTGCCAGATATTTCAGGTCAAGTTTTACTGCCAAACAGTCCAAATGCCATTATCTTTTATGAAGATAGTTGTGAACAATAACAACAATAATAATAATAGGATGAAAATGATGATATCAATAGCAGATACTTACCGTTTGGGTCTGCCCAGCATCCCTTCCCAAACATTCTTTTGGTAATTCTGCTACCCTTCCGTTGGGAACTACTGTTTCTTTCTCCATATGACTTTAGTGAATGCATCAGTTAGAGTGCACAACACACTCACACACACGCACTTACACACGTCTCAGAGACTGGCTCAGTAATGGTCAGATTTGATCACCGCATAATACTTTTAGAAAATTATTCAAAGGGATACTTTTCTAAAGCTCAAAACAGCTTTAGAAAAACCTAAGCTTTGGAAATATATCCCTTTGTGAATGTGTCTTCAGAGACACGAGAGACATTTCATAGACACTCGGAGAAAAATATATTTTCTTTCCTCTGTTATAAACTGAGATTAGTCTCTGGTCATGTCCCTGTCCCTCATTTAATAAGTCATCTGCAGTAGAGATCATAAAGCCAATGGACATTAGGGAAGCAGAGATGACAGACATGCTCAGAATTCCTGGAGCCTCTGAGGACAGTTCTTCATCTCAACACTCAACTGGGCCCTCCAGCCACAAGAATCAACAAATTTCTCTTCTTCTTAAGCCATTTTAAATATGTACAGATACATATGGCTACCATTTATCAAGAATTAATTTAGTGCTCTAAATTCATATATTGATATGAATTATATATATGCAGAGTTGGGAATTTATATACATATGATGACTCCAGATTGCAAGTGGCAGAATACCATTATAAAAATTCTTCTCAAAATTCATAACATTGGGTGCAAATCATAAAAACTAAAATAATTCTTTTTCTCCTACTGCCTATTCAAGTGTACTCATGAAAGGAGAATGCCTCTTTATAGGTTGTTCTAGCAAATTCCAAGAGAAGATATTGATTAGCTAGTTTGGGTCATAGGCAAAAATCAGACCAACACTATGGCCAGAGGGGGTAGAGTATACTGGCCTCCTGGGTCATGTGACCACATCCATTACCAAACCATGGAGAATAAGAATAGGAAAGGAAGAGTTCCTTAAAGAGACATTGAATAGAAAAAGAAAAAGAAAATAAGTGGGTCACTACAACAGCATTATTTTGTTTCATCCTGTTATCATCTCTATGAAGTAATATTTACCTTCATTTTGTGACTTTAAAAAAAAATAGGTCTACAAAGGTTCAGTCATTTGCTCAAGTAACTTGGGTAGTAAAGAGAAGCTGGATATCAAATCCAAGTCTGCCTGATTCCAAAGCACCCTCTCTGTTCTGCTATGATACAGTTGGAAAGGGAAACTGCAGAAGGTGCTAGGCTTAACTGGTACCTGGTTGCCTCTGGTGGTTGCAACAGGGAATCTCACACATGGCTGCATGGGGGTGTAGAGTGAACACTTGGGAGGAATCTGATCATTAGATTTGGAACTAACCAGTTCCTGTCCAGGAAGCTGACTATATGAAGAAAAGGAGTTTAAAGTGTTATCTAATGGGTGTCTTGCTCCATTTGGGCTGCTATAATAAAATGTCATAGGCTAGGTGGCTTATAAACAAAAGAAATGTATTTCTCAGTTCTGGAGGCTGGGAAGTCCAAGATCAAGGCAACAGTAGATTCAGTGTCTGGTGAAGGCATGCTTGCTGGGTTGTAGATGGCACCTTCTCATTGTGTCCTCACATGGTGGAATAGGCAAGGATCTCTCTGGGGTCTCTTTTATAAGGGCATTAATCCCATTCATGAAGGCTCCACCACTGGGACCTAATCACCTTCCAAAGACCTCAACTCCATATACCACCACACTGGGAATTATGTTTCAACATATGAATTTGGGGGAGATGCAAACATTCAGACTATAGCAAATGGAGACCGCAGGCTCCCTGTAGCCTACTCCATGGATAAGGATAGAGGGATAGCAAGATTAGATCATCAGACAGACAGTCAAAAAAACCATGTCAATGAGGAAAATGGGTGAAGCAAAAGGAGTAGGGTGAATCTGAGCAGCCCCTGAATAATTTTACTGAGGAGGCAAGTGCATCATGCTTCCTAAGATGACCTTAAAAGGTTATTTCTTTCCTTATTGGTTTCTAGGTGGCTCTAAGCATGCTATTCCTGTGAGAGTCAGGAGTGATTATTGAGGAGAGATTACCGTAATATTTAACAAGGTATTGAGCCCACCAATCATAATGTTAAATTTTTAGTTGGTGGAGGCATGAGAGGAACCAATGGAGGTAGTCAGGGCACCAAGGCAAAGAAAGGGGTGGATGGGAGGGATGGACAATGGCTGTTTATTAATTAGTAGGGTAGTATTTCAATATTTTTAACAACCGGTAAGGCCATTATGGATGTTTGACTGATGAACAGACACTCTAGATCCACCCTTTTCCTTGTGAGAGCCAGGAAGTGGCAACCACTTTTCACTAGAGTCTCCCTCTTCCCGTTGCCAGGCTTCTTGGGAGTCTGGTCTACTACAGGTAGACCGGGGGGAAAGAGCTGATATCCAGACACACACCTATTTCCATGTGGCTAAAGCAGGCTCTTAATGTTTTCTAGATGTGAAGGCATTTCTCTGATGTTCATTCTCATTAATCTTGATTTTTTTTTCTCTTTTGCTCAGAGTAGCTGTCTCTGTATTTCACTAGAGGCTGAAGATGAACAAAAAGCTCACACCAGATGCTCATGCATATTTCTGCATGTGTACTTGAAAGAAAAACCTTTCGGAGGAAGCAGTTTCTGCCAGGCCAAGTTGTGGAAGGAGAAAATGAAACCTGAAAGGTTGAAATGAAGGACAGAGGTAGAGGCAGGGACCAGGGGAAAGAGTTAGTATGAGAGTTGAGAGGCAGTCAGGATGCAGGTAGGTTAATTAGAGCCAGGTACAAAAGTAAGTCATGCCCAAATGGACTAGAAAAATCAATGATATATAGAATCTGGTAATTATAGAGGAAGCAGAATCCAGGATGTGGTAAAGTATCTAGAAATCAGATCTATACATCCTCAGTGGAAGCAAACAGGCATAGTGCTTGCCTCAGAGTCAAGACATTTTATGAGATGAGCTGTAGACAACCTGGTGTATCAGCCCCCAAGACACTTGAGTTCTTTATGTTCATATAGGTCTCCTCGAAAGAAAGGTGGAGAAGGCTGAGTTGGACTAGATCAGGCTGGATTGAGTTGAATTGAACTGACCTCCAGTGGCTGGATCTAGTCTGGCTGAGGAGACAGGCCTGATAAACACAACCAGAGGGTCAGAGAAGAAAAATCACATAACTTTCCACACTCTGAGAACAGGTTGGAAGAGGAAAAAGAAAACATTTGATTTCTTAATCACCAGATCTGGCCCCAAGCGTCTTGTGTTTAATGTCTGAAAAGAGTATCTGGTCTGCCAACTTTCTGTTTTGCACAACTGCCCAAATGCATTACAGCTGTTCGTTAAAAAGCTCCTGATTCTAAAGCAACTGCACATCTTAGTCCTGTGATTTGAATGCCATAGGAACTTTTATGTTCTTTTTTTGGAAAAATCTAATAATCTCCCTTTTAGAAGTTGATTCCTCTTCAGTGAGCCAGAGTTATAGGTCTTCCAAAATTCAGTCTGTGCTTACACAGGTAAGTCTAGTTCTACTAGACTTAGGCCATTTAGGGCTTCCACTTCTAGTGACTGGAGATACATTTACTCCACGATCTTAGAGCACTTCGGCACACGGACAATCTAATAGTATGTCCTGGAATAAGTTGGTGTTCACCAGAAAAACGTGGAAAAGATTTTTCTGGTTTACTAAACGCTATTTTTACATTTCTTCTTTTATTGTTTGCTTTTTTGTCCCTACACAGAGAAGCCTTCTGAGATTTCCTTACAAGTCTTATTAATCTGAGACGACTTTACATTGGCCATCTACCCTATAATAATGTTAGAGTTCAGCTGAGCATGAAACATTTTCATGGGTTATATGCAAAGAAATGTAGCAGAAAAGAAGACTAGAGGAGTGACTTTATAAAACCCAGTTCCAAGGCCAGGGACTGATGTATTTCTACTGTAAAGGTCATCGGCAGTGGAATGCAGGAGGAATTCTGCTCTAGAAGTCATTTTAAAGGCTATCCGTCCATTTCAGTAGCCTGGTGGACAAATGAAATTTAAAATGCATAGGAAATTACGATATATGGAAAAACCAGTAGCAGCAGAACCAACTGGGTAACATCATCAACCAGTTCTACATGTGGATTCAGAACCGCAGCCACTTTTTTGAAAGAGAATTAGCATAAGCAAGGAAGGTCAACTGCCTCCACAGCCACTCTGTTAGATTTTGAGTTTATTCTATATAGTTAGAATTAGTGGTAGAGAAAACTAGGAGAGGCAGAAGGTAGGAGCAGTGTCAGGGTTACCATTGATGCCCAACCTAAAAATATATAAACAGGATTAACATACCAAATTTTGTCTAGAATCTGGTTGGCAGCAAAGGACACTGGATTCTAAGTAGAATCCTGGCAATATTTTGATCCCACTGGGGAAGGGACAAGGCTATTCATAATTAGGATGAAGACAGAAACTGACCCTTCAGTTCTTAAACATTTGGACATCAACTCTGAGCAATTAGAGAAGTCAGAGCTAGCACAACATAGCAGGTGCTGCTACTTGGCTCATTCCAAATACATTACATCAATATCAAGCAAGAAATGATTAAATATTAAGGAAGAGTGGATGCCAGAATGTAATAGTGTCCATCTTCTAAATCAGTGATTCTCAAATGTAATGTGCACAGGAACCATCCGGGGATTTTGTTAAATATGGATTCTGATTCAGTAGGTCTGGGCAAGGGCTTGAGGTTATGTGTTTCTAATAAACTCCCAGGTGATACAGTTGGCCCATGGACCACACTGTGAGTGGCAAGGGTCTAGAGCAGTGGTTCTCAACCACACTGGCCACACATTAGATTTGAATAGTGCTGATAGCTGGGTTCCATTTCTGGAGACTGATTTAATTGCTCTGTATTCAGCTTTGGTTTCCGATGGTCCAAAAGCTCCTGCAGGTGATTCCATTTAGGAATCCATTTATAGCCACTTCCATTGGCTCTCCAGGGGTTTTACAGGTTTTTAAAATTAATTTTATTTTTACTTCTACCATTAAGTTCTCTACTGATTCTTCTGGGGACTGTAAGTGTTCAGAGTTTTAGGCACTCTGGGTATTTTTTCAGTCATGGAATATTTCAGAGTAATAAATCTTATTAATTTTTTATTTTGTAATTTGACTTGGAAGTGATGACACTGTATATCCCAGAGATTTTTGTTTGTTTTGCTTTTAACTTTTTAAAAACTTACTATAAAATGGACCTTTCAAAATAGTTCTTTATAACCGTAGGTAGATTGGAAGTTTATATATTCTGTTTCAAAAAAAAGCATTTCTTGTCTTCAGCAGTCTTCTCACAGACCTCTTCCATTGTGTCCATTTACTTGTGTTGCTTGGATTGCACCCTAATGATGTATTTGTTCTCTCATTGCCCTCATTGGCTTGAGCCCATTGCAATAGCACATTCTTAGGAAGTTGATGCCTTGTTTAATTCCACATATTTCTCTTCTTAGAGAGAGGGGGTAAACAAGGACAACTATCAGTTACAAGATGTGTGGAATGCATAGATAATCTAGCACTCTATTGGGAAGATTGTTTGTATGAAGAAGCTCCAGGAACTCTCTCTCTCCACTTAAATCATCCATTCTCTTAAATCTCACTTCTTCCTAGCCCGCCAGCCTCCTCCACACCCATTTCACCCCTCTTCACTATCATCACAGAACAGAAGGTTTGCATCAATTAACAGACTGGCTTACGAGCACTTTGACTCTCTACTAGGCTTTTTTTCCCTATTTATTGTCATTCTGTAGCATTCCAGAGGCTATTTCATCTTGGGCACAATGCCTACAGTTGGGATGGGCTGCCACCAAAGGGATCCTGGTTATGTCCTTGGGGTATGAGCAGCTTGATTTCTCCTGAGCAGAGATGAGTCAAATGTATGTGTGATTTTCTTCAGGAATTTTTTTAAAATAAAATTTTAATACAAAAATATATGGTTATTTTTCAGTGGACCGTACAGTGGTGTTTTTCAGATGAAAATCATTACTTATTAGGTGAATGGTGAAATAAATTGGTGATTCTTGACCAGCATTGTCTTTAATACGTAAGAAGAATGAAGGAGGGAAGACAAAATATTATAGAATACCCCACATTGTAAGGGTAAGTGTATGGTAGACACACCTGATAGCAATAACTTAAGTGTAATCTGAGAATGTGGTTGCACCTGATCCACATAAACTGCATGCATCTTACAAATGAGAACAGTTCTCCTGTTCAGCCCACTGTCACTGGAATGCTTTGTATGTAAGTCCCCTCAATTAAACCCCGTGTTTTGTTTTTTGGCTCCAGGTCTCTTCTTTGGCCTCTCAAACCTGGTGTCATCCCTATTAAAGCCAGCAGGGGGTCTGGCATGAAAGTAAGTATTATATTTTTTCAAGAACTGAAACTCCTGTTTCAGTTATATACCTGTAAATTTTATTTTTGCCGTTAGTTGTGTTTTAAAAGATTGAAAGCCATCATCTTAGAGCCATCATCTGTCAGCTTACCTTTACTCCAAATCTTCCAAAAACTATAACAACTTAGTGATAATTTACTATGACTTCAAGATTCAGATAAGAAGTCAGCCAGCTGTTTTGGTACAAAAAGTCGATCTGCACTTATATTCTTTGTGACCCCGCTCATCGATTAAATCCTCAAGTTTCTATTTCTAATCAGGTTGTAACATTGGATTTTGTTTGGTTCTCTTTTGTCTTGTCTCTCCTTATTGCTTATTGGACTTCCTAACCATAGAGCTCTTTCTATTCTGCAGTTTACTTATTTTTTCCCCCAATCACTTTGAGACCCTCTTCAAAGTTTTTTGAAGCTGTTGTTTCCTTTATAGGAGAAAGGAAGCATCAATGGTAAAATAAAAAGCTGGAAAGGAACAGAAATCCTGTAGGTCATCTGTGTTCTGGACTGCTGTTACCTTAGGGAGTTCACAAAGGGTGTCCCATGGGGTAGGATGGTTTGAAGGGAATCGCTTTGGATCCTCTGCCTTCACATATTTTCTTTCCTAAAATTGGTTAGACTGAGAACATCTTACAGTCAAGCCATTTCTTTCACAGTTGCCCTCCTCCTCTTCACAGAAGAATAGCTCAAGTCCCACTGTATCTTAATATGGTGCACTGCTTCAGGGTGTAAAAACCTACAAGGCACAAAATGAATTTAAAATGCTGGTGTGTGAGTGTCAGGAAAGTGAATGACCTTAAAGACTGAGTAACAAATTCATGTGCATATCAGGTAGTTTCCTAATCATACTTTTAAAAAATGGAAAAAGAGCAAATTTGTGCTGATTCTAGATCATTAAAAATAATTTTTCAAAATATATCATGTGATTTTTGGCAAATAGTTCAAAAGGAGTTCTAAAATATAAATGGCATTATTGTAATAAAACTATTCTCATTTACATAACAGGTAAGCCATCATAGATTACATCTATAAAAATTAAAAACTACAACAGAAAAGGTGCTGAGCTCTTTTGAAAATAACAAGAAATATTCATACTAATGTGAATTAATCAGAAAATGCTTCTATCTCCTTAAAAGATTTATTTCCAATAAACTTTTACATTTTGTATTTGATACTTTTTATAATTTATATACATTTATGTTGTTTTGAGTACCTGCTGCTAATCATCGTAATGATAAATTAATGAAAAAAATTAACCCTTAGAGCCTTACAGTTACAGGAAGTATATTGATATGTCAATTTCAGTTTAATTTCATATATTTTTTCCATGAATTACTCAATAAAGGCAATTAATTAAAACCTTTCCATTCTAAATATATATTACATTAGGATAAAATTCAGAGTGGGAAATGTAATAAGAATACACTACTAAAAAGTGCTTGCTCATGTATTTTTTAATGAATGATGATAGATATAAATTCATATGACATTTAGATTATATTTAATACATTTTAAAACATAGCAATTTAATTGTAAATATCAATATTAATATCTTTTATAGCTATTTACCTTTATGACAAAAAATTTAGATACATAAAATATAGAAAGGGATACTTTTTGAAAATAAGTTTTCAAAATTTTTTAGAGAGTACACACAAAAAAAGAGTCACTGATCTAATCCTCTTACGGCCTATTGTCAGGAATCTATGAGACCATCCCAATATAAGAATATTTATTTCTTACGAAAAATCCTTTTATGAATCTTCTCCTTTATAATTTTCCTAGTAATAAAATATATGCTGAGTGCAGCCTTTCATCACCCAGGGTAGTCTGAGTTGGTATGCTTGATATGAGTTGAAATATTAACTGTCAACATTGACAGAGCAAGCAGCATAAAATCAGGTCTACATCAACTTCATAATTTAGGATGTTGCTCACAGCTGGGGATTATTAGCAGTGTGGTACATTTGGTATCATGATACTTTAATTAATAATTCCTAATAACCAGGCACTTTTTTTTTTTTTGAGACAGAATTTCACCCTTGTTTCCCAGGCTGGAGTCCAATGGCACGATCTCGGCTCACTGTAACCTCCACCTCACAACCAGGCACTTTCTTTAGGGGAGTATGTACAGCACCAACAGGTAAACGAAATTTTAAAAATGGCAAAAAAGTTGAAATCAGAATTTGTTCTATTGTTTAAGATCTTGCACTCTGCTCAAAGATCTCCAACAGTGATGGCAAAAAATACATAAAGGTATTTTTTCCTAATAATGAAGAAAATTGACGTGGGAAATACCAGTGGATAAGAGTTTTCAAAACTTTCTTAAGAAACAAAACCCAGTAGAAACTAATAGAGGTAGCTAGTTTCTGATGCTATCCAGGAAAGGAAGGAATCAGACATACAGCAAAGAGGCTGTGGATTTAAGACTGAAAAGTGGCACCAAAAAGGGGGATTACATTGAAAATGTGTGTGATGAACTGATATCCCATAACTTTTATCCAGGTAAAACTAAATAAAAGGATATTTCCTTAAGAGATAACTCAATTAAAAATTTCTAGTTTTTATATAATTTTTTAAACTTTTATTTTGGGTTCAGGAGTACGTATGTACATTTGTTATATGAGTAAATGGCACGTCACAGGGTTTTTGGTGTACACATTATTTTGCCACCCAGCTGACATGCATAGTACTACATAGGTAGCTTTTCAGTCCTCACCCTCCTCCCACCCTCCACCCTCAGGGAGGCCCTGGTGTCTTGTTCCCTTCTTTGTGCCCATATGTACTCAATGTTTAGCTCCCACATATAAGCGAGAACATGCAGCATTTGGTTTTCTGTTCCTGTGTTAGTTTGCTTAGAATAATGGCCCTCAGCTCTATCCATGCAAAGGATAGTTTTAATTTTTTGTTGTCTTTTGGTCTTGAAATTATCTCTTTCCTTTGGAGTCACCTCTCCTGATGATTTACCTTGATTCAACTTTAGTTAGCTTATTGACATTACATGCTACAAGCTTTCCACAAAAACCGTTGATCCTTGATTACCTGTTCTCTCTTGAGAGTGAGGCAAAGGGCTGAGTAGAAGTTATGTGTGCATGGAGGAGGTTTGCCAACTAGAAGGTTCTGCTTTAGGATGAACAGTTACACTTAGATACCCCTAATTTTACAGTAAGGAGACCTGTGCTGTTGGGTCTTAATACTTGTGTCTGGAAGGTAAATTGAGGAAACTTCTAAGAATGTAGAACAAAGAGATAAAGAGTCAGAAACAAATGAAAGAAAAGAAAAAATGACAGTAAACTTTTATGTGGGAGACCCAACATCTGTCTAATGAAAATTCTAGAAAGACAGAATACAGAAAATAGACAGAAAAATTTCAAAGAAACAGAAGATAATTTTCTATAGCTAAAGAAGCTAGAATGGGGCTCTTGAGTGCCAGTGAAATGGATGAAAATAGCCCCATAAACATATGATCATGAAATTTCAAAAGACCAAGAATAAACAAAGGATCCTAAAAGCTTTCAGGTCATGTACCAATAATCATGATTATAGTGGCTCCAATGTTTCATCAACAACTGAATTCTAGAAAACTAAGCAATGTGGTCAAAGTACTGAGAGGACTGTATTCAGCCAGTCTCTCAATCCTGTGCGAAAGGCAAATAAAGATACTTAGAGAAACGGAGAACTCAGAATTCTTACCTCCCACTACACTTTCTAGGACATAATTTGAAGATGCACCTTAGGAAAATGAGGGAGAAAACCCAGAAAGAAGAAAACATGCGATCCAGGAAAATGAACCTAATTCAGGAGAGCAGAGTGGGGAAGTCCTGGGATGACAACTTGGCAGTAGAAACAGAGCACAACCTCAGGTTCTGAGATCTCTGTGGGAAGAAAAGGGAGAACGTGGATAGATTTCTAGCACCTCACAAACTTTCTTACATCACGGCATGAATGTAAAATGGCAATATTTGTCTAGCACAATGAGCTAAATAAAGGAGGCTTCATACCCCTGATGAGCCTTGGGTTTGCCTGACCCCAAGGCTGAGGTGTCAACTACTGATACCATCAGTAGTTGGAAAGCTCTGAATTACACAGCATTATTAAAGCTTGGATAACTTCATAATATGACAAAGACAACTGGTGATTTATTTTAAAAAGAGAGTAAAAAAATACAATCGAATCTCTGACAGAAACAATTTCTTTGGAGTGATATTGATTCATGGAGAAAAAAATGATATGCGTGCACTGTTTGACTCTGCAGCAGAAAATATTTACATAGTCATAATATGATATTATGATTTATTGATTTTTCATCTTTTAGAATCAAGGGTACATCAAAGGAAAAAGGTATAAAATGTAAATATTCTTAATATTGACAATATTAAAGGAAAGATATAGCTGATTGAGGTTGAACAATAAAAAGAGAATGCGGATATGTGGAAGGAGAATAATGATTTCGTCTTATTAGTTTGGGAGCCAAGAGATGCTGTCTATAAACTGAAAGCCTTTCTGCAGATTTCTGCCATCTGCCTTCAGCTACTGAGTTCTTAAGGAGATGGAATGTCAAGTCTTTAACCCTTGGATGTCCTTGATTGAGGGAGAAGCAGTGTGAAAAGGAGAAGCACCAGCCTCCAAGGTACCAAATGGGTGGAAATTAAAAACAACTGAAAATGGCATTGGAGAATTCCCTAAGAAGAAAAAAAGACAAAGATGTCTTGTTCCTACTGCCAAACTGCTAATAGGCATTCAAAAAATGCTAAAAAATGAAAGAAGGGTAGGGGTATTCATATGCTTTGGCTCTGTGTCCCCACCCAAATCCCACCTCCAATTTTAATCCCCATCATCCCCATATTTCAAGGGCTAGACTAGGCAGAGCTAATTGGATCATGAGGGCAGTTTCCCCCATGCTGTTTTCATAATAGTGAGTTCTCACAAGATCTGGTGGTTTTATAGGCATCTGGCATTTCCCCTGCTTGTACTCACTCTGTCCTGCCACCCTGTAAAGAAGGTGCCTGCTTCTTCTTTGCCTTCCGCTATGATTGTAAGTTTCCTGAGGTGTCCCCAACTATGTGGAAGTGTGAGTCAATTAAACCTCTTTCCTTTATAAATTACCCAGTCTCGGGTAATTTCTTCATAGCAGTGTAAGAACTGACCAATACAGGTAGATTGCAGTTTATTAAAGAAGAAACAGATTTTAAAATCCTTTTTAAAGTTTTATAGATGGATTACATAAATACGAAGAGAGGTAGGGGAGATGAGTAGTGATATAAAACAACTAAATCCTCATATCCTCATGATTCATGGCAGGAAGTCAATGAACACTGTCTAATTTTGATATTTCAAGAAGCTGCACCATAAACATATAATTTAGACATATGGGAATAACCCCAAAAGAAATAAAAATGGAAGAAGTTTACTACTGTGCCCCCAATGCCTAGAACAGTGGTTGGCTGACTGTATATGCTCAATAAATATTTGCTGAAAGAATAAATTTTCTGAATGATGTGCAGGAATGGAGGAGGAAATGAGGGACTCTGACACTGTTGCTGATATTCATTAAAAGCCTGCAGCAGTTCCATTTTTCCCTCTTTCCTTGCTAACAGAATCCAGATTTCTACTCCTGAGAGAAAGTGATCCCATCTCCAACCAAAGAGCAAATCCTGATTAGCCTATTAAATCAAGGTAATCCTATACTTCTAACCAGTGACTGGATTAGAGGATGACCAATGAGATGTGAAGGAGGGATTATTGAGAGGCAGCTTCACTCTTCTTTCTCTCAAAATTGATATGTCTGAATTTGATATCTGGACAGATATAACTCTCTTGTGACAAAGAAGAAGCTAGACTGAGGAAAAGAGCAATATTCACAGAATGGCAGAACAAAAAAAGAACCTGAGATTTCGATGATGTCATTGAATTAGCAATTAAATACATTAAATTCTCAACTTAACATGTCTTGAATGTGAGATAATAAATTTTCCTTTTTGTACCAACTAGTTGCGTTGGGAACTTCTGTTATTTGCTCTCAAAGCATAACAACAGATAAAAGTCCTTCTGGACTTTTTGATACCAATAAACATATGCCTGTGTTAATGTTTATAAAAATAAATCAAATAAGGCTATATGTAATTTCATCCAATAAAAATAGAAGAGTATTTTTTAAATTTTTTATTTAAATTGCTGGGTCCCCTAAATTTTGGTGGCCAGGTATAATTTGTTAGCGTTGCTACAAAGGAACATCTGAGGCTGGGTAATTTATTTTTTAAAAGAATAGGTTTATTGTCTTATGGTTCTGCAGGCTGTATAAGAAGCACGGCACCAGCATCTGAATCTGGTGAGGGCCTTAGACTTTTTCCACTCATGGCAAGGGGGGAAGAGCAGCCGGTGTGTGCAGGGATCACATGGTGAGAGAAAGCAAGAGAGAAGGGAAAGGTACCAGGCTCTTTTTAACAACCAGCTCTCTAGGGAACTCTCTTGGGAACTAAGAGTGAAAACTCACTCACCACCCCCACACTCGCCCCCCAGGGACGGCATTCATCTACTCATGAGGGATCCACACTCATGACCCAACCCCTCCCATTAGGCCGCACCTCCAATATTGCGAATCAGATTTCAACATGAGACATGGTGGGGTCAAAGGAACCAGATCAAAACCATAGCACCATGTTTCATGACCCAGTTATCTTCTCCTGTGTTGTGACTCTAATTCTTTTCTCTCAAAACAAATTTTGCAAATTCTCTTTCCCTCCAGTTTTATAACTTTAGAAATTTTTCCACTGTAAACACCAGTTGAAAAGGACACCTTTTCCTGGTAACAAAAAGGAAACTAGAGAACATGGCTATATTTGTCTATTTAGTTTCCTTATCATGGTATTTATTCTTTCAACAAAATGTGAGACAAAGTCAATGGCTAAAAGGGAATGAAAGAAAATTAATGTATAAAATGAGAGGAAAAGGCATAAAATAGTCATCGCAAAGATGAAAGAAAATAAATTACAGATATAAAAAGATGTTGAATGGAATATTTCCTATTATGTCCGAATTTCAGTTAAAGGCCAAAACCTGAGAGAAACTGAAAAGTCTACTAGATACTTCTGTGAAGGATCTACCAAAGGGTAGAAAAATGGCCCAGTAAACATCACATTCCATAGCTTATGTAAGAAAGACTAAGAATTCATGAAGAAGGATTGTTAGAAAGAGAACTTAGAGAAAATGATGGAGTTCTGTATAATTTATTTTACTACCTTCCGTAGACAGTAGAAAGTATACTTTGTAGAAAGTCCCAGGAGACCCAGTAGAGAGCCTCTCAAAAACAACAAACAACAAACAATGTACAGTTGCAGGCATTTGCTTTCCGCTTCTAGCTGCTCATGATGACAGAGCATGAAAGCAGTGGAATCATCCTAAGATGTGTTGATTTAGGAGACCAAAGGTGTTTAAGACACAAGTGGTTGCTAGAGAGGGAAATCAAATCTGAATTTTGTTATACCATATTCGCTCAAAGAATTCTTTGCCTTTAAGGCTAAGGGGACTATAACTACAGACTTAAAAGACTGTTGATGTACCTCTTGTCGTGGGAGTGGAGGTGCAGAAATAAGGTGGAGGGTCACATGAGTTTGTTAACTCTAAATGAGTAGATGTTCCTTCCTGCTGGGGGAGGAGGGGTTACTAAAGACCTCCACAGAAGAGTCAGTGTTAGAATACCTGACCTGGCCCTGATGGAGAGTAGTTGACAGGCAAGAGAGAACTTCCATTAATCTTAGCTAAGTAAAAAGTCTTTCTCCATTTTCAGTTTGTTCATTTTTTCCTGATCCTGATCCTCCAGAGGCCAGAAGCAACAAGAGGGTAAGGGGAGGAGGAACAAGAGGAATGGAAGAACAAGGTGAAGAGGTATTGAAAATAAAGACTGCTGTTCTCCCTTACATAGGTCAGTCCTGAGCTAAGTGGTGGGAAAAAATTTGAATGAAATGATAAAATCAAGTTGTAATTTACACTGGACTACACTTTTTTCCTTTTACCAGAGATATGTCTGTTTATGGCTGAAAGAGGTCAGAAAACAGGGACTAAGCTTGTGATGCCATCAGCAAGTGAGAGAGAAAACTCCCAGTCACTGGATGGGAAAGCAGTGGCTGGAGAAAAGTGAAGATATTCCCTGCTTCTTCCCTAAGGAGAGAAGCCCATTCAGTAAACCTGCCATACTCAGGAAGGCACTGTAGCAGGATTGCC
This sequence comes from Homo sapiens, assembly GCF_000001405.40. Lineage (NCBI taxonomy): Eukaryota > Metazoa > Chordata > Mammalia > Primates > Hominidae > Homo > Homo sapiens. Next base: position 75,580,744 of record NC_000009.12, on the reverse strand, counting down.
AGACAATGGCCTTTTCGGGTTTCTAGTCATGGATTTCAAATGAAGTTAGTCGGCTATATTGTGATTCCAACCACACTCCCGTCACAACTCCCAGCCCAAATGTTCTGCTTCTCCAGGATAGGCATGGAAAAAGTGAACAGTTGGGTTTGACCACGGTTTGGTTTTGCTCTACAAACACAGTGCACAGGAAGGGAGTGAGAAGTAAGCTGAGGTATTTTCAAGGAAGTGGCTATAATGGATTGTAAGTGGAATCTAAGTTGGATGAAGAGGAAAATAGAGACATCAGGAGGATGGATGGTGAAAAAGGCATGGAGTTATGGAGCAGAGGTAATGAGGCAAGAACTGTTACAGTTAAGAAAATATGGAAGCATCTGGAAGAGTAAGTTGTGGTGGCTCAAGAATGGGTTGCCTGAAATGAAAATGTCAGGGACAATGCAGCTTCTAATGATGGCGAGATTTACGGTGAGGTTACTGGATGAAAAGGCTGTGGGAGGTAAAACATAAGCAGGTTAAAAGGAACTGGTTTGAATCTGTTTTTCACTTTGAGTTGGACTAATTTTTTGGCTTAAAACCAGTTTGAACCATGCTGAATCAACAGATCAACTGATTTCTGTTGTATAGCTCATTGGTTTTATATACCTTGAACTAAATCCGAACCTGTTTTAACTAACTTAAAATTATTTACTTTAAATTACACAGTATATTAGTATTAAATGTTTTTTTGAAAAAACTGAAGCGTTCAAAAAATAAATTAGTAGCTTAGAAGGTTACATTAGATTTGTAGTGATTTATGTCTACAGTGAATTTATTGTTAAAACTATGCTAAAGTTAAGGAATATTCCTACCAGTTAGAGATTCCTTTTGAAAAGGACACATAAAGAGGTTTTACTTATGATTCCATAAGTCAATCAATCCATTGTAACTTTAATAAAACTCACAGGAATTAACAGTGCTTTCTTCTCTGTGAAGACACAGAAATTGTCCTGTGGTTTGAAACTACCTCTATGAGGTTTGACCATCTTCCTGAGCAGGAAAGATCCTCCTATGCAGACTCTGATATGGTCTGGGTCTGTGTCCCCACCAAATCTCATGTCAAATTGTAATCCCCAGTGTTGGAGGTGGGGTCTAGTGGGAAGTGATTGGATCACGGGGGTGGAGTTCTCATGAATGGGTTGGCACCATCTCTTCGGTGCTATTCTTGTGATAGTGAGTGAGTTGTCATTTTACTATGTCAACATTGAGTGCAAATGTGAAAGAGATTAAAAAAGATACACACACACACACACACACACACACACACAGTCATTGGAGTCCCCCTTCTCTGCCTTTAAGGTGAGGTGGGCCACAGCTCTCTAACCATCCCAACTCTGATTGGTTCTTCATACCCATTCAAACTATGTTCTAAGTTCCATACACTCCTCCCTGATAGCTATAACCACATGGTACTGAGACTTCTGCTCCTTTCTAAATATTCATGAATATAGTACATCTAATAATCATACATTATAAAGATGAAAAATGAATCTTAGGCCATTAATTTGTTATAAAGGTACTTTGTATCTGCTATTTCATTAATCACATTATTAACACTATTACATAAACCAATATTTATTGAAGTACAGTTTTAGGATCCTGCATCTGAATCACCTAAGATTATTTTCAAAGTGCAGAGTCCAGGATTAAACCACAATCTAAGTAACTTTGATTTTTGGCAGGGTAGGGGTGGCCTAGGAATCTGCAATTTGAAGAAATTATCCAGCTAATCCTTATACATAGGACAGTTTGAGAGCTATCTTTAGAAGTTAAGAGAAAGTATCTTCATTCCAATAAATCAGGAAAACCACACATTTACTTGCAGGTTTTTTAAAAAATATATTTTATAAGTACATATATAAACTCAAAATTAGATAAAGGCAATTCAACCAATTGCCCTTTGGATTAATGATACAGAATTATTTCTATAGGATTTATCAATGGCCTACTTTTACCAATAAACTCTAATGGTTAGGGGAGAAAAGTTGGATAATTCGGACTCCCTCTTTCCCATTTTTCCCCCTCACATCCAGATCCCCTTATTCTTACTATCAGTAATTTGGGGTCTGCTTTTTGCCCCCAAAATTTCCTCAATTCTGATTTTTCATCGCCTTTGCAAACTTTGTATCTTACAAAAAACAAAACAAAACAACGATTTCAAACTATTTCTAGAAGCCAACTATTATTGACTTCTTGAAATCCACTTTGTACTCATAAATGTTTATCTTTAAAGACTATTTAGCCTCATTTGTCTACCTCTGAGCCTAAGCAAAGTTGAGTCAATTATTGAGGGAACATTTGATGTTGCTCTAGAGATTTTAAAGTTTTTATTCCCTGCGCATTTTAGAGAGGGGCCATTCAGGTTTTCAACACTTTTATTTAGGCAGTTGCTACACGAAGGGTATTGCTAGGTATTTAACTTTAGAAATTATCTATAAGAAAATGGAAAGACTCAACAGCCATTTATATCATCTGAAAAAACTCACTCTCCCCATAGATAGGTGTGTGTGCACATGTATGAGTGTACATGTGAGAGTGTGTACAGAGAGAGAATATGACAGACCATGAGAGAAAAAGAATATCTGCTTTGTGTAAAGCACAATGATGGGGTACATGATGATAATTGAAAAACAGTCTGTACTTTCAGAGTTTCCAGTGTATGGCTAGAGGTAGATATCTACACAAACACAAGAGGAAGCTGGAGAAAGAGGCATGGGTAGAGCTGCTGAATGTAGGTTAAGAGCAGCTGCATGGCAGCATGGGAACAGCCAAGGGTTTAGGGTCAAATGAACCTGATTTCAAATCCCAGTGCAGCTTTTCTGTGACCTCAGCCAAGTGGTTAACATTTGCTGTGCCTCGATTTCTGAGTCCCTAACGGCTAGCAGCACCTGACTCCTAGAGTTGCAATAAGGAGTAGAGATAAAGTAGGTAATGTACCAAGCAGACGATAGGGGCTTAATAAATGAGAGCTATTATTATGGAAATGACCAGCCTCTGCAAGTTTGCTAATTGAGTTCTCTGTAACTCTACCTGGAATTTAAAATCGACAGTCCCTGCCCCCAGATGCAAACTGATTTTTATTCCAGGAGGTTGTCTCCAAATCAGAATGTCAGGACGGGATTAGTTTTCGATGCTCTTTAAGCAGTGTGGGCTGGGATAGAGGTTCTGAGGTCAGCAAAGTGTGTGAAAACAAAGGGCTAACTAAAAGCCCTGTAGTTTAATACCACCTAGTCTGATCACATGTGAAGAAGGTCCAAGATAATGGTCCCTGTTCAGAAAGGTTTTCCTTGAGAAACTAAACATAGAATTACCATATGATCCAACAGTCCTATTACTGGGTATAAACCCAAAGGAATTGAAATAGTTTGATGTGCACATTCCCACATTCACTGCAGCATTACTCACAATAGCCAAGATAGGGAAACAGCCTAAGTGTCTGTCAATAAATTATTTTTTAAATGTGGCGTATGTATACCCAATGGAATACTATTCAGCCTTTAGAAAAACAGGAAATTCTGTCATTGGCAACAACGTGAATGAACTTGGAGGGCATTATGTTAAGTGAAATAAGCCAAGCACAGAGAGACAAATGCCATATGATCTCACTTATATGTGGAATCTAAAAAAGTTGAACTCATAAAAGGAGGGAGTAGAATGGTGGCTACCAGAGGCTAAGGAGAAGGCAGATGGAGGAGAGATGGGGTGGGGGAGAAGGGAGATATTGGTCAATGGGTACAAAGTTTCAGTTAGACAAGAGGAACAAGTTCTGGTGTTTTATTGAACAGCAATGTAGCCATAGTTAATAATAATGTATTGTATGTTTCAAACTAGCTAAAAGGGATAATTTTAAATATTTTTATCACAAAGAAATGATAAATATTAGAAGCGATGAGTATGCTAATTAGCCTGACATGATCCTTTTACGGTTGATACATATATGTTTCAAAACATCACATTGTACCCCATAAATATATACAATTATTATTTGTCCATTAACACTCAAACTAAAAAATAAAAGAAAGGTTTTGACACACATGCCAAGAAATTACTGCACTTTTTAGAAGGTTAGATCTGTATGTGCTGCCGTAAATGACTGTCCATGACGTAGTGACATGTGAAAAATTATAATGAACACCTAAAGTTTTGTTTCACAAATCCATTCTTTCAGCTTCTGGTAATGGAAATGTGTTTTGCCTAGAATCCAGATCTCCCCTTTGTTAATGAAGGTGCCCTGGCCAAAAGGCAGACTCATCACCTGAGCTAAGCAAAGCTGACGCCTTCCTGGGAGTTTGAAAAGGGGAAGAACTGATGTATGCTTGTGTCAGAGCCCTAAAGATACTCCATGGTTTCCTGCTACTGCAAAGTCCAGAAGTGCTCTGATTCTTGTCCTCTCCAAAGATCCTTACCTCACTCTCCAACCTTCGCTTCAATTCTTCCTTAGGGAAGAAATATGCATTAGTGCCTCAATGGGCATTCCTTCATGTCCTCTACATGCAGATCTGATTCCTTACCATTTTTTCAAGTAAATAATTTTTCTAAGTCACCCAGAGTAGATTTCTGTTGCTTCCAAACAAAGAACCCTAAAGTACAGTGATAAAGTAACTAGCAATGTGTTTATTCTTATATGTATATTTTAATTCACTGACTTTATAAATTTTTATACTAAAATTTTCTTATTACATGTATTATTTTGGTAAGTAAAAAGCACTCGGCTGGGCGTGGTGGTTCATGCCTGTAATCCCAGCACTTTGGGAGGCCAAGGCAGGTGGATCACCTGAAGTCAGGAGGTCAACACCAGCGTGGCCAACATGGTGAAACCCCGTCTCTACTAATAATACAAAAAATTAGCCGGGCGTGGTGGCGGATGCCTGTAATCCCAGCTACTCAGAGGCTGAGGCAGGAGAATTGCTTGAACTCAGGAGGCAGAGGTTTCAGTAAGCCGAGATCACACCACTGCACTCCAGCCTGGGCAACAAGAGCGAAACTCCATCTCAAAAAAATAAATTAATTAATTAAAAGCACTCATAGATGAAAAAGAAATCTAGGTAGAAAGTAGTGTTCACTGAGATGAAATAAATCTGACTTGAATCCTCCTTGCAAACTCGGAGCCATTTTCACTGGAAGGTGGGGAGAGCAGCATTTATAGCCATCTTTCACAAGGCATGTGAGGGAAGGGGGCTTTCTACTGAAGGGGGAAGAATGGGAAGCTCAATGGCATTAGCTGCCATACAACCTGCATAAGACTGGCTTGAGAGTTCTACAAATTTTCCAGAAAGCTGACAATTCATTCTCAGAGAAAATCTTAATCTCTGGGGTTCTGCATTCTCACATGCTACCTCTGTTCTACACCATGTAATTCCAATGTAGAATGCATTTCTTTCTTCTTCAGTTTCCAGGGAAAAACAAACACATTAAACATGACTTGGGAACTTAGCAGTCTTTACTTGGATGGGTGGAGGTGGTCACAAAGATGGGTCATGTCATCTTGAGTCTTCCATCTGGCTGGCTCCTCTCTTCTCTTCCTCCTTCCTAACAGATTGTCCTCCTGAATGCCAAATGCTTCATCTTTTATGCAAAATTAATCTTCCTTTCCCTGTAATGTCTTTACTTCAGCCAGCCTAGGGTCCCATACATTTTCTCAAGTAAACCAGGATTTTCATGGTATTTTTTTAGACAAAAGAATTTGTCTGAAATTCCTTTTTCTCTTGCTAAAAGGAATTCTGATGCCACCTGTTAGGAATTCATTTTTCTCTGCCTCTCACATTCACATGTAATGGAAAAGGGAAGTAAGCTTTGTGGAGGGAATATATATATGTATATAAAATTTAGAGGGACTAAGCAAGAGGAGGAGACCTTGGGATTTTAGAAACAGAGAAAGGCTTATCAGAGCATTGCCTCAGCCAGAGAAATTTCATGACTGCATAGTCTTTTTGCTGATTCAGCAAATATTTATTGAGTGCTTATTATACGTAAAGAGGCAATCAGCTATGCACTGGGGAATTTAAAAATAAATAGGGCATGCTTTAAAGAGCAAAATGTCTAAAAGGAAAGATACACACATGAACTAATAGGCACAAGACAGTGCTACAATGAAGGACTAGATGAATTTAGAATAACTTGTGAACAGAAGCCCAGGCCTGTCCCAAATATTTGGGGCCTAGGCAAATTTACAAATGGAGGATCACGTACCATACGTCTAAATATTTAAAAGTTATAAATCAAGTGAATAGACTGCTAAATAAAATAGGTTCTACCCTTCTACCTTGACAAATAGAATTTCATAAAGCCTGAAAGGCCAGATCTGAGTTTAGAATCCTTGACACCTCAGAGTTGAGTCAGATCATGGCAGTGCAGATAGCTGGTTTGTGGATCCTAGCCTGAGGCCTTTGACAATCTTCCCTTCTTTTCCCACCCCCTATTCCTTTTCATACTTGTATGTATGTGGACACCCAGGCTGCGTGTACAAGTTCCAGCCATGGCCTCCACCAACAGCCACTTCTTAGTCACCACTCAGCCTAGGATATACCCACCAGTGGCGCCATCTTGTCCTTAGTAGCGATAATAGAGGTAACAGACCCACTCAGGCTCTAAAGGTAGGGTCAGACCATTTAGAAAGGGGATTCCAGGGTCTTAGATATCAAAGCATGGTCTAGAAGAGGGATACACCTCTGCTTGGGCCCACCTAGTTGGCTCCAGGGACTCTTCAGCCTATAATGTGAGCCACAGCCAGAACAGGGCAACAGCAAGGCCTTCTGGAGCACCATTACCTTCTTGCCTGGGTCAAAATCCAGTATTTCTTAAGCTGTTTCACCATATTTTTCTTGAGATCCTAAACTGCTTGTAGCTTTCTAGCTTCAGATGTACTGGTTTTGTGCAAGAGAGAATACGTATATTTATTTGGTTTTCAGCCCTCACCTGACGGATCCTTGAAGAGATGTTATTTCTGGACTTCCAAGCATTACAGTTCTATTTTCCAGTAATTCTATGGGCTAATAAGCTACCATCAGGGAAGGGAAGATAGGAAGAAATTCTTCTTTTTGGCTGCAAATCCCAATATAGAGTCTGAAGTATAACAGGGCCATCTTCAATGACAAAGGACAACATGTTTTCAAGCATTCCTTTCAACCAGACATTTTCCTATCCATTAGCTGTTTTCACTGACTGCTACGTGCAGGCCAGGCTTGATCTAGATCAGTTTTCATCAGGGTCACAAGGAAATAACACAGCTTAGGTTGAACCAAAGCAAGGTGACTCCTTCACTGTAGGTGTGTTCTATCTGCCCACCTGTCTATCTTGTCATTGTCTTAATTCCCAGTTTTGCTTGGCTTTCTTATTTTTCAAAAGTTTTTCTTTTTCTTTCCTCTCAGTATATAGCTCTTCCAGCTTCTCACCATTTCCATCAACTTCTGGCCACTTGCCGTGTTTTGTTTTCTAGTAATTGTGCCCTCCTGGCTTCTGTTGTCTCCCCAGCCTGATGTGTTACTGTCCTGACCCCTAAGTTGTATGTACTTTGTGATAACCTACACCAGTCTTAGCATCCTACTTAAATCCCTGACCTGCAACCACCCTCACATTGACTATCAGGGTGGAAGAAAACAACAGGTCATGCATTGGAACAAAATCTCCTTCTCCAGCCATGATTCCCCGAAATCGCAGTAGTAGGGATGAGATGATTTTCTGTCTAATTTATTTAGCTGTCTCTTTTCCAATAACTTTTCCTCCACTCAACCCCAGGAAACCCACCTGGACACCGTAATATTGTAGACATCAATATTATGTAAAAATGTTCTATCTTAAAATAATAAATCCAAGCATATTACCCATCAACCACAATGTTGCCTCTCTACTGATTGCTTTAAACTGTTTCCTCTTCGGTCTCATCAGAGCCTCTGGTCTACGGATCCGTGTGTGTTAAGCAATCTTTCAGCCTGTTCCTTTCTTTACTTTTCTCCTTATCCAACTTACAAGCTATAATCCGTCATTTCAAAATCACTCTTGTCCATACCCCAAACTTCTTTATGCCTTTGTATTTTATCACATCTAACCTGGGTCAATCCTGCAATAGGGCTTTCTCTCTAGTTAAACTTAAGAGTTTGATAATTGCTGGGGAGAAACAATTGCAGAGGAAATTGTTACCTCTATAAATCCATAATCCCTAACCTCAAGTGAGCCGTCAACTCTGCACATCAGTCCTACTAGTTTTTCCTGGCCAACTGGCTCTCTCATTTCTCCATTTTCCTCAAAACTGTGATGATGTCTGCTCAGCCTCTCCTACTATATACGGATAACCATTTTTGTTTCTTCATTCACAGGGAAAATGGAAGTGGTAAGAAAGAATTCCCTCAATTTTTAGTTACCAATTCTACAAACCTACTATGTTCTCAGGATAAAAACAAATGCACTGACCACAGCCTGCCTCTCACCCCACAACCCACAACCTTTGTGCTTCCATCACAATGGGCTTCTTCTAATTCCGCTAATGTCCCATCTGAAACCTTTATGTTGATAACAATCACTCAAGTTATTGGATAAATTAAAGAATCAAATCACTCAAGTTGTTTGATAACATTTCCAAGCCCACTGGATATACTTTCAGAGGAAGGCCCTCAAAACTGGTATACTTAACAAGAGCCTAAGGTCATTCTTACTTCAAGGAAAGACTGGGAAACTCACACCATGATTCCAAAACGCTGCTGATAGGCTGCTTGGAAACCTCTTCTTCCCTTTCTCTCCTTGTCTCCCTTCCCACCACACCAGATTCACTCTTACTCATCTTCCAACTTTCTACTGCAGCATCGCATCAGCAGGAAAGCTCTCTTCACATCACCCAGCACACCACCACTAGGTTTAGGAAGGTTTCTTTGACATGTGCTCTTTTTTATTTTATTTTATTTTTGAGATAGAGTCTCCCTCTGTTGCCCAGGCTGGAGTGCAGTGGTGTGATCTCGGCTCACTGCAACCTGTGCCTCCTGAGTTCAAGGGATTCTCTTGCCTCAGCCACCCAAGTAGCTGGGATTACAGGCATGCACCACCACACCCGGCTAATTTTTTGTATTTTTAGTAGAGATGAGGTTTCACCATGTTGGCCAGGATGGTCTCGAACTCCTGACCTCAGGTGATCTGCCCACCTCGGACTCCCAAAGTGTTGGGATTACAGGCGTGAGCCACCGCGCCCGGCCAGCATGTGCTGTCATAGGACCACATTCCTTCACTTTGTGACATTTACCCAAGTTTAATATCATGCACTCATTGCTTGATTATTCGGTCATTGTTTCTCTCCCTACCAGACTGTGAGGGAGTCACAGTCCACATCCTGGGGCCACATCTGTTGTCATTCATTATTGTTTTTACACACACTGGTTCCTAATAAATCCTTAAGGTAATTAATAATTGAATGAATGAATCAGGAATGAGTCAATGAATGAATTGACTTAAAATTGACAATGATGTTGGAGAGTAATTATAACCTCAAAAGTTACCCAGCCTATATTTTTAGCATTGGCCAATTTGTTCCATTGTTGGATAGTGATAGAAAATACATTTTTCTATTAAATTCAAATCTGCCCCCATGTAACTTACCTCCAGTGCTTACTGGTTAGCCCTACTGGAAATACCATCAAAGTCTATTTCCTCTTAATGATATTTACTTGCAGTATCTGAATAATGTTAGCATGTGTCTCCTGTTTTTTCTTCTCTAACATAAATAAGCACAGTTGCTTCAAAAGTTCCTGATTTGAGACAGTTCTCAGACTCAATTATCCCCTCTCCAGTTTGAGCACACTCTAATGAACACACAAACAAGACAGAAACAACAGAGCCATGAAACTCTCAGGTCTTCAGAATATAGTAGCTTTAAGTCATTACTTTCAGAAGATAAGTCAGTTTCCTTCCTTCTATAAGTTACAGTTTAAATTACAAAGTCATTGAACCACCAAACTGCAATATATCTGAGAAGAATTGTACCTACAAGGCAATGAACCCACAGAACACGTGAAATTTATTACAAGTACTTTTATTGGAGCAATTTGTTGACAAATGCTCAAGAAGGAGTACAGAGTGATCAGTAATAATAAAACCGTATAGAGATCATTTCCCCAAACACTGTCTAGAAGAGAAACAGAGACAAACTCTTTAACTCAAGGTAGGTTTTCTGTACCTTTTCCCTGTAGTTTTTATATGTCATCTCTGGAGAAATTTCAGATGTTTCAAATCTAAGCCTACATCAAAGCTGGAATTTATAAAAATAGCAAAGGGGTTCTATTTATCTCCATTCACCAATCCTAGCCAGCAGCTGAAAAGAATTGGAGTTTAAATCCTATTAGACTCTCACATCCCCCACCTCCAGGCCACAAAGTCAAATTGATACAATTACTTCTAGGATGAGTGAGGAGGCTGTCACATTAGCCAATTGTTTGTTTCCAGTGCTCGGGCAAAGGGGAAATCTGGCCTTCTAGATTGAGAGAATTACACATCCCTCCAAATAACTGGAAACCTTTTCAAGGGTCGCAGGCTGCCCCAAAAGCCAGAGGCAGAAGGACCATGTCATTGCTCGCCTTTAAGCCCAGGAGACTAAGTGTCACTTCAGAGATAGTTGAGAGCTGCTCGACAGTGTGTTTTAAGACAGTTTCACTACTAACTCTTAGTAAAATAGGGCAATAAATGGCAGCCTGCAATTTGGACATAGCCAAATTGCTCGTTAGGTCAAGAAAATGCAGGAATTCCTAATCCAGTATTTTTAAATTGAGAAAATTGAGGACAAACAGGACACTGTAAGAATGGAGAGGAAAAGATTTATAAGAACAATAACAACAACAAAAACCCATAAGCAGAATTGACAAACATTGGAATGGTATTATACTCCAAAAACTCCACACTGCACAATACCCAGCATTTCCTTTTTTGCTATGGCTATACACATTTTTTTTTTCCTGAGATAAGGTCTTGCTGTGTTACCCAGGCTGGCATGCAGTGGTGGTGCAATCTTGGCTCACTGCAGCCTCTGCCTCCTGGGTCAAGCCATTCTTGTGCCTCAGCCTCCCTGTAGCTGGGATTACAGTCAGGCACCATCTCACTCAGCTAATTTTTATATGTTTAGTAGAGACAGGGTTTCACCATTTTGGCCAAGCTGGTCTTGAACACCTGACCTCAAGTGATCCACCCACTCAAGCCTCCCAAAGTGCTGGGATTACAGGTGTGAGCCACTGCGCCCGGTCGTATACATTCTTTTAAAAAGTTTTAATGACTAAATGACCGGGGTCCAAGGCTCCTGCCCTTGCGTGTGCTCTTATATGTGCAGCCTTACACTTCAGGCCAACTGAGCTTCTAGCTGTTTCTTTTACATACTCTGTTTCCCTTCTCTGTCTTTGTGCCTGCTGTTTCTCTATCCCACTTTTCATACATACAAATCTTACCTAGAATTAGAGACCCAAATTAAATACCTCTGTTTCCCCAAAGCATTTCCTAATCTTGTCAGCTGGATGTCATCTCTCCTCTGAAATCTTGTGACATTTTTTCTTGCCTTTCTTTCAGCATTGACCATGCCTATAATCACATTTCATCTCCTCTCCTCTGTAAACTGAGAGCAGAAACTGGGTCTCTTTCATGTTTGTTTCTTCCTCAGCATCTTTCATGTAAGCAGACATTAGGAAGAGATTTACTGTAGGTATGGGATAAACATGAGAAATAAAGAGTAGGCATGATTAAAATGGAAGAAGAAAATATTGGTTAATGTGCATGGAACCAGTGCAAATTTAGAGTCAAATAGAACATTGGGTGTTCACAGTTACATGACAGACTAATCTGGATGCTACAGAATTTAGTAAAAATGTTCTCACCTCGTTACTGTCCTCAGATTAATAAAGAACCTGGAATTATTTCTTTCATAGAAGCCAGAAAGTAAAAGATTGATAACTATGACTAAAAACTGTGAAGCTTTATATAGGTAAAAAATAACATAGAGGTCAAAGACAATAGTAAAAGAATAGGTAAAATTTTGAAAGTTTAAATTGAAGTAACCATTTTGGAGGAAAATTTGAAAATATCTATCAAGATGTCTGATTGCTCACTCTTGATTAGACTCAGATTCTGCACTTTTAACGAGGATATTACATGAGTGATGTTGCATAGTTTCTATTGTATCCCACTGGGAGACAATAGTATGTTCCACTTTTAGTGTTGTCAAGTTTGATAACGTGGTTGGTAATCTCTAAATCTCACTCCTGTAATTATACATTATAAGTGATAAGTAATTTTAGGGTAACACTTTGAGAACACATGAATATCTATCCTCAACAACCTTTTCCCCAGTGGTTTAAGAACCACTGAGGATCTTTGTCTGATTTAATTAGTTTACATTGGGATTTGCAAAATGGCCATTTTCTAATTCTACCATTCCTTCCAGATTTATTAGCTGGCATTCATCTGTAAAGAAGAGCTTTTTCTTTTTCTTCACTGTCTCTCTTGCTTCCACATGAATTACTTATTTATGTTTTAATCACTATTGATTCCTGGCTTTTTAAAAAAATCCAGCATGTTATAAAACATAACTATCCTTGTTCCTTTTGATATTCAACTTGTCCCAAATATTGCCAGTGGGGTAGCCTTTAAGTTAGCTTCCCTGTCCTTTTCAAATGTCTGTTTTAATCAACAAGCAATCCTTTGAATTCTGGCACAAAGTGTCCCAAACTTGCCTTATACATTCCCTTGTGCAAATCTGGAATCTGCCATTTCTCTAAGAATCTGTAGTTCCTTTAGTGGAGAAATGTTAATGAGCAGAAGGATGTTTATTCCTATTAGAGTATCACTGCTTCTAGATTATAGACCCTTCGAGTGAACAGAGTTAGAAAATGTGTGTGTGTGTGTGTGTGTGTGTGTGTGTGTGTGTGTGTGTATTTTAAACTATGGCTTGATATCATTAATTTCAATACAATACGAGAAGGTTCCTTTTCATTTTTTTCTTCTCCATATTTCTATCAATCTGTCCTCACTATGAAAACACTGTCTCCCAGCAATGTCAATATATTTACTCATTTGCTTTTTTTACAGTATAAAGATACTTTTGTATTTATAGTATCTGTATCACTACCAATGACAAACCCACCAAGGAAAGCCTAAGATTTTCTATCTGTTTTTTTGTCCTTATACAACCTCCTGGAGAAACACAACCAAAGTATTTTATTCAAAAATCACTTGACCACAAGTGCAAGAGCACAGACCAAACAGTGTCCAGCATCACCTATTGGAGTGTTGTTGCCAGCAGACTGGGAACACCTTGGTCCCCACAGTGCAGCAGGTTTCTAACCTTCAGGGGCCAAACAATAAAGCCAGCAGTTCAGTGCAAGCCCACAGGTCTACAGCAAGAAACTCATGAGTGATGAGCTGACCCTTGGCCCCTTGAAATCTTCCAGAAACGAAGCCCAGTTGACTGAACCCACCTTATACCACAAACAAATCCCCAATGGCATCAAAGACTATAAAAGCAAAAAACTGTAGGAGATCCGTCAGAGTGGAGGGAGAAACTATAGGAAAAGGAGTAGGCCTTCTGAAAGGTCAGAAGGCTCTGCAAAGCTCCAGGAGAGAATAGCTGAAGGCAGCTGTTCTATAACCCTGAGGCAGAGGGCAAGGAGTAGGTACAAGGGAGTGTAGGGGAATTTATCTTCAACAGGCTTGTTTACTTATGTTGACCAGGAACTGACCTTTGATCATCCACACGCCTGACATTCCCTGAAGGGCGAACAATAAATGTTAATTACCTACAGGTTGTGTTGGCTCCAGGTTTTTGGCATTGTGCCTGCACTGAATAAAAGCAAGCAGCTCCAGCTTCTCATGGCTGCTCTCTGGCCACTAGAGCCAGGCAGTCACCTAGCTGCTCTTACACTGTATACCCATGTCTGAATACTCATTTCATCCATCGGCCAGGGTCTGCAGGACAGACTCAGCAAAAACTCCATCCAAAGGACAGCAACTTCAAAGATCAAAGGAACATCAGCCCACACAGATGAGAAAGAACCAGCACAAAAACAGGCATCTCAAAAAGCCAGAGTGCCTTCTTTCCTCCAAACAACCACACTAGTGCCCCAGAATTGGTTCTTAACCAGGCTGAAATGGCACAGAATTCAGAAATGACAGGCATAGAATTCAGAATCTCAATATGAACAAAAATCATCAAGATTTGGGAGAAAGTCAAAACCCAATCCAACGAATCTAAGGAATCCAATAAAACAATACAAGAGATGAAAGATGAAATAACCATTTTAAGAAAGAACCAAACTAAACTGATGGAGTTGAAAAACTCACTGCAAGAATCTCATAATAAAATCACAAGTATTAATGACAGACTAGATGTGGAAAGAATCTCAGAGATCAAACACTAGTTCTTCAAATCAACTCAGTCAGACAAAACCAAAGAAAATAAAAATAAAAAAGAATAAACAAAACTCCCAAGAAATATGGAATTATTTAAGGAGACCATATCTACGATTCATTGGTGTCCCTGAAAGAGAGGGAGAAAAAGAAAGCAATTTGGAAAATATATTTGAGTCTATTGCCCATGAAAATTTCCCCAACCTCACTAGACAGGCCAGCATTCAAAATCAGGACATGCAGATATCCCCTGTGAGATTCTATACAAGACAACTATCCTCAAGACACATCATCATCACATTTTCCAAGGTCAACACAAAAGAAAAACTTTTAAAGGCAGCTAGAGAGAAGGGGCAGGTAATCTACAAATGGTACCCCATCAGACTAACAGTGGACCTTTCAGCAGAAACTCTACAAGCCAGAAGAGATTGAGGTCCTATATTTGCATTCTTAAAGAAAATAAATTCCAGTCAAGGATTTCCTATCTAGCAAAACTAAGCTTCATAAGTGAAGGAGAAATAAGATCTTTTCAGACAAGCAAATGCTAAAGGAATTTGTTATCATTAGTCCTGCCTTACAAGAGGTCCTTAAGGGAGTGCTAAATATGGAAAAGAAAGACCATTACTGGCCACCACAAAAACATACTTAAGTACATAGACAATTGACACTATGAAGCAACTACACAGTCAAGTCTGCATGGCAAGAAGCTAACATCATGATGACAGGATCAAATCTGCACATATTAATACTAATCTTGAACATAAATGGGCTAAATGCCCACTTAAAAGGCACAGAGTGGCTAGTTCAATAAAAAGCAAGACTCAATGGCATGCTGTCTTCAAGACTTCAAGAGACCTGAAACCAACCCAATTGTCCCATAGAACTGATGTTATAGTTTCTTTTGAAAGAACATATAAATTGATCCCCCTAGCCCGGGGCTTGAAACTTGAGGAAGTTACATTTGTCTTATCTGAATTCCTTTCTCAGGAAACCAACTATCAGTCCTTCCAGATAGCATCAAGGAACTGAAACTTACTAGATTACCACTTCTAGAAAATAAGACATCAGACCCCTCATCCATCATGAATGCCTAACTAACCACCTGCTTCCTGATGACCAACTCCTCTGCCTTGCCCCTCTTTAATTCCTGAATTCCTGTTTTCCTGCTGGTACATTTCTGCTATATAAACACCTAATTTTAGTTGGTCAGAGAGACGGATTTAAGATGGTCAGTGTTCCTTCCCTGGCAACACTCATTGTTTCAGTGATTGGCTTTCTGTGCAGTGAGCTGCAGGACCTAAACTGAACCCTTGGTGTTCCCATAACAGACACATCTCACATGCAATGACACATGTAGGCTCAAAGTAAAGCAATGGAGAAAAAAATCTACCAAGGAAATGGACAACAAACAAACAAAAAAGGCGGGAATGCTAATTTCAGACAAAACAGACTTTAAGCCAAAAATGATCAAAAAAGACAAAGAAAGGCATTACATAATAGTAAAGGGTTCAATTCAATAAGAAGACTTAACTATCCTAAATACATATGCACCCAACACTGAAGCACTCAGATTCATAAAATAAGTTTTTAGAGACCTATTAAGAGACTTAGATAACCACACTATAGTAGTAGAAGACTTCAACACTCCACTGACAATGTTAAACAAATCAACAAGGCAGAAAATTATTAAGTATATTCAGAACCTTAACTCGACACTTGACCAAATAGACCTAATGGACATCTACAGAATTCTCTGCCCCAAAACAACATAGTATACATTCTTTTCATCTGCACATGGCACATGCTCTAAAATCAACCACACGATTTGTCATAAAACAATTCTCTGCAAGTTAAAAAAGCAAAAGCAAAACAAAATCATACCAATCACACTCTTGGACCACGATGCAATAAAAGTAAAAATCAAAACAAAGAAAACAATTTGAAACCCTAGAATTACATGAAAATTAAACAAGCTGCTCCTGAATGACTTTTGGGTAAAGGATGAAATTAAAGCAGAAATCAAGAAATTCTTTGAAACTAATGAAAACCAAAATACAAGATCCCAGAATCTCTGGGACACAGCTAAAGTGGTGTTAAGATGAGAGTTTATAGCGTTAAATGCCCACATCAAAAAGTTAGAAAGATCTCAAATTAACATCATAACATTACACTTAAAGGAACTAGAAAAACAAGAGCAAACCAACTCCAATGCTAACAGAGGACAAGAAATAAACAAAATCAGAACTGAACTAAATGAAATTAAGGCATGAAAAACCATAAAAAGAAAAACAAAACCAGAATTGCTTATTTGAGAAAGAATAATTAAGGTTGATAGACTGCTAACTAGACTAAAAAGAAAAAAAGAGAGAGAAGATCCAACTAAATACAATCAGAAATAACAAGGGGGCCATTACAAAAATAAAGGGGGAGTCCACAGAAATTTAAAAAAACCCTCAGAGACTATTATGAACACCTCTATGTAGATCAATTAGAAAACCTACAAGAAATGGATAAATTCCTAAAAACATACAACCTCCTTCATGACTAAAACACCAAAAGCAATGGCAACAAAAGCCAAAATTGACAAATGGGATCTAATTAAACTAAAGACCTTCTGCACAGCAAAAGAAACTACCATCAGAGTGAACAGACAAACTGCAGAATGGGAGAAAATTTTTACAATCTACCCATCTGACAAAGGGCTAATGTCCAGAATCTACAAAGAACTTAAACACATTTACAAGAAAAAAATCAAACAACCCCATCAAAAAGTGGGCAAACGATATGAACAGACACTTCTCAAAAGAAGACATTTGTGCAGCCAACAGACACATGAAAAAATGCTCATCATCACTGGCCATCAGAGAAATGCAAATCAAAACCACAATGAGATACCATCTCACACCAGTTAGAAGGCAATCATTAAAAAGTCAGGAAACAACAGGTGCTGGAGAGGATGCGGAGAAATAGGAACACTTTTACACTGTTGGTGGGACTGTAAACTAGTTCAACCATTGTGGAAGACAGTATGGTGATTCCTCAAGGATCTAGAACTAGAAATACCATTTGACCCAGCCATCCCATTACTGAGCATATTCCCAAAGGATTATAAATCTTGCTGCTTTAAAGACACATGCACACGTATGTTTATTGAGGCACTATTCACAATAGCAAAGACTTGGAACCAACCCAAATGTCCATCAATGATAGACTGGATTAAGAAAATGTGGCACATATACACCATGGAATACTAGGCAGCCATAGAAAAGGATGAGTTCATGTCCTTTGTAGGGACATGGATGAAGCTAGAAACCATCATTCTGAGCAAACTATCACAAGGACAGAAAACCAAACACCGCATGTTCTCACTCATAGGTGGAAATCGAACAATGAGAACACTTGGACACAGGGTGGGGAAAGTCACACACTGGGGCCTGTCTTGGGGTAGAGGGAGGGTAGAGGGATAGCATTAGGAGATACACCTAATGTAAATGACGAGTTAATGGGTGCAGCACACCAACATGGCACATGTATACATATGTAACAAACCTGCACATTGTGCACATGTACCCTAGAACTGAAAGTATAATAATAAAAAATAAATGGCCTTAATCCCACCCATGAGGGTGGAGCCCTTATGGCCTAATCACCTCCCCAAATTTCCACCTCCCATCACCGCCACAATGGCAACCAAATTTCAACATGAGTTTTGGAGGGGAAAAAACATTCAAACCATAGCATACCTTCTGTGCAAATTCTGTGCAATATTTACAATGGGCATTTTATTCATTTGGATTTAATGGGTGATACATTTGGGCTATTTTTCCTCTCCAAATCTGATGTTGAAATTTGATTTTCAATGTTGGAAATGGGGCCTGGTGGGAGGTGTTTGGATCATAGGGGTGGATCCCTCATGAATGGCTTGGTGTTATCTTACCACTAATGAGTAAGTTCTCACTTTATTAGTTCATGCAAGAGCTGATTGTTTAAAAGAGTGTGGGTATCCCTCCTGTCTCTCTGTTGCTTTCTCTCTTGCCATGTGACACATATGCTTCCCCTTCACCTTCCACCACGAGTGGAAGCTTCCTGAGGTTTTTACTAGAAGCAGATGTCAATGCCATGCTTCCTGTACAGCGTGCAGCATTGTGAGCCCAATAAATTTCTTTTCCTTATAAATTAAAAAAAAACAACAACATACAACCTCCCTATATTGAACCAGGAAGAAATTGAAACTGTGAACGGATCAATAACAAGTAAAGTTCCAAAACTGAATCAGTACTTAAAAGCCTACCAACAAGGAAATGTCCTGGCCCAGACAGATTCACAGCCAAATTCTACTAGACATATAACGAAGAGTAGGTACCATTCCTACTGAAACCATTCCAAAAAATTGGAGAGGAGGAACTCCTCTCCAACACATTCTATGAGACAAGCATCATCCTCATACTAAAACCTGGCAGAGACATACCAACAAAAAAGAAAACTTCAGGCCCAAATCCTTGATGAACATAGATGTAAAAAATCTTCAACAAAATACTAGTAAATTGAATCCAGCAGCACACCAAAAAGCTAATCCACCATGATCGAATAGGTTTCATCCCTAGGATGCAAGGCTGGTTCAACATGTGCAAATCAATAAATGTGATTCATTAGATTAACAGAACTAAAAACAAAAACCACATGATCATTTCAACAGACACAGAAAAGGCTTTACATAAAATTCAACATCACCTTATGTTAAACATCCTCAACAAACTAGGCTTGAATAACATACCTCAAAATAATAAGAGTCATCTTATGACAAACCCACAGCTAACATCATATTGATCGGGCAAAGGTGGAAGCATTCTCGTTGACAACTGGAACAAGACAAGGATGCCACTCTCACTATTCCTATTCAAAGTAGTACTAACATTCTTAGTCAAAGCAATCAGGGAAGAGTAGGAAATAAAAGACATCCAAATAGGAAAAAAGGAGCTCAAACTATCCCTATTTGCAGATGATATGATCCTGTACCTAGAAAACCCAGTAGTCTCATCCAAAAGCTGATAAGCAACTTCAGCAACGTTTCAGAATACAAAATCAATGTACAAAAATCAGTAGTGTTTCTATACACCAAAAACGTCCAAGCTGAGAGCCAAATTAAGAATGAAATCCCATTCACAATAGCCACAAAAAATTAAATACCTAGAAATACAGCTAACCAGGGAGATGAAAGATCTTTACAATGAGAATTACAAAACACTGCTCAGAGAAATAAGAGATTACACAAACAAATGGAAGAACATTCTATGCTCATGGATAGGAAGAATCAATATTGTTAAAGTGGCCATACTACCCAAAGCAATTTACAGATTCAATGCTGTTCCTATCAAACTACCAATAGCATTTTTCCACAAAATTAGAGAAAAACTATTCTAAAATTCATATGGAACTAAAAAAGAGCCCTAATGGCCAAAGCAATCGTAAGCAAAAAGAACAAAGATGATGCCATCACGTTACTCAAATTGAAGCTATACTACAAGGCTACAGTAAACAAGACAGCACAATTCTGGTACAAAAACAGAAACACAGACCAATGGAACAGGTTAGGTAACCCAGACATAAGGCCATACACCTAAAACTATCTGATTTTTAATAAAGTTGACAAAAGCAATGGAAAAAGAGCTCCCTTTGGAGTTGGGGTAACTGGCTAGCTATATGCAGAATACTGAAGCTGGGCTCCTTCCTTTCACCATGTACAAAAAACTCAAGATGGGCTAAAGACTTAACTGTAAAACGTAAAACTACCAAAACACTAGAAAAAAAAAACTAGGAAATACCATTCTGGTCATAGGCACTGACAAAGGCTTTGTGACGAAGACACCAAAAGCAACGGCAACACAAACAAAAATTGACAAACAGGACCTAATTAAATTAAAGCACTTCTGCACAGCAGAAGAAATTACCAACATAGTAAACAGAAAATCTACAGAATGGGAGAAAATATTTGCAAGCTATGCATACAGCAAAGGTCTAATATCCAGAATCTATAAGGAACCTGAACAAATTAGTAAGCAAAAAACAAACAGTCCCATTAAAAAGAGGGCAAAGAACAAGAACAGACATTTTTCCAAAGAAGACATACACACAGCCAACAAGCATGTGAAGAAAATCCTCAACATAACAAATCATTAGAGAAACATGGATCAAAACCACAATGAGATACCATCTAACACCAGTCAGAATGGCTATAACTAAAAAGTAAAAAAGTATAACAATAGATGCTGGCAAGTTTGCAGAGAAAAGGGACCGCTTACACGCTGCTAGTTCAGCCACTGTGGAAAGCAGTCTGGAGATTTCTCAGAACTTAAAACAGAATTACCATTCAATCCAGCAATCCTATTATTGGGAATATACCAAAGGAATATAAATTATTTTATCATAAAGACACATGCACATGTATGTTTATCACAGCACTATTCACAACAACAAAGGCCTAGAATCAACCTAGATGTCTATCAGCAATAGACTGGATAAAGAAAATATAGTACATATGCACCATCTAATACTATGAGATCATGTCCTTTGCAGGAACATGGATGGAACTTGGAGGCTATTATCCCGACCAAATTAACACAGGAATAGAAAACCAAATGCCACATGTTCTCACTTATAAATGGGAGCTAAATATTAAGTATGCATGGACACAAATAAGGGAACAATAGACACCAGGGCCTGCTTGAGGGTGGAAGGTGAGAGGAGGGTGAGGATCAAAAAACTACCAAGTACTATGCTTATCACCTGAGTGACAAAAATTCTGTACACCAAAGCCCCACAATATGCAATTTACCTATGTAACACCACCTGCAAATGCACCCCTGAACCTAAAAGTCTAAAAAATAAACATAAATAACTTGACCTAATTCTTATCTTGATGTGAATATGTTATCATTTGATATATAGCTATATTTATCTGTTTCTGCCTGTATTTAATTTCAGGGTTTGTTGTTCTTACAATCCTTGTTTATTTATTTTTAAAATTTAAAATACTTAAATAATTATAAAAGTCAAAACTACATAAAAATTCAGTCTCAAAGAATATCTCATGCCTAGGCGCGGTGGCTCATGCCTGTACTCCCAGCACTTTGGGAGGCCAAGGTGGGCGGATCACAAGGTCAGGAGTTTGAGACCAGCCTGGCAAATATAGTGATGAAACCCCATCTCTACTAAAAATACAAAAAAAATTAGCCAGACGTGGTGGTGGGTGCCTGTAATCCCAGCTACCCAGGAGGCTGAGGCAGGTGAATTGCTTGAACCAGGGAGGCGGAGGTTGCAGTGAGCTGAGATCGTGCCATTGCACTCTAGCCTGGGCGACAGTGTGAGACTCCGTCTTAAAAAAAAAAAAAAGAAAAGAAAAGAATATCTCACTTTGTTTCCAACTTCATCACTCCTTCTCCTACCCACCCCCTATAATTTTCATTTGTTTCTAGTTTATACTACTTATGTAGCTTCTTGCAAAAAACAGGAAATTTAAATATATATATATATTTTAAATAAGGCATATTTAGCATATTATATACACTCTTTTCTCCTTTGCCTTTTTCACTTATTGGTAGATTCTAGAAATCACTCTTTATTAGTTCTTGAAGATCTTTCTCTTTCTTTTAATAAGCTGCATAGTATGCAAATATAGTTTATTCAATTAGTGAATAGATATGAGTAGGCATTTATCTTGTTTCCAAAATTTTGTTTATTCACATAACAAAGTGATAAATCTCATGTATTTTTTTTTGTTGTTTTTTGTATTCCAAAGTGCATCTTCTGGGTAAAATTTCTAGAGGAGAAGAGACTTTGTAAAAGGGCAAATGCAATGAAAATTGTGTTAGACATTGCCAAATTTTTCTCCAGGGGTTTGGACCACTTTGCACTCAGAGGGGAGATAATTTTGAGTGGCACAGTGTCTGTGCAGAGGAGTGGGGGCCAGTGCAGGAGGACTCTTGTCTAATATTTCTACAAACCTCTTTGTCCTGTTCAGGCTGGTTCTAATATCAATATTTTTTTTTCTTAAATTTATTATTTTATATTCAGGAAGGCATTGGACCTGAAAAAGCTGGTGACCCCATATCTGTTCTATACTACCAGAATTCTCCTCTTCAAGTGCATCTCTTCCTGGGCTAAGCCAATACAAAGATAAGGAAAAGCTTCCTTAAGTGGTTACAATCTTCAATACTTACTGATGTAGGGAAGGCAAAATTTTACCTCTACTCTCTTAGGGATTTTTTAGCTGGACCTTATGTCTTGACATAATATATACAATTAGGAGAAGTGCACACAAATTTCTTTAATACGAGTTTTACATGGTGCACAATCTTCATAAGGAAACAAAGACCCAAAGACAAAGTTAAACACTTATATGCTAAATTGGACCAACAGTCATGAATGATGAGAATGTGACCAGGCAAAGGGGCTTGAGCTAGGATAGTTAATTGGGTAGAGAAGTGACCACGAAGATAAGAGTTGGTTTAACAAGGTTTGTTTGTAGATTTCCCTAGGCCTCAATTGCTTGTCCTAGATGATAAGAATGATACTCTTCTTCTGGTGTAGAAAGGACGTCTTTCACATGGGAATTTCATCTCCTACTTTTAAGAAGCAGAAGGAAAGTCAGAGTGATCTTCTTGCACCTGCTATTTTTAAGTCCTTTCAATTCAAAATAGTCAGTATGCCAGAGTGGCAGATTTTGGGGTGCCATGTTTTGAATTACTTCGCTGGCCAGTTTCTATGCACTAAGCAGTGTGCTAAGCCATTCTGTGTTCCAGACCCCAAACTTTCTCAACTTCCCTAGGACTTTTCTTTCCCTTAGTTCCCTCCTCTATGTTCTATAACATCAATTTCTGTCCTTCCCCTCCTCCGTTACTATCAGCATATAAACATTATATAATACCTTTTGTGTTAAAAAGAAAATAAACCCTCCTTGAGCCCCTTCTCAATTCTCTGTTCCATTCTTAGTCCAAATTTTCGGAAGCTTTATTTCCATTTCCTCATTTCCATTGTACAACTCAATACATTCCAGATTGCTTTTCTCCTCTAAAACTTCACTCAATTTTCTGTTGTTTAAAATTGGCAGCAACCACCATGTTACCTATTGCACTGAATATTTTTCACTCATCTCCATTGCCCTTTGGCAACTTTCAATACTGTTGGCCTTCCTCATTCTTTATCTTCTTACACCAGGATGTTTATTATTCCCTCTCCCTCTTTGACTTCTTGTTAGTTTTTCTTATGGAACCTGCTCTTATGACTTCCAAATAATGGAATTCCTTAGGGCTTAGGCCTAAACCTAATTTCATTTCATTGTCTCTCCTCTACCTGGTGATCTCATCTATTCCTGTTGTTTTTTCTGAAAAGACCCATATTTACTTTTCTCTAGCCAATCCCACTTCCCTGAGCCTTAGACTCACATAGCTTACTCAGGAATTGACAGCTCTACCTTTTTGCTTCACTAACTTCTCAAATATAGCATGTCCAAAATGGAACTCTGTTTCCCCTCCCCAAACCTATATCCCCAACACTGGGACCATCCTTGGTTTTACCGTTTTCTTATATTTTCACATAAAATGTGTGTTAGTTTAGTAGGGCTATCTGTGTATTAGTCAGTTCTTACACTGCTAATAAAGACATACCTGAGACTAGGTAATTTAAAAAGGAAAGAGGTTTAATTGACTCACAGTCCAGCATGGCTGGGGAGGCTTCAGGAAACTTACAATCATGGTGGAAGGGGAAGCAAACACATCCTTCCTCACATGGCAGAGAAAGGAGTAGTGCCAAGCAAAGAGGGAAAAGCCCCTTATAAAACCATCAGATCTTGTGAGAACTCACTATCATGAGAACAGCAGCATGGGGGTAAACACCTTCATGATTCAATTACCTACCACAGCATTCCTCCCATGACTCATGGGGATTATGGGAATCACAATTCAAGATGAGATTTGGGTGGGGACACAGCCCAACCATATCAGGCTGTCATATCAAAGCACAACACATTGAGTGGCTTAAACTACAGAAATATATTTTCTCATAATTCTAGAGGCTAGAGGTCTGAGATCAAAGTCTTAGTCTTGATTTGAGGCCTCTCTGCTTGGCTTGCAGATGGCTGTCTTTTCCCTGTGTCTTCTCATGGTCTTCTCTCTATAAGGGTCTGTGTCCTAATTTCCTTTTCATATAAGGACACCAGTTATATTGGATTAGGGCCCATCGTATGACCACCTTTTAACTTAATTACCTCTTTAAAGATCCTATCTCCAAATATAGGCACATCCTAAAGTACTGGGAGTTAGGACATCAACATATGAATTTTGGGAGGATGCAATACAGCTGATAACACTAGGGACACACTTCAGGTCATGACACAATTCATTAGTAAATTTTGACTAACTTCAAAATGTTTCCTCAATCAGTTGCATCTCCCTACTCCCTGTACCTCAACTGTAATCTTGCTGGAACTACTGCAATAAGCTGTTGACTGGTCTTCTTACTTCCACTCATGCCCCTCCAATCCATGCTCCAATAAATAGCAGACAGATGTTCCACACATTAATCAGATGAAGTTACCACTTGTACCCCACCATTACCACCAACAAGTCTTCAGTTGCTTTTGATTGAACTCAGAATAACCAAATCCTTAAGGCCCTTAATGTCTATCTTTTGAATATTTTTCCAAAAGTCATCTGATTCCACTACAACCAGCCACACTGATTTCCCTATTCAGATGCATTTGGCTCTTTTTGCTACTCTGCATGATTAGTTTCTTTTTGTCCTTTAAGATTCAGCTTAAATGTCACTTTTATAAGGAAGCCTTTTCTAAGAGCCTTATTAAGGACAAAACTTCTACCTTATTATGCTCTCATTTTCGTGTTTGTTCCATTCATAATACTTACTGCTGCTTGCTGCCTACTTTTTAGCTTTTTGGCTGCCTGCCTCCACTCCAGGAATATTTTCTGATGTATCTCCAGCACATACCACATTGTCTAGCAAATGGTAGGAACTCAATAAATACTTTTTGAAAAAATAAATAAATGGATGGATGAATGGATGCTCTGCTCCATGAGAACAGAGGCCATTTCTGCCTTGTCCATCTGTGTTTCCACTGCCTGACATAAGACAGAAATTCAATCAGTATGGTGATATGGTTAGGCTTTGTGTCCCTACCCAAATCTCACCTTGAATTTTAATCCCAACAATTCCCACAATTCCTTTGTGTCAAGGGAGAGACCAGGTGGAGGTTACTGGATCATGGGGGCAGTTTCCCCCATTCTGTTCTTGTGATAGTGAGTTCTCACAAGATCTGATGGTTTTACAAGGGGCTCTTCCCTCTTCCCTTGACACTTCTTATTCCTGCCACCCTGTGAAGGAGGTGCCTTGCTTCCCCTTTGTCTTCCACCATGATTGTAAGTTTCCTGAGGCCTCCCAGCCATGATGAACTGAATCAATTAAACCTCTTTCCTTTATAAATTACCCAGTATTGAGCAGTTATTTATAGCAGTGTGAAAATGAACTAATACATATGGGTTGAATTAATTAATCAGTATCTCACAGTGAGAAAACTAATGCTTAGGAGTTAAAGCAACCACCCCCTGACCAGTACAGAGAGACAGAGCCAGGATGTATACCTTAATGTTTGACAACTCCAATTCTAGAAATATTGGTGCTAAAGGGGACTTTAGAGATGATCTAATCTAACAGCCAGATTTTACAGTTGAACAAAATGAAGCTCAGAAGGTGAAATGACACACCCAACTCATCCGTTTTGATCCATATTGTAGGCTCAGCTCTGTAACTAGTCAGCTCAGTAAGCTTAGGTAAATTACCTTCTCTGTACTTCATTGTCCTTATCTGAAGAAGGAGTTGAAAGGTCTCAATGGCAGGATTTAAGCATTCCTGGATTTAAGCACTCCTTCCAGCTTATAACTTTTTTTTTATTATTATTATACTTTAAGTTTTAGGGTCCATGTGCACAACGTTCAGGTTTGTTACATACGTATACGTGTGCCATGCTGGTGTGCTACACCCATTAACTTGTCATTTAGCATTAGGTATATCTCCTAATGCTATCCCTCCTCCCTCCCCCCACCCCACAACAGTCCCCGGTGTGTGATGTTCCCTTCCTGTGTCCATGTGTTCTCACTGTTCAATTCCCACCTATGCGTGAGAACATGCGGTGTTTGGTTTTTTGTCCTTGCAATAGTTTGCTGAGAATGATGCTTTCCAGTTTCATCCATGTCCCTACAAAGGACATGAACTCATCATTTTTTATGGCTGCCTAGTATTCCATGGTGTATATGTGCCACATTTTCTTAATCCAGTCTATCGTTGTTGGACATTTAGGTTGGTTCCAAGTCTTTGCTATTGTGAATAAATAGTGCTGCTATAAACATACGTGTGCATGTGTCTTTATAGCAGCATGATTTATAATCCTTTAGGTATAAACCCAGTAATGGGATGGCTGGGTCAAATGGTATTTCTAGTTCTAGATCCCTGAGGAATCGCCACACTGACTTCCACAATGGTTGAACTAGTTTACAGTCCCACCAACAGTGTAAAGGTGTTCCTATTTCTCCACATCCTCTCCATCTCCTGTTGTTTCCTGACTTTTTAATGATCGCCATTCTAACTGGTGTGAGATGGTATCTCATTGTGGTTTTGGTTTGCATTTCTCTGATGGCCAGTGATGATGAGCATTTTTTCATGTGTTTTTTGGCTGCATAAATGAGGATATGAACAGACAGCTTAGAACTTTTATGATTCTTCCTGAGTTTTCTCTTACCTCCTCCCCTCACCATTTCTCTCTCATTTAAAGAGAGGGAGAAAATTAAGTTGTGTTACATCTGCTTTGTTCTTTACTCTAACGAAACCATTAGAAAAATAAAAGTAAAAAAATCATAAAGTTTCCTAATCTTTATGTATCTTAGGAAGAATAAGAGTGCCTACCTTAGATATCCCTAAAGGAAAGATAAAAGTTATATCTCCAGGTTCTAGCTATAGTTGAAAAAGTATGTGTATAATAGTCATTCAGAAGAAATATCATTATCAATCCCTGTAATGAGGCAATAAATTGAAAAAGAAAAGGATAAAGTAATGTTCATGGCAATAACTGAATGTAAAATTCCTTGGTGTGTATGTAAGAAAATGAATAACCCACATTTCTGTGGTTTTCACTTTATTTTAACTGCTGGTGAAGAGTGACTTATACTGCAAGAAGGCAAACCATTCTTATTTACACTCAAAATGTCAAATTTCATTTGCACTGAAATGCCATCACCTTGTATAACTCTACCAGCTTAACCTGCACAGAAAAGAAAAGCTAGAGGCAGAATATGAGGAGACCTGGAGCATTAAACCCAGCCTCTTTTCTCTGCAGCTTGATCAAACACCCTGATTTGCTGCAACCATTCCAAGATGGAAGTGTTTTGAATTCTAAAATAGCTTAGCACCAAATGTGTCATAATTAATCCGAATCTATATTTAGAATGATGAAATTTGCCATGAAATCTGAAATATGCTTCAAATGTCAGTCTTATTTTTAATTAATATGCCAATCCACCTTTGCAATAATCAAGTTTTACAGTCTCCCAGTACTAGATAACTTGGATGCTGTTTTGTGAGTGTGTTTTTTTTAACCTCACAATTATGATAATGTAGTTCTCCCACAGATTCTTCCTTCTCCCACAGATTGTCAAAGGAAATCTGATTTTATCCCAGTGGTATATTTAATCTATAAAATCAAATGATGTGAAATGAAATGTCTTGTGACAGTGGTCACAAGCTAAGAAAATCATTTTCATACCATCACATCTACCATTCTTATGATCTGATATTTGTTGGAAGAGGGCAATATGTTATCCTGCTTTAGTCAAACCCATTTCTTTTTACTAAAATTCTAGGGTAATGGAAATGAAAGCCACAGATTTAAAAGAAATGTGTTTTATTTTTTAAAGCAGGTATGGAGTACATTATACTCTATGTATCAACTATAAAATGTACTGCTCATTTTACGCTCTTTTTAGGCCCGTCTGTATTTTCCATTGAATTTTTGAATATTTCATATTAAATGGTTGGTAGAAAAATGTTTAAATAGTCTTGCAGAACCCCAAATTGTAGCAATCCTGACACCTTCTCAAATTGCACTGTGTGAGCAGAAAGCTTATCTGCGGATATAGACTTTCCTGTCTTTACAGACTCATTGGGTGAGAGAGAAAAACAATTTGCTGGAAGCACACAAATATGTACAAACTGCAACTAGTGTCTTGGGATTCTTCTGCCATTGCAAATAGCAACATTATCAGTCACAGCTCAAGTAAGGTTGCCATGAAAAACAAGTAAAAGAAAAGTACAAAACTGACAGTGGTTAGAAACTTCTTGAGCAACATGACACAGTAAATTGACATTTGTTTCATCTAGTGAAAACTTGGGCTCATATTTTGTATATATTTATTTTATTTGACTAGTAATTTATTTTTATGGTATTTTTAAAAAGCATTCCACAACAGACTAGAAATTTGAAAACTAATACTTCCCCAGTGAGGATTGTAAAATAACTGTCAAAGATGACTTAGTTAGCTTCCTTGTTATAAAGAAGCATATCACTAGAAATGGACATGACAAACAAATCCAAAAAGCCATTAGTGTATGTGGGACGCAATTTGTGTATTTTGTTGCCTCAATGATAGTCATTTGGTTCTTGCTCAAATGGATTGAAATGGATCATGCAAACTTTAGACTCAATCTCCTGTGGCATCCTGGCATTGCCAAAAACAGAAATTCCAAACAATCATTTTATAACAATTCTCAAGATTACAAGGCTGGAAGCATCTTTCTCTCCTCAGGCCAGGGTGTAGACTTCAGC
Organism: Homo sapiens; assembly: GCF_000001405.40. Lineage (NCBI taxonomy): Eukaryota > Metazoa > Chordata > Mammalia > Primates > Hominidae > Homo > Homo sapiens. Next base: position 75,551,469 of record NC_000009.12, on the reverse strand, counting down.
TATGCCTTTGATGCTGCTGAATACCTGTCCATCTTTTACTACATTTAAGAGGAAGACAACACAATCTTTCTTAGAAATGTAAAATAGTGTTTAAAAGCACCCCATTAGGAAGTTTATGCCTATAAATTTCTTTATTGAAATGATATCCAATGCATATCTTATATGTGCCAGATACTAATCTAGGTGGGCATACCTTGCCTTCATGGAACTTATATCTAAAGGAGAAGATAGTTACTAAGCAACAACTACATAAATAAATATGAGATTAAAACTTCGATGGTATGCAAGAAAAAAAGAGAAATGGTGCTATGAAATTTTATAGCAGGGAAATCTGATCTAGTTTAAGGGTTTGGAGAATACTTGCTGTATTTGTTTGTTCCACACTGCTATAAAGAAATACCTGAGACTGGGTAATTTATAAAGAAAAGAGGCTTAATTGGCTCATGATTCTACAGGCTGTACAGGAAGCATGGCTGGGGAGGCCTCAGGAAACTTGCAGTCATGGCAGAAGGTAAAGGGGAAGCAGGCATGTCTTATAAGGCTGGAGCAGGAAGAAGAGAGAGAGTGGAAGTTGGTGCCACATACTTTTAAACAACCAGATCTTGTGAGAACTATATTATGAGACAGCTCTCAGGGAACGGTGCTAAACCCTTAGAAACCACCCCCATGGTCCAGTCACCTTCCACCAGGCCCCACCTCCAACACTGGGGATTACAATTCAACATGAGACTTGGGTGGGGACACAGAAGGAAACCGTATCACTTGCTGTGGAGTGACAGGTCCTCCACCAGATTAATTAAGGATATATGTCTGCTGCTTGAACCCAGAAGGCCAGGTGGTGAGCCAAGGCCATGGTGCCCAGCACAGGAGCAGGTATCCCTAAGAACCCAAACATGTAAATATCTGGGAATATACCAAGAAAAGCAGTCTAATTGCATGCCGTAGGCAAAGAGCCAGAAAATTAGTTCAAAATCACCTTAGATACAGGTGGCAGGGCAGATCTGTGGAGGTGACCTGCTGCTGCCCAGGAATGCTCTGTATGTGTGTCCTAATAAACTCATCTACTTATCAAGCTGGACTTCTCCACATCATTCTTTGGTCTCTCGTCTCCTTCTAAGTTTGGGGGGGTAATTCTTCTATAGAGTCCCAGGATTTTTTCTGTAATGCTTGCCCAGAGGATGCCTTGCTTAGCTGGATCCAAGGATGACCAGGAGGGAAGCAGTGAAGAGTAGCAGGCAGAGCAGTGCAGGCAGGGGAAAACTAACTTACTTGTTCCTGCTGCCACTAAGCCTGTTTTGTGTGTGTGTGTGTGTTCATGTCTCAGTGAAAAATGTTGGCCTCCCATAATTATATTTTAAGTATTGAAATCTTTCTTTTAGATTCCACAGTCTTCTTCAGTAAAAATTCCCTGAACTTTTCTGATATTTTCCTTTCCAAGCCCATGACAGCTCTTAAACGCTCCTACTTTCTAGCAATCTATCCAAGCAAGCATAGAATGGCTATGATACTCCTTGAACCCATGTCTTCTAAGAGTCATGCTCCCCAAACCCTCTTTGCCCCAGCTTTTAGTCACTGCCATTCAAATCCTCTCTAATAAGATTTATAACACAGAATGAATTTTACCTTGGCAGTTCCCAGCTCCCCAGCTCTTGCTCCATACAGTTTTGGTGGGCTCATCCCGAAATACAGGGTTGGGGAGGTGGACCATATGACCCAATCTTGGATAGTCAAAGCAATGCACTCTCCTGATCCACTGTGATTGGCTTGTAAAAGAACCAACACAAAAGACAAACTGTCTCAATGTGGTATGAAAAAGAATGAGACATGGAGAGAAATAAATTTCTATTATGTTGTTTCAGTCCTCAATACAAACTTTTCTTAAGCCAGTCTAAACTTTTTCATTAAATAAAATAATGAACGCCCCCCACCCCTTTTAGTGAATATTTGTGTTGGGTATTCTTTCATCAGCACACCAGGGTCCTAACAGATAGATTGATTGATCAATCAATCGATAGGTAGATAGGCAGATATAAAAATCCTACATCAGTCATCTATCTGATATATACATTGTGCACAAGCTGTGTGCAAAAAAAAAAAAAAAAAAAAAACACTGACCAAAGTCCTGAAGAATCTAATAGAAGGCAGGATTATCACACTTCAGGAGCAGTGAAGTGTCAATTCCCTTCAACCGAAGGCCCCTAGGAACACATATGTGGTTGAATGAGCTGGGGTTTTACTGGTGAAGTAGAAGACACATCATGGTGTGGATATCTCAATAAAAGGGTGTTAGAAAGGAATTATAGGGCCAGATGAGGTGGCTCACACCTGTAATTTCAACACTTTGGGAGGCCGAAGGTGGAAGGATTGCTTCAGGCCAGGAGTTTGAGACCAGATTGAGCAACATAGCAAGACCTCATCTCTACAAAAATTTAAAAAATTTGACAGGGATGGTGATGTGCACCTGTTTTCCCAGTTACTCAAGAGGACGAAGCAGAACTCTGAAGCCCAGGAGTATGAGACTGCAGTAAGCTATAATTGAGCCACTGCACTCCAGCCTGGGCTGGTTGACAGAGAAAGACCCTGTCAGAAAACAAAGGAAGAAAGGAAGGAAGGAAGGAAGGGAGGAAGGAAGGAAGGAAGGAAGGAAGGAAGGAAGGAAGGAAGGAAGGAAGGGGAAGAAAAGAAAGAGAAAGAGAGAGGGAGGGAGGGAAGGAAGGAAGGGAGGGAGGGAGGGAGGGAGGGAGGGAGGACAGATGAACTTGGGAGAGGGATGAAGAAAGCAGGGGCTCTCCTGGATTGAAGAAGGCTGTCAAAAAGCAGCAATAATTCTTTAGAATGGGCAGACTGGAGAAAAGATAAAGCTACAAATGGTTAAGAACCAGGAATCAGTCACATTAGCCAAGAAAGGGGATGTTTGGTATTTTGTGGGTTGTATAGGGATCTTTTGTCACTGGCTTGGACAAAATTATGAAGTGGTCTTGAGTTTTCTCATTGTATCATGGCCTGAGTGATCTTCTCTGATGTTGGTATTCTGTGAGAGTGTTTATATCCAGCAAGAGAACAACATGGCCTGCCTGTGAGGGCCAGGGCAGCTTCTAACAATACTAGGGCCTGGCCATAAGCCTTAGAATAGTTGCTGAATGTTAGGGTTACTTTTTGCTTTCTCAGAGGATAAAAGATGTAGAATCCCATTGAGAGGGCTCCAGACCTTTCAGGTTGAACTTGGCACTGCTGGTCCCAGTAGCCACTCTGTGCACAGGCAGCATAGAAAGCTGCTCTCCTGACTTTGGAGAGGGATAAGAAGGTCTTGTAAGAGCCTGTAATTTTTCTTCATTTGAATAATAATGCCAGAAATTCCTTTAATAGGGATCAAAATCTCTTGGTTTCTAATAAAAGAAATGTCATAAAATTCAAATCACTCCACAGCAAGTCTGCTCCAAACTCTTAAACTAGATCAGATTCCTCTACTATAAAATACCATAGCAACAGATGGGCATGGTGGCTCACACCTGTAATCCCAGCACTTTGGGAGGCCAAGGCAGGTAGATCACATAAGGTCAGGAGTTCGAGACCAGCCTGGCCAACATGGTGAAACCCATCTCTACTAAAAATACAGAAATTAGCTGGGCACAGTGGCAGGCACCTGTAATCCCAGCTACTTGGGAGCCTGAGGCAGGAGACTTGATTGAACCCGGGATGCAGAGGTTGCAGTGGGCTAAGATTGTGCCATTGCACTCCAGCCTGGATGACAGAGTGAGACTTTGTAACAACAACAACAACAACAACAAAATTCATAGCAACATTTTCCTTTTTTTTTTTCATCTCGCTCTGTTGCCCAGGCTGGAGTGCAGTGGCATGATCTCGGCTCACTGCAAGCTCCACCTCCCGGGTTCACACTATTCTCCTGCCTCAGCCTCCCAAGTAGCTGGAACTACAGGCGCCTACCACCACACCCAGCTAATTTTTTGTATTTTTAGTAGAGACGGGGTTTCACCACGTTAGCCAGGATAGTCTGGATCTCCTGACCTCGTGATCCACCCGCCTCAGCCTCCCAAAGTGCTGGGATTACAGGCGTGAGCCACCGCACCCAGCCATTAATCACAGTTTTAACCTTGTATCTACTTATGTAGTCGCTTGCTTAATATTTATCTTCTCTATCAGACTATAAGCTCCATGAAGGCAAGGTATGCCCACCTAGTACAGTATCTGACACGTATAAGAAAGGTAGCATATTATCTAACTCACGACTCTCTCAATAAAGAAACAGCATCCCACAAGACAAAGTATTTTGATCACTACTTTAAAAGGAAATGTGATGAAATTTCATTGCTTTTCTCTGCACAGCATTCATGGAGGCATCCCCAACTCTTCTTTCCCATACGGGAGGCAACCTCATTCTCCTTAATGACTCCCTGTTCTCTCCCATCAACCACAAAGGAACCAACAGGAGTTTAAAGACAGAAAGAAAGGGCAATTCTGGATCCAGATTAGCAGAAAAGGCATCAGGCTTGTCAAACCCCGAGTTCCTCTCCCACAGAGCTGAGGGGCCTGTACAGCTACACCTGTGCACACTACAAAGTTATCTCGTATTTCCACTAGACACCTCCACTTCCTTCCCTCCCACTACTGAACACATCAACATGCTGTAGGAATTTCTCTTCTGAATAGTGCTTTGCCCTCATAATGACATCCGGCCAGATAAATGGGAGGACACTGGAATAATTTGATTTCTACCAGATATTTCTACTCTTGCTACCTGTCCTTTTTCTTCTCCTTCTAAAATAAATGTCGACTCCTCTTAGCCACATTTCTTCCTACTTGTCCTATAAAGAAAAGACTAGGGTTGGAAGACCCAAGTGTGATTTGTTTTCTTTCTCTGATCTTTTTTTCTAGTTAGCCCTCTCTAAACTAGAACGTATGTGATTCAATCATTCATTTATTAATTCAATAAAATCATGTATTGAGTGCCTATTATCAGCTAGGTACGCAGTGAATGAGACAATATCAGATAGTTTCATGTTAAATAAAGGGAACAGAAAAGAGCATGAGCCCTGGACATAAGAGGGGGTAAGTAGAGGGGTCTCATGGCGGGAGACAAAGGGCAAAGATGGGAGAGCATTGTCTTTCATCACTTCCACAATCATGTGAGGGTCCTATTGGGATGCTCAGGCCTAGCACTTGGATTGCTCCGCTGTGAGCTGATGAGTGCAAAATGTTTGGGGGTAAGACTTCACAGGTGATCCTGAGGATACAAAGACTCCACTGCAACCATTTTCTTGATGACCTGGAGAATTTCAACACTTTCATGTGAGAGTACAAGACAGCTAACCTGCTACTGCGGAAATAAAAACTAAACACTAAAAAATGTAGCTCTGAAATAGTGTGGCCCAAGAAATTGCTGAGGTTTGGAATGAAATATGTTTGTTGTAGGGTAAGAATAGGTATGCTAATCTCCTGCAATTTTATCCTTTGGGTTTCTCTGGCATTTATAAGTGAAGTGATCTTATTTTCAATAACCTTAATAAAATTTGAGTTTGAGAGAAGCGTAAAAAAATCCATATTTCATCCCAGGTCAATGTTCTGCTCTGTCTATTCTAATTTTTAAGGCAATGTGAAGAGTTTCAAAAAAATAAAACCAAAAAAAAGTCTTGGCTAATGCTGAAAACCGATGTGCAGTGAGGTATGTATTTTGAAGCACATGAACTTCCAACATAGACGAAATTTTTGTGGCTTGCCCCCAGGTAAGAATAAGGTCATTATAAAAATTGTTTAAGTTGTTCTCAAAACTATATTTAGAAAAATAAAATTTGTGCTATAAACTTTTTGGGACTCAACTAGTATGTTATCATATGTGTGCGTTTTTAGTTTTATGTTCTTTATTTTTACAGAACCTTATCATATTTTTAGGTATTCAATAGAGAAACCACAGAGAGCTACAGTAAGTAATACCCAGCTATGTAAATCAGTTTCAATCTCCCTTTTGCATATATCTGCCACATTTCAGTCTGCCCATGTTTCTGCTATTCATCTACCGTTGAAGAAAACTCCCACTGGTATCGTACACAATGTCCACAGGTATTATAAATATCCTTTCATAGATTTCCTCTGAGGCATAAAGCATGGGGTCAATTCAAAGTCAATCTTAAATTTTTAAGGCAGGCAACTATATCATTTGCATACAGATCAGCAATCTGTCCTTTACTTAGAGAAAGATTTACAGATACTTTAAAATCAGGCCTAATCTATAAAACAAACAAGCACAAAACTAAGCTAAGGTGGGGAGAGAGGGAGGGAGGGAGGGAGGGAGAGAGGGAGAGGGAGAGAGAGAGAGAGAGAGAAACAGATCAGATTGTAATTGCTTTGAATGTTTGTCAGAGAAGAAATTCTTTCTGTAAATTGCTTTTGGTTAAGATTGCAACAGTCCCAGTGTGAGCTAAATTGGGACCCATGATCTGCAAGTACTCAGGAATTGCCCCAAGGTGCTAGGTATCATTTATTTTTTATTTAAATCACTACCATAAAATGTAAGTTTCAGGCACTGATTTGTTGGAGGGGATTGGGGGTGGTTTGTTGCTATGTAAATAAAACATTGTTTTCAATTATCTGCAGCTTAATCATTGCATGCTTGCAATTTGCTTTGGTCAAACAGAACTGTCTGTAAATGTTATTCTCTGAAAGCCATTCATCTTCTGCCCTTCCTGAAAAAAAAAAGTGCAGTATCCTAGAAAGAGCCAGGCCAGGTGACCAGGACACTCTCAGGACCTAATGGTAGAGATGAAGCTCTCGGATCACTCAAGGGGCTACCTGCCTGGCCAGAAATCAAAGAAGTTCAGGGACAGGAAGAATGAAAGAGCACAGGAGAAACAGCTAGAGGCAAACTGCACCTTGTCAAAAGTCAGCCCCCGGCAAGGCAACCTACGTGGGCTTTTGCAGAGCAGGTCAGATCCTAACAAAACCCAGAATTGGCTGTCAGTCTCTCCAGGAGTTCCGCAACCTGCATTCTCACCGCTGTCCACCACATCATCATGTTTAGGTTGACCCCTGGCTCTTCTCAGAGTATGTCATGGTCTTTCACACTAGTCCTGATTTAAGCCCATTCTACAGAAAGGATCAGCTTTTCACACTTTCTAAGGTGTCAGTGATGAGTCAGCCTGAAGGGTGAACTCCTAGAAGCACAGCATAACCTTTTCCCAGCTATGAAAAAATACAAAAGAAGTTTTGTCGTTACAAAAAATTATAAAATTGTTAATATTTATAATTATAAAAACAAATTATATAATTATAAAATTATTTTTTAAATACAAAAAAAAAGGAGCTTGAACCATTTGGTTTTATATCAGGGCAGGGCTTTCCTGACCTCCCTCAAACATAGTCTGGGGCAACGTTTCCCAAACATTGACGGGAGGTGCAGCTCTCCTTATTCTCCACACACATACACACATATACACACACAAAAGTTTGAGACTCGGGGGGAAATAGAGTGCAGAATTTCCCCAGGCTGTCAATATGGTTATCTGAACTTTGGATCCCTAAACTACAAATAGTGTTGTTTAAAAAAAAATTACAGGAGGTTATTGGTTTGGATTGAGCTCCTGCACTAGGCCCAATAGACCAAACCAAAATGGAGTCACACTAAAGTTCCGTGCTACCAAGCCAAAATTAAGTTGTTGATCCAACCTTCTGAGAAATCAGGAGAGGGAGAGATAATAGGCAAATCCCCAAATAGGCCAGTTTTAGCAGGCAAGACAAGGCAAGACAATCATTAACTTTGAAATGACCCGTCTGTTTTATATTCCGTTCCTTCTTCTCAGCTCATGGGAACGTTCGTTCTATCTTACAGAATAAGTGTTGTCCAATTCTAGATCTTAATTAAGTTTGTTGTTATTTTGTTTTCTGACAGTATATACATCATTTTCCAAACCTATTTGTATACAAAACTCCTTTTTGACAACCTTTTTGTATAAACCTTTTCTTTTTGGCCAAATCATCTCAACCATGAGTTAAATACAAGTACGTTTTAGTATCTGACATTAGATATAAGTACGTTTGATGTTACTTCATAGTATGAAATACATCTTCGAGATCATTCCTTTAATTTTTCAAGACCCTTCCTTGAACACCATATCAACTTGCCCTTCCGTTCCTACTTCTTTTCCATCCTCCTCCTAGCCCCATGCCCTGATCATCTCAGCTGGTTCAATCTAACTGTTTTCAAGTCTTCACTCAGGCATTCTGTCTTCTAGAAATCTTCCTTGACTTCTCATAGCTTCCACTCTCTGAGTTTCCTGTGGCTATCATGATAAAATTACCACCAATTGGGTGTCTTATAAAAACAAAAACTTATTCTTTCACAGTTTTACAGGCCAGAAGTCTGAAATGAAAGTCTTGGTAAAGCCATAACTCCTTCTGAAGGCTGGAGGGGAGACTCCTTTGTTTCCTCTTCCACTGGTGACTTTAGGCATTCTTTGGATTTTAGCAACAAAACTGCAATCTCTGCCTCTGTCTTCACATGGCATTCTCTGTGTCTATGTGTTCTAAGAACACAATAATTGGATTTAAGATCTACCCTAATTTCAGAATGATCTCAAGATGCTTAACTTAATTACATGTGTAAAAATCTTTTTTAAAAAATAAAATAAGGTCACATTTACAGGTCCTTTAGGGGGACCACCATTCAAGCCACTACACACCTCCGAGCTGAGCTCGGGACATTTACCCCGAAAATGTTTTTTGCCATCCAGGAACTGATAATAGATTTGGCAAAAACACAAATGTAAACAAACATCTTCAGCCCCTTTTAGAGAGGGGCTGCGTGTGGTGTGGTTTCTCATCCATGGAATCCGAGTTATCTGGAAATTCCAAAACTGTCTAGAATGGAGCCTTGTGACTCTTGATGTAATTGAAACTCCTTAGTGTGGTTTACAAGGATATTATTTTTTAAAATATCTTCAGCCTTATTTTTCTTCCTCCCAGAATATGCTTCAGCCACATTGTACTTGTGTTGGTTCCTGATGTGCTATGTTCTTTTTCTCCTCTAGATCTCTGAACATGCTTTGAATACTTTTGCCCCTTCATCTCTTGCCTCCCCTCTATTCCCCACCCCTTCTCTCTTCCCCACCTCCAGACTGCTGTGGTGTCACCTGACTGATTCCTCCTTCAAGTATCAGTCTAGATGTCAGCTCCTCTAGGAAGCTTTCCCTGAACTCCTGAGTCAGAAGGACAGGCCCTTCCTGAATATACTCTTAAGTCTCTATATATGATACTTGAATTGTATCGCAGTTGCCTGCTTATCTCTGTCTTCCTTCAGGCTGTGAGCAACCTGACAGTACTGCCACATCTAGCTCCCCTTTTGATCCCCAGAGCTGATAAATGCCCAGGTACACAGAAGGCATTCAACACAGACTTGCAGAATGAATGAATGAAACATCTTCCAGAACTAGCATAGTGCTTGCCTGTCCTGCTTGGACAGTGGCCAATCCAGTCCTCAGGCAGGTTTCCTCTCCTTCTCCCTGCAAGCTTGGACTCACATGCCAAGTGATGGATCTGTGTTAGAAAAGGCCCCAGCAACACCCAGCAGAATGCACATGCTCATCTGCTTCTGTTTGCTTCTAACCATGAGGAAAGATGATCTATTTTCTGACTTTGATGCTTGTTGCATTTTAATGAAAATAAAAATACTCTTTCCTTTTCTCACATTAACACTGAGAGGAGGCTTCCGGATAGGCAGAGTTGCCAAACTTTCTTTCCCTCCCATACCTCATTTAGATTACATTGTTTGTTGCATCAGAATAAATCATAAAGTCCTGCCCCAAATTTAAGCAGCTGTTAGCGCTTGGTTTTTCATATTGACTGGATAGGTTTTCTGAAAAAGTGAGCTCATATGGAAAGAGCTGCTTCAAGATGGATTCTAAATGCTTAAAGATTGTGATTAACCTGTCTGAGATTCCTCCATTTGTTTATTCAGCAAGACTTGTAGAATAAATGAATGGTGTCTTCCAGAACTGAGCGCTATCAGTTTATTTGGCCCTCTAGTAATTACCAATCTGGCCTCTACTCTTTTCTAAGAGAGGTAGAATAAGATACCTGCTAGTCTTTTTTCATGATCCATCACTTTTGAGACATAAAACTTAATCACTCAGTTCTTTAACCTCATGAGGACCAGGTAGTATCTGTGGATAGCATCCTTTTGTTTTATAAGCAGGTAAAGTTTTCATTCTTTGGCTCATAAATTAAACTATTGTATATTTTTTAAGGAATATAGAGTCTTTCTCCTTCCAGATCCTACTTGGAAACTCTAGAAGGAAGATTACCTCTTCAGTTCTCAGCTGCTTACTCTAAATAGGGAAAAGGGGGCAATTAGTGATTTTAGATATAGGCTTTTCAGGTTCATAATTTAATTAACAATTCTCTCAGGAGCAAAATATCCATTGACAACTGTAATAAAGATTTATCAGATGATTTTTCCCCATTAATGGAAGATTTTTGTTGTAAAATATAAACTTGAAAATGGAATGTTTTGGTGTGAGGGAGAATGACTACAAAACAATGTAATTGCCCTCTTTATTGCTGTTTCTGGACAGCTGCCCAAAGAGGAACACATTCTACAGGGCCAAAGCTTCAAATCAATTTATAGTCCTGGTGGTCTGGATAGCACAATAGATTTCCTACTTACTACTAGATCTGTGAAAGTCAGACGGTCTTAATTTAAATCTGGACTTAACTGAAAATCATTCCAATAGACTAACTCTTGTGATCCCAAGTGAAATGAATTTAGAAGTTGCAGAGAAAATGTTTTGTAAGGAGTATAATAATTAAACATCTAATGAAAATGCAATATGGCCTGCTGTTCTCTGTAGTGTGTGAAAGAAAGGCGCATTTATCTTAGTCTTTGGTAAATAATACTTTGGGCACTGCTCTTAATTTTGGAGATCTTTACCAGGCATCATTGGAGCCTATAAATGGAATAAATAGAATTCGCATCTGCAAAGATGTATTTTCAAGCCTTTAACTTTCCTTTAACTCATCATGGGTAAGTTTAGACCACTTCATTTAATTTTATATTCTTCACTAAATTCTTGCTGACTGGCCACTTTTAATGTAGGACTTGCTTTCTATACAGACAAATGATCCAATCTCTCAAGTAGGTTTTTTGTTTGTTTGTGTTGAGTGAAGATAAGATCACTTCAATTGGATATTACCAGACCTCCTTAGTCTTGTGCCATTACTTTAGTGATGCCAATCTTCATACTATTAGAGGTAATTCCTTTGGGCACATGAGAAAGATGGTGCAATGGAGAGAGGCCCTCACTAGCCAGCATTCTTTAGATATGATACTGGCTGTTTTCACAGGCTAGGTACAAATTTTTATCCATATCCATATCCATTTTTATTCATATCCACATCTAAATTTTTATCCATATCCATTTTTATCCATATCCTCTTTTATTTAGTAACTAAGGGGAAGCAGGCTAAAAAAGAGATAATTCATCATATTAACCATATTATTCTGAACAGAGGGAGAAGTGAATTCCAGCTTCTGTTATGGGTAAAATGAGATTCCTCTTTTGAAGATAGAACACAGGCCTATCCACATTGGAACCATGCTTCTTATGGGAACTGACAATCGCCAACTAAAAAAAGAAAGCTGTTAACAAACTCTTAGTCACAGTTCAACAGGAGCCAGGCCAAAATCAGCTTTATTTCACTCCCACTCTCCACTAGACACATACCCATTTAAGACTAAAGTTGATCTCACTTTGGCTGTACTTAAAGACTTTCAGCTTCATGGATTTAACCAGTCCATCATAAACTGGCAGGAAACAACTCTCAGAAGATTGCCAAAAATAACAGAGAAGTTACTTGCAAGAAGCTTTAATACATCTCTTGTTGACAAGCTATGTGGATATAGCTATAGAGATCAGAATCTTGCTATATCATCCATTATCAAAGGGCTTTTGTATGCCAGGCACTTAAAGTTGCTGCAAAACAGACATGCTTCCTGCCATCAACACGTTGATAGACAGAAGGGGAATACAGAAGAGTAAACAGATAATTCCAGTACAATATGACAAACGATGTAATAGAAGTGATTCCAATGGGCACCCAGGGAAAGAAACTTAATGCTTATTTCTGAAGAGGACAAGTGCAATATTCACTCAGTTTGAAACTCTCCAAACTACACATACCAAGAGCAATGTGAACACCCAAAGCCTTGCTACTCTAAGTGTAGTGCACAGGCCAGCAGCACTGTATCACCTGGAAGCATGTTAGAATGCAGAGCTTCAAGCCCCATTTGGCTCATGTCTGTAATTCCAGCACTTTGGGAGGACGAGGCAGGTGGATTACTTGAACCCAGGAGTTCAAGACTAGCCTGGGCAACAAAGTGGGACCCCATATCTGCAAAAGATACAAAAATTAGCCTAACGTGGTGGTGCACACCTGTAGTCCCAGCTACTCAAGAGATTGATGTGGGAGGATCACCTGAGCCTGGGAGGTTGATGCTGCAGTGAACCGTGATCATGTCACTGCACTCCAGCCTGGGCAGCAGAGCAAAACCTTGTCTCAAAAAACAAACAAATGAAAAATAAATAAACAAGATCTCCAGGAGTTCCATATGTCCCCTGCTTTTGAGAAACACTTCTCTAGAACACTGTTCCTCAAACTTTAGTGCACTTCAGAATTATATGAAAGGCCCATTAAAACACAGATCGCCCTTAACAAACTAGACATCAAAGGTACATACCTAAAAGTAATAAGAGCCATCTATGACAAACCCACAGCCTACATCACAGCCGAACAGGCAAAAGCTGGAAACATTCCCCTTGAGCTCATTCTTACCACTCTTATTCGACATAGTATTGGAAGTCCTGGCCAGAGCAATCAGGCAAGAGGAAGAAATAAAAGGCACCCAAATAGGAAAAGAGGAAGTCAAACTATCTCACTTCGCAGATGATATGATTCTATACCTATGAAACCCCATAGTCTCTGCCCAAAGGCTCCTAGGTTTGATAAACAAACTTAAGCAAAGTTTCAGGATACAAAATCAATGTGCAAAAATCAGCAGCATTTCTGTACAACAATAATGTCCAAGCTGAGAGTCAAATCTAGAATGCAATCCCATTCAAAATACCACAGAAAGAATAAAATACCTAGGAATGCAGCTAACCAGGGAGGTGAAAGATCTCTACAATAATTACAAAACAGTGCCCAAAAAAGCCAGAGGCAACAAAAGCAAATGAAAAACATTCCATGCTCATTGATAGGAAGAATCAATATTATAAAAAATAGCCATACTACCCAAAGCAATTTACAGATTCAATGTTATTCCTATCAAGCTACCAATGACATTTTTCACAAAATTAGGGAAAAACATTCTAAAATTCATTTGGAATCAAAAAAAAAAAAAGCCCAAATAGTGAAAGCAATCCTAAGCAAAAAGATTGAAACTGGAGGAATCACACTACCTGACTTCAAATGATGTTATAAGGTTACAGTAACTAAAACAGCATGGTACTGGTACAAAAACAGACACTTAGATCAATGGAAAAAAAACATAGAAAACCCAGAAATAAGACTGGACGCCTATGACCATCTGATCTTTGACAAAGCAGACAAAAACAAGCAATGAAGAAAGGACTCCCTATTCAGTAAATGGTGCTGTGAAAACTGGCTAGCTATATGCAAAAGATTGAAACTGGACCTCTATATTTTACCATATAAAAAATCAATTCTAGATGGATTAAAGACTTAAATGTAAACCTAAAACTATAAAAACTCTATAAGAAAACCTAGGCAATACTATTCTGGACATAGGCCCTGGCAAAGACTCCAAGATGAAGACTCCAAAAGCAACTGCAACAAAAACAAAAATAGACATTGGGACATAATTAAACTAAGGAGCTTCTCCACAGCAAAAGAAACAATCAATAGAATAAACAGATAATCCACAGAATGAGAAAAAATATTTGCAAACTATCCCTCTGACAAAGGTCTTAGTATCCAGAATCTATAAGAAACTTAAAGAAATCAATGAGTGAAAAACAAATAGTCCCATTTAAAAAAAATAGTCAAAGGACATGAACAGACATGAACAGATACTTCTCAAAAGACAACACACACATGGCCAACAAGCATATGAAAAAATTTTCAGTATCACTAATCATTAGGGAAATACAAATCAAAACCACAATGAGATACGATCTCTCACCAGTCAGAATGGTTATTATTAAAAAGTAAAAAAAAAAAAATAACAAGTGCTGGTGAAGTTGTGGAGAAAAGGGAACACTTATAACTGTTGGTGGAAATGTAAATCAGTTCAGCAACTGTGGAAAGCAGTCTGGGGATTTCTCAAAGAACTTAAAACAGAACTACCATTCAACCCAGTAATCTCATTACTGGGTGTATATCCAAAGGAATATAAATCATTCTACCATAAAGACACATGCATATGTATATTCATTGCAGCACTATTTGTAATAGCCAAGACATGGAATCCACCTAGCTGTCCATCAGTGGTGGACTGGATAAAGCAAATGTGGTACATACATACCATGGAATACTACACAGCCATAAAAAAGAATGAGATCATGTCCTCTGCAGCAACATGGATGGAGCTAGAGGTCACTATCCTAAGCAAATTAAAGCAGGAACAAAAAAACAAATATTGTGTGTTCTCACTTATAAGTAAGAGCTAAACACTGAGTATACATGGACACAAAGAAAGGAACACTAGACATTGGGGCCTACTTGAGGGTGGAGTATGAGAACTGAAAAACTACCTGTCAGGAATTATGCTGATTACCTGACTGACAAAACTATCTGTACACCAAAACTCCACAACACACAATTTACCCATGTAACACATCTGCACCTGTACCCCTGAAGCCTAAAATAAAAGTTGGAAAGAGGAAAACAAAACAAAACACATCTTGCTAAGTGCAACTCCAATGTTTCTGATTCAGTAAGTGTGGATTGGGCTCTAAAATTTGCAGGTCTAATCAGTTCCCAGGTGATGGTGAGGCTGCTGATCTGGAGCCGACGTCTGAGAACCACAGATGTAGATCATTTTCAGGAACCTGAATCCAGAGAAAAAAAGGAGTGTGACAATGACCCATAGTTGGGCTCAGAAATGTTTCCTTGAGGCAATTAGGAACACTACCGTATGACCCTGAGATCTTGCACACTCGGGGGAAAACCTGCTCATTAGTAGATGAAGCTTTCATTCTGTGTGTCTTGCTCAAATTATAAGATGTGTAAAGGGAAAGGACAATATCTCCCTTGCTCTCTCCTTTATTCCTGCTTCCTAGAAAAGAAAGGTGCTCTATGATGATATGCTCTCTTCCTCTGTAAGGTAAGCATGAAGGTCTTGTTCTTTGAAAGACTGTCTTTGTCTATGGATGGCAGAGTGGACTCTGAGTCTGCTGGATTAGGCCACATGCTCCAGCACAACTTGCCAGAAGTGCCTTGCAATGAGAGGACATTGAACACTTGCATAGTTATTAAAATAATTCCATGTTTCCCATTTCAGCACTGCTTGTGGTTCATACACATAGTCTAACATACCCCAGAGGAGATATTGTAGGAGTTAATCATGAAATGCCATCTCAAATCCTTAATAGTAGGGACAACAGCCTAGATCAAACCAGATTAACCTATGCTCATAGAGTTATTAAGAGTAAAAACAAATTGCTGAAGATTAGAACCTACTATTTAGAGTTGCCTCTAAAAATTCAAGTAACTGGAAATATCACATGGATATTTACTTTAACTTGGAGTTTCAAGTCAACCACATTGTTGGATGGCCGATACCTGTGGTCTGTGTTCATGGAGAGATACTAAAGGGGCTTTTCCCACATCCTCCATAGATTAAGGTCATGCCTTTTCAAGGGCAAAGCACCCTGTGTTAATTTCTGTGATGCAGAAATTTTAATGAAAGATACAAATTATAAATCCCTGAATATATCATTATCCCATTGATATGTCTTCACCGATCCTACTACTGATGTTTTTTCTCCATTTAAGCTGCATGTTGCAGCCCATACAAGCTCCAGGAAGTAGAAGGCTAGGACAGAAGGTTCCTGTATGGCATTCTGAACATGTCAGCTTTGATTATTACTCAACAATTATAATCAGTCATCTATAATGTAATATAATTTATAGCATATTAAGTGATAGTTCTTAAATATGCATTTTTCAGCAGTTTAAAAATCAGTTAAAATGGGAACAATATTCTCACTCACATGAAGAAATCTATTTCCCTAAATATTATATTATATATTAGTATTATAACATTTTATTTATATAATATATATTATTGTATCTTCACATACTATGAAGATAGGGTCCCTCTTCCTTATTTTGTTAAAGAAAAGCAAAGGTTTTTTTTTCAAAATATTCTAGAACTGCCAGTTACAGTGTTGAGGCTCTAAAAGCTTCAGTACTGAGGGAATTGTGAACTCCGTTAATACATATTTAGTTAAAATAATTTTTTAAAAAGCAACACACATTGAAAACTTTATGTGTCTTATCACCATCTTTTTTTTTTTTTTTTTTTTTTTGAGACAGTCTCACTCCTGTCACCCAGGCTGGAGTACAGTGATGCAATCACTTCTCACCGCAGGAGAATCGCCATCTTTGAAGGCAGTGCTGTTGTTTTGGATGACATTCTAGGGTAAAAAAAAGAAAAACTGGCTGGGTGTGGTGGCTCATGCCTGTAATCCCAGCACTTTGGGAAGCCAAGGAGAGCAGATCACTTGAGGTCAGGAGTTCGAGACCAGTCTGGCCAACATGACAAAATCCTGTCTCTGTAAAAAATACAAAAATTAGCCAGGTGTGGTGGCACATGCCTGTAATTTCAGCTACTCTGGAGGCTGAGGTGGGAGAGTCGCTTGAACCCGGGAGGAGAAGGTTGCAGTGAGCAGAGATGGCACCACTGCACTCCAGCCTGGGCAACAGAGAGCAACTCTGTCTCAAAAAAAAAAAAAAAAAAAAGAAGGAAAATCTAAAATTGTTTCAGCTACAACCCTAGGATTCACCTCTGACAGTGGACATGACGACTGACCCCTTCTTCCGATATTAGCAAGAAAATATGTGCAATAAGTGAGGGAGGTTGCATATGATGCGTTCAGCTTGGCTGTTACAAATGTACAGAATATCAATTCTATAACTAATACAATGACAACAATAGGCGTGTTCTGTCTATATGAGAATTCATACACATACACATATGCATGTATGCTTTGCTCAAGCAATATGGATCTTTGTGCAAAGCAAAAGTTCAGAATCAACCCTTCTCTCCTTTTTTTCCCTAAAGGAAGAAAGCAGGGGCAGAAGATAAAGTTTTTATATTATCCATATAACTACCTGAGTTATCATTTTGCCTGGGCAGAACAATCTGTGTAAGACTAAAGGATGAAACAGGCCCTTCAAGATTTAATTAGTATCATATTGCCAGAAGTTGCTGCTAGTTGTTAAATGTTATGGCACTTACTTTCTCCGTGGACATTTTCTTTTCTACCACTGCTAATTGCTGTGATAAGTTTTCTCTAATAACACATCTTTGTCCTTCCCCTTACCCAAGAGTGTATAGAAAAGAAGGAAACCCATTGAAAACAACTGAGAAATTGCACACTGAACGTTGATACTTTATCATAAATTACTGTCATTTCAATTCTTCCATGACGTTTGTGATCTATGTTATACAAAGAATAATGAACAAAAACATCTTCGATAAACTTCCTGAATGTCTTATCCCATATACATAGAAATTTTATGATACTATTAAAGGATTGGAGAGGGTGGGGAAGGGCAAAAGAAAACTAATTTCCAGGAAATCTTTTTACAATAAGTCCATTTGGCAACTTAGCAAATAAATCTCTTTACTCAAATTTAAAAGGAATCTGAATTATGGCAAGTTCTGTTCTATGGGTAGAATATCAGAATGAACTGTCACAGTGTGCTTTTCTTGTACATATCTATGAACTTAAGCCAGCATAGACCTGAGCAAATTCAAATCTTTCCTGGCCCTTTTGTCTTCAGAACGTTTCCTAGGAATGACCTATTTTCACTGACTATAGTGTTTGCTATTGGGCCATCTGCCTTCAGCTATGCAAAAACAGTGTTTAAAACTTGCCCACGAACTTAGTTTGTAGCCTTTATCTGTGTCCTGCTATCCAAATGTAAGTGGAAAGACATACTAGAATGATTTAGAAGGACTGAGGGTTGTCTGCAAAGGAATAGATTGAAGTTTGCAAGACTTGACTCTGGATCCACACCTGCTTCAAGGCAGAGTGATGTGAAATGTGGAGAGGGACCGGCCCCAACCCTCTATCCTAAACTTGGTCTGTAATTTCAGAGGGCTCATTATTCCCAGTGAAGCCATGGTGCTATAGCAAGAAGGGCAAGGAACTATGAATCTTAAATTCTTCTGCTATTTACTATCTGGCTGACCCTGTTGCATTGCTGAGGGATACCCTCTTCTTCTACAAAAGAAATTAATATTATCTACCCTAACTAGGCAGTTGTAGGGTTCAAAATTTTTTATGGATGTGAATATGTTATCCATGGTACTCTCAGTGCACTGAACTGAACTTTTGGAATGCACAGATTTGCAAAGATTTCCTTATTGCTCAGAGACTTTGCTCAGAGAAATAAAAGTAGATAATAAATGTGTTATATTCAGTAGCAATAAAGCAAGCCTTCAATAAAATTGCCTTTATTGCTGTAAAAGCTATTATGGGCTAACTCTATTCTAAAAAACTACAACCTACAAACACAAGAATTCATATAGGGAGGAAAAAATCAACTCTGGACCCTAGCATACATACTACTTTTGAAATGTGAAAGGCTTGTGAAAATTCAAGGCAGTGATTTATGGCCCACAAGGGTTTTCAAAGCGTTCAGATTTCCAAGAACTCTCTCTCTAGATCTTAGACGTTACTCATTAATTACCAAGAAAATGACATTTCACACCATAGTAACTGCTCTGGAGATGTCTTTATTTGATGTGTGAAGAAGAAAAATGATCATTGACACAAGTTTCATCTGTCCATTTCCTTTCATGTAATGCAGTCCCTGAGTGGGTATTGCAATGTCTAGAGCTGTCCTTTTGCAGTTTATTTATGCCCTATAAAAAAGGTAATTTGGATAATGTGATATGTGTGTTGAACAAAATGACAAAACTATCCGATTTGTACAGTAATTTCCATAGTCTAAGGAGTAGGTATCAAGGCATTTTGTCTTTGTGAATTATAGTGTGAAGGTCTCCCCATGTGGCATTCCTTTTGTAGTGGGCTTGTTTATAAAGCCTAAGCTGTTTGTGTTTGCTGAGGGGAGGAGATGAATAAGTTATTAGAGCTGTATGGAAAAATCCTCACTCTGAGCAAAAAATAGCCTATTTATGGGACAATCTTAAAGGGCAAAGAATTTTTCATTCTGACCTTTAATGGTACAAGAAAAAAAATCAATGTAGGTAGTTTTTCGTGGAGAAAAGTGTAGATTTTCACTCTGGTGCCAATTTGGAGTTGTTTGCATCTTTTCTTATTAGATTGAGTTGAAGATAATGAGTTCTAGTTTTACCTTTGTGCCACATTCTTTCCTACCTCCTCAGTTCCTTTTAATAGAGGGTGTTGCTCAATGGACATTGAGATCTTGGCAATGAAAACATAGTCCAAGTCTTTAGGGGGCACTGGGCCAAGGTTACCCAGGTCAGAGCATAATGCATCACTTTCTAATGGGAACAGAAAGCTAAGAAAACTCTTTTCTATTTGGAGCCTAATCAGAAACCTGACGCAGAGCTCGCTAAATGTAATGGCTACACATTTCTACCAGATCAAACTCAGTACTTTCAGGACCCTAGCTTAAATGTTTAGGTTGGGGGGAAAAATAGTCTGGGTGATATAAGCTAGAAGATGTATTTGTTTATTGTTTTATGCATGTCTTCTTATTTCTAAAATGAATTATCCTTCAGCTTAGTAACTAAATACAAATAAATAAATTCACACCCAGATAGCATTGTGTTCTGCTAAATTAACCCGACCATTTTAAAGTAGTTCATTATTATTGCTAATGAGGTTGTGGGGAAAATGGCCTGCTCATTCACTGCCATTGTAGCAGAAATTGGGACAGACATATATGATGCTCTTATACCCACTCCTACAAATTTATCCTATGGAAGTAATTTAAATTGAGGCATAAAGCTATAAGCATTAAAATATTTATTGCTGTATTATTTATGACTGCAGAATTTAAATGAAGTTGTGAATTCAATGATAAGAGAATACTTAAATCAATGTGGTAGGTTAACTGCATAGAATATTATAAAGTCATTAAAATAATTATGAATACTATGTAATAGCATGGAAAACATTTATGATATACTATTAATTGAAAAAGCAGAATATAAAATGTTACTATGATGCTATAATTACAGCAACATAAAATATTTGTGTGTTCAAAGACTGAAAGAGGACATGGAAAAGTCATAAAAAGTGTTTTATGGTGGTAGGATTAAATGAGTGCCTTTAAAATTATCAAAATGTTTTGGGTGAGGGGAAGAGATCTGAGTCAGCTAAATGAAACTTGAATGAAATCAAGCACTTACTTGACCTGAAGAAATATACTATCTCTTTCACTTTTTAACTTTCCGGTTTTTGGAACAAGACTTATCTGCATTCAAAACCAGGCTGTATATGTCTAGGTAAGAAATAATTGGCATAGTAATTTAACCTCAGTTTCTCATCTTCAAATGGAGATAACAATGACTATCTCATAAAACACTGTGAGGATTGATAATTTTTTACAAGTTAAGAGCATGATACTTCGTAACTGCTCAATATTAGGTTAATTATTATTATAATTTCAATAGAGCTTGAATTTTGGGGGAAAGTTGGGACTAGGGTCACTGTAGAAAGCTGTTTAATTTCAAATTACAAAAGCTCCCTTATTTAGAGTGGTGGGACACGGTTGGAAGTGGAGGGTAATTAAATGGAGTTAGTTATTTATAAAATGTCAGCAGTTTCCTAAACATTTGTAAACTCAAAATAGTGTTGATGGGCCAAAATAGTAAAGAAAAGTTTTATCAGGGCTAATTTAACCAAAAGCACGATCTATGACAAGATAAACAAAAACGGAAATATCTCTATACTCCATCTGGGAGTTGCTGAATAAAATTACAGATGCAAATTATGCTCACGATCTGAAAATGCACCAATCCGCTCTGGTTTGACTTTTTACACTGCCTCTCCTTCCTCAAATCACCATCATGTGTGGCCTTTTGTGATGACATTGATTAATCTCATCTGAAAATGTAGGGCTGTGTTGATAGACACAGATTCACGTTAGACATTTATGGTGAAAGCAATGGACAGTGTTGCAGAATTGAGTACCGGAAATTGTTCTTCCGTAGCAATTTACAACCTGGTCCTTTCCAGGAGTTCCCACCACGAGAGAGGTGGTTTATTTTGTTCTGAATTTGTAGGATGCAATGCTTAGGTCTGTAGATGATTTGGATACATCGTGTCATTCATCCCCCTGTCTCCAAAGAGTAGGCCTCAGACAATTAGGCTTCTCATTTCTTTTGCTGGAGCAAGACACTACATTATCTTGGGCTATTTCACTTATTTCACTTAACAGAAATCTCAGTGAACAAGGTGTGTGTGTGTGTGTACAACCAATTATGTATGCCTGTATACCACTTTTTACCTCTCAGAATGGCAAATACCTAAAAAGTTTAATGACACACTCTGTTGGCAAAGCTATGAGGAAGTAGGTACTTATGTATTTCTGGTGTGAATATAAATTGGTACAAGGTACATGGAGGGCATTTTGGCAATAACCATAAACATTTCAAATGCATATGCCCTTTCAGTCAGCAGTGTCATGATGGAGATTTATTCTACAAGGAAACTTGCAAAATAATGTGTACATGAAGTTATTCATTGTGGCATCACTTACAGTGCAAAAGATGGGGAAAAACAAACAAATGTCCATCAACACTATGCAGTTTGGTCAAAAAGAATGAGGGTACTCTCTGTTAAGTAATAAAGAAATATTTCTAATATCTATTATCAAGTCAGAAATGCAGGTAAAACAATACAGATAATGTGATATCCTTTGTACAAAAGGAGCAAAGAATTAAGTATTTGAGTTTGCTTACTTTTACATTAAAAACTGAAAAATACGTAAGAACCTAATAAAAAATTTATTACTTGGGGTGGCAGAGGCTGGGGCAGAACTAAATGGATGAAGGATGGGGTGGGAAAAAGAATAAGATATGTAACTAACCTCCACGTTGTGCACATGTACCCTAAAACTTAAAGTATAATTTAAAAAAAATACAAAAAAATGAGTGAATTCGTGTTTATAAGAATTTTTAATGACACTATTCAGAAAACAAACTATACGTGTGGAACTGGAATTTATTTCCAAGTGATGTAATGGTCCGAGGAAAAGTATCTTAAAAGCCTGGGCAACATGGTGAGACCCTGTCTCTATAAAAAGTTTTAAAAAGTGCCAGGCATGGTGGCACATGCCTGTGGTCCTAACTACTCAGGATGGAGGTGGGAGGATCGCTTGAATCCAGGAGGTTGAGACTGCAGTAAGCTGTGATCATGCTACTGCACTCCAGCCTGGGCAACAGAGTGAGATCCTGTCTCAAAAAAAAGAAAAGGCTGGGCGCAGTGGCTCATGCCTGTAATCCCAGCACTTTGGGAGGCCAAGGTGGGAGGATCACTTGGGGCCAGGAGTTCAAGACCAGCCTGGCCAACATGGCAAAACCCCATCTCTACTAAAATACAAAAATTAGCCTGGTGTGGTAACGGGCGCCTGTAGTCCCAGCTACTTGGGAGGACGAGGCATGACAATTGCTTTCTCTTGTGAGGTAAATGTTGCAGTCAGCCAAGATTGCACCACTGCACTTCAGCCTGGGCAACAAAGTGAGACTCTGTCTCAAAAAAAAAAAAAAAAAAAAAGAAAAAGAAAAGAAAAATTATCTATGCCACTATTCCTGGCTCATTTTTATGAGTTTAAGGATTCCTTCATTCCCTGCTTTTTTTCAGCAAGTCCTTATTGTCTGTTGTATGTCTTGCACTGTGATTGGTGCATGATATAAACCAGGAAATAACTAACCTTCCCTTTCAAGCTTCACAACACACTCAGACACTGGATTTTATTACCTAACCAAACTTCTCTTGGTCCCTGACCCAAGCTCCCCACCTGACACTTTCTCTGTTAGGACATCAATCTCCCACCTACTTTGACTCACCACATGAATCTCACTGATTCATTGGACGTGATCTGCACCTACCACCCTCTCTGCTCCTTCTTGGACAGACTTTACTCTGACTCCTGGGACTCAACTGCAATCCTACTGTGTCCTGTCCTGAGTGCTCCCTCTCCAGAGAGCCCAGCTGGGTGGTCCCTTCTTCCCTACAGTCTCAGGCATGGACCTGCCCCTTGCACACTCCCCTGGAGTCAGTGTCTGGCACAGACATGTTCCACCCCCTTCTCTCCGCTCCATTCTCCTGCAAGAGTTCATTTCTAGCTGTTCCCTAGAGGCCTCTCTCTGGGAGGCCCTGCAAACAGGCATCTAGAAGCTGCTAGACTCCCACTCTGTGATGTCCAGGAGCACCTGCAGAAAAGTTATCCAGAGAGGAGACGTCTGGATTTTGGAGGAAAATGCATAAAGTCGGGCTCATTTCCAAAATCCTGAGGTCAGGCTACCAAATGAAGACTAAGAATACCTGAGAGTCACTTGTTGACAAGCAGACACCACAGGTATCCAAACCTGCGGGAGCAACAAAGGCAACGACAGCAGCAGCGCAGGCTTTGGCTGCCTCCGCATCCCACAACCATGGAACACCCTGCACCACAGGAGTGGAACCAGCTCTTCAGGGTGTCCTCTGCCTGCACAGTGAGACTCAGGGTGATTGTCCCCATCTCTGGTAGCTCTTCTCCACTAGGGTCCTCTCTGGCTTAACCAGGTGGGGATAGCTCATGCCCCCTCTGTACTAAAGAAGGTAAGTGGTCTCTGCTCACTCACTCCCCTTCACAGAGACTTTCCCACTCCACAGCCATGCCACAGCTCTGGGCTGGAGCCCTGCCAGTTACCACCCCCATATCCGGCCCTGGTACTACAGACCCATGCCCCACTTCAACACTCATCCTCCTTTCTCCATCATAGATTAGGGCTTTGGAATACCCTTCTGTAGGGCAGTGGGTGAAGTGCAGTCTATCACTCTGACTGAAATTGAGCTCCTTAAGTGATTCTTGTTGCAAAAGAAGCTGCAAAGTTTGTGGAGTTTACTCCCTGTGGTCCAAAAATATCAGGATTCCTTGAGTCTTCCTGCTCCCAACCCTCCCCAGCCCTGCCTCCTAGGCCACTTTCCAGTCTCCTTCTTCCTGGACATTTTGCTCCCAGCAGTGAGCTCAGGATGCAACCCAAGCACCACCTTCAAAAGACACACATCTAACACTGTAGGGGTCTGGCCTGCAGGATCCAAGAGTCTCTGGCCTTGGCATAGCATCAAGGCAAATTACCAGGGACGTCTCAGCCCAAGACAGACATCACTGTCAAGCCCTCTTAGTTTAGGGGCCAGAGCGGTGAGGACCTGGGAGAAATTGAGTGGAGTCACCAGGAAGTTTCTATGTGAGGAGCCCAGCAAAGTCTCAGCTGAGGAAGGACATGGGAAGGGTCTCAGGCACAGCCTGGGGAAGAGCCCAAAACACACCACAAGGGGCTCCAAATGCTACAGAATGAGGGGTCTCGGGGCCGGGCCTGAGAAGGAGACAAAAAGGGACTGGATGAGTCACCCAAGGAAAGACTCAGGGAGTGAATTACCAAGGGGCAAGGGGAGAACCCAGGCCAGAAACACCTGGACAATACCCAAGAGGTCCCTGGAGGTGAGAGGTTGGGCAGATCCATCAGGGCCAGTCCCTGTGGTGAGCTTTGTGAATGGCTTGCTGCTTGCTCTACCCTGGCCTTCTGGGAGACATACCAGGAACCTTAGGGCACCACCTCCATCTTTGGGGATGTATGTTTCATTGTCAACCAGAAAGACTTCCTCCAACGCCTCCTGAGAAGAGCATTTTTCTCAAATAAGTGTTTCCATCCAGTTTCAGCAGTTCTTATAAATCTCACAGGAGAGTTCTCTGGGATACCTGCCTTTTGTAACCAATTAAACCCATTCATCTCCATTGCATTTGTTTCTTCTAACAGGAGAGTGGAGTCTTAGTCTGTGTGTTGATTTGGGTTGAGGTTTGGGTTATTCCTGGAGCTTGGGCTTTTGGAAGGAAGGAAGCTGCTCAGCTTCAGCTCAGTGCCTGCTTGGATTTCCAAAGAGAAGCCAGCATCTGAGGGATAGTTTGAGAGGAGCTTTTCTCCTGGTGTCGAGGTATAAGCCAGCTACATGAATTGTAGAGCCTCATGTAAAATGAGAATGTGGAGACCCTTGTTCAAAAAGCAAGAGAAAAGGTCTACTAATGGTACTAACATGTTAAACTTTTTCTTTCTTCTGTGATCTCTCAACTTCTTGTGGTGTCTTTAATTTGCTATTTGTATTAGTCTGTTTTCACACTGTTGATAAAGACACACCCGAGACTGGGAAGAAAAAGAGGTTTAATTGGACTTATAGTTCCACATGGCTGGGTGGGGCCTCAGAATCATGGCGGGAGGTGACAGGCACTTCTTACATGGTGACAGCAAGAGAAAATGAGGAAGAAGCAAAAGCAGAAACCCCTGATAAAACCATCAGATCTCATGAGACTTATTCACTACCACGTGAACAGTATGGGGGAGACCACCCCCATGATTCAAATGATCTCCCACCGGGTCCCTCCCACAACATGTGGGAATTATGGGAGTACAATTCAAGGTGAGATTTGGGAGAGGACACAAGCCAACCATATCATTCTGCCCCTGGCCCCTGCAAATCTCATGTCCTCACATTTCAAAACCAATCATGCCTTCCCAACAGTTCCCAAAAGACTTAACTCATTTCAGCATTAACCCAAAAGTCCACAGTCCAAAGTCTCATCTAAGACAAGGCAAGTTCCTTCCGCCTATGAGACTGTAAAATCAAAAGCAAGCTAGTTACTTCCTAGATACAATGGGGGTACAGGTGTTGGGTAAATACAGCCATTCCAAATGGGAGAAATTGGCCAAAACAAAGTGGTTACAGGGCCCATGCAAGTCCAAAATCTAGTGGGGCAGTCAAATTTTAAAGCTCCAAAATGACCTCCTTTGACTACAGGTCTCACATCCCAGCCACGCTGATGCAAGAGGTGGGTTCCCATGGTCTTGGGCAGTTTCACCCCTGTGGCTTTGCAGGGTACAGACTTCCTCCTGTCTGCTTTCACGGGCTGGTGTTGAGTGTCTGCGACTTTTCCAGGTGCACAGTGCAAGCTGTCAGTGGATCTCCCATTCTGGGGTCTGGAGTATGGTACCCCTCTCTCACAGCTCCACTAGACAGTGGCCCAGTATGGACTCCGTGTGGGGGCTCCAATCCCACATTTCCCTTCTGCACTGTCCTAGCAGAGGCTCTCTATGAGCTCCCCACCCCTGTAGCAAACTTCTCCCTGGGCATCCAGGCATTTCCATACATGTTTTAAAATCTAGGCGGAGGTTCCCAAACCCCACTTTTTTACTTCCATGCACTTGCAGGCTCAACACCACGTAGAAACTGCCAAGGCTTGGGGCTTGCTCCCTCTGAAACCATGGCCTGAGCTCTATGTGGGACCATTTCAGCCATGGCTAGAGAATCTGGGATACAGGGCACCAAGTCTTTAGGCTGCACTCAGCACAGGGACCCTGGGCCTGGCCCAGGAAATCATTTTCTCCTAGGCCTCCAGGCCTGTGATGGGATGGACTGCCATGAAGACCTCTGACATGCCCTGGAAACATTTTCCCCATTGTCTTGGGGATTAACATTTGGCCCCTCATTACTTATACAAATTTCTGTAGCCAGCTTGAATTTCTCCTCAGAAAATGAGTTTTTCTTTTCTATCACATTGTCAGGCTGCATATTTTCTGAACTTTTATGCTCTGCTTTCCTTATAAAACTGAATGCCTTTAACAGCACCCAAGTTCCCTCTTGAATGCTTTGCAGCTTAGAAATTTATTCTACCAGATACCCTGAATCATCTCTCTCAAGTTCAAAGTTCCACAAATTCCTAGGGCAGGGGCAAAATGCCGCCAGTCTCTTTGCTAAAACATAACAAGCATAACAAGAGTCATCTTTGCTCCAGTTCCCAACAAATTCCTCATCTCCATCTGAGACTACCTCAGCCTGAACTTTATTGTCCATATTGCTATCAGGCTTTCAGTCAAACCCATTCAATAAGTCTCTAGGAGGTTCCAAACTTCCCCAATTTTCCTGTCTTCTTCTGAAATCCTCCAAACTATTCCAAACTCTGCCTGTTACCCAGTTCCAATATTCCACATTTTCGGGTATCTTTTCAGCAATGCCCCACTTTACTGGTACCAATTTACTATATTAGTCAGTTTTCACACTGCTGGTAAAGACATACCTGAGACTGGGAAGAAAAAGAGGTTTAATTGGACTTACAGTTCCACATGGCTGGGGAGGCCTCAGAATCATGGTGGGAGGTGAACAGCACTTCTTACATAGCAGCAGCAAGAGAAAATGAGAAAGATGCAAAATTGGAAATCCCTGATAAAATCATCAGATCTCATGAGACTCATTTACTACCATGAGAACAGTATGGGGAAAACCACCCCCATGATTCAAATTATCTCCCACCAGTTCCCTCCCACAACACATGGGAAGAATTATGGGAGTACAATTCAAGATGAGATTTGGGTGGGGACACAGAGTCAAACCATATCACCATTTAATGTTCTAAGTAAATATTGAATTTCAAGTTTTAGCACAAATCTTGCCACTCATCTTTATATTTTGCAATTCTAGCTTTAAATGCAAACACAAGAGCATTTATCTCATATACAGAATCACCAAAATTGTACCACCTATATTCCATAGCTCATACATGCATATATATCCCATTCTCACCAGAACAGTAGAAATGCTTCACAAAAGTAATGCAACTCTTTTTACTTTACTTCTTGATATAATTGAATTCTGTGAACACTAACTTCAGCTTATTAATGAGGAAGGAAGCACTGAAATTAAAAGAACTACTGGTTGTCCTACCTTTAATTTTCTGTGTCATCATTTTCAGAACAAGTAGTTGGCTAACAGAGGAAGGTAGCATGAGTAAGCAAAGATATTATAAGGTTTACATGTGTTTCCTATGGCTGCTGTATCAAATTACCCCAACTTATTGGCTCAAAATAACACAAATGCATTATCTTAGAGTTCTAGAGATCAGAAGTCTGAATGAG
This sequence comes from Homo sapiens, assembly GCF_000001405.40. Lineage (NCBI taxonomy): Eukaryota > Metazoa > Chordata > Mammalia > Primates > Hominidae > Homo > Homo sapiens. The sequence continues at coordinate 75,523,112 of NC_000009.12, read as the reverse complement.
TTTCACTGGGCTCAATGCAAGGTGTCAGCAAGCTGCATTCTTTCTAGAGGCTCCAGGGAAGAATCCATTCCCTTTCATTCTCCAGCTTTTAGAGGCCACCACTGTGTGGTTTGTGATTCCTTCCTGCATCTTCAAAGCCAACACCATCAGGCCAAGTTCCACTCTGGCTGCCACCTATTCAGTTATTTCTCTTCTGCCTTCATTCCTTAAGGACATTTGTGATTTACATTGTGTATGGTCAGATAATCCAAGGTAACCTTCCAATCTCAAAGTCAGCTGATTAGCCTGGCTAACACGGTGAAACCCCATCTCTACTAAAAATACAAAAATTTAGCCGGGTGCACTGGCGGGCGCCTGTAGTCCCAGCTACTCCGGAGGATGAGGCAGGAGAATGGCCTGAACCCGGGAGGCAGAGCTTGCAGTGAGCCGAGATAGCTCCACTGCACTGCAGCCTGGGCGAAAGAGCAAGACTTCGTCTCAAAAAAAAAAAAAAAAAAAAAAAAAAAAAAAAAAAAAGTCAGCCGATTAGCATTCTTAAATCTGTGGTGTAACCTTAATTCCCTTGTGCCATATATAACCTAAGATATTCAAGTTTCCAGTTATGAGGATGTAGGCATCTTTGGAAGGGGGAGGTCATCATCCCATCATCCTGCCTTCCACATGGTTCTTTGGGACTTCTTTCTTAGAATGCCATTATATTCAAAGCAAGTTCTGGTTCTAACAGAAAGCAAAGTGTGGCCTTTTGTCCCTACTCACTGAGTCATAGGTATGTTTAATGCACTCAGCTGGTACTCACTTTTAGGCTCACTGAACTCCCATGCACTGTGGATCCACCCGAATTCCACACTCCTGAGGCATAGCGGATATACTATGTTAAAATAAGGTAGCTAGGAATTATCAAACTGCATATCACAGGCATCTCCTCTGCTCAAGTACATGCTCCATTGTCCCACCAGACTTCATTCACAAAACACGAAGATAAGGTTAATAAGAATTTCGGCCGGGCGCGGTGGCTCACACCTGTAATCCCAGCACTTTGGGAGGCCAAGGCGGGCGGATCACGAGGTCAGGAGATCGAGACCATCCCGGCTAAAAACGGTGAAACCCCGTCTCTACTAAAAATACAAAAAATTAGCCGGGCGTAGTGGCGGGCGCCTGTAGTCCCAGCTACTTGGGAGGCTGAGGCAGGAGAATGGCGTGAACCCGGGATGCGGAGCTTGCAGTGAGCCGAGATCCCGCCACTGCACTCCAGCCTGGGAGACAGAGCGAGACTCCGTCTCAAAAAAAAAAAAAAAAAAAAAAAAAAAAAGAATTTCAAGATAGTGATAGAAAAGCTTTAAACCAAGTCGAGGGTCCTTCTGAGTACAAAGCCCTGTGCAACTGCACAGGTCACATGTCCACGAAGCCAGCTCTGCCCTCATAAACCCTAGTGCATTACTGGCAACTTTCAGGAAGTTGATGTTTGAAAAGAGTATGTCTTGACAGAAACAGAAGTTTGATTTTCCACAGATTTCTTAATCATCAGTTTTCACTCACCAGCAAAAACATGTCCATACCTTTTCATACCAGATGCTTGTATTTACTATGATGCCACCCGTGATTAAAGAAGAAAAATAAGTGGTTTTTGTGGTACCGTACATGGTCTTTTTTCAAATGCAATTAGATCCATTTGTTAGCTGCTTAAGAAAAAGAAAGTTTTAAACTGGAAATTATTTTTATTTAATTATATTGCTTTGTTTTGTTTTGTTTTGTTTTTAGAGATAGGTTCTTGCTCTATTACCCAGGCTAAAGTGCAGTGGCACAATCGTAGCTCATTGCAGCCTCCAACTCCTGGGCTCAAGTGATCTTCCCACCTCAGCCTCCTGAGTGTAGCTGTGGCTACAGGAGCAAGCCACAACATGTGGTGTATTATTAAAATACATAAATACTATACATTTTTTTATTTTGAACTTAAAGTATATAAGTCTACATTCATTGGCAATCATTAGATATACAGCTACATTCTTCCTCTTCTTTGTGCATCAAAACTCTGATTGGAGTTCCATATCTGTCTTGCATAAATCACATCCATGATGCATAATCTATGATTTCGAGCTCGGGTTTCTTTAAAGTGATGCAAGACACTTTAGAGAAGATGCTTGTGAACACTTATATATAATATTAGTGCAGTCTGAGTTCAAAATCCTTCTAGTTTTATAATCCCCTTCCCAAACTTCTATAGTTGTCCACATATAATTCAACAGAATTTTATTATTGTGACTAGACTTTATACAGTCTTCCAAAGCTTCAATTATATTTTCAAAGGAATAATAACCTTTTTAAACTCACATTTCATTGACTTATTTAACATTTAATTAAGTTCCTAATTACATAAGTACAATTAGCATAAATATAAATATTTAATCAAATTATATAATTTGCTAAGTACAGTTGCCAAATAAAGTTTAAGAACCAAGAGAAGTGACTTTGGTAAGAATGTGACTTCAGTGGCAGGAATAGATTTTGGCAGGCTCGTAGAGATCAGTTGAATAGGGCTGGGCATGGTGGCTCATGCCTGTAATCAGAGCACTTTGGAAGGCTGAGGCGGGAGGATCACTTGAGCCCAGAAGTTTGAGACCAGCCTGAGCAGCATGGCAAAACCCTGTCTCTACAAAAAATTTTAAAAAGAGCCAGGTGTGGTGGTGTTTGCCCATAGTCCCAGCTGCTTGGGAGGCTGAGGCAGGAGAATCACTTGAGCCCTGGAGGTGGAGGCTGCAGTGAGCCATGATTGGGCCACTGGACACCAGCCCTAGTAATAGAGCAAGACCCTGTCTCAAAAAAACAAAAACGAGAGATTAGCCGAATAGCAGTGACCACTAAGTATCAAGAGGACATCATGTCTTACTCAGACAATGAAAGTCATCATTTGATTTGGACATGTGGCTCAGGGAAAATTGGTTTCAAATACGTAGTCCTATTTCAAAGGACTACCCTTAAAAGATTCCATTTTCTTAAGAAGTTTCTTTATACAAAGCTCAAAAGAACTAAAGAAGTCTCAATTTTTAATCACTGTCTTTTCAGATGTCATTTTCTCTTTAAGGCTTTCCCCTCCCTGCCCATGCGGAGTTAGTCACTCCCCAGGCTCTGTCCTCTTACCCAGCCTGACACAGCATTCATCATGTAGTATTGAATTATTAGCTTTTCTGTCTCACTCGCTACTTAGAAGGCACCCCCATAAACATTCCTGGACACATCTGGTGCCACAAAGTGTACTTGTGCTCTGAGATTCTCCTTTGTTAGTTATAAAACTTTACTTTGTCAAGTCATTTCATTATATTATTTTTCATTCTCTGAATCGAATCTTTATGCTTTCCCTGAATAAAAGAGTAAAATCTGTCGATGTACACACAGAAAGTTCTCAAATAAGGTCATTTTGTTTAGCTTCATTTTGTTATAACATTGATGAGGGAAAAAAATGGATTCCCTTGGAATTCAGAAAAAAAATTTCACGCAGTCAGGGCCACTGTCTGTGTGGTGTCTGCATGTGCTTCCCATGTCTGTGTGGAGTCTATGTGTCCTTCCCATGTCCGCATGGAGTCAGTGTGTCCTTCCCATGTCCGCGTGGAGTCTGTGTGTCCTTCCCATGTCTGCTCGGAGTCTGTGTGTCCTCCCCATGCCCGCGTGGAGTCTGTGTGTCCTTCCAATGTCCGCGTGGAGTCTGTGTGTCCTTCCAATGTCCGCGTGGAGTCTGTGTGTCCTTCCCATGTCTGCGTGGAGTCTGTGTGTCCTTCCCATGTCCGCGTGGAGTCTGTGTGTCCTTCCCATGTCCGCTTGGAGTCTGTGTGTCCTCCCCATGTCCGCGTGGAGTCTGTGTGTCCTTCCAATGTCTGCATGGAGTCTGTGTGTCCTTCCCATGTCTGTGTGGAGTCTGTGTGTCATTCCCATGTCTGCATGGAGTCTGTGTGTCCTTCCCATGTCAGCGTGGAGTCTGTGTGTCCTTCCCATGTCCACGTGGAGTCTGTGTGTCCTTCCCATGTCTGTGTGGAGTCTGTGTGTCCTTCCCATGTCTGTGTGGAGTCTGTGTGTCCTTCCCATGTCAGCGTGGAGTCTGTGTGTCCTTCCCATGTCCGCATGGAGTCTGTGTGTCCTTCCCATGTCTGCGTGGAGTCTGTGTGTTCTTCCCATGTCCACATGGGTGCTGACCATGTACTCTGGTTTCCTCCCACATCCCAAAAGATGTGCAAGTTAGATTCATTGGCTACATGGTCCCTGCGTGAGTGAGCGTGATTTTGTGTGTGAGCATGTCCTGTCCAGAGTCGTCCCTGTCTGTGGCCCTGAGCTGCAGGGATAGGTTCTGGCTACCTGACACCCTGAACTAAAATTACTGCGTAAATAATTATCTTTTTTTTTTTTTTTTGAGACAGAGTCTCATTCTGTGTCCAGGTTGGAGTGCAGTGGCGCAATCTCAGCTCACTGCAAGCTCTGCCTCCTGGGTTGCCATTCTCCTGCTTCAGCCTCCCGAGTAGCTGGGACTACAGGTGCCCGCCACCACGCCCGGCTAATTTTTTGTATTTTTTTTTTTTTTTAGTAGAGATGGGGTTTCACCGTTTTAGCCAGGATGGTCTCAATCTCCTGACCTTGTGATCCACCTGCCTTGGCCACCCAAAGTGCTGGGATTACAGGCATGAGCCACCATGCCTGGCCATAAATAATTATCTTACTTGTTTTCATTAATCTTTCTGAAATGTGTGTATACTCACATTTATTTCAATGTTTAAGATTAGAAGTGTTTTGGGTCTTTATTTACAAATTTGATGATGCATGTGTGACCAGAAATACACTATATGAGCTTAACTTTTGTTTATATCAATTAGCCTATGGTAAAATTGATTTCCCTATACATAATTTCCCTCAAAGTCACAGTTTCTGAGAACCTATTGATGACATTAACTGAGTGCTTACTATACAGTGCTTGGAACAGTGCTGGCACAGAGAAGTTATGTGTTTCTAGTAATATATTTTCACCGGCATATAAACTTTCATCTTAAATGTCATTTTGGATATATTCTAACTTCCAGTCAACGTTTTCATATCTTTAGAGATTGAGCTATAAGCATAAATTTAATTGTTAACTTGCTGTTACTCTAAGCACTTATCATTGTCACTTACTATTACAGTAGCCACTGCAAAACTTTTCATTTCATTGATCACTTTTACATTTGGTAAGAAAATTAGAACACTTTAATTTTAGTACCAATGTTATGATAAGAGCTGACAAATTGTAACTTTTGCTGGGACCCTAATCTGGAAGTATTTGTCTCACTAATTGCAGGAGTGATTTGCATCACTCCACAGAATTATGCCGTAGGCAAGCTTTTTTTACATTATACTGCATTATGGCTCAGGGCACACCTCATCTTCATACACATTCTTCATAAACTAAACTTGGAACTACCCTCCAACCTGTGTTTGCACCTTACCTGGGCCAATTCTTAATTCTCCTGATATTACCCTCTGATTTGATTTACTCATTCATCTTGACCACATTTTGGGTTCCCCTGCCCGGAAATACTTCCCTGAAACACCTTCTTGGTTTATTTTCCAAATTGATCCAGCTTAGACAAAAGTCCAGCCACTAGAAATCCCTGTATGGGCAAATTTACATCACAGTCTATAAGCTGTATAACCACCACGGCAGGCTTTGGTGCAGTGTCTACTGTGGCTATAAACACATAACTCCCATCCTTCCAGGTGGAACCCAGAAATCCTGAAGTTTGTTTGGTTTGTTTCTTTGTTTGGTTGGTTTCTTTTACTTCTCAAAATCATTATTACCTGTGAGAACTCCTAGGTGGTTTTTTAAGTCTTATCATCTGACATTGACATTAGCAAAGAAGACAGTGCTTCATGGACAAGACATCAGGGTGAAGGGAGACAGGGATGACTGTGACATGGGTTAAGCAAATGAGAAGGAAGACATTGGAGTTAAGAAGGAGAACATGCTAAGACAGTAGGGAATAGCCGCCAACACATTTTGTGTGGTTCAAAATTTTACCACTGATCAGTGGTAGTTTAACATTTAAGTTAGTCACAGTCTCCATATTTTCAAACCCAAAATATGGGGCAGATCAATGTCAGTCATGTAGACAGTGAAATAAAATATTTGAATCATGATTGGTCTAGAAAATCTGCAGGCCATACACTGAGACCATATAACTAACTTAATTCTGCAGGGCAAAATGAACACTGGATAGAAAGGAGTTAATTCCTAATTTGCATATTGATGGCAACCTTCTTGCTTTTGTCTATCTTGATTCACAATTATGTGAGTTACTTTTGTTGCCTAGAGCAAGTAAAACTTTTCCATAGCATTAATAGGCTGACAATGCATATATGAGTATGTGCACATATGAGATTCTTCCAAGTGCCATAGGTTTCATACCTGCAAATATGTTGTAAGACCCTTGCTTTGACACAGGTAGAAGAAATATATGCCTTGATACATAACATGGTAAAATTGTGGACCTAGGGTCAACTAATCAATTACTGAAATAGAGGATATGATAGGTGTGGTGGCAGGGAGGAGATGGGGGGACAGCAATGCATCTCATTTTTTTCTCAGTATTTGTATGAGAAGTGACACTGAAGTTCCCCTTCTGCCTGAATGGCCTAATGGCAATAGTTCTATTATAGCTTCTTTGAACCTCATACCAATATTATCTTTCTTGGATATCTATACTCTTCTTATATATTTTTATTCCTCCTCTCCCAGCAAAACTCAAAACATTTTCACCATTCTTATCACATTAGTTATTTGAGTTGTCCATTCATGAGTATGTAGGAGAAGATACTGTTGGACCAACCACCTAGATGTAGAAAGTTAAACTAAATTTCCCACTGTCTCAGAAAATAAGGTGACCAACTCCTCTATTTTACAGGGACTGAAAGGTTCTCTGGGAGACAAGACTTTCAGTGCTATACCCAGAAAAGTCCTGGGCAAATAGGACTGAACTAGTTCACCTACATGAAAAGTTTAAACAGGACATTAAATCAAAATGGCAGGTAAACACTTCCTCTTACCTAAATCCCACAAAATGGCAAAAAGGGTATTGAAAAATGATAAAATAAATTTGCGACTATTCAGGAAAACAAAAGAAAAAGGGGAAGGAATTCCTGAAAGATAGCCAAGATCAGGTATAAAAAGAAACAAAAATAGCTTAGAGTGCTTTAAATCAGCTTAGAGGGAAAAAAAACATGAAGGTAAGAGAGGCTTGAGGGAAATCTTAGCCCAAAATAAATGGAGACAAGAGAATAGAGAAAATTCCAAGGCAGTCATTAGGGTAAATAGTTGAAGATGTACACTCACAAGACTAAGTCATTTTTCTCCTTCATACCTTTGATAATTTATATTAAACATTGAGCAGCAGCCATTTGTAGCAACAACCTACAGCAATAAATATGGATAGTGCAGCCAGAGAGAGAGCTGTGCTCTAAGAAGCAACTGAAGGAAAACTCAGGTCCTAAAGTACTAAAATCAAGCTCAGAATAATTACAAATATACATATATATATATATATACACACACACACACATAAATATCTACATACACATACCTATGTCTACCTATCCATTTACATACATACATGCATATATGCCATGAAGCAAGAATATTACTTAATAGAGAAACACTAGAAACATTCCCACCAAGGTCAGGGACAAGGCAAAGATCCATGCTAACTGCATGGTTATTTAACATCATATTAGAATTATTAATTAATGCAACTAGACAAAAAATAACTTGAGCCATGAAAGGAAATATATTATCTATATTTGTAGATGACATGATAATACACCTGGAAAACCCTAGATAATTAATGTAAAACTAATTCAAACAATAAAAGCAAAATATAAAATTAATATAAAAAACCAATAGTATACACATACACAAATAATATCTAAATAGGACTAACGGAAGCACAATTTACCAATAGCAGCAAAATGAACTTAAAAAATAAACCACAAAAAAACCTTAGAAATAAACTTAACAAATCATGTTCAAAATCTGTATAAACTATGAAATACTTCCTCCTCATGTTGTTTTATTTTGGACAGTTCAACATCATCAAGATATAAATTCTCCCTGAGTTAAAATACCAAAAAGCTTTTTTCTAGTGTGGAACAACTTGATAATTAAGTCCACATCAAATAATAAATATGCAAGAATATAATTGGGAAAATGCTGGGAAGAAAAAGAGCTATGAAAGGGGCCTAGCTCTACCAGATATTAAAATGTCACAAAGCCACAGTAATTAAAACAGTGTAATGATACACAGAGAGATAACCAGACCAATGGAATAAAAAAGAAAGTCTAAAAGTAGAATCAGCATTTTATGGAAATCCAGTGTATGATGAAAGTGAGATTTCATAACACTGAGCCTTTTTAAAAATGGTGTTGGGGCTCGGTACAGTGGCTTATGCCTATAATCCCAGCACTTTGGAAGGCCAAAGAGGAGGATTGCTTGAAGCCACGAGTTTGAGACCAGCCTGGGTCACAAAGTGAGACCCCAGTCTCTATAAAAATTAAAAAGAAGAAAATTAGTTAGCCAGATGTGGTGGTATGCACCTGTAGTCATAGCTACCTGGAAGGCTGAGGCAGGAGCATCTCTTGAGCCCAGGAGTTCAAGGCTGCAGTCAGCTATGATCATACCCCTGCACTCCATCCTGGATGATACAGTGAGATCCTATCCCTAAAAAAACAAAAATATAGTGCTGGGACAATTGGATAGCTATTTGCAAAAGATACAGTTAAATCCATTCCTCACATCATATGCAAGATTAAAATCCAAATAGTTCAAAGATCTGAATGTTTAAAAAACAAAAAAACTATATAAGTAATAGAAGAAAACAAAAATGGATTCCTCCATGGGTTTGGTATAGGAAAACACTTTCTATGATTCTAAATGCAGATGCAATGAAAGATAACAAATTTAACTACATAATTTTTTCATTTATGGCAAAAAAACTCACTACAAGCAAAATAAAAAATAAAATAACAAATTTAGAGGAAATAATTGAAACATATAAAGAAATAATACCCCTAATATATAAAAATTAAGAGGAAATAGATTTTAAAATTATGTAAACGTAGACAAAAGACATATACAGACATATACATATAAAATGACTTTTAAACATATGAAAAGATACTCAATTTCACTCAGAGAAATTCAAATTCAAACTGTACTCAGATAACATTTCTCACCTAAGAGATTGGCAAAGATTAAACATATTGGCAATGTATTCTATTGGAGAGGCCATGGATAAACATGAACTTTAATACATTAATTGTTGATAGAAATAGAAAATTACACAATTTCTATGAAGAGAATTTGACAATATCTACATAACTATATACACATTTATCTTTTGACTCAGCAATTCTACTTTTTGGAATTTACTCTGAAGATACACTTCAAACAAAATGAAAATACATAAGCACATGGCTATTCATCACAGCATTATTTGTAATTGCAAAATATTGGAACATACCTAGATACCTAAAGATGGGTTGAATAAACCATGGTTTATATACACATTGATATACTATGTAGCTACAAAAAAAATGAGAAAAATCTCTACAAATTGATATGGGGTGTTTTCTTGGCTATATTGTTAAATTTAAAAAAAACAGCAAAGTGGAAAAAAATTACAGAAGAGAAAGAGGAAAAAATTATAAATCTGCTTAGTTTTTGCAGGAAGGCAACACAGGGAGATTAAACAAAAAATAAATGAAATTGACTACCTACAGGAATGATTGTTTTGAGGTAAATTGTGTTCCTTCAAAATTCATATGTTAAAGTCCTAACACTTACTACCTCGAAATGTGACCTTATGTGGAGATAGGGTCTTTAAAGATGTAATCAGTTTTAAAATGAGGTCATTAGAAAGGGACCCAATTCATTATGACTTGTGTCATCATGAAAAGGGGAAGCTTGAACACAGAGACATATGAAGAAGGAAGGTGACTGGAAGAGGCAGGGAGAAGATGGCCATCTACTAGCCAAGGAGAAAGGCCTAAAACATCCTTTTCTCACAGCCCTAAGGAGAAACCAACCCTACAGACACCTTTATTTTGGACGTCTAGCCCCCAAAACTGTGAAACAATAAATTTCTGTTGTTTAAGCCACTTAATTTTTGGTACTTTGTTACAGCAGCCCTAGAAAACTAATACAATGGTGGTGGTGATGGTAGGGAGAAAAGGATGTGTTCTGGGTTATCTTAGTGTTTAACAAATTATCCCAAAACTGGTACAGTCATTCAACAACTATGTGATTTGACAAGTCATGAATTCTGGCAGGGCATAGTGGGCAACAGCTCTTCACTGCATAGTATCTGAAGCCTCAACTGGGGTGGTTTGAATGGCTAGAGGGCTGGGACAACTCAACTGAGGCAGTGTGCCTGGGTCGAGTGGCATCTCCTGGAGTGGGTGTGTCCAAGATGGCTTCTTCACTCACATGTCTGGCACCTGGAAGTGGATGGCACAAATAGCTGGCAGCATTGTTTTCTCTTTACATCATCAGTTTGGTCTCCCTCACAATATGGAGGTCCCAAAGAAGTTAAGGTTATTACATGTGGCTTAGGTAATAAGGCTGAGGGCTTATTACATGATGATGTCTGCTCCCCAAATATACATTCTAAGGGGCAGGAAACAGAATACCAAAACTGACACAGCATCATTTCCACCACATTTTTTGGTCAAAGCAGTCATAGGGCCAACCTAGATTCCAGAGGGTAGAGATATAGACTCTGCCTCTTGATGAGACAATAGCAAAGTTGCAGAAGACCATGAGGAGGGAAGATGTTGTGATCATCTTTGGAAAATACAATAAGCTGTAATGTGGAGGAGACAGTAGAAGAAGTTACATTTCTATGAATATACCTTTTATAAATAGTTTTGATTTTGAGAGGCATTTTAGTGTTCTAGAACAGGTGTCAGCAAACAATGGCCTGCAGACAAAATGCAGCCTGCTGCCTGTTTCTGTAAATAAGGTTTTGCTGGTTTATTGGTAAACCAGCAGAGTTGAGTAGTAGAATAGAGACTGCGTGGTCCACAAAGTCTAAAATATTTACCATCTGGAAATCTACAGAAAAAAATTTGTTGGTTCCTCCTTTAGAAAGTAAAAAGTAATTAATTAATTAATGAAATCCACAGAGTTAGGGAGGAAAAAACCTAAAACTGATTGCAAACAGTATCAGATGAGCCTATCTGCAATTCAAATGAATAACATAAGTTCACTGAAAGGGCCAAGAAAGAATTCATTAAAGTACCCATTGAAATGAAGAATATGACTGTACACCTTCTGTCTAGGAAGAAAAGAACATTGCAAACAAATCCTGGACTCTTGTGTAGGTTTGTTATTTTGTAGTGATGTTGGTGTAAACATTTTGAAACCAATTTATGTGTATAGTGGAATTAAGCAAGTGAACAAATGGTTGAGAAAGTATTGATGCTGTTGGAAGTGCTGTTTCACTGCAGAAGATGGAGACAACAAGGTGAAAGGGAGCAAGGCAAAAAAAGAGCCTTGACGGAGTTGGGCTAATGCTGTAGGTATCCGTAGAAATCTATATCTATATCTATATCTATATATCCTAATTTTCTTTGCTGAAATGCCTAGAATCAATGACGCTTGGCACCTCGGTATCAATAAGCCTATTTGGTGCCCACATATTAGTTTCTAAATGCCACTTTCCATTAAAGGGACCAAGGGCTTTTTGAAGAAATAGCAAATTCCAGAACTAAAGTAGAGAGGTAATAAAATGAGCCTGAAACATCTTCTTGTGCCAGAAAGTAAGGAAGTAGTAAAAAAAAAAAAAAAAGAAAAAAAAGTAATTGGGCATGTTAAAAAGACACAGGTAAGTACTCTTCAAAACTGTCATTATCAAAAACAAGGAAAGCCTGATAGACTGTCACAGACCAAAAGAGGCTAGGAGTCATGACAGCTAAACATAATGTGTATTCTGAATAGGATCCTGGAACAGAAAAAGGACATTAGGAAAAAACTAGTGAAATTTGGATAAAGTGTGGAGTTTAGTTAATAACAGTAATGTGCCAATGTTGTTTCCTTAGTTATTACAAATGGGCCATAGTTAGATGTCAATAATAGGGAGAAATGTGTGCAGGGTATGCAGGAATTCTCTGTGTCATCTTTACAACTTTTCTGTAAAATTATTCTAAAATTAAAAGTGTTTTTAAATGTACTTCAAAAAAAAAAAAAAACAACACACAGAGCTAGCTTGAAGATGCTCCTACTGGTCAAATCTAGAACAATTAAGTAGTAATGGGTTATGATGCAATGAATAAGGTATGAATTCATGAGTTCAGACTGATAATAAATAAATATTCTTAGTGGCAAAGGAGGGGCTCTTTCTTCCAGTAGAATTCCAACTGGTAAGTGTGTATGGAGCATGAGTTGGAAAATCACTATTTGCAACCATTGGAGTTAGAACCGGTTTAGGCAAGAATCATCAGTGGGTGCCAAATCTGCTGGAGTTGGACTCTGATGATTTTCATTGCCTTAAGTGTCTCCCTCAAAATTTCTTGTTATATTTAAGAATGGAAAGAAATGTTAATTTCACAGTGGAAAAACATGAAATATCTTAGCTTGGTGATCAAAATTAGCATCTCTAATGAGGTACATATGGATATGATGTACATCCAGACATGATGCCCTGTTAAGGACATATAAACTATTGTAATATTCTAATTAGGGATACAGACTTGAAATCTAAGCATGAGGAAATACCAACAAACAAACAAACAAACGGAAAAACCCAATGGAAAAATTTCTACAAAATATTTTTTCTACCAAAACAAAACAAGTGGCCTATATTCTTAAAATATATCAAAGTCATGAAAGCTAAAACAAAACAAAGACTAAAGAATTGTTCCTGATAAGGAAGATGAAAGAGACTTAGCCATTGAGTGTAGCGGTAGATCCTGGGCTGAAAGAATAAAGATGCTACAAAAGACATTATAGGGACAATTTATAAAAATGAGAATCTGGACTGTAAATTAGATAAAAATATTGTACCAATGTCAAATTTCCTGAATATAACTACACTGTGGAGATGTAAGAAAATATCCTTGTTTTTAAGAAAAACACATTGAAGAACTATTGAAGATCAAATGATTATTAGGCATGTGCCCCACTTTCCAATAGTACAGAAAAAAAAATGATATGAGACTGAGTGAAAGACAGAAAAAATTATAAAGCAAATCTGGCATATTAGGTGAATCTGGGTAAAGGGACTTAGGGAGTTCTCTGTACTATTCTTGTAACATTTCTTTAGGTTTGAAATAACTTTATTTTAAAGTGGAAAGGTAAATAATATTTTTTAAAAATGTGTATATGAACATACATAGCACAAAGTAGGAATTCAACAAATGTTCGTTTTTTGTTTCCTGTCTAATTTGATTAATTGAAAATCATTGTAAAACATGACTGTATTAGAGGGAAAAAAAACTGCCAAAATTCTCTACTTTCAGAAGGTAAGGAGAATGAACACTTGATATCCCAGTTTCTCCCCAAAGAAAGGAATATAAATATTTGAGGATTTGGTGCATAAACTGTGCTTATATTGGCTTCTTTTACTTGGTAGCCACCAGCTTCAAAATCTTTGGAAGGAGATATAACAAGGAAGCTTGTGGTTTCTTAAATAAATTAACTGAATAAATGGATTACTAAAAAAATGCATAGATTGATGGGTCAATGGAACTAAACGTTGTTTTAGAAGAACCTATGACTAATCCAAAAGAATACTCAATCTACTTTAGTACTCGGCTTCCCTTTTACAGGCTATGAAATACCAGGAAGAGACTGTGGCTAAATGGATTAGAGAACCTTCCTTTCCCTGCTGAAATCTGGGGGAGTTTTACAATATTATTCCCTTTAAGTACACAGTTTATTTGAACTCAGATTAGAAGATAAAACACAAATCTACTTCCAATTGACAAGTGGAACAGGATTTGCGATGCAAAATCAACCAGAGAAAGAGCTCAGCTAAGACAAACGTTTACAACTGGGTTGATACAGATCATATATTCTAGATGTGTGAGTCTAATAATCCCTCCACACCAAATTATTCTTCCAGAACATCTTTAAGTGCAAATCAGCTTAATTATGTGCTGTTTTTCTTTTTTGTTCCTGTACAAATTAATGAGAATCCTTCTTAACCCTAAGCAAGACATGACAACGATTAAACTCATGATTGAGAAAACATAAAAACTTGATTTTTTACCCATAAACATTAAATGCCAGGCTCTCAGTCTTCCTTGGCACATCCATGGCCACCGTTCCTAGGTTTGACGTCTCCTTGAAAGCTATAGCCCTGAAATTCTATTTCAATATTCTTACTTTGCATACACTGTGACAGTAAACATCACCTAAGAACCACGCAAAGCATGGTTAAACTTTGTACAGCTTTATTTTATTCAGACTGATACATTCAAATAGGATCTACATCTCCACTGATACACAACTACTCCAAACCACCATCTTCTTGCACCTGGTCTAATATAACAACCTCCAAACTGATCTCGTTTCCATGCTTCCCCCATCTATAGTCCATGTCCCATACGGTAGCAAGGGTAATTGTTTTGAAATATAAATCATGTTTTTCCATAAAACCCACTAGTGGCTTCTTATGCAAATAAAATCCAGACGTATGATATTCCTTTGAAGACCTAGAAACCCTGGTCTCTGCATGCCTCCCCAGTTTCTTCTCCTAAAAACCCCTCCCGCCCTCATGATTATCTAGCCATACTGTCCTTTCTTCAAGCATGCCCAGCTTGTTCTGACCCAGGGCCTCTGCACTAGCTGCTCCTTCCACCTAGAATGCTACTCTGCTTTGAACGGCTGCTTCATACTCATCACTTAGAGCCTATTTTGAATATCACAACACAGAGAGATTTTCTTTGAACACACCATATAAAGTAAATCCTCATTTAGTCAAGCTCTTTCTAACACTCCTAGATGTGTTTACTTCAAAACTCATTACTATCTAAAATTGTGTATTTGTTTACTTGTTAATTTATTTTCTTTCCCTCATTCACTAGAATGTCAGCTACATAAGCAGGAATCTCAGGTTTATGGTTACCATTGTATTCCCAGTATTTAGAATTGTAAGCATTCAATTAATAGACGCTGAAAGAACATGGAATTGAATGAATAATCCCAAGTAAAGCAATGATCTACTAATGTCCTTTGTAGGATTATGACTTACTAAAAATATTCTGGGTTTTTAATTCTCAAGACCACACACACACACTATTCAAACAAATATATGAATTCAACAAAGTTGCCAGATACAAAAGCAACATACAAAAATTTGTTGCGTTTCTATACACTAACAATGAACAATCTGAAAAAGAAATTGAGAAAACAATCCCATGTATAATAGCATTTAAAGGAATAAAATATTTAGCAGCAAACTTAATCACGGAGTTTAAAAACATTAAAGAAGATATAAATAAATGGAAAAGCATCCCATGTTCATGGATTAGAAGACTAACATTGTTAAAATAACCATATTACCCAAAATGATCTACAGATTTAATATAATCTCTATTAAAATTTCCATGATATTTTTTGCAGAAATAGAAAAAAAAATCCTAAAAACTCATGGGACCCTGAGTAGACAAAATCATCTTTGAAAGAGAGGAACAAAGTTGGAGCCCTCACACTTCCTAATTTTAAAACCTATTACAAAGCTGTTGTAATCAAAACAGTATGGTACTAGCATAAAGACAGACAAATAGACCATGAAAGAGACTAGAGATCCCAGCAACAAGCCATCAGGTATATGGTCAGATGATCTTTAAAAAGGGTACCAAGATGACACAATGGGGAAAGGACTGTCTCTTTAATAATCTGGGAAAACTGGATTTCTACATGCAAAAGAATACATTGGACCCTTACACTGTATACAAAAAGGGACTCAAAATGAATTAAGAACCTAAACACAAGACCTGAAACTGTTATACTTATAGAGGAAAACACAGGGTAAAAGCTTCATGACATTGGATTTGACAATGATTTCTTGGATATGACACCACAGTATAGGCAACAAAAGCAAAATAGACAAATAGGATTGTATCAAACTTAAAAACTTCTGCCCATCAAAGGAAACAATTAACAAAGTGAAAAGGCAACTTACTAAATGGGAGAAAATATTTGCAAATCACATGTCTGATAAGGGATTAACATCCAGAATATATTTTGAAGCTCAACAACAACAACAAATCTGATTTAAAAATGGGCAAAGAACTCGAATGGACAGTTCTCCAAATAAGATATATAAACAGCAAAAAAACATATGGAAAGATATTCAACATCACTCATCACCAGAGAAATGCATGTCAAAACAACAAAGATACCATCTCACACTTGTTGGAATGGTAATTATCAAAAAGACAAAAGATAACTGCTGGCAAGGATGTGGAGAAAAGGAAATTCTTGTACCTTGTGGGTGAATGTAAAATAGTGCAGCTGAGCTGCTATGTTAACAGTATGGAGGTTCCTTAGAAA
This sequence comes from Homo sapiens, assembly GCF_000001405.40. NCBI lineage: Eukaryota > Metazoa > Chordata > Mammalia > Primates > Hominidae > Homo > Homo sapiens. The sequence continues at coordinate 75,506,550 of NC_000009.12, read as the reverse complement.
ACTAAGAGTAGAATTATAGAATTAACCATAAGATCCAGCAATCCAACTTCTGGGGATACATCCAAAAGAATTGAAAGCAGGATCTGAAACAGATATTTGCACACCCATGTTCATAGCAGCACTATTCACATTAGCCAAGAGGTTGAAGCAACCCAAATGTTCATTGAGGGATAAATGAATAAATAAACTGTGGTCTATACATACAATGGAATAGCATTCACCCTTTAAAAAGAAGGATATCTTGCCACATACTAAAACAGGATAAACCTTGAGAACATTATGCTAACATAAGCAAATCACAAAAAGGCAAGTATTGTGTGATTCCACTTATATAAAGTGGTCAAATCCATAGAACCAGAAAATAAAATGGTGATGGCCAGGACCTACGGAAAGGGGGATATAGGGCTTTGTTTTTCACTGGATATAGAGCTTCAGTTTGGCAAGATGAAATAATTTTACAGGTCTGCTGTACAACAATGTACATACAGTTAACCTTACTGAACACTTAAAAATGGTTAAGATGGTAAATTTTATGTCATGTTGTCATGTGTTTTTTATCACAATTAAAATTTTTAAAAATTCTGGTTTCTAGAAACTTATCTTCCTTGACCTGAGCTGGGCCTACTCTTGCCTAGATATTTCTCTACTACTTCTCACAAGCTTGTAATCACTTTCAGTTCTGCCCTACTTCCTCCCCTCAATTTAATAAAGTACTTTTCAACTTCCTTATTCCCAGAATATAGGTAGATTGGCTAAGTTTGTAGAACCTATTTCTTGATTCAGCCCAAAGTGGCTGAACTATAGGTCTTCTTTTTGGTTTCCATATTCTCTTAAACACTTGAGTTTTGCCTTGAGTTTTTCCTTTTGTTACTGGATGTTTATCTAAGCATTTGTTTCCTCATTTTCTTTTACCATTTTTTTTAAAAAAGTACAACCTACTTTGCATGTAATTACACAATAGATGTTTTTATATTTAATTTTACCATACAGAAAATAATATTATACCACTCTGGGTGTGCTCTTTGTGTGAATTTAAACTGTGACACTGATGGCTACAATTTTTGAGGCCCATACTGAGACACTATATTATATTCCATCGGATGACTCTATTCCCATTGCATTCTAGAAAATTGTGCCCCTTGGAATTACTTAACATATTTTCTGTAGGACACTCTGGATTAAGCAGAACTGGTTATATTTTTACAATAAGCAATAGGTAACCATAAGACTTTCTTGAGCTGAAAAAAAATCTGGTGAGCTTGAGGTTAGCAAATCAGAAAGGATTACATTCCATTGTGTAGAACAGAAAGTGTGTGGTAATGATGGCTTAGAAACATACGGGTTTACTTTTCTCTCAAATAAAAGAAATCTGAAAGTAGGTACTCCAGGGGTTATCATCAGGGATCCAAGTTCTGTTTATCTTTCTGCTGTACCCTCCTTGGCACTGGTGTCTATCCTAAAGATTTCCTCATGTTTCAAGGTAACTGCTGAAACTCCAGCTATCAGGACTACATGGCAGGCAACTGAGAGAAAGAAAAAGGGTAAGAGCAAAAGGGCATGAGCCTTTGAAGACATTTTGCAGCTTATATTTCATTGGTCAATGTGAGGAAATGTTGTTTTTCCTCATTGGGCACACTGCCCAGGAAGAAGGGGAAATGGATATTGGGTAAGCAGTTAGCTATCTCTGCTCAGTTAGAAATAGTAAATGTAGCTGAATAAATGACAAAATACATTTATGATGATAGATTCATATAATTGATTTTTATAGGTAGAAATACAAATGTTATTGATGCATCAGATAAAATTCAAGTATAGTATTATACATTCTCTGAATCACATATAAATATGTTTTGATTTGCCAATAATTAGAAAAGAGCATACTAAGAAAACTTTCAGAGCTAATTATTAAAAATAAGCCAAGCAATTTGAACATTTATTTAGATCTGTAAACCAGAGTCCCTCAATAAGACTATTAAAATAATTTAAAATTATCGGAGAACAATATTTTGTATCTTTTCTGATTTGCAAAAGACAAGAGCAATTTTATGATTGTTTGTTTTGAATCTATGAGTTCTTGGTTGCACAATTGTGATGGTACAGAAATCAATGATGATGGGGCATTTGTCCAAAGATCTAAATCCACCCTCCTATAGAAGAAAAACTCAAATAATGTCCCTAGTTAAAATAAAAAATAAACATACACCTTGGAACTCACACATCCAAATGAGAGTCATCATTCAAAATAAACCTAGAAATCTGGACACTTTCTTTCAATGATACAGTTATTATTTTAAAGGTTTTTGCAACTTTCTTCTAGAAATGGGGGTTGGGGCAGGGAGAAAAGGCAGGGTTCTGATTGTCTTAGTAACTCTTTTATGCACTTCATGAAATGTTTTGCTTCAAGAAGAATATTATCCAACTTGATCAATGATAGATCCATCAGAACTAGCTCCAAATGACTTTTTATTGTTTCCAGGAAAGATTTGCTGCCACTGAGGTCACTGGCATAGACAAGTTAAAGAAAATCAATTCACCTTATCAGGCCTCATTTCTTCATCTGAAAAATTATGAGGAGGGATCAGGTAGATAATCTCTAAGTTTCCTTTCAGAATGGTGTTCAGAGATTCTATAATTCCTTTTGCTAACCCTATGCTTTAGGTCCTGCACCTAGAAACTTTAGAATTTATTATTTTAAAGTCATAATCTATTTCAATGAATATACATTATCAAAATTCACCATTAACATATCAACAAACACAGACATATATGTGTGTGTATAAAATAAATAAATTCATGTTTACATTCAAAATATATGGGAAATAGAAAAGATCTACTACTAATCAAAACTCAAGTTGATTATGGGTTAATGTATATTACTTCCCTGCTGGCTTCTCTGAAATTTATTGAGGTTGGTGCAAAAGTTTATAACTGCAATTACTTTTGCACCAACCTAAATAAACCTCTAAGGAGAACGGGAGGTAGGGAAGGAAATTAACATTTATTAGAGGACAACTAAGAGTCATGCAATTGCTAGTAACTTTTGTTATAAATCATCATAGTCTAAAAGACTCCTGAGTTACAAGGCTTGCTAGTTATCCCAAACAACAACAAAAAAAAGATTTTTTTTTTTAAAAGCAGCTTTTAAACATCTCCTAGCTATTACCAACCTACTGCACGCTCTGCTCCAGTTAATGTTCCTTCCTAATGCTTACTCTTTGTCTCAAGAACTCAGAAGACATAGCTATTCCTAGGGTTTTGTGGGTATCAAGTGCCAGGAAACACAGCTTTCACTCTATGTGATCCCCAATTTGACTTGTCTGAAGAAGTATGAGTATATTCTAATACATGTGTTCTTTATCTAAATTCTTGCATTCCAAATATTCTTCTCCCATTTCCACTGAATCGCAAACTTCATAAGCACAGATATTTCAACTAACCACATTTGTAGTAAAATGTGCTGCCCTGTTACTTTAGCCCAAATCTCTATATTTTGAATGCAAAAATCTTTGATACTTGGCATAAATATTAAATTTATCTGGGAGGTTTCAATTTTGAACAAAATCAGTGTTTCATTTCTCACTTGCTGGATTTTTGGAACTGTTTACCGATGAAAAGAACACTGTTGGCATTGAACCATTCAATCCATTTTGGTCAGAAGTATGATATTTTTATTTCTAATAAAAGTGCCCTGCAAATCCCAAGGCAGCCCCATGCTGCTTTTTATTTAATGTAAATTACCTCCGTGGACTGCTACTTAAAAAGTTCAGCCAATAGATAAACTTCCTACATCCCCTCCAGTTCTTCTGAGAGTAATTTCTACACTCTAGCAAAACCTACTAGCTATAATCAGATTTCTAAGTTTAAAACAAAACAAAAAATATAAACAAGCTGATTTACACTGAAAACCATGAAACTCCTAGGGAATTATGGGCAGCCAAGCGGATGGCTCTAGGGGAAAACAGTTGTTGGCACAAAGTTGCACATATCTAGTTTTTTATATTTCTGAATTCCTGCTGGTGATGGTGGAGAAACAAGGAGAAAAAAGATGGGGTAATATTGGCTTGTTATACAACTAACACCTGCAGATCAGGAGAAGAAAGGAAAGATGTCAATGAGTCTAATAAGATATAATTGCGCAAATATTTGAGTCTTGAGGAAATGTGCAAAAAAATGCATACAGAATCATCGCAGGTTCATATAATCCTGGTGGAAATGAACACTAGCTGTCTGTAATGTTAAGAGAACCTTTTGCCCTGTGTCTTAGAAATGGTTAGGACAGTATATTCATGATAAAGCTGAGAATGTTTAGAAGTGTTCTGGGTTCATCATTGTTCAGTAATGGTGCCTGTTTCTGCTTTAGAAGGCACTATAATTTTTTCTAAGGTACCTGTACCTCTTCCCAGAAATCTACTTTCAATAACAATCTCCTAATGAAAGAAAAGCAAAAGGAATTAATATTTATTAAAAGCCAACTAAGAGTTGGGCATTTTCTTAGCAATTTTTGTAAATCACATAGTCTACAACAGCTCTTTAAATCAAAAAAAGTAATTTTCTGGCTTCTGCACTGCAAAAGAAACTATCAGCAGAGTAAACAGACAACCTAAAGAATTGGAGAAAATATTTGCAAACTATGCATCTGACAAAAGCCTAATATCCAGAATCTGTAAGGAACCTAAGGAAATTAAGAAGTAAAAAATAACCCCATTAAAAATCAGGCAAAGGACACAAACAGAAACTTTTCAAAGAAAGACATGCGGCCAAAACAAGCATATAAAAAATGCTCAATATCACTAATCATTACAGAAATGCAAATCAAAACCACAATGAGATACCATCTCTTACCAGTCAGAATGGCTATTATTAAAAAGTAAAACAACAACAACAAAAAAAAAAAAACCAGATGCTGGCAAGGTTGTGAAGAGAGGGGAAAGCTTATACACTGCTGTGGGGAATGTAAATCAGTTCAGCCATTGTGGAAAGTAGTTTGGTGATTTCTCAAAGAATTTAAAACAGAACTACCATTTTGACCCAGGAATCCCATTACTGGCTATACCCAAAGGAATATAAATCATTCTACCATAAAGACACATGCACATGTATGTTCACTGCAGCACTATTCACAATAGCAAAGACATGGAGTCAACCTAAATTCCCCATCAACAATAGACTGAATAATGAAAATATGGTACATATACACCACGAAATATTCTGCAGCCATAAAAATGAATGAGATTATATTCGTTGCAGCAAAATACATGGAGCTGGAGGCCATTATCCTAAGCAAACTAACACAGGAACAGAAAACCAAATATTACATGTTCTCACTTACAAGTGGGAGCTAAATATTGAGTACACATGGACACAAAGAAAGGAACAGCAAACACCAGGGCCTACTTGAAGGTGGAGGGTGAGAGGAGAGTGAAGATAAAAAAAACTACCTATTAGGTATTACGCTTATATCTGGGTGATGAAATAATCTGTACACCAAACCCCCACAACACGCAATTTAACCATGTTACAAACCTGCACATGTACCCCTGAACCTAAAATAAAAGTTATTTTTGAAAAAAGTAATTTTCTCTCCCCCAGTGAAAGGAAGAGTTAAAACAAAAAGGCTCCTTTTGAACACCTTCTAACTAGGACCGATATGTTATCCCACAGTTTTTGTTAACTTTCCTTCTTAACATTAGCATTAATATGAAGTGTTCTACTAGGGACAACAGACATACATATTTTGGTCTCCGAGAAAATTTGTGAATCTATTCCAAAGAGTTTAAGATCAACAGAAGCAACAATTAAAAGGACAGGAACTGGAACGAGAAAGAGGAACAGAAACAGATGGTGTAATGGATTGAAAAGTATCCTCCTAAAATTTATATGTCAAAGCCCTATCCCTCAGAGCCTAGGAATGTGACTGTATTTGCTGCCAAATTCTCTACAACTGAGCTATACTCCCCAAATGTGACTGCATTTGGAGACAGAGCCTTTAAGAGGTCATTAAGGTTAAATAAGGTCATAAGCATCCTAATTTAACCCTAATCCAATAGGACTGGTGTCTTTATATCAAGGGACACCAGAGAACCAGAGATGCAAAGGCCGTGTGAGGACAGAGAGAGAAGGCAGCCATCTGCAAGTCAAGGAGAGAAACCATCCTCAGGAGAAACAAACCCTGCACACACACCTTTCCCTTGGACTTCCAGTCTCTAGAAGTGTGAGAAAAGAAATTTCTGTTGTTTAAGCCATCCAGCCTGTGGCATTTTGTTATGACATCCCAAGCTGACTTATGCAGATGGCAAAAAAAAAAAAAAAAAAAAAAAAAAAAAACAATGAACAAGAACAGGCAGAAGTAAAAACATAAAAATAGAGTGCATGTTTTAAAATGACTGAATAAGCTTCAATAAACAAGAACGCATAAAACGGAAGAAGGATCTTGACCCTGCTCTGAAGACCTTGGCTTCTTATAGAAGACTGACCAGAAAGCCAGGGATCAGAAGGCTTTCCCTGCTCCTGTGCCTGTGACTGAAAACAGCAGATAACTTCCTACTTCTAAACTCATTCTGAGTCACAAAGACAGAAGGTTTCAGTGGAGACAAATCTCCTTCTCACTGTCTTTTTCCTCTGTTGAAACTCCTGCTGCGATGTGTTAAGGCTTGGCAGTTGGTACTCTTAGAAATGGCCGGATGCTTGTCAATTCATTTCTTTAAATCATTGAACACCTATTGGGAGGTAATACAACCTGACAAATTCATGGACTCTAGTAAAGCCCCACTCTGAAAATAAAACTGATTTAATTATTAGTCAAGTATATAATGTTGAGATATGTTCAATTTATCCTATAGACTTTTAGCAGAATGTTAGAATTCCTTCTCTTGAAGAGAAAAATCAGTTGCCTACTTAGGTTTCAATAATTATTATAATTGTAATATTCTTATTTATAACTTTATATACATTTTCTGTGCTATGAGACCATGTCATATTTATCCTTAGCCTCTCCTCTCAAAGCCCAGTACATTGTTTAGTACCAGTAGTCTTTTAGTTGAAGTTTGTGAAATGAATGGGTCAGTCCAAGAATTAATTAATCACATTTCATGAGAATATCTTTGTAGAAGTGTGTACATCTGACTCTTCCCTTCCTTCTAGCCAATGGCTGAACTGTTCAACTGCTCTGGGACCATCTGTTTAGCAAGCAAACCTATAAAGGTGGGATTCATATGTTTATTCATTAGCCTACAATTTAATTTCATGTTGATATGTTTGTTCCCTTCCATTTATTTATAAAAGGTTGTTCAAGATTTTTCTTTTCTTGCTTTTACTTTTAATGTGAAGATACAGATTTCCATTTGAGGTGTTTTGCCATAAAATCATCTAGAAGCTTCTGATCAATGTGTATTCCTGCAGCCAGAGCTCCTGTAAATGGATGTGCGGACCATGCATTGCACAACTCAGGATGTCATTCACAAATAGTCCATGTGACTCTTATGTAAAACAACCAATTTTTTAAATGTTAGCTCCTATTTCATGTTTTAACTACTTTTGAGACTGGTTTATAGTTAGGACCAACAGCCTTGTTTAAGGGGATATATTGATCTCAATGCAAAAAATGATTCACTTGCTTCTTCAAGAGCAAATTAGTCTCTATCTATATCCCTTTTTATTTTCCCCTACAATTACAATAACTTTTCTTTCTTCTTTTTTACAGATTATGTTAATACACTGATTTTAAAAATCTCAAATAGAACAAAAGTAAAAATTTCCTGAAATGCTACTATTTAATTAATTTCCCCCTCAGACACACTGACCAGTTTCCTACCAAGAAGATCGTTATTCTCTACATATAGTCTCATTTATTTCTCTCTCCACAAAATCATTAAATAAAATGTTGATAATTTGGGATCTCAAATCTAAGCAAATATAAAAGAAATTTATTCTTTCAAATGTAAAAGAAATCTCACTCTTTCTCTTGCCTGCGGCCATGTAATACGTCCCTTGATCTACCGTGATTGCGAGGCCTCCCCACTCACAGGGAACTGTGAGTCAATTAAACCTCTTTTTCTTTATAAATTAACCAGACTCAGGTATGTCTTTATCAGCAGCATAAAATGGAATAATATACATGATATACAGTATGTTTGAATAATTGATACTTAATCAAGTATTTGAACATTTAATAAGGCAATATTACCTCACCATTATTTTTTATACTTTTCTTGGCTCTTCTGACATACTTAATCTCTCAAATGATTTTCAAGGTCTTATTATCTAATTCCAACAAACTACAAATATAAAGGTATTCCAATTAAATTTTGTCTAATTTGTTTATTTTATGGAAATTTTTGAGTTATGAAATCACCTCATGCAAAAGCATAGATTTTCTTTCTAAATGACTACATCTTGTTTATGTCCTTCGATAAGATTTTATACCCAACTGGACCCAAACTCCTGATTTTTTCTTTTTCTTTTACATCCCATGTTCAATCCATGACCAAATTCCATCATTTCTACCACCAATATATATGTACTTATCATGTCAACCTCAACCATGCTAAGCTAAATCATCACATATGCCACATGGAAATTCTCTTAACTGGTTTCCTTGCTTCTGCTTTTACCACCCTATAATCTATTCCCCACACAGAAACTAGAATGATCCTTTTAATACCCATGATCCTTTTAATACCATAGTCACCCCTTTGGTATTAAAAAGATCATTCTAGTTTCTATGTGGGGAATAGATCATAGGGTGGTAAAAAGTAGAAGTAAGGAAACCAGGTAAGAGAATTTCCATGTGACAGATGTGATGGTTTAGCTCAGCATAGTCGAGGTTGAAATGATAAGTACTTATATTTTGGTGGTAGAAATGACAGGATTTGGTAATGGATTGAACATAGGATGTAAAAGAAAAAGAAAAATCAGGAATGACACCAAGGATTTTGGCCTGAGCAATTGGAATAATGGAGTTTCCATTTTCAGAGATAGGAGAGTACAGAAAAAGCAAATTTATGGTGGAGGGGCTGGTGGATATGTAATCCAGTGGTTCAATTTGAAAATGTTTGAGAAGCTTATAGATATTCAAATAAGGATATCACACGTAAAATCAGAAAAAAAATTCTGGACCTGAAATAAATTTGAGAATCCTCAGCAAATAAATGTTGTTTAAAGCCACAAAACTGGATGAGGTCACCCAAGAAGATGGTGTAGGTGGAAGAGAGAAGCAGCCTAGGGGCTGAACTCAGGGACACTCTGGTAGGGGTAAGGTAGTGAGGATGAGCCAGCAAAGAGGTTCAGAAAGGACATACAGTGAAGTATGAGAAGAACTCTGGGTGAGGGCTTTTCTAGGAGAAAAATGAAGTCCTTCAAGGAATAAGGAATGATAAATTGGGTCGAATAAGATGATTGCAAATTGACCATTGGATTTGGCAATGTGAGATTATCTAGTATGGAAAGGAGGGCAAGTGGATATTGCAAACAGAGACAGATCTTTAGTTAAAAGGGAAGTAGAGAACTGGGGCAGTCCCTGGAAAGAAATATGGGTCAAGGAAAGTTTATTGGCTTTTTAGACATACTGACAGCATGTTTCTATGCTCATGTGAATGATTCAGGAGAGAGGAGAAATTTGACAACAAAGAGAGAAAAGAAAAAATTGCTGGGACAATGCTCTTGAGTAGGTAGGAAGAGCTATGATCCAGTGGAGGACCTGGCCTTCCACAGGTAGTTGATCCATAGCAATGAGAAGGAAAGCCGACTACATGAACAGAGATATAGGTGAGGTGGTAGATGTGATGGGGGACTGGAGAGAGACAAGGGCAAAGGGTTTGGGTGATTCGAGAAACGAGGAACTTTGAAATAGTCATCAAGGAGAACGGAAGACTTAATAGGGAAACAAACACAGTGAACTGACCCAATACCTGAGGGCCAATGTGAGGTTATGGTCATGGATTTAAAATGATATTAATGAACAATTTGTGTTTTTGTCCAGCTCTGTTCATCTATCTTAGTGAAGCCATGAAGTAGATAAAGTTGGGTTTAATCCATGTAATGGTTTTTGCTGGGCAAGTTCAAAGGAGCGAGAAAGGAGAAAGGGTATTGAGAATGTATGAGAGAAGTAATTTTAATGTTATATCATGACATTTAAGATGAATAAGGAGGAGAGTTATGACATGTGCACAAGGGTGGTAAGGGAAAATAATGAGGTAGTATGTTCAATTTTAGATTCAGTTTTGATCAGTGAATTTTGGAAATGAGTTTACAGGATGGATTAAGCTGGAAGGATAACAAGAGTTATCATAGACTGGGATAGTTAAAAGAGATTATGAACAGGATATACTGACTGGCAATGACAAAGTCTGGGCATCTCACTTAGAGTGGAGGAGAATAGAAGATAAAGGAATTGAGAGTCTAGGAAATTAGGTGGATCCTCCATGTAGTTACTGAATTTGCCAATACTTAATTAGGTGTAAGGTCAGAAAGAGGAATAGTGAACCAACTGCCTAAATGTTCACATCTTCAAGGAATGAGGGGGAAAGACTTTAAGAATGAGTCTTTCCGGCCAGACATGGTGGCTCACACCTGTAATTCCAGCACTTTGGGAGGCCGAGGCGAGTGGATTATGAGGTCAGGAGATCAAGACCATTGTGGTCAATGTGGTGAAACTCCGTCTTTACTAAAAAATACAAAAAATTATCCGGGCTTGACGGTGTGCACATGTAATCCCAGCTACTCAGGAGACTGAGGCAGGGGAAATCACTTAAACCTAGGAGGCAGAGATTGCAGTGAACCAACATGGCGCCACTGCACTGCAGCCTGGCAACAGAGCAAGACTCCATCTCAAAAAAAAAAAGAAAAGAAAAGAAAAGAATGAGTCTTTCCAAGAGTTTATTATTGATCCAATTAGGTGTTATGCCTTTTCTAAACCAATCATTCTAGCAAAAATGATGAGGTACACAATTGGCTTAAGCTAACTATGGCCCACTCCTAGAGTTGAAGGTGGAATAAATGTAGTACAGACAGAATTGATAATAAAGGAAGAGAAACATTTCTCAAAAGGATATTCAAAGTACTATCATTATAAGAAGGGGGAATGTTTTAAGAATTTCCATACTGTTTTCCATAGACAGTATACCATTTTAGAATCGCACCAACAATGCACAAGCGTTCCTATCTCTCCATATCCTTGCCAACACATTATTTTCTAGATTTGTTTGTTGGTTGGTTTGTCTATAATGACCATCCCAATAGATATGAGGTAAGATACCTCACTGTGGTTTTGATGACTAGTAATATTGAACATCTTTTCATATACCTATTAGCAATTTGTGTGTCTTTTGTGGAGACATGTCTACTCAAATTCTTTGCCCATTTTTTAATTGGGTTATTTGGTTATTTTGCTATTGAGTTGTAGTAGTTTATATTTTCGGGTATTAGTGCCTTATCATGTATAGGGTATATTGCAAATATTTTTCAGAGGTTACCTTTTCATCCTGTTGATTGTTTTCTTTGCTGCACAGAAAGAAGCTTTTTAGTTTGATGTAGGACTACCACATGATCCAGCAACCTCACTTCTGAACATTTATCTGAAAGGATTGAAAACAAAATGTGGAAGAGATATTTACACTCCATGTTCATTTCAGCATTAGTCACAGTATTCAAGAGCTGGAAACAACCTAAATGTCTATTGACAGATGAATAGATTAAGAAAATGCTGTATATACATATAATGGAATATTATTAAGCCTTAAAAAAAGAAAATCTTGTCATATACTTCAACATAGATGAGCCGCAGGACATTATGCTAAGTGAAATAATTCAGTCACAGAAGGACAAATACTGCTTGATTCCACCTACATGAGAAATTTAAAAGAGTCAAAACTCATAGAAACAGAAAGTAGGATGGTAGTTGCCAGGGGCTAGAGGGAGGGGGAAATGGGCAGTTGCTGTTCAATGGGTATAATGTTTTAGTCATTACAGATGAAAACGTTCTGGAGATCTGCTGGACACACTGTACATATAGTTAACAGTGCTGTACTGTACACTTCAAAATTTGTTAAGAGGGTAGATCTCATGTTATGTGTGTGTATGTGTTTTACCACAGTAAAAAAAGAAAGGGAAATGGATTCTGGATAGCAAACAACAGGTGTATACAACAATTGTTAATACTATTGCCTATAATACCAAATCTTGCTCTACCCAAGTTTTGTTTTCTTAGATTTTCTAACTGATTAGATTATATTTATGTATAACGATATACTATGACCAAAAGCCCCCAAAACAAACTTAATGGTAATCGTTACACTATCACAATATTCCTTACCTTGACCCATTTGACCAGACAAGATGGAAAGATTTTTTGTTTGTTTGTTTCTTGTTTTTTAGAATCTAGCTTGCCAATCTTAGCATTGCTAAGGCTTCAGCATCCAAAGTGGTGTTTTAAAGATTTGGTATTTGAGTGTTGATTTCTACAGTATTACTGGGTTTAACATGTCCTTTCTTCCTACAATGACCTGTCACCAATCTAACCAAAAGCTCCCTCCTGTCTACTTCTATCCCCATTCTTCTATCCCAAGCCCCAGAAAACAAAGTAGCTGAAATGTAAAATTTCTTTTCCCACTCGTATGTTCTACATTTTACAATTTTGGGGCTCTCTTGCAGTTAGGTTGTGAATGTGACTAAATTCTAGTCTCTGGAACATAGGTAGAAATAAGATATGCCACTTCTGGGCTTGGCCTTTAAAGTATCCATGTGATTGTAAACACCTTCTTTGTCCCATCCATGAAACAGGCATTGGAACATGCCCAGTGATAGAGACATACAGTGGAAGAAACCCAGATACCTGAGTCACTGCCTGAAGAAAGCTGCCTAGAGAAGCCATCCAGCCTGACACAGATGATGACATAAGCAAGAAACAGTTTTTTATTGTAGAAAGCCACATAAATTTAGGTGATTGTTACTGCAGCATTGTTCTGCAGCATTGTTTATCCAATTCTGACTGATAGAGAAAAGAAGCCCAAGTAATGCTACATACTGTTGTTACATATTTTCCCCAAGGAGCAGTCTAGGATCCTATGTTTTTTTAAGTCCACACAGCTTTACCAGGACCTAGTTACTAGACCCAAAGGGTGTAGGAAGAGCCCCAGGCTCACTGAAGTTCCCCACAAAACTTCTATGGCAGCCAATTTAGAAAAGGATCATCGATGTTGCTCTGAATATTATAAGCATTGCTTTAACCCAGGAGACACACAGCATTATCTGATACGATTTGACATTTATTTCATGGTTATTAAGCCTAAGACAGAAACTTTTCTTGACATAGAGAAAATCTTAAGCCACATAGATTATTTGTCCACATTACTAAAGTTAGAAACTTTTAAGAAAGTACAAGGCTAGCCGTATGATATCCAGATGTTTACAATTTAGCCTATGTGAATCTTCAACGGCATTTTAGTCCCAAGGTGATATACCCTAGTTATTTCTTAGTGGGAGCTTTTTATTTCTTTGTTACTTTAGAATACCTCTCCTTCTAACATTAGATTTAAAATGGATGTATCATTAATTGCTTGCCTTGGACACTTTATCCAATGCATGCAAAAATGCAGTTCTTTTAAGTACGGTCATCAAATAGTGTAAAAGAAAACCACAAGCCATAATGGACAGATCATCATCTCTAGGTGATACATACAGTATATGATTCTTGCCCCTCAAACTACCCAGGCTGTTTTCAGAAAAATATGGCAATAGAGGCTGCTTCCCTGCCAGGTCCTAGTAGGAAGCTGTCTGTTTCACAAAGAGTATCTGTGCAACAAGCCTACAGATCATCTGTCCAACTGATTATTCTGAAGTTTCCCAGTGTTGACATATTTTGAGCCTGACATTAACACCTTCAAAAATAAATGGCCAATTTGGAAGGATCTTGGTGATAACCAGCTGTAAATAACAATAATTCCTCAAGTTGCTTTTAATGGAAACTCTCAGGCATTTTTCTAGAAGTTTGACTTTGTTTTTTTCTCCAAATAATGTGTTTTCTCACTTCTGCATGTTCTATTTCTGACCAGTACCTGACGTGTAACACTGTTTAGAAGTCTGCTCTGACAAAAGCACACTGCTGTGACTGGATATAGATAATATCTACTCCTGGGTTGCAAGGTGACCTTTCAAATTATTTAACTTCCAGGTTTCACTATTCCCAGCCAAACAATGGTAATCATGCCTACCAACAGCTTAAAGTGAAGGCATCATTGGCTTTATGCCATATATAAGCAGATTCCAATTTTAACTCTGCCATCTGCTGGCTGTGTGACCTTGAGCAAGATTCTTAACCTCTCTGAATCTCAAGTTTTGCAGTGTTACTGTGAAGTGTTAAGAGTTAAGCGGGTGGTCTATAAGGTCTCTAACTCAGTGTCTGATACATTGTAAATAATAAATATTCATTCCTTATAAAGCAGTTGAAACTCACTGGCCTAGGAGTACTGCTACAAAACCGTGAAGGAGGGTTACTGAGATTTCTCAGCAGGTTGCTTTTATCCAAAATATTCATAAAGGGAGCTGGGGTTACCTATGGCCATGTCTGCTCTACCCTAGAAAGGGAGAAGCAGGGTATACAAAAATCATTATTATCCCTGGTTTTACAACTTCTAAGGTTATTTCCAGGGATCAGACTTGCTGTGCATAAAAATTGCTGTTTGTGTCTGTCAGGTGGATGGGGCACTGTGCTGAGACAGAAGGATGCATCAGCCCCTGCTTTCAAAGAGCCTGGAAAGAGAAAGCAAAGCTTTCAACACACAAGTTGCCCAATAGCAACACAATAAAGCCATTATCAGTCATGTAAACCTCATCGGTCCAGGAAGCACATGTTCCCTCCAAGCTCAATAACTTATGGGTCTGCTCAATCAACACTGCTAAATTTTCTTGGCCTCACTGCCTCCAAAATGAAATCCTTCCAGCTGTGACTCTTTAGAATTGCAGGTTAATTCCTTACACTTAGCAGAATCATTAGGAAGGCAAGCTTGAATGGGGAAAAATGAGCTAATATGAAAAGTATAAGATGCAACCTAAGAGGTATTTGAATTGATGCTATCCCCTGTTTTTATCCTGGACCAGTCTCAGTTGTGAGTACACTCAAAGCACGGAGGGGGTCTGTGGATTGTGTTTTCTGCCCCCATCACATCCTATAGCTACCCTCAAAGTCCATATCCTCCATTAAACAACTCTAGATCCTACAAATGAATGTCATCTCTGCCTTCTGTGAATTAATTTTTAAGTCAAACATATTTTTCTTTAGATATAAGAGGTAAGGTATAGTGAACAAGAGCAAGGACCTAGAAACCCAACCATCCTGAGTTCAAGTTATGCCTTTACCCTTAACTTGCTGTATGACTCAAGCTTACAGAGCCTTAATTATAGCATTTTCAAAAGTAAGAGATGATGTTACACGATAGAGTTATTATAAGCATTAAATAAAATCATGCATTTAAAAGACTTAGCAGATGCCCATAGTGTGCAAAATATCATGGTGGTTGTTATCATGTTGTTATTATCATTATTATTCTCTCTCCTACTTTAGCATAAACTCACAGAGGATAGGGACAAGGCTTCATATTGCATTGCTTCCTTTGGAGGGTTTGGCTCAAAACTACCCAGAAAGTGTTGAACAAATTTAAATTGAAGTTATAGCCATTTGCTTTAGTCATGATGCTTTCCATTGTAACTGATAGAGACCACAATCAAACTAGCTTAGGCAAATGTGTAAGCCTGCAGTACAATACTGAGTATGTCTTATATAATTGAAGGAAATCTGAACAACCACAACTTGATAAAGGCAGAAATGCACCTGGCTTCTGAAACAGCTGGAGCCAAGGACTTGACTGTGGCAAGGCTAACCTCTGACCCACATTTCTGTCCACTTTAGTTTCTGCCACCAAAAACAGGCTTCCTTCAAGTGAGAGGAAAACTGGCTGCCAAGGGAACCTGATTTTATGAATAGTTTCCATCTCTAGAGAAGAACTGACTCTTCCTCTCTTCCTTTCACAAAAATCCCAGGGGAAGCATTCCTATTGGCTGAACTCTGGCTATGTGCCTGCTTCTAGAGAAATTACTTGAGGTCAGAGTATGACAGCATCACGGAAGACCAGGGTGGATCCTGAGTAACCATATGGTTGGATCTGGGGAAGAGGCAGTTCCTAAGAGAGGAAAATGCTGTTCCTAGAGGCAGAAAGGGTACAGGACAGAAAATACGACATGATGTGCACTAAACTATGGGCATAGGGTGCCACACTGTTCCCCAAACAAAGTTAATTTGAATATACTCTAATTATTTTCATGTCTGCACACATACAGTATTTGGAGGAGTAGAGTGGCATTAAAGCTTCAGGACTAGTATAGCTCCATAAATATGAAGGAACACAATATTAATAGTTTAAAAAACAGTATGTGCTGAAACTTTTAAAATGTGATATTATCTCACAAATAAATCAAACAGCCAACTTAAATAGATCATTTGACTAGAATGGTATGCTTAGCATCCATTCTAAACATTTTAAATGTTTCAGTGTTCTCATATTGGTGAACATTTGTATTAGTCTGTTCTCATGCTGCTAATAAAGATATACTGGGTAATTTATAAAGGAAAGGAATTTAATTCACTCACAGTTCCACATGGCAGGGGAGGCCTCACAATAATGGCAGAAGGCAAAGGAGGAGCAAAGTCACATCTTACATGGCAGCAGACAAGAGAGCTTGTGCAGGGGAACTTCCCTTTAAAACCATCAAGTCTCATGAGACTTACTCACTATCAAAAGAACAGCACCAGAAAATCCTGCCCCCGTGATTGAATTACCTCCCACCAGGTAATTCCCATGACATGTGGGAATTCTGGGAGCTATAATTCAAGATGTGATTTAGGTGGAGACTGAGCCAAACCGTATCAACATTAAAGAGTGATAAGATTTTTGTTTTCCTTCTTATTCTTTCAGAGTATGCATATTGACCTAAATCTGGTGTTCTGAATAAGATATTTACTCTAAGTTTAAACAATAGATAATTTTCTTTTTTTTTTTTTGAGATGGAGTCTCGCTCTGTCACCCAGGCTGTAGTGCAGTGGCACAGTCTGGGCCCACTGCAACCTCCACTTCCCAGGTTCAAGCAATTCTCCTGCCTCAGCCTCCCAAGTAGCTAAGATTACAAGCACCTGCCACCATAACCAGCTAATTTTTGTATTTTTAGTAGAGATGGGGTTTTGCCATGTTGGCCAGGCTGGTCTGGAACCCCTGACCTCAAGTGATCCCATTATTAATAAGGAAAGAAAGGTAAAAATAAGGAAAGGAGAGGGAAAGAGATTTTATTTTTTCATAATAGCAAAAGTAGTACCTCATTTTTTACCCCACCCAAAATGAATATATCAAATAAATGATTTTTTAGATTAAGCAATAGTACTCATGACCTCTTTTCAATAAGCAACTTGGACTCCTCACGAAATTAGACATTTCTGATACAACATTTTAAAGACAAAACTAAGAGAAACCAACCCTTAACTAGAAGGTAACAGAAGCAGAGGACCCCTGTTGTCACTGTAATTGAATGGCATTCTGCCCAACAGCTATTTGGCACCTGGAGTTTAGGTTTGCCCCCATTTGCAGGCCGGTGGCAATCCAGCTTGCCTGGTGTGTCAGAGTTTTGGCAGGAAAAAGCTGGCACTCAAAACTGGTATACGTGAAGAGAATTTAATAAAGGGACTAGTTCCTATTGATGAGCAGGGAACAGGGAAACTGAAGAAGAGTGCTGTAACCCAGGGTGCTGACAACGGTGCACCATCACCTCCATGTACCTGAAGGGGTAAGCGGACGGTTTGTTTATGGGAATCAGAGACATGGAAGGCTGCATGGATGGGACAACTAACAGAGCTTTGCCTCCTCTGGGCCCCCTTGCAGGGAGACAGCCACGGAAACAAACACTCTCTTCCTTCCACCCATTGAACTCTCTGACCAGAGGCCAAAGGGCAAGAAAGCCAATTTAATGCCATTCTTATGAGATAGCCACCCAGGCCCCGGAGCGGGGTAGAGAATGTGGACATGGGACCTAGCACATAGCCCTCTGACTGGGTCACATCAACACTTCAGCTCACACCCAATCAGTCACCCCAGCCACATGATAAGAGATTTATAAGAAAATCAAAATCTCACATAGCTTAATATCCCACAAGTACTGGGAGAGAACTGAGAACACTGTCTGCTTTAGCCCATGGACTTGGCAAAGGCTCTTTTCCTCCCTCCCTCCCTGGAGACCTGAGACATCCTAGGAGTGTCATTAGTACCACATCAGCAACCAGGGCTAGGCAGCTGGCTGCTCCTGACAGCTCTTCAGGACAATGGCTTTTAAGACATCGGATCCAGATCCCCTCAAGTCCAAACATTCTAGTCCAGTGTTATAAGGCAAGTTTAACTGCACAGCTTCCAGGGATCAAGTCCTAAACCCTGGTCCTGTGGTGCATGGTGTTGACAGAAATATGGCCTCTTAGGGTTTCTGAAGATCCCCCCAAGGGAACTAACAGGACTATAAATCAGGAAGTGCAGATGGGCTGCTTTATGAGTCTCAGTGTCTCCTTATATGGACTTCAGAATGCCTATTTGAAATATGAAATTGAAGCAGCAAGCGTGTCCAACATAAATTTTCCCAACTCATGGAGAAGCATTCAAATTGTTATTGTAAAACTAACACATGGAGTATCAAACTGTAGCTTGCTTTAACGGTTAGTTCATTCTATAAGAACCAGTAAGTCAGTTTTGCTTCCCTCTCTTCAAGCAGGCTTCTCAGCTGAATTCACACTAAATGTAAAAGATCAAAATCTTCATTTCCAAATGAACCTTATGGATAACTCAATAACAGAGTTCACCACTGTGATCTCAATTCAGATAAAACATTCTACTTAAAAGGAAAGGGACATTTCTGAATATAATTTTCAAAGCATGCTCATTGGATTCTTTGATCTTCTCAGTGACCATGTGAAATAGCATCCAGGTGTTACTATTGTTGTTGTTTTAAGATGAGATTAATTGATACTTGTCAGTATCATGGAGTTTTCAAGTGGTAATGTCTGATTTGAAACCCAGGTGTTTGACTATTTATACCATGATTTTTCTGCTTTTCTATGCTGCTTTTTTATGAGATAAAACTGCAGTTATACCAACACAGCATCTCTTTGAGACAGTAGTGTCACCAAAGCCAATTCATAAAGAAATAAATAATTTCAGCAAATTTCTGCCTTCATCATGTAAACTTGTTAATATAATATTACCAAAACAAAACAAAAATTCTTTATACCACCTGATTGTTTTGCCTCTATCACACTAGTCTGATATTTGAGAACAATTTGCCAAACATCGAGAATTATTAATTCCATGTGGGGAGTACATTTGAATGGTGTAATAGAATTCTTTTTATCCTTAACTATGTCATAGAATGACTTTGTGAGAGGGAAGTTCAGTCTGATTATGGTTGTATGATTTCCCTCTATGATACGGGCATTGATTTTTTTTTAGTGTAGTCAGAACTTTCAACCCTTGATAACCCTAATCAAGGATCCTAAAGAAACTTTAGGATTTGCTCGGACTTTGAAAAAATAATTTCAATGTATATTACTGGATGAGACAATATGGATGGTATCACCTGGACAGAATCTGCAGCCAAGAAGGCCCGTTAGATGGAAATGAATCAGAATAGTTTTATTAGGGTTTTCTTTTGTGGCCAGTATATCATTTTGCATTAACATTGGAGAAGAAAAAAATTAGTGATTTATTCTTTATCTCTATACTTTAAAAGGCCATTATCTTCACTAAGGTATACTGGATTGGCAAGGGAATATATGTTTCAATAACAACATAGTACTAAAATGAATAATAACAGCAAAGAAATGTGTGTGCAAAGCATAAATTTAGTAGAGGTAGACATATTTCAAGATTGCTTATTTCTTACAAATTTATGAGACACTAAGCAGTGCTGAATTTATTAGTAAATGTGTGATTTAGTTTGCACGGAACTCACAATGAATAAAATGTGGTCTTACAATCTCCTTGATGATGGCAGGTCAACAGGGAAATTGGCTCATTTTGTTACATTATTCTATTTCTATTATGACACAAATCATACCTCTATGGTCAATGCTAACTAACCTCTCTTGGTCCTCTGTTTCCTGTGGTACAAGACTCATGCCATCACTCAGAATATATATGTAATGGTGTATCATTATGTGACTTAAGAACGTGAGATCTAAGAACCATTTATTCTGTTTTACTCTCTGAGATATTCAGAGTCCTAAGAGTCCTAGTTTTCGTAACTCTCTCTTTTCTCCTTGTTGAATAGGCCTGCACTTTTTTTCCTTCCAGCAGCATTTTTGGCACTGTGCATTGTGGAGGTGGCATATCACTACATGTCCTTCAAAAAATTATTTTTCCAATAATTTTCTATTGGAATTGGTTAGTTCATTAAGTAAGCTTATTGCATTTTTCTCCTAGGGTTTTTTCAACTCAAGCTCTGCACCCTTTCACATTTTGTTTTCCATCTTGATATTTTTTAATTAGCTCCTATCAGTTTCCAACTTCATCTGCCTGCCAGACAAGCCTGTCTTTTCTACTTGGAAGGAAAGAGCATGAGAAAAAAATTCAATGTGAAATGGTATCTCAGAAAATAAACAGAAGCAACTAAACAAAGTAATCAATTATAGTAGAATTTTGATCCTTGATAGTACACCTACTCTGCCAGAACCAATCTACTTTTGGCAGCTATCTACTGCTTTAAAAAGTTTGGCAAATTCAGAAAGTTTGTGTGAAAAATGCCTTATATACAATAGGTCACATCATTATCACCTGAAAATGAATGCTTTGTCCTTCTCTTTCTCCTTTTCCTCCTCCTCCATGACTTCCAATATTCCCCCATCTCAGTAAATGGCACCATGTCCATCCAGCCAGAATCCTGAGAATCATCCTTGACCTCTCCTACCTCTCTATTCATCACCATCCAATCACCAAGCACTATGCATGCTACTTCTTTAATATCTTTTGGATATGTCCAGTTTTCTCCATCCTCATTTCTTCCACTCAGTCCACGTGGGCACCATCATCTTGTGACCGAACTGTGGTAATAACTGCACCCACAGCTAGCCCCTCATTTTCCACTCTGCAAAAGTGATGGGTTTTGTTTTGTTTTGTTTTTGGAGGTGGAGTTTTGCTCTTGTAGCCCAGGCTGGAGTGCAGTGGTGTGATCTAGCTCACTGCAACCTCTGCCTCCTGGGTTCAAGCAGTTCTCCTAAGTCAGTTTCCCAAGTAGCTGAGATTACAGGCACATGCCACCACTCCTGGCTAATTTTTGTATTTTTAGTAGAGACAGGGTTTCACCATGTTGGTCAGGCTGGTCTCGAACTCCTGACCTTGTGATCTGCCCACCTCGGCCTCCCAAAGTGCTGGGATTACAGGCGTGAGCCACCGCACCTGGCCAACAGCGATGGTTTAAAACACACTGCTCTCATGCTTACAACCCTTCAGCAGCCTTTTTACTCTCTTTCCTTTGTTGTCATTTGCTTTTTAAAATGTTAAAAAAAAAAAGGGAAAGGAAGATTTGTATTTATTTCAGGAACTTGAGTTTAAATAAATGATTATAAATCGGTATGGTATATGTAGTGAGCCAAGAGAGAAAGAAATCCTTCTCAGAAAAAGGAGGGTTAAGTAGTGTAAAATGAGTCAGGAAGCTTAAATACAATGTTGAGAAGAAGGAAGAAAGATATCACTGAGAAATGCAGAGGAATGGATGACTCCAGAGTACATCACAAAGAAAGAAAACAGAATAGATGGATTATCCAGCATACATGACCATGTGGAAAAGTTTGAGGAAGAATCAGTGATAGTTTTTTTTAAGAAAACAGCAAAATGAAGCAGTTGTTGATACTTGAAAAGAACAACATTGTACAAAAAATTA
This sequence comes from Homo sapiens, assembly GCF_000001405.40. NCBI lineage: Eukaryota > Metazoa > Chordata > Mammalia > Primates > Hominidae > Homo > Homo sapiens. The sequence continues at coordinate 75,484,599 of NC_000009.12, read as the reverse complement.
AATGTAATTATACAACATTGTTAGGTCTCAGGTGTAAATAGCATTCAATACTCTCGTGATACAAACTCTGAATAATGATCTAACCAAGAATTGTGTCTGTCCATAGCAGGAGGATGAGGGAGCAGGTCTGAATGAATAGGTCTTATCTATCATGCTTGGAAATCAATAGATAATGCCCCAAATAGAAAAAGAATAAATGTGGTACTTAAAAATATGAATGGAATGGAAAACTAAAAATAATTTTAAATGTTGGCTCTGGAGGATTGTGGTTGGGGAGTGGTAGGAAAGAGTACTTCAGGCTTTCATTAAACTTTGCAGCACAATTTGACTTTTAAAAATTATGGTCATATATTATTTTAAGAAAACTTAAAGAAATATTTTGAATGATAGGAATGGTAAAATAAACTACTAAAATATTAACCAGAGAAAATATTAATATCCAGTAAAATAGAGTTTCAGGCAAAAATATTATTAGAAAAATGAAAGCTTTATTCAGTGATAAAAGTAACAACTCCCCAGGAATTTATTATAATTCTAAACCTGTATCTTTCTAACAACATTGATTTGAAACATGGACACTGAAAGTTGACATAATTACATAAAGAAATGAAAAAAATCCACAAGTAATTTGAAAGAGGAAAGGGCTGAGAAACGCATAAACTTGGCTTATGACCCAGCAATTTCACTCTTGGGTATTCACCCACCAGAAATGGTTTGTACATGATTACTCACAGCATATTTATTTGTATTAGCCCAAACTGGAAAAAAGCCAATGTTCATCCATCAACAGGTGAATGGATACACAAATCACGGTATACTCATAAATAGAAAGCTATTGAGCTATAAAAAGGAGATAACTACTGACTCCTTTATGTTAATAAACTAAAACTTCATTCTGAGTAAAAAATCCAAGCACAAAAGACCACATACAGTTTGATTCCCTTATTTGGGATTGTAGCATGAACAAAATTAATCTACAGTGACAGCAGATCATTGGTTTCCTGGAAATACAGTGGAGGAGAGGAAGGGGGCATTGATAGCAAGGGGGTACACAGGAATTTTGAGGGAGACAAAAATGTTCCATGGTTTGACTGGGATGGTTATGCAGGTGTAGACATTTGTCAAAATTCATTGAGCTATACTGCAATTGTTAATTTTATGTGACAACTTGACTGGCTCATGGGTTGCCAGGATTGCTGGTTAGACATTATTTCTGGGTGTGTCTGTGAGGGTGTTCCTGGAAGAGATTATCATGTAAATTGGTAGGCTGAGTCAAGTTGTTTGCCCTCCCCAGTGTGGGTGGGCATCATCCAATCCACTGAGGGTCTGAATAGAACAAAGTGGTAGATGATGGGAGAATTTGCTCTCTTTGTCTGACAGAGCTGAGACATCAATCTTCTCCTACTCTTTGCACTCCTGTCTCTCTGACTCGACTGGAGTCTATACCACTAGCTCTCAGACCTTCAAACTGCATCACTGGCTTTCCTGGGCCTCCAGCTTGTCAAGGGCAGATAGTGCAACTTCTCAGCCTCCATAATTGCATGAGCCAATACCTTCTAATAACTCTCTCTCTCTCTCTCTGTCTGAACATATGTATATATTCTCTCTCAAGAACCTTGACTAGTACATATATTTAGTTGTCTTATTAGATGTAAATTATGGTTTAATAAAATTGGTAAAGTTTTACAGAAAGCACGTGGGGTCTTTCAAAGGGACTCCCTGCCCGGGAACCTGTATCACATTTATTGGCAGTGGGAATTATAACTTTAGAGAGCCAGATTATTTTCAGAAATCCATTGAAAAAGGTGTTAAGTGCCAGCAGAGGGGGCAAGAATACTTTTCTCCAGTGGTGGGTATCAACAAGAGAGGGATAATGGCATAAAACCCAGTTCAGTTACCCTGCAAATGGGGAGAAGCAGAATGAGCTAGTTAAGGTCACCAAACAGTGCATGTTGGCACCAGGAGCAACAGCAAAATTTAATTAGTTTCTGAGGATGTTGCTGGAGATCTCACTGAATTAGTTGTATTTTATTACCATAATTAATGTGATATAAACCTTTAATATTCTGTCCCCCATCCTGAAGCTGTTGTCTTCTGATGAAAATGGAATGTATATCCATTTTATGGTGTTGTAACAGGACCTGGCATGAATAAGACTGTAGAGGCTTAACTGCTCTTAACCTGAATTCTTCATTTTAAGAAATAAAAATATTAGTCTAGGTGATTTCCCAGGACCCTTTAATTTTATATTTTAGGGCGCAGTCCCTTCCTTGAAAAACTATGAAAAGGAATGACATTTACACTATGAAAGATCAGTACTTATATACATGGAGAACTCAATATAATTGATTATAACTATTATAATATCATATAATTATATTATGCAAAATAATTATATAATAATATATTTTCATAAAGTGGATGGAAACAAGATAAGTATAAAAATATAGGGAATCAGCATGATTTCCATTTACTAACAATAGGTTAGTAAATATAAAGTAATAAGGTTAAAAAAGATTACATTTAAAATTAGGGGAGAAAGCACCAGTTAAACAGGAACAACGATACAAGAAATCTGCAACATCCACACGGATAGCTACAAACTTTTCCAAGAACTAGAAAATATTTGAGTAAATAAAAGGAGAGTCATAAAATATTTCTGGATGGAAAGTCTGAATTTCCTTGGTCTCACATCTCCTTTCAGCTATCATTATCCTCTTCTGCTCTTCCCTTCATACTCAAAACTTTTATAGTTGTCAACACTGCCCATTTCTGTTTGCTTACTTCTTATTTTCCAGTTGACTGCAGTCTATCCTATGCCCTCTCTAGGCCACCAAAACTGTTCTCTTCAAGGTCATTAACATACTTCTTAATACCAGTGACAACCTTGCAGTCATTATCTTGCCTGATGTCTCAGAGCATCAATGTCATGCCAGTCCCATTTTCCAAATATCCATCTTTCTTCCACTTCAAAGATACCACACTCTCCCTTATTTCTGCCCTCCCTCTGGCTGCTTCCTGTGTCTAATTTTGTAGCTTCCCATCCTCTGTTTGTACCTTAAATATTGTTGCTCCTTAGATCCTCTGCTATGTTCATTCTGCAGACTCTGTGTGAGAGGTTGGGTTACATTCACTCTTACAGCTTTACTCACCCTTTAAATACTGAAGACACACGAATTTATATCCCTAGTTCATCTCACTCTCCTCCAGCCTCTAGGCCAGCACAGCCAATTGTCTATTGGGCATGCAGCTTTAGGTTGTACCACACACATCTCAAACTGTAGCATCTTCCCACCTCAAGCCCATCTTTCCTGCATTCCTTTTCAGTGAATGAAACCAACATGTACCCAATTGTCCTGTGGTGTCATCCCTGATTCCTCACTAATTCAGCGTATCTAATCAATCACCAATTTCTGTCAAGTTTACATCCTAAATGTCTTCCAAATAGACCACATTTGTCAAATCCATCCATATCCCTCTATTTCTGGTGCCACTACCCTAGTGCAGGCCACCATCATTTTCCTTTCTGGTTTATTAGAACAAGCTATTTCCCTGCCTTAATTTTTGCCCCCATTCCAACCAACCCTCCATATTGCAGCCAGACAGATCTTTCTTGACTATGAATCAAGTTAAGTAACTTTCTTACTTAAACCCTTTCAAAATTTTCCATGGTCCCCAGGGTAAACTACATGCTCCTTCACACGGTTTGAGTGACTCTTACTCTGGTCCCTGTTTAGAACCAATCACATTCTGCTCCAGCAACACAGAATTATTTTCAATTTCTCAAATGCATCAGGCTTGCTATTGACGCTTGGATTTTCTGCATGCACTTCTGTCTATCTTCATTATTGTTCTCCCTCCTCTGTTTGCCTATCCTGAACCTCAGGACTAAACTTAGATGTCACTTGTCTAGGAAACTTCATTCACCCTGAGCCCAGGGTGGACCCTTATCATACGTTCCCCAGGAGCTTGTGCCTCTCTTCTCACCACTCATGTTTCACTAGTTGTACATATCAATTATTCTCCTGTTTCCTGCACTAAAAACCACAAATGTGAAGGCAGGAATATGTCCATCTGTTTTATTGGTGTATCCTAAGCCAAGACAGTTTCTGAATGTGGTAGATGTTCAATAATTATTAAATAGAAATTATTCATTGTAAAGCTATAAGAATGAAGGCAGTAATATTGGTACAAAAAAGATAAATCAATGAAACAGAACAAAAGCCCAAAAGTGATCCTTAGGAGATAGAGAGTGTAATACATAGAATTTAATGAGAATATCACTGTAAACAGGTCGGGGAAAGTGAGACCCTCTTACTATTGGTTAGACTTTGAGGAGGGGATAGAGATTGTCTGAAGTTAAAATTTATGAAAAATGTCACAAAAATTATACTTGCTTCCATAATTATTTCCATGGTTGTTAATCACAAATGTGACACAAATTAAAAGGCAAATTGAAAACTGGGGGAAAAATATGTTCACTAAATATGACAGGCAAAGGGTTAAAATTTTTTTTATAGAGTTTTCTCAAATTTTTAAGAAAACATGATCCCAGATAAATAGGCCAAGGACTTAAAGAGACATAAAGAAGAAATGTAAATGAATGATTAAAAATGTATTCAACTTTCATTGTAATCAAAGAAATGCAAATTTTAAAATGAGACAATTTTTTAAACTTTTACATTAGTAAAGATTTTTAATGATAAAAATTCTAGGCATGGAAGAGAGTAATGAGACATTAATAGGAGAATAAGAAATTGAGACAACTTTCTGTTAAGCAATTTGCAATATGTATCAAGAGGACTTAAACTTCCTAAGAATCTAAAATTCTTTGACCTTCAAAAATTCAAACCTAAGGAAATAATCCAAATGGAAAACATAGGTACACATAAATGTTAATCACAATGTTACTTATAGTCAGGTAAAATTGGGGGGAAATTTAAATTTTTTTTTTTTTTTTTGAGACAGAGTCTCACTCTGTTGCCCAGGCTGGAGTGCAGTGGTGCAATCTTGACTCACTGCAACCTCCGCCTCCTGGGTTCAAGTGATTCACCTGCCTCAGCCTCCAGAGTAGCTTGGACTACAGGTGCCTGTCACCATGCCCAGCTAATTTTTTGTATTTTTAGTAGAGACCAGGTTTCACCATCTTAGCCAGGATGGTCTCGAACTCCTGACCTTATGATCCACCCACCTCGGCCTCCCAAAGTGCTGGGATTACAGGTGTGAACCACCGTGCCTGGCCAGGAAATTTAAATATTAAACAGTAAGAAACTAGTTGAGTAAATTCTAGTATATCCACAAAATAGAGTGTTTTGCAGCCATAGATAAATAGACAGGTAGGTAGATAGATGCAAGAACTGCATACATTGTATGGTATTACACCATAAAATTAAGAATGCACAAACATACACACAAAGAAGCTACAAGGAAATAAATACATTAGATATGCTTCTCTCTAGGTTGAGCGATTAGGAGAAGTTCTTATTTTCTTCTTTATATGTTTCAGTAGTTCCACATTTTCTACAGTAGTATAATTTTTATAATCCAGTAAAACAAAAATAATAAAAATTGACTGTGACAGACTCTGATAAAGCTAACTTGACTGAATAGAAAGCATCAAGACTGATGGGGCCAGGTGTTAATTTTTGCATTGGAAAGCCCTTTGGGGTAAAAATGTGCCTGAAAGCTGGAGCCCAGGAAGATGTCTAGAGGCTGTCTTGCACTGGTTGTTGCTGGATCCCCATGCCAAGACAGTGTCTGAACATAGTAGGTAGCCAGAGAGACACTGGGGGGTTGGGGGTGGGCAGCTGTGCCTAAGACCCTGGCATGCAGCTGGAGACTACAGGGGGTGGGAAACAGAGCTCTGAGGAACATCATGAGGTGTCAGGGGTCCTGAGGCCACAGAACCTGGAATCACAGATGGGATATAGGTTATGGCCAGTAGATTTAGAGAACATTAGCTTACAACGTCCTACAGAGTTTCTAGAACGTGAAGGGAAGAATTCAAATGAGCTCGAGATGGGGCCACCAGGCAGCCACATTGCATGCCTCTTTCAAAGGAAAAACATGGTTTTCCAGAAAATTCCTTAAAAATGTTGATGCCCACTTATGAAAATAAGTATACTGACTAGAAGGCAGCCGGAAGAAGAGTGGGCTTCAAGAAGCCTGTGTGGAAAGAAAAGAGAGAGGACGAAAAAGACCACCATATATTATGAAAACTTGGAGCCCAGAGCTCTTGCTCAAGCCCATGTTCTTGCACGTGATGTTGGCATTAAAGTGAGCTTTAAAGCATGAGACAGTGGATTTCTTACAATTAAGTTCAATGTGAGTGACAGGAACCCCAATATAACAGTGACTTAAATAATTTACAAGTTTGTTTTTTTCTATAGTATGAGTCAAGAGGCAGGCAATCCAATGCTGAGTTGGCTTCCCACAGTATTAGGGATTCAGGCTCCTTCTATCTTATTGCTTCCCCATGAACCTACTCCATTCTCCATCCCCCCACAGGCTCTGGGGTAGCTCCTCCAGCTGCAGCCACCTTGTCTCTCCATGCCGATCAGCAAAGCAGGACAGAAGGAGCAAAAAATAGCAATGGAGATTTCCAGTTGCTGCCAGCTGACGCTTCTGCTTATATGTCATCGGCCAGAACTTAGTCACAGAGTCACATCTAGCTGCAAGAGAAGCTGGGAAAGGTAGTATTTTTCTGGATAGCCACATGTCCAGCTCAACATTCTAATACTATGGAAGATGAGGTAAAGGACACTGGAGGATAACTAAGATTCTTCCAAAGAAGGATTCCAATAAATGATGTAAGAAGGGAAGAATTTCAAGAAGAGGGAACACTTTGTGAAAAGCCAAAAAGGGGTGAAGATTGTGTGTTCTGGAAATAATGAATACCATTCACCAACTGGGGACTGCCTGATTCACCCATGCATATGCTTTAGGCTTCATATGAAATACATATTTCTCTCATGCGGGGGTGGGTGAGGAGCCAATGATACCATGGCTTATATTACTTTTTGAGCCTCCTTACTTTCTGAATTTGGTGCAGTTTGCATCAGTGAACAATCTGATGGTGTGTTGGTCATTTGTTTTAAATCACTCACTGCTCCAAGTTTATTCTCATCTCCAGAGAATTATTAAAGTGACCCAAATATCTATAAGAATTTGAATTTCAGACCAATGGATATACATTACCCAGGACTTAATAAGCCTACATTTGCCAGTGTTAGTTACCCACAACCAGAGAAAGTCAAGCCACCCCACCTTGCCCAAATGGGTAGTTTTTTGTCCTCTTTCTGAAATACTGCATCTTGGAATACAAATAAAACAGGCACATGACATTCAAAGGTAAGACAATCAAAGACTCATTAGAGCATGCCAGATTATGATGTCACACAGAGACAGAAAAACAGTATTTTGCATAAAATGTGATTGCTTCATTTCCAGTAAACTTGAGTTGAAACAGGAAAAATCTTTCCCTTAACCCTATCCCTTAACCCTGATTCCAGAAAATAAACATGATGACATTTATCTGACCCTTGGGTGGGCCTCAAATATTTTGGACAAATGCCTTTATATGCTGCTGCACTTGGATGCCTTGAGGAAAGTGTGGTCAGGGAAGGAGTTGGGTATCAAGGGTCAAATGTTCTGATCCATAAAGTGCAGCATCAAGGTAAATTTGTGCTCACTGTAGAAGAGACTTTGTAGGAGGAGTGCATTTGCCTGTAAATAAACTATCAGACAAAACTATCAGACAGGCTGCATAATGGCCATCTTTTGCAGTATTCAGCGTAGAACTCCTGGAACCAATGGCTACATTTGGGGAAAGTCTTTGGCAGAGGAGGACATAGTTAACAGCTGGAATTAGTTACCTGATACATAAAAACTGGCCCTAGTAATGTTCACACTACAGATGTCTTTATGCCCCCAGTTTAAGAAGCATTATCTATGGGGAATATAATCACCACATTTCAGTGTTCTGCCCCAGCACATGAACTTGCTGCATTATATTTGTTCTGGAAACAGCTGACTCAGCTCAAAGAGCTTGAACACAAATGAAACCTCAGCATACCTCTTTACAACGTTCATATTTGAGCAGCAAATTGTGAGATAAAACCCTCAACAGCCCTATAACTTCCTTGTGACAAAGTGTTTCTTTCTTTTTTTTTTTTTTGAGACGGAGTCTCGCTCTGTCGCCCAGGCTGGAGTGCACTGGCGTGATCTCAGCTCACTGCAAGCTCCGCCTTCCGGGTTCACGCCATTCTCCTGCCTCAGTCTCCCGAGTAGCTGGGACTACAGGTGCCCACCACCACACCCGGCTAATTTTGGTATTTTTAGTAGAGACTGGGTTTCACCGTGTTAGCCAGGATGGTCTCGATCTCCTGACCTCATGATCCACCTGCCTCAGCCTCCCAACAAAATGTTTTTTATAGTGCTTCTGATCTTCCCTTCATAATTATGATGCAGAGGAAATAAAGAATCACCTTTTGAACAATTTCAAATATGACTTCTATGACCTTCAGTCATTGTTACACAGGCTGCAACAGTTTTGCCATATCTAGACCCCATTCCCAGATGCAGGTTTAATTGGCAAAGGCTGTAAGCAAAACAATGGACTAAGGTGCTACTATTTGAGGTTCTTTTTTTTAAATAAATAAAACCTACACTATGATTGGCATATAATTGCATCCCACCTAAATTTTTTCCTATGGGATTATCATATTAAATCATAACAGATGATAGAGAGGGTTAGTTTGGGCTAGCCGGCAGGTGATTTAAGAAGCACTGATTGCCCATCTGCATGAGGGTGGGGCTACTGACTCATGATGGGATTTGGGGTCAAAGGACCCTGGTTTGAATTAGGATTTGCCCTTTAGCCTTAGGAAGTTGTCAAACTTCTCAACCTCCCTGAGCCCTAGCTTCCTGACCTATATAAAATGGAGGTGCTAATAATAACAGCCAGCATTATTATTTCATGTTCTCAAGAAGGCTGTTGAAATTAGCAGAGCATTTTGTAACTTTTATGGAGATGCATAATGAATTACTTAATCATATGTACTTTCAGTTGGTTGGAGTCTCTCTCCCAGTTGTGGGAAGGAGTCTGTACTAGACCACCTGTCACTGGTCTGAGGCAAACCTCCCGTGCTCTACAGGGGATCTGCTGAGATCCATAGCATCATCTGGGGCAAGCAAGCAGCTTTTCCTCTGCCCCACATAAAGATTTAACTCCTATCCTTGGCCACATCCACTAAAGAACTGAGCCAACCAGCCTGGACCACAGTTAAGCAGATATTTTTGACCCTCTGAATACATATCTATTTGAGGTTGAATGTGCTCAAGTTCATAGAAATTGACATCAGGTTGGTTTTTAAACAGATTATGTCTGCCAAAACATATTTTTGGTGAAAACCTAGCAAAGGAAGAAAAGCCTGCCTACCTATTAGGGTGGGACAAAAGCTGATGAGTCCGAACTTTGTGTCAGGTTGACTGCTTATGGCTTAGAACAGTTTTCATGAATGGCTGAAATTTGTGGACTGGTTTTCATAGACCTCAGCAAATCAGACTATCGACGTCTTCTTGTTAAATCTACCTTAGCTTTTCAGAGAGAGAGCCATTAGGAAAAACTATTTTTCCCCTTTTGTTAGTTTGATTCATGCTCCAGGCTCCTCTTAACCATTAAGGGATGAAAATGTTCACTAGTACTATTCCTTCCTGGCAGATCTCCTCTCTGCTGGGTAAGTAAGAGTCTGGTCCTTCCCCTCATTCAAGGAGAGCATAGGGAACAAGACAACACAAAGGGCAAAAGAAAAAAATGTGGAGGCAAAAAGCATATGATTAGACCTCATTAATCATTCAAGTTTTATTTTTGGAGCAAAACTTTCAGTGACATGTTTTTGTGTCCATTTACAGGCAAGAGGAGAGAGATAGCAAGTTATAAGCAGGTGACCAGTCTTCTGTGAACCTGCTTAAAAATTTTTGCCATATCTGGGACCCCCAGATAAATATTTAATAGAAAAAAAAGTCAAAGTGCAGAACAGCATGACTAATTTACTACCACTTAGGTTTTAAAAATCTATATAAAAATACACACATATACATACATATTACTATGAATATATCTGTGGAAATACCAATAAGAAACTACTGACCACAATTACCTTTGTACAAAATTTGGGGGGCTAGCAGGTAAAGGTATATTACCTTTGTGTACTTTTTGAACATTGTACCATTTGTATATATTATCTGGTCAACAAAATAAATATAATGTATTCAATTAAAAGAAAACTTCATGTCACCACAAATAGAAGGTAACTGTGAAATGAAACTAATGCACTGTTATCTGTGTCCTGCTCTGTATTTATTGAAAGAGGAGATGTGCCAATATTAGAGAGAGGTTAAAGACTAGAATCAGAGGCTTTCTCCTTTATGTATTTGAAAGTGTTTAAAAAAGAAACTGCTCAGCCACCCAGGAGGCTGAGACAGGAAGATTGTTTGAGTCCAGGAGGTCAAGGCTGCAGCTCACCATGCCACTGCATTACAGCCTGGGTGACAGACTCTATATCAAATAGAAAAACAAAAAGAGAAAGAAACCAGCACATCCCTAATATTCTTACCTTATGATTCAATGGCATTTACTGCCATGTCTGTGCCCTCCCTAAAATCTACAACCTTTGGGAAACTCTAGCATCATAGGAAAAGCGTTTAACTGGAGAGCCGTTGCTTCTAGTCTTGGGTGCTCGTTATTTTCCAAATCTGTCTAATCCATCTAGTGTTAATTCTTCTCATCAGGATGTCTCTCAAAAATTGAGTTGGGATCAAATAAGATAATGTATATGAAAATACTAAGGAAAGAATACACGCATACCTCAGAATTTGCAGGTTTGGTTTCAGACTACCCCAATAAAATAAGTCGCACAATTTGTTGGCTTCCTAGTGCATATAAAACATAATATAAAAATTATGTTTACACTATGCTATAGTCTATTAAGTGTGTACTAGCATTATGTGTAAAAAGCAATATACATAACAATTTAAAATATGTTTTGCTAAAAAATGCTGACACAGACACGAAGTGAGCACATGCTGCCAGAAAAATGGTGCCCATAGACTTACACAGTGCAGGGTTGCCACAAACCTACAACTGGTAAAAGATGAAATATCTGCAAAACACATAAAGCAAAGCACAATAAAATGGGATTTGCCTGGATACGATCAAGGGAATTATTATCTATAGAATGCCTTATATTAAGTAGTTCAAAGAGTTGATACGAAAAATTCATATATTTGTCTCTACCAGGTTTTGGCTTCCTATCTCATGTCTTGTGATCCTTATTCTAAGAGTAGGCTGAGAATGGAGAGAAGTCAGAGATTAAGAAGGTTTGTCCAAATCCCACAGTGAACGCTCTTAGAGAAAAATGAGTGGACACGTTACATATCCTGATTATGGCCTTCGCAGAGGTGGAACAAATAAGCAAGAAAGGAAGCTGCTTCTGTAGTTTGTGTGACACAGGGGCGTCCTTAAACCTGAAAGGGAAGGAATGGAGGCAGGAGGTACTTTAGCCAAACAGACATGGGGTCCAGGCTGCCATTCCACCCTGAGGCAGGACGCTTGGGCTCCTTTTGGTCAAGCCATTAGCATAGCAGTAAAGAAACCCTGTCTTGAAAGGCATTGTTTTATTACAAATATATCACCCTTTGAGAATCATTGCCCTGTGTGAGGTTGTATCTATACGACATCACAACATATCAGCCAACCATCTTAGACAACGAGAACAACCCATATGACTATTTTGTTCTTGTAATGTGTTCCACGAGATGTATAGATATTCACTGGAAAGAAAGAGGACATCCATGATCCTGTAAGAACTAAAACCTCTACACTGAATAAAGGTAAACACTTATTTTATAGAAAGACATCTTAGAGCCTTTAACTAATTACTATATGTTTCCTAGAGGAATATAAGTTAGCAGTGTTTTCCTAACACCTAACCACAGGTCCTCTCTACACCACCCTCTCTCTCCTTTGTTTCCTATGTAACATCTATTAACAACTATATTTTTGAAACTCTAAGCTAAGAACATTGAACAAAGCAGGCAGACACTGCCTTAGGCTTCACTGCTTCAAATTCCCCATGATGTATTCAATAAATGGTGGAGGAGTAGATGAATTATTTAGCCAAGCCAGAATTAGCTGCTCTGTTATGACTGTTCTCTTGAAGAGTGTAATCTTTGAGGCCCCTTTCAGAAGACTATGCAAACGTAGATCTATTTTTCATAAATACCTTTAAGCAATACTTATGCAAACACATTCCCCCCTTCAAGTAGTCTCATTTTCTTCCAAAGAGGAATGCACACACAGAGAGTGTCCCCCATGATTTTTTACACCAATGCTAAGAAATCTATCACAGGAGCAAGTTAACCCAGCGAGCACTCCACTGGGATCTTTAGACCTCATTATTTCCCAGCATAATTAAATCTTTATTAGATTAAATTGCACTTTTTCTGGACCTCTCAATAAATTTAGTACCCAGCCGACTTTTAATGTGCCATTAGATAAGACCCAAAAAGAAATTTAAAGAAAAATATCCTCTAGCAATGCATTCAAAATTCTCAATTTTACAGAAAAGCCTCCTCAGACGCAGGCTACCCACATTATATGGAGTGACTTTCAAGGTGCTTTGTTTTCCAAATAAGAAAAAGAAGGAATCAATAGAATTAGCACAAGAAGAGCTTTGGCCGGTGAGGAAATGAAAGGTAAAAATGGAAAGACTTAAAATAAAGAGGATGTGGTTTTTGACAGCCCAGACATATTGGCCCAAATTACAAAGCCAAGCAAACAGAGAGAAATTCAGCTCTGAAACTACAACACTCTTTTTATGATGCTTGGGGGCTGGGGGGAATTACAATGGCCACAGGCTGCAGTCTCCTGGTTCATTCATCAACAACTGCAAATTCACACTTCCACACCAGCCCTTCTCTCTTCCAAATGGTTTCAACAAAGACAGCCACCTCCTCCCCTGTGTTATTTCTGTTATACTTCAGTCTGAGAGTTTCAGTACTTGAAGAAACAACTTAAAATTTACCCAGAATTAATGAGCAAGGAAAGCGGGACTCTGATGAATACTGAAAGCAAACTCTGGCTCCAACCTGCCAGGGTATCATCAGGAAAATGGTCCTACAGCTTTGTTGGCAAGAAAGTAGTTTTCATTGCACATAGGTGAGAAAACAAAAGTTGTAATTGTCTCACCACATAAAAACTCTCTGCCGTTGTTTTCTCCAACGGCAGAGATAAACTGGCCAAAGGCATTGCTGACAACTTTAAAATACGATAACCAAAAAATCAGCAACAGTCTCCATCTATTGGGTATCATAGTTGAATCTCCATCTTTCACTTATCAATATCTAAGTCTACCCGAATCTACCTGAGGTAATGTCAATGCAACCATTCTAAAGCCAAAATAATTAGTCAAACAACTCTGTGTGTGTGTGTGTGTGTGTGTGTGTAAGACAGTGAAAATAACTAGTTTTGTCTTCCTTTTTCCTGTGAACTCACAGATGATGTGGGTAAGTGGGTTTCTGTAGTATTCTCTGATTACCCCTGTCATTGGATTACCACATTGCATTGAAATCTACATTCTCACTATACTACAAACTTTTTCAGGGAAATGATCATATTTTAGTATTTCCTTGTGTCCCCAAGTATACAGCACAATGCTGGGCACATAGTAGGAACTTGGAAAGTATTTGTTGAGCTGACCCAAATGGACCTGAATTTGTTCTTGCAATAGGTAAACCCAAAGCCTCCTTCTAGAAAAAGTTTGCTCCTTGTATAACACAGTACAAGTGATACAAAATCCCACCTTTCTCATGGAACAACTTGTGATTTCCAAATTGTAGTGCAAATTGAGATCTTGGGATGCACCCAACTGGGGTTTGTTGGTGAGAGCAGTGTTACAGAAAAAGGAGTAGTCACCCCATATTCCACCACCCTTCACAAACTCACCTCACCTTCACTGACCCCTGGTAGTGCTTGGCTTTTCTCTAGAAGCAAATTTTACAGAAGAGGTTGGAGCAACATGAGCTGCACTTGCAACCAAAGGAACTGAACTTGCTGAGCTCAGGCTCATATTCACATCTGCTGAATAAACTCACACACTAGTGAGTTGAAAATGAGAGCAGTTATGCTTGCAAAATATTTTGTCCTCCTTAGAAGAGAGAAGCTCCTTTTTAAGGGTTGAAATTTTAGAGGTAGATTTTTATATAGCTTGGTACAATTCAGTAATATTCCAGACAGGAGGATGTTTATCCAATTCCATAGTCTGTCTTTTTTAACATAAATATACCTTTTACCATTGATGGCACCACTTCTAAAACTTAAGAAATGAGCAGATTCCCTGTAACGAAAAAAACACATTTCTCCTTGATCCCCTGGTGTTAACTTAATTTTATTTTGTCACTCAAATCTGTACAGCCTTAAACCTATAGCTGTAAAAGTCCTTATGCTTATAGTTCTTAAGCAACTAAAAATGTTTTAAATTAAATACAAACAACACTTCAAGCCAATAAGTTTTTAATTAGCAATCTTAATTTAATGTGATGGATGGTGGTATGTTGCTCAGAATTGATCACTGTTTGCAGTCTGAACTTGGCACCCATAACTATGGTATGGATCCTTTCAGGTTCTGCAGGCTTCAAAGGGTAGACACTATTTGATGACTCACTTCTCTCTATTCGATTACTACAAAACCTTCATTTATAAAATGTGCATCATTTATATATTAAATTGACCTCTATTATTTTCTTATTAGCTCAAGATAATTAAGTAGTATTACTTGACACAAAAGATACTGGAAACAAACACAAACATGGGCGCTAAATTCATCCAAATGATCTATGCACCTGTCAGGATTTCTTTTGGTTACAAATAAAAGAAAATCTAAGTTAAACTAGGTCATAAGTGAAAGAATCCTGAGCAAACCTTCCCCATCGGCTCTGACCAGATTACGTGCTCATCCCTGAGACCAACAAGCGGGGATACACTGATCACAATCAGAGCTAAGGCCAGGAACCATGGATAAGATTAACCTCACTCAAGTTATGTACCTGAAGAAAGAGAGAAGTGGTTTCCAAAGGAAATTGGTGGTACTGTTATCAAGGAAGAATGAAAAAGATGTGCCAAACAACCACCAATAAATATCCACTACACCCATTAATTTTTCTATTTATTAAAACATAAATCCAAATTTTTGCAGGAATTCTCAAATCCTGCAAAAAATGTTCCTTAGACACTCCAGCATTTCTGAAACTCGAATTTGAGAAATATTGATCTAGTGGGCTGTAGGCTAAGCAAGGGGTAAAAAGCAAGCTCAAAACTTAACCTTAAAAGTTCAGAAAAGAGGTTCCAGATAAGTAGATGGAATCTAACCAACAAAATACCTAAGCTCATCCAGGAACTTGCAGGAGGAAGCCATTATTGTCTTTTAGATATGTTGATCTTGAAATGTATAAAATTTTTAAAAAAAAGACTTTCATCACTCTTTTACTACCTCACATGAAGTGGATTTTTACCAAATTTAGAGTTTATATTGGAATGGTCTGTCTTGAACTATAGGCTACATGTTATTGATGAAATCCACTTTAGGAGGCTCTGAGAGGCACATTAAAGAGACAGGAGTCTATCCAGAGAAACAGGGCAATGGAGGTCACATGATTGCCAATCAGAAGAGAGATATCATGGATCAAGAAAACAAAAAGCAGTTTCAAATATGAACCATAAATCAAAAATTAAAAGAGCATATACTCTGTATAGCAGGTGGCAATTTGCCCCAAGCTGCTTCTCTCACAGATAATAGCTCAAAGCCATGGGGACAACAGCAATTTATTTATTCAACAGTGATCAATGATTCTCTTGAAAAATGCATCATCAGGTTAGAGCCAGCTGGACTGTAACATACAATAACGTGGCCTCAATGAGAGCACTCAGCTCTCAGTAGGTGAGCTGACCTGGGTAGGTGTTCACACCATGACAGACCTAGGGTAAAAGTCCTGTTCCCCTCCATCTTTGTCCCTTTGTACGGATACTAATTCTTCGTCTCCTGGAAAATGATCTCGTGGAAAAACTAAGGTTACTCAGCAGCTTTTAATTGCTAATATGCTTGCACAATCGTAACCACATGGAATAACATAGAACTTTGATTTTTATCAGGGGGCCATCTAGGTTATGTTTCCATCCTTTCAGCAATGTCCCTGGACCACTCCAGATGCAAACGTGCTATTTAAAAGGTTCAATTCCTTCTGTGCTTGCAACTTTCAACAACATCCATTGCCAGCCAGGAGTCTGGATACCAGCTGGGGCTCTCCTCCTGACAATGTCAGTAACTATCTGAGTGACCTGAGACAAGTTGCTTAATGTATTTGTGGATGAACTCCTCTGTGTATAAAAGAAGACACTGACCCTTTCTCTACCCCACACACAAGGCTGCTGGGATTAAAAATAAAGGAGATCGCAGATAAGAAAATGATGTAAGAAATTGAAAGCAATGAACAAACATGGAGCTCTATTCAATTATAGGAGTATTCCTTGACTACTCACTCTCTTCGTAGGACTATTTTTGATTCCCCAGTTTTGTCCTATGTGAAAGAGCATGTCAATTCAAGTTCACAAGATTGTGTCTGACAAAGGTGGACAAAACTAGAGCTTTGTGGTGATCTATAGATGTTGACACACCTTTCCCACAAGTATGGAAATGCATTTGTATGGACAGCAAACCAATGGAAAATTGAACTCAATCTCTAGTGTTACAATTACTGCTGCCATATTATTCTTTTATTACTATACCTTAATTAAATTTATCTTGCCAGTACTTAAAAACTATGAACACCCCCAAATATTGAAAATCTCAGACCATTAAGTCACCTTTCTGTTACACATAGGATTCTGTTTTAGGACACAAAAAGGACAATATTATAATGTAATTGTTGCTCTTAGGAGCAGTGAGTAATACCAACCCATCACTCGAGCATCAGAAATTTACAACAACATTTTGTTATGCCATGTAGCTGCAGGCTACTTTTTCTTTACCCACCCAAGACTAAAAATCCAATAATTTTTCTCATAATGGGAGTGATGTGGCTTGAGAAGTATCTGTTTATGATTCATGCTAAGGACTGAGCACAGTCTGCTACACACAAGCAAGCTGCTTTGCCTCAGGGGAAAACATGTTCTGTGTTGCATTAACTTAGTTCTGAAGCAAAATATCACAGCCGCGCATCATCAAATTAGAGCCTGAATAGGCTGCACAATCATCAACTGGTGCTGAGATTCCCTTTCACATTAGAGACCTCAAAATGAATTTCCAAGTGGCTGAGTGAAAGGTATCTTTGATCCCATCTCACAAGTGAGACAGCTGAAGTAGAGCAATACAAGGTGAATAATATGTTGGTGAGAGACTTTCAGCTTATATGATAAAGAATGAGATTTTAGAAAACTAAAGTCTAATTATAAAATTAAATAGCCAACAAAAATATTAGTAATGGTAGCAATGGTCCTGGTTCTGGGGTCTGGTTCTTCTCCCAGTTAGGCCCAGCCTCCAAGGAAATGATGAGGTGAACAATTCTTATATAGAGGGATTTTCCACACCCCCAACTATTCTGTGGTCTGTTTTTCTAATTGCCTACCCAGAATCACATCCCCTTACAGGCTTTCTTTCAGCTAGCTGCCCCAGACAGAAAGCAAGCTGATGAATGTAGTAACCATTCATTCATTTGTTCACCCATAAGAGCATTTATTGAGTTGTGTCTAATCACTGTACTAGACTCTCAAGGTTCAAAGGATAATACAGCAATAGCTTGCCCTTAAAAACTCATTCTAGGCTGGGCGCAGTGGCTCATGCCTGCAATCCCAGCACTTTGGGAGGCCAAGGCAGGTGGATCACAAGATCAGGAGATCAAGACCATCCTGGCCAACATGGTAAAACCCCATCTCTACTAAAAATACAAAACTTAGCTGGTGTGGTGGCATGCACCTGTAGTCCCAGCTACTCAGGAGCTCAACTTCAATGTTCATCAGCACAGTCTTGTGCTTAACCTTTTGCCCTGGCTTATTGAGTTTATTTTTAATGTTACTTCTCATCTCCATAGTAGTTTGCACTGAGCAACATTAGAAAGAACTGTGTTCACCTACAGAGTAGAACACACCAACTAAGAATTCAAATTATTCGTTCGGCTTTATTTGAACGGGAGGCTGAGGCAGGAGAATTGCTTGAACCCAGGAAGTGGAGGTTGCAGTGAGCCAAGATGGCGCCACTGCACTCCAGCCTGGGAGACAGAGCAAGACTCTGTCTCAAAAAAAAAAAAAAAAAACCTTCATTCTAATATAGCATTTAATAGGATATAGCTTGGTGAGGGGATAGGAATTTGATTTGAAGCACCAGTTGGGAAAAGGAATGTAATAGGTAGCACATACAAATAGAAAGAGCATTTAAGAAGTTGGTAAGGAATGATAATGACACACTTTGTCAGGGCCTGCTTCCTTCTTGTTCATTGCTCCTAGTATTTGCCAAACCACCACATCAACTCTAAGAAGCTAAGAGTTTGCCACTCCAATTCTGCTTCCATAGTCATCTTTCAGCCACTCAGCATCATGTGGTACCTACTTAGGCTCCAGCTCTGCTTTGCAAGAGGTACATGAGGCCTGCCCTTGCACTGTAGAGCTGGGGAGATGTCACCAAACATGCAGTTATTATGTCATTAGTGAAGTACAATCAATATTGGAGATTTGCACAATGTGCTATGAGTATGAGAGTGGGTACTGAGTAGTTCATTCTCACTACAACAGTTAAGAAATGTTTCCCAGAGCAATTAATATTTAAACAAAGTTTTACAGGATAAGTACAACTCATACAGCATGAATGGGTAGGGGAGGTATTATATGTAGGACATAGGTATTCCCTATGAATATTAGAGGATTTGGCCCTACTATGCCCAAAATTCCTACATATGGCCATAATTACCAGAGTGAAATGTCCTTTCGGATAGGGAGTATGTTGGTCTTTACCTACTTTATTTGCTTATATACTTAACCTCTTAAGCAACTGAGTTTGAGATCCCTGGTCTGCCAATTCCAGCCGGGGTCCATATGACCACAAAACAATCAATGGAGGTGGTCAATTATACGCAACTCTCACTTTTGTTTTTATTTTTTTAACAGAATTTCTTACTGGATGTTTTGTGACAACTGGCATAACACTTAAATAAGTACGTTTTGACTACATATAGCCATGGGCTAAAATGAAGAATTAAATGTTGATCATCAAAGCAATAATGAATTATTCAGTCAATTTAAGAACAAATCAGTCCTGCAGAGAGAGAGAGCCCAAAAGTTCACATGTCCCACCTACTCTATGCATGCCAAGCACCACCTCTCCCATGGTAGTCCATGGAGTTCTACTCTAAACGTGCATGTATATGGTGGTACTAAATCAACTGAAACTCTCAAACCTCCCTGATTCAGGTGTGATGCAGTCTGCGGTGGTGTGCTGGCTTTGGCAGCACAGAGACAGACTCTCAGCAGCCCAAATTGAAACATCAGGCCTCCACAAGCCACGATTCCAATTCTGCATCAGAATGATACCACAATCCAATGGCAGACTCAACAGACTGCAATGGGAGTCTGGGTTCAAGCTTGATGTCATTGCCTAAAGTTAGATCTGAAGTTAGATGCATCTGAAAACATCTGAGCAGCTGTCTACTGGAAAAATATGTGTGTGTGTGTGTATCGGACATATAATTTAGAATTCATACTGTCTCCTCATAAAAAAGACCCGATGGATATGCTGAAAGCACTCCCACAGAACAACATTCCTATGAAGACCTTACAAAAAGTTACAATATCTGAAGAGAGTAGCAGAATTTAGCAGCTTTCTAAACATGGTTTTACCAGGATCTGTTTCCTGATTAGGTCCGGCTACACAAACAGTCTGATTGACATGGTTGACTTCAGTGCATCCTCAGAGTTGAATAATATGCACCAAATCCACTGTCACACTCTCATTCCAAAATCAACACGAGTCTTCTCATTCCTTGTTGCTTTATTTGCTTTTTTAAAGACCACTTCTTTCATGGAGGGAAGGGATTGGAGAGTGGTTTTTGGTGTTTTCTTTTTACAAGGAGGTAGAGAACAAAAAAAAAAAAAAAATATATATATATATATATATATATATATATATATATATATGGGTAGTAGATTTGACAGTGAGTTTAATCCAAGTAATGGCTGAGAATGGGTGTGTGTGTGTGTGTGTGTGTGTGTGTTTAAAGGCCCTAGAAATTACAGATAAGAATATAAGAAAAATAAATTGATACTCTAGATGATTATTTATAAATAATGGGTTTTTTAAAGGATAGTTTTTCAATTTAGGAGAAGGTGAGAGTATGTCTGAAAAATTATAGAGATTTCAGCAATTCTGCCTGATTCATTTTGCCCTGAGTATACTTGTTCACTGTAATATTAGTCCAAAATATGTGGTCAGAGCTGCCAATTTGGATGACTTTATATAGAGCCTTAAGCTCCCTAGCTTCCAGATTCAACTAAAGACAAAAGTTCTACTTACAGGACCAGGTAGAGCTAGAAAAAAAAATCATCTGGTGCATTTTTCCAAGGCCTGTCTATGTTAGGAGAAGCAGGACCCTAAAAGGGCTGGCTCCCCTCTTCAATGAGCTATCTTAACAAACCAGTGAGCTGAACTGACTCAATAGATGTCACTCTAAGAGTGTCAAAGAAAAAGGTTGATTTGCATCAGTTTGAACCAGAAAAATAAGTCCTACCCTGAAATACAGTAATTTGTAATAAAATCTAATGATGACAATGAAATAACTTTTAGCTGTTCTAATATGACTGCTAATAAAAATTTTCAAATGTCATTAAAAATAGATGTCACTTATGACATTTCTAAGCTGTTTTGCTTTCTAATAAAAATGATTTAAACTCAACCTCTATGCTCATCAGTACAGTCTTGTGCTTAACCTTTTGCCCTGGCTTATTGTGTTTATTTTTAATGTTACTTCTCATCTCCATAGTAGTTTGCACTGAGCAACATTAGGAAGAACTGTGTTCACCCACAGAGTAGAACACACCAACCAACAATTCATATTATTCCTTCAGCTTTACCTGAACTTGAGAATCATGCTATCTATACTTGAGGAAGTTCCCTCGATAATATAGCTGCTTATCAAGAGACATGACAAATTAAGAGAAACAAGAGACAGAGATCCAAGCTTGAAACTATATGAACTCAAATGGTGATCCCTACCCCTGACTCACAAAGTATAAGGATAAAGAAAACTGTATATGCTTAGAACTTTAAAAAAGGCTCTCATTCTCTTTTTTCTTTTTACTTTTATTAATATAATGTGCATTGTACACATAAGACCTTAGATTTATTTATAAAAGCACTATGTGTAATAAACTCTCATCTACTAGGAATCTGAGAAGACCATCTGGAAGAAAGAGTATGCATGAATCAGTAGGTCCCAACAGCTGGCATCGATGGGCAAGCCTTCTGCCACTCTTCTTTGGAGTTTCACTGCTAAGTTATTGTATTTCTAAATACACTATTGCTTTCTTAAATAAGCTTCCAGCTTCTGGCTTTCCAAAACATCTTTGGACTTGTCATATGGCACCCCAAACAAAAAAAAATCCAAACCCAAAAAAGAGTGCTAATTAAGTGTGGGAGTTGCAATGTTAAATGATTTTTTAATAAACACCAAGTTTTTATATTCTAGAAAGAAGGCATCCCAGCCCACTGGAAAAAGCAAGGGTTCTGAAGTGAGAAAGATGATGTGTTGAAACTGGTATTTGCTAGCCTCTGTTTTCTTTTCTGTAAAATTGGGGTGATCATGCCTGCCTGGAGAGTCATTATGAGGATTAAATGATACAGGAGATGTCAACTCCTGTTCGGGTATCTCTGAAGGCCTGAGTTAGTGTACCATAGAAAACTGAGTGGATTAAGCCTTCTTTGAAAGCACAGTTTAGGACAATTCAGGAGGGTCTCTATTTTCCTCCAGTTGGCTGGCAGCTCCTGTGGCAGCTCTTCTGGGTTCTGTGTGTAGGAATTGGCGGAGGCTATGATACCATGTTTTCAAAGGGAAATTGAACATCAGAGCCTAGGGGTTCTCATTAAGGCTTAGCTGGTTCTGTGGGAAGATCTGAATACCAACACATTTGGATTGACATAATATTCATAGTTCCCTGTGCCTTCTCTGAATTCAGAGCTTCTCCAGGGAGCAGGGGCAGGGGCTCTCACTTTTTACCTAATGAAAGAGGGCCACCTTATGCACAATAAACAGTGCAGGACTCCTGTGGATTCAAAAGATTTTCAAGTTTCTTTCAGGGGGTGTATACCCACACACCTGTTGAGGTCACTCTCAGGCAGCAGATCTGACTGACCAGAATTTGGGTTAGACAAACCCACTTGCCATTTTTCCTTCTTCTGTTGGTCTGGGCATCAGTGGAACCCAATGAGGTACACAGCAGAGCGGTAGCCAATACTCACCACTCTCCAGAAAGAACACAGAAAATCATGGAGGAGTCAGCCCAGGGATGCAGTCCAGGAAAGGAGAACATTTCCTTCATCATTGAAGTCAAGAGGAAAGAGAAGCCTAACAGAGAAGAGAAGTAAACGAGAACCCAAGATACACTCATGGGAAGAACCAAACTAGTAAAGGATATGGAATGGCAGCTTTATGACCAGCACTTTACCAGAGTGAATGAAAATAAGCAATTTCAGTCCCTGCCTTTAAAAAGTTTACAATCTCATGGACAAAAGTACCAAAACCATGGAAAATGAAATAACAATAAATGATTTATGAAACAGGAGAAATGATGTCAGATACATGGGTAGATGAGTGGGTGGATAATTAGCTATTATGTGCCATGTACTTTAATGAATACACAAATTTCATTTTAATCTTTACAATCACCCAGTTATGTATTTATACCCACTTTAAAGATTCACAAAAACTCAATCTTGGAGCCATTTAAAAAACTAATTAGGGATTCAAGGCTAGTTAAGTGATAGAATGGGATTTGAATTTAGATATAACTCTATAAATGTTTTTTCAGAGTTTAATGGTGGGGGTGGGACTTACCTCCTCTTCAGAGCTGGTATTTCCCCTTCTTAGGTAATGAGCTCTTTCTAGCTTGTCATGTTTCTCTTTTCACAATGCTGACAGGTGGCTTAGTGCCAGGTTTTCAGCTCTATTTATCCTTATGATTGGCATATTTCTGCTATGTGGTTAATTTTATTGCAACTTTTTTAAAAAATGTTTTTGTAATTCTTTTTAGGAAGAAAGCTGAGTCTACACAAATAAATTGAATTAGATTGACTTAAAAGCTCATGTTTTGCCTATTGTATCATGCCCTGCATTAAAATAACAGGTCTCAGCAACAATCAAAATCCACAGGCTGAACAAGAATTGTTGCCAAATACAGTGTTCAGACCAAAAAAAAAAAAAAAAAAAGCCATAAACAGTCACAAAAGGAAAGATCCTTCCACTCTCACTCAGATGGATTCAGGGACATAGAGAGGTGAGATTCCAATCAGGCCACGAAATGCTGACAGAAGCAAGATGGACATAGGGGCAGACTTCCCACACAGTACAGGCAACAGAAGATAGAGACAAATTAGAGAAAACAATTCAGGTTTGCTTCATGGTCTTCAAAGTCATTATTTAAGTTTCATTTTGTTTTGGCTTTAAAATGGTTTGGGGGTCCCTATTTTATATTTGTTGACTTCAAATCAAAACCTACGTTCTTTTTTAGAGGGTTTTTCTTTCCATTCTCTGACACCCCGCCCTCTAGGCAGAAACTGTGATCCTAAAGGTAAAGTGGCAGGTGGTCTTGCCATTCCTAAGCAAAGGAATCACAGCACCATTCAGACACATCACCCTGATGGTTTTGGCCAAAGAGATACATTTCAAGAGAGTCCTTTCCCTTCCACAAGATATTCTGAGAAGGTTCAAGTTTCTTTTGGAATGTAGGATAAAACTCTCCTTCCTTCACCTTGCTGCTCTGCCAAGAACTCTTTAAAGCCAGAGAAAGGCAAAACGACGCTGACTGCCCCAACTCCTCACCCCATCCGATTTCCCTGCTGGACTCTGGGACCTGCAGGTAAAGGAATGAGGCAGTTGGCACTACAGAGATATCACTTGGATTCCCATTATCCCCAGAACAGAACAGCCCCAGGAGGCAAAGTCTTTAGGACAACACTCCTTTCTTAGCCTCCAAGAGCAATTTCAACTGTAAAAATTCAAGGAAGCTCATAGCCTATGCTTTGTAAGTATGTGTTTATTCAGTATTTATCCAAGTGCCCAAAAGGTTAACAGTTATAAGTTTCATGACTGCCAGCATATACCAACACCTTCTCTCAAAGGAATATTTTTTCTCATCAATGCTATCATCAAAAAGCATTTATTAAACACCCATCTGCATGTGGTATTGGGTACAATACAGCACAATGGCAATTTTTTAAAATTATGCTCTAAGTTCTAGGGTACATGTGCACATCGAGCAGTTTTGTTACATATGTATACATGTGCCATGTTGGTGGGCTGCACCCATTAACTCATCATTTACATTAGGTATTTCTCCTAATGCTATCCCTCCCCCATCTCCCCTCCCCCTGACAGACCCCAGTGTGTGATGTTCCCCACCCTGTGTCCAAGTGTTCTCATTGTTCAATTCCCACCTATGAGTGAGAACCTGCGGTGTTTGGTTTTCTGTCCTTGTGATAGTTTGCTCAGAATAATGGTTTCCAGCTTCATCCATGTCCCTACAAAGGACATGAACTCATCCTTTTTTATGGCTGCATAGTATTCCATGGGGTATATTTGCCACATTTTCTTAATCCAGTCTATCACTGGTGGACATTTGGGTTGGTTCCAAGTCTTTGCTATTGTGAATAGTGCTACAATAAACATACGTGTGCATGTGTCTTTATAGCAGCATGATTTATAATCCTTTGGGTATATACCCAGTAATGGGATGGCTGAGTCAACACTTGAATTATAACTCTGCTGCAACAATTCATTTACCTTTCTTTACTTTATTCGAGAAACAGTGAGTCAACTTCTACGCACCTACAGAGCAGAAGCCAGAGAGTCAGGAGGCTGCACAAAGAGATTTTACCAGGGTCCAGGAGAAGGGGCTCTTTTGTATCTGGCACCCTAGAAGAAATATGGCACAGAAAAATGTTTCCTGTGGCTTCAAAGGTCTCACTCTCCGAGATAGAATTGGAGATACAAGGAAACAGTGCAAAGGCTGTATCCAGTCTCTTTCTTCTCTTTCTTGCCTTTTTTCACTGACTTAAAAAAAAAGATATGTAATATATGATACCTACTAAAGAATGTATGTAGCAAATATATGAATTATAAAATAACAAAATGAACATTATGAACCCATCAAGAAACATAAAACTAGAGCTTTACTCTTAGCATTTCATCCATCTGTGGGCTTCCTCTTCCCCTACCCTAAAGCTTTCCTTCCAGAGGTGAACACTGCACTGAATGTAGTAGTCACCACTGATTTGCTTTCTAATTTTAGCATATGTATTTATAAATAAACAATATATTATGTACTCTTGCTTGGTTTTGAGCTTTATTAAAGGAGTTTTAGTTTGCATTTCCCTGCTTACAAATGAAGTTAAACATCTTTTCTTATATACATTTGCCATTCATGATGCCTCCTCAGTAAAATGTCTTTCCCCCCATTCTTCTATTGGGTTATCTCCATTTTAATTGATTTGTAGAAATTTTTTTGTACATTTCAGAAATAAATTCTATTTGTTATATGTCAGGCAAATGCCATCTCCTTGTGTTTTCATTTACCTTATGTTGTCTTTGAACGTAAGTTCCTAATTTAATGTAGTTAATTTTTAAAAATTAGGTTAGTACTTTCTGCATTCTATTCAAATGTATATTTCTTTACCCAAGAATGCAAATCATCCCATACTTTCTTGGAAAAGTTCTGCCTTTTATATGTATGCATTAATTCAACTAGAATTGATTTTTCTTTACAGGGTGAAAATAGAACTTGTTTCATTTTTTTCCATATGGATAATTAACTTTCTCAGCACTATCTATTAAATACTACCTCCTTTCCTAGTCATTTACAATTCCACCTCCGCTACATAAAGTTCCATATGTAGATCTGTGTCTGGGCCATCTATTCTCCTTATTTAGTTTGATTTGTAACTCTCTGTGAAAATGCCACATTATATTGATTATAATAACTTTATGCCTGGTTATCTGGTAATTCTAGCCCTTCCAATGTTTTCTTCTTGAGAAGAATCCTGGTTCTCCTTGAGACTTTGCTCTTCATTTAAATTTTATAATTGGCTCATTAAATTCTCCAAAAACCAGTCGAGATTTTAATGAAAGTTGCCAGAAATCTATAATTCAATTTAGGGAGAAGTTACAAGTTTATAATATTGAGGCATTCCATACATGAAATAGCATATTTCTGTATTATTTACGTCTTCTTAGTGAATTTCAATAAAGTTTTACTGATATACAAACAACACTATTCTTCATACAGATCTTGCGCATCATTTACTAAATATATTCTTGAACCGTGTTGCCATTAATATCTCTTTTTGTATGCTACTCTCTGTTTCCTTCCGGCTTTAGAAATCCAATCCATATCCTTTATTTTCATACCTTTACACAGGTAAGGACCTCCCGTGGTGAATGGAAGTGATGGGAGCTGACAGGCTTATCTTATTCTGATTTTAAAGCGCATTCCACTAACATCTCACTGTTAGGAATTGTGTCTGAGGTTTTATTTTTGGTAGACACCTATTATTAAGCTAAAATATTTAGATGTAGTCCTAATCTGCTAAGTTTTTTGTTGTTGTTGTCACTTACAGGCATCCTAAGGGGTAGCTTCACTCCAAGAGCTACAACCGAGCAGTAGCACAATGAGACCACAGGTAACAGTAGTTTGACTGAAATGAGGAATCTACTTCTGTGTTTGTTGATTACATTTTATATTTCATGAATAGTTTCTCATCCAATTTAGGAAAGTCTTTCCAAAGCCTCTCAGGAATAACATTAATAAGATTATAGCTAATGGGAGGCTGCTTGGTGGATACAACACGTGCTACTCCAGTGATGGCCCCAGTGAAGCCCTGACTTCACCACAGTGCAATATATCAATGTAGCAAAATTGCATTGTACCCCAGGAATACATACACATTTTAAAAATTAGTAATAAATAAATAAATACAGGTTATAGTTGACCATTGGTCTTTGGAGACTTTCTGAAAACTGAATGTGGAACTGGCTCTCTGCTCCAATGTAGCAATGTAAAAACTCATCTATCCTGGGCTGGTGCCCAAATTGTTTGGTACCAAGTGACTCAGACAAAGTGAGCTGGTCCCTTCCTACTATCTCAGTTTTATTCTCTCTTTGAATCAAAGTATAATGAACCATTTTGCAAGTCAAAAGATAGATCAGGCTTTATTTTTTTAAAAAAGGAACTATGCTGCAATTTTATAGTTACAATAACTTTCTCAATATTTTCATTACTTGGACATAACAGAGAAAACAAAAAGGGCAAGTGGATTTTCAGGTCATTAAAGTCAGTCCCAGAGTCTATTGAATCCCCATGAGATGCACATAATTGCCTCTGGTAATATGCACATTGTCATGTTTTGTTGCCAAAACTATTAGTGACTCTTCCCATTTTGTAGCAGTCTCCTACTTGCTACAACACAACTGAGCTTGTTGCAGTCCTGACATTTGCAACAACATTATTAGGTGCTGAATACAAGACAAGCAACAGGGCCTCAAAAGAGTCAGAAAAGCTACATTTATAGGCCAAGTCAAAGAAAGGGGGAAATTCTTTTCCATGAGGCCTGATCTTTAGCTTCCCATCCTTATTACTGCAAAGCCCATGTTTGGTGAGTTGGCTTTACATTATAGCAGCCCCTTTTCACACATACTTACAGACTTACTCCCCTCCCATCACAAAGGGCTTACAAATGTCCAAAAAGGCTCTTCTTTCCAGCAGATGTACTATGAAAAGCCAACAGACATAAAGAACTTCAGGATCACACAGCACATGCATTCATCTCAGACAAGCTGTGGATCAGTGTATTTCATGTTATCAGTGAATCCCACAGGCACTGAACTGAGCAAGCTTCATACCCAGAACCAGGAGGAAAATCTGTCCCAGAAGGCTCTCTGAAGACATATGTTCTCGTCTCACTGGCCATGATTAAGTCACACATGCATGCCTTTCTGCAGGGACGCCTGGAAAAGCAGTGTTGGCCATTTCCAGCCTTTCTATTGGGAAATAAGTACTGGTGTCAAGGAAGGAATGTTGGGGTAGACAACAAATTACTCCTTCTTCATGTTTCTCATTCTCTTTCTCTAAAAAGCAAAAAAAAAAAAAAAAGTTACCTGCCAAAATAAAGCTAATACATTCCTTCCTGCACTGGCTCTGGTTTGCATATTCTCAGATAGTTTCACTTATTGTTCTCTTCTCTCTTCTTTTATGTATTTATTTCACTTCCTGGACACTCTTATCCTTTTCATTTGGGTGGGTGGATGTTATCTAAGATGCTTTGAGGATAACAGATAACAGAAATACCTCTAGACTTGGCAAATGAAGTTCTGGATTCAAGAATCTCTCCTGCACCTGCCCACTATTAGCCATGTGGTCACAGACAAGGCTCTTCTCTGAGCCCCATCTGTAAAGAGGAAGTGAAATTACTCTTCTACTGATTTCTGGAACTAATTGTGGAGGCCAAATGAAGAAAGACGTGTAAAACTCTTTTGTAAATTGTCAAGTGCTATGCATATTAAATGAGCTGCTGACATCCAAGGATCCTTGTTGCACCCAGAAACACCTACACTTCAATTGCCTTTTCTCATTCACTATACTGAGGTCATTTTGCAAAGTTCTTACTGTGAGTCAGAGATTTCTCCACATTGGCTGGAAAGAAGCCAATGCATTCACAAGTAAACAGCATTTGAGCAGCTGCACTTCAGAATCAGGAATGAGGGACATAATGGCCTGTCTCTCCCCTTGACTACATTGCCCTGGCCAGGTCACTAGAGTTAAGCAGTTGGATAGGACTGTCTACAATGGAGTATGCTACAGATTTGGAGAAAAGGCTACAGATGGTCAACTATTTGGACCTGGGCATCTTTTTTTCCAGAGGGTTTCTCCTTCACCCAACCCTTATCCATGGTTCAAGTAGTTCATTCAGGAAACTAAGTGCCCCTCCTAAAGTCCAGGTGCTCTCTATGGCCTCATAACAGGGCCTCCCATGGAACAGAGCTGATCCTAAGCAGAATCATAAATTATATTCAAAAACTTAGATGGTCCCTGTTCTGTGATCATGTGCCTACTATACTCTTGATGTAAGTATACATCTACATCGATATCTCTATATATCTACTATCTACTAAGATGACTAAGACATCGGTCTTGCCCTCTGCACTCAGTGGGAGGAATTAGCCAAGAACACAACTCAACTCTAGCTCAAGGTACAACACAGTAAGTGCCAAGAAACCTCAAAAGTGCTCAGACCTTTTGTATGAAACAAGAGAATGAATCCAGGCAGGAGCATCAAAACAAAAACTTGAAATGACCATAGGAAAATGGTATCATGTTTGCAAGCAAAAATGCTGAATGAAACAGCATGAGCCAAGCTTCAAAGTGGAGAAGCAGTGTCATGTCTGAGGAAAAGGGGTTTGATGTAGAATATATGTACATAGAACAGGGGGACTATGGGGAAGTTGGGGTCACAGGTGAGGGTGC
The DNA here is from genome assembly GCF_000001405.40 of Homo sapiens. Classification (NCBI taxonomy): domain Eukaryota; kingdom Metazoa; phylum Chordata; class Mammalia; order Primates; family Hominidae; genus Homo; species Homo sapiens. The sequence goes on along the minus strand of NC_000009.12, from coordinate 75,454,772 downwards.
TCGGTATTCGGTTCTTGTTTTCACACACCCACTTTGGCAGAAGAGGGCATTTTCCTCCCTCTCTCTCCTTCCATCCCTGAAGAATATTAATATCTCAGTATTCCCTCCCACAGCCCTTCCCACTCATCAAAAATTGCTATCAGGGATAGACCTAATATAGATGACTTATGATTTGGCAAGAATTGAAGGCAGACTAATACTTCATTTGAAACCATGGCTCAATTAGAGGGTAAAGGCATTGTTTCCTATCAAAAGAATTCTAGGAACCATGATGAAGAGACACCAAATTCCTCAGCAGACTGAGAGCCAGTGGGACTAAAAGTATATCTGAATTTCAGCCCCAGTTTTCTGATTTATTTGTCATGTAGGCAAGTTATCTAACCTCTCTGCACTTCAGTATCCTTGTCTCCACTAAGAAAATCCTATCTGTCATACCACTATCACAGAGCTGTTGTAATAAGGCTCATAAAACAACCCATACAGAGACAAAGCACCCTGGTGATAAGGACGTTCACCCCACCCTGGGGTCTGGCTGCTGGCAGGTGTCCCTGATGACAATCTCACCTAGAGGCTCTGATGGGAAAGTGCAGGGAGCTGGGTAACTGTTGGGACATTGCTCCTGCCTTAGCCCTTCTCCCCATCATGGGTTCCCAAATGCACAGGACTGTGGCCCGGGCTGGCCCAATCTAGGCAGCTGGCAAAATGCACTATTACCCAAAGCACTTCAGGAGGGGTTGCACAGCAATCAGAGCTGCTGATGCACATGGACCTTCTCCTCTCACAGGTGCTGAGTGTGAAAGCATGCTGACCAAGAAGCCATTAAGGAAACCCGAATTTGGATCCTGACCTATTTCCTTGTCCCGGCTTTATCCTTGCTTGCCAATGGTAACTTGGGTAAATGATTCTTGCTCTTCAGACATCGTTACTTCTGCTATACATTGGAGGAAATACCAACTGCCTTGTCTACTTCATAAACCTAAGATGCATTTTGCAAAAGTATGCTGTTATTACTGTTTGTGTTTCTATCTGACAGAAGAGCCTTTTGGTCACTTTTGGACACTCTTGGAGGCATGGGACATCCTTTGAGGCATATCCCAAATGCTGTGTCCTCAATTACAGCTTCCCCAGTTTTCCCGGCACAGTTACTCTCCATCCTGTGCATCTCAAGCTCTTCATTAGCTCCTCTGATATACCTCACCGCATATTCTAATTGCATGTGTGTGTCTCCCCCTCTAAGGTCCTCAAAGCCCAGGAGTCCTACATTGAATACTTGGGGCCTGGCATTGGCCTTGCACATTGTGTTTGCACAAGAAATATTTGAACAAAAGAGTTCTCAGATAGTGGTTTTATTCTGGACTTCCTTTTTGCCTCTAGGCCATCACTGACATGGAAACAGGACACTTTTTAGAAACTTCGTAAAGGCTCAGCCTGGAGCAGCAGAAGTTAAATACAAGAATATCACAATAGGATGGGGACCAACAAGTGCAGTGTGGCCCATTTTACATTCCGTTCTTTGTCCTCAGGGCTCTAAGGCAGATGTGTCCTTACTCTTTTCCCTCTGTCTTAGACACTATGTCCTGAAGATATTTCTAATGGAAACACTGTAATTGGAAATTGGGCCACATGCTTGTATTGAGGGATCCACTGCAGAAGACCTGCCAATAAATTACTCAACAGCACCACACCACTGTCACCCAAGACTCTGTTAAATACACAATATTCTACTCCCAGATGCCAAGAAGCATAAAGAGATACTTTCATTGTAAAGCAGAGGAATGTGAAACAGCTAAACCAAAAATTTTGCTAAAGTTGTTAAGATTTTCCCCCCTTAGTGTGATCTCAAGATGAAATGCAATTCAGCAGTTAAAAACAGAACAATTTAAGAGTGTTCTGTTCCAAAGCATGAAACATGCAAAAATGTAGTCTGAAGATTGTCGAGCTGGGCTGGCAATCAGATTCATCAGCCATTTTTGGGTACTGCTTTCTAAAAGGAAGTATTAGTGGAATCCAGCTGAGCCAGGCAAAGTCTCAATAATATTAACATCACTTGCTCCATTGCTCTTGGTAGTAAGAGGAACATCCCATAATGGCTTGTAATCATATTGCACAATGCTGTGTCTAAAGACATGGTTTATTAAGGAGGAGATGGTCACTGATGTGTTTCTCTATGTGATAAAACACTTCTTGCTAAAAGCAACCAGGGCAAATGGAATATTACAAATGATTCTGAATGCTACGGAGAGTTAAAACAAATTAGATGTCTGTGCCTCCAGTTGGGTTGCCATTCTTTGTAATAAAATTGTCTCCTGAGAGGAATGCATGTTGTTTGCGATTTGGAAGACATCTTTGTAAGCTTCTGCCCAACACATCAGAATTCTTTTTATCACGTTCAATTGCTATATTTCAAGAAATAATTTACAGCACCACTGCAGACAGTCGAGGCTTTCACTATTGCATACTTTTCCTAAGCTAACTTTTTTATGTATGTTATTTTATTTAATCTCATAACAACCTGTTATCTGATATGATTATTAAGTACATTTTATTAATTAGTAAAACTGGGGCTTAAAGAGGTTATGTAACTGCTTCAATGTCACACAACTAGTAAATAGCAAAACTGGCTTTCTAACTCCAGTCCTACTAATTCCACAGCCCACAATTCCCATTTTATGGATGAAGACACCAGGGATGAGAGAGGTTAATAACTAAACCACATCTGGTTACACTGCAGAGCTGGAATGCAAAACAAAGTGTGTCCACCTCCAAGCCACGCTCTTTTCCCATTATATGACCGTGTTGTCTCTTGCATTTATCTGTGTTTCTTAAAATCCTCTCAGTAGGTAGATGGGGATAGATACCTCTCAGCTTTCCCCCAAGCTCCTGCCTCCTCAGGTATTTAGTGCCCTGTAAGCAGGTCAGCAGAATCCTGACTACTGAGAGAAGAGAGGCTCTGTCATTCTCATGGGGCCACCCAGTTGCACCTGTGCTGAGGTCAAAGACATTGCTGCCTCCACATATCAGAGAGGCAGCTGGAGTGAGTCTGGACATTTACAAAGGCACAGGAATCTTGCCAAAGACATCAATGTTCCTAAAACTGTGACTCAGTCTTTACAGAGCTCTTGAGTGTCTCCAATGTATTTAATAAGTAGTTTTGGCAGCTTACTCTGCACTGGCCCTGAGGCAAGCTGTAGGGACATAAAAATGACAGATATGGGTCCTGCCCTCAAGTATAAAAATAATAGCTCACAATTGTCAGCATTTAGTATATGCCAGAGATCCTCTCTTGCTTCACATACTTTAACTCAGTTAATCTTCACATATCCCATGATTGGTATACCTAAAGCTCCCGTTTTACAGACGAGGGCATTGGGGCACAGAAAACTTAAATATAACTTTCCCATTGTCTAGTGGGACACAGACAAGTAAACAAACCTTGCCAATGCAACGGGTTAATCCCTGGGCCTGAGGGAACACAGGATGATGTGGGGCTCAGAGCAGGGATCTTAGCCCAGCCTTGGGGGTTAGAAAAGGCTTCTCAGTGACCACAGAATGCATTGAAATTAGCCAACGAGGAGGTGAGGCACCAGTGAGGCATAAGTGCTTGATACAGCAGGGATAGTGAGGCAACTTCAGGTCCTAGAAAAGTTCAGTGTGCCTGAAGCAAAGAGAGAACAAAAAATGAAGCCAGAGTGATACATCTGGTGGGCATTTTTTTTTTCATATGGCTCATTGCCAGAGCCTAAAATCCTCTTCAAATGATCAGAACTGGAGACTCTTCAAAGTCAGAAACATGATCTAGACTGTAGCAAATCAAAAGTCGGGAAGCATGATTAATGTCATATTGCTTTGCAATACTGCTTTTTCAAGGATCTTTTTCCCCTTCAATTCAGGTTAATTCTGGGGTGTCTTGTTTTACCTCCTGGGGTGTCTTGTTTTACCTCCTGCTGTGATGAGAGGTATTTGGGAAAGGAATATTCTTGCCTCCCAGAACGTTTTCAGCAAACTTTTCACAAAATTGCAGGCCCACCGGCCTCATTTGGAGCAGGCACACCTAGAGGGCTACACACCTCTGTGCACTCTCTATCCCTCTGCAGCCCCACCTCTAACAACAGGAAGCCCGAAAAGGTGTCGACTCACTATTGATTCCTGACGCAATGAGTCCCCTAGCTCTCTCCTTCCAAAAAAGAGGCACAATAAAATCCTACTGCAAGATCATATCTATTTCGTACCTAAGAACATGGAGTAATTCACAAAAGCATAATCACTAAAAGTCAAGAGTAGAAAATGTCACTTCCTGATCTTTGTAATCCAGGTACTGCAAGGCATTTGAAAACTACTACCGGGTGGTACTAATCACATGAAAATCCATATAGCATAAGAGATTAAACCATCCTCCCACACTTGATTGTATCCTTGATCCCATCCCTCCCACGTACTTATGTCCCCAGCTTGGGACAGTTCTTGATTATTTTTGAGGAAGTCTAGATAGATGTCTATCACTTCCCTACATATGTGCTCAGTTGTTACAATAGGTTATGCTCTGGTGTTTGACCCCAAATGAGGACTAAAGCATGATGGAATAAGAAAGATGACGGCTACGTAGAGGCCCCCAAGGCATATCTCAAACCCAGCACCTCTGGTCACCTCATTCTAAGAATGCACTCTTTCCTCTTCTTCCAAATTTGAAGCTCATCGCAGGTGGGCGTGACTGGCTGTATGCCAGAGAATAAATGAAGGAAGATAGTAGATACTAAAAACCAGGTGTTTTCACAAATTGAACTTTAAAGATCCTTGTATTGGGTAAGTCCAAAATGTAAATGGAGGCTGAATTAGGGTTAAAAAATATTTTTAAGTTCCTGTTCATTTCTTTGATTCCTCAAGGCGATAATTCAGTACAATCAAGTCATTAAGTCAGGTAGGTTTCAGAGTACACACTTGAGGGACCTCCCTCCCCCTTCTGTCTTGTACTGTCTCTCTCTCTCTCTCTCTCTGCTTCCCTCCCTCTTTCCCCTCCACTCTTCTCGTATTTATCAGGTATTATTTGAGCACCCACCTTGCACCAGTCAATATCCTAGGAGCTCCAAGGTAAGCATGGCCCTGCCTTCTGCCATTCAGAGGACCTTGATCATCTCATATTGATCTGCTTTTTAAAATTTATTTTCATTTTTATTTAATTTCAGAGACAGGGTCTCACTCTGCCATCCACTGGAGTACAGTACTGAAATCATCACTCACTGCAGCTTTAAAATCCTGAGCTCAAGTGATCTTCCTGCCTCAGCCTTCTGAGTAGCTGGAGCCACAAGCACACGCCACCACACCCAGCTAATCTTTTTTATTTTTTGTAGAGACAGGTCTTGCTATGTTGCCCAAGCTGGTCTCAAACTCCTGACCTCAAGCTATCCTCTGGCCTCAGCCTCCCCAAGTGCTAGGATTACAGATGCAAGCCACAGTCCCTGATCATCCATCTGCTTTTGAGGCAGGTACAAAAACCAGCCACAGAGATAACACATGCAGAAGTCCCAGACACCTCCGGTAGGCCTTTTTCCTCTTCCATCTATTCATGTCCTAGAAATGGATGTTAGAAGGTAGAAAGTTTAGAGGGAAAACAATTAAGAAGTTTGCTGAGTCAGAGATTTTTCAGGTGGCTATTAACCTTCACTCCCAAGTGATTGCTCCATCCTCCCCTGTCCCCGGCTCCCACCACCCCAGTTCCTTGCATTTGGATTTTCTCATCTCCAAACTTATTGAAAGTTGTTTCTTTAAACTTTTTAAAATAAGATTTGAAAACAGTTGGCTTAAAAGTCTCCTTTGTGATTGAATAGTGCCTATGACTACGATCTCCTAAGGATGTTACTTCAAAATGTTCTAAGAATATCCTAGTGGGACCAGTTCCTTGAAAATAACAGCCTTTGCAAAACATAATACATGATAATGCTGTATCATTTTCTAAGCACATAAGCAAGATCTTGGAGGTCTGCAACTCCTCAGTGCCTCTAATCTCTATCTTTTCCTACCTGGTGGGTATTTCTGATAAAAAGGCAGTGCTTCCTCAAGCCTAAGAGTTTTTTCACCACAAAGACAACCTCAGCTGCAATTCATACCTCTGCTTTTAAGAACACTTCAAAAATGGCTGAGGCAGACAGAGTTCTTCAGAATCCAGGCCCCACTGAATCTTGGAGGTGGTGAGAGGGAAAGGGATTCCTTTCTCCCTTCATAACCTCAAGACAACTGAACACTGCCAATGGAATTCTTGCTAGCTATCCCCAGAGTTTGACCTCAGGCTGTTACAGAAACAATGTTTTCCATGCGGAGCTCTTGGTTAAGAAATTTCCTCTCACCCTGAGAGTCCAACAAAGCAGTGGTTTATACACCCTCAGCCTCAGTGCAAATAGTCTAGGCTGGGCCATCCAAGCTGGCAAGAACTGTGATTTCCTGGTAGCTCTGCATGTGTGCGCTCAGTTGTCATTTTATAGCTGGGGGATTTTTTTTGTTGTTGTTAAATAAAAAAGTGTGCTTGGGTGAGAAGACAGTCAAAATTCTTTTTGGAGCATGCAGACAAGTAGTAGGGAAGGGATATCTCCCAGGCAGAGAGGGAAGATGCCTGTGAGGGAGTTCTCTTTGTAAGAGGAAGGAGGAAGACTTGCCTGCTTTTCAATAAGGAACTTCAAAGTAGGCCCCTGGTTATTTTCTTGTTTACTCCCCACTCTGTGTCATTTTCTCCTGATAAGCTGAATTGTTGACTGAAAATGACTGCTTCATCCCTAAAAAAGAATCAAGGGAGTTATCTAATGCTGGGCTGTTTTCAGTAGCAGCAGAGAAGAGAAGGAGGGAGGATGGGAAGGAGGGAGAGGAAAGAAAAAGAAAAATCATATTACAAGTACCTGGATATGGACGTATAGCTATAAATAAAATCTTCTTGTTCTGTTCCTGACATCATTTACTAAATCTGTATTCACAGAAGAGCCATGTATTAAATTATAAAAGAGGGCATCCATCTACTCATGAGGATTTTCATTAAGAAGCATTCTGTAGCCACACAATGCACTATCATGATGAATCCATGGTAAATAAATAACATGTACATTTCCAGAAGTAATCACTGTGTCTCTTCCTTCCTTTCTGGTTTAGTATGCAGTGAAATTGGGCATCTGTCATATTCTTCCATGTACATTGACAGCTACAACTCAGACAGGTTTCTTTACCTTCTCTTTAAACACAGTTACCTTTCTTTTGAACTATGTAGCCATTCCATTACCACTTCAGGCCTGCTTTCACAGGATGCCAGTGGTGCTAAGCCTTCAGTGCTGACCTGCTGAGTTGCAAAGCCATGCTGCAGTGTGAAGCCCTCAGTGTTAGCATCTATCGCTCCTCAGGTGTCTATTATGATACCAGTGGGATAATCCAATACAGCTAGGCCATCCTGGCAGTTCCCCAGCCTCCAACCCTTATGGCTTTGCACTTGCTTAGGGCCCACATTATTATTATTATTATTATTATTATTATTATTATTATTATTTTGAGATGGAGTTTTGCCCTTGTTGCCCAGGTTGGAAGTGCAATGGCACGATCTCCACTCACTGCAACCTCTGCCTCCCGGATTCAAGCAATTCTCCTGCCTCAGCCTCCTGAGTAGCTGGGATTACAAGCATTGGCCACCATGCCCGGCTAATTTTTTTGTATTTTTAGTAGAGACGGGGTTTCTCCATGTTGGTCAGGCTGGTCTTGAACTCTCAACCTCAGGTGATCCGCCTGCCTCAGCCTCCCAAAGTGTCAGGGCCCAAATTTAACAGTTGCTATTACTTTCCGCCTCTGGTTTTGATATGGTGGATCGCCCATTTAAAAACTCGTTCCTGGGAAAGTCAATCCTAATTCACAACTTATTGCTTATTTTCGTTTACCGTGGACACTGTTTCCCCAGAAAGTGTCCACACAGGCAAAAGGTAGGGTCACAGGATGTGGGATGCTCTTTACTGAGCCGCTTTTATGTCAGGAAAAGAAAACCTTCCTTCTCAACAAAACTGAAATACGTACTTAAGTGGAAGAAATGGGTTAGAAGGAGAAAACTGTGCTGATGTTGTCTTAGATTTTGTCTTATTTTATTATAGAAACACTTGAAGAACAACCTTGAAGGAGAAAAAAGGATTGATCAATAATAATAGCAGTAATTTATTCATTTAAAACACATAAATTTACTCAATAAAGGAAAATTATTTGAAAATGGTCGACAACATCCTATTCAAACAGCCTTTGTTTTATCAACCCAGCAAGATGCCAGAACATTCCTTTGTGTCTCTCTCTTCCCTGATAAGGGTGGGTAGCCTTTACAAAGCAAAAAATCATTTTGTAAAAGCAGCCTTGAATGATTTTTTTTTCCTTTTTGTTACTTGAGTGGGTTTTTCAGCCCCAGGATCTTTTAATCTGATACAACTCATTTAAAATAGATGAGAATGTTCTATCACCCAATCTAAATGCCCTTGGGAAGAGAAGAGAGCCATGATAATTACAAACTATATGGTGAATATTGAAAATGGTCACGCAGTGTTTGCACAGCACACTCTGGCTGGGATGAGGGATTGTGCACACTGAGTATCCACAGGTGAGAAATCAAATGTAGACATTCCAGGGAGCCTGTAGGGCAAAAAGGGATGTCAGACCTGGTAACTGTTATAGGAGACCCACAGTAAGACCTCGTGAATTGAATCATTTCAGTGAAATCCAAATGCTCTCCTATAAGAATCTTCCTTGATGAGCCAGGACACTCCTGCCGTGTTGTAGTGTCCTTGTTGCTGGTGCTGTGTGTCTACTACCTACTACCTTGCTAAGGTCCTATGTCTGGCACTATCAGCTTTCCCAATGTTTTATTTGGATTCCTCCTGTATGTTTAGAGCACACACATTTCCTCATCCTGTGCTATTTGCCAGGTCTTTGATATACAACCTTGCTCCTGAGGAACTGGGTCTCCTGATATTCAACAGCTTGCCTAGTTTTATCTCATTACTTGGCTTGGTGCTGTGTGTGATCTGAGTATGAGCTGTTCATCTTGCTCTTGACCCCAAGATATACACGCATGCACACATGCATACGCACACACACACACACACACACATTATTTATCTACTTGCCAATTATTGGAAGCTCGATAGTACATAAAACAAATCTCTGTCCTACCTTTACAAATCTTACTATCCAGTGATTAAGACAGATATTTCTCTTATGCCCCAACAAACATATAAATACAAATTAACAAATTATGCTATGTGCCATGAAAAGAACAGAGTACTTTGAAATAGACCAACAGGAAAGGCCTTTCCAAGAAAGTAACATTAAGCTAAAACCTGAAGAATCAGTAGGAGTCAAATGGACAAAGAGCTTTTCAGGCAAGAAAAACAACATAGCCAAAGATCTGCTGGCAAGAAAGAGCTTGGCAAGTGCAAGAAAATTAAAGCAAGTTAATGTGACTGGAGAGTAGTGAGCAAGAGGAAAATGAAATCAGGTTACAGGAATAGGCAGGGACAAGACAACAAAAGGTCTTAGTAAGAATTTTGTGTTCTGAAGTCCAGGATGTGGTTTTTTGAAAAAATTAACAAGGTAGGCCACTATCTAGACTAATGAAGAAGAAAAGAGAGAAGATCCAAATAAAGACAATTAGGAATGACAAAGGGGATGTTCCCACTGACCCCACAGAAATACAAACAACCATCAGAGACTACTATGACACCTCTACACACACGTACTGAAAAACATAGAAGTGGATAGATTCCTGGATATATACACCCTCCCAAGACTGAACAAGGAAGAAATTGGTTCACTGAATAGACCAATAACAAGGTCTGAAATGGAATTAGTAATAAATAGCCCACCAACAATAAAAAAGCCCAGGACTAGACAGATTCACAGCTGAATCCTACCAAATGTAAAAAGAAGAGCTGGTACCATTCCTGCTGAAACTATTCCAAAAAGTTGACAAGGAGGGACTCTACCCCAACTCATTCTGTGAGGCCAACATCATCCTGATACTAAAACCTGGGAGAGTCACAACAAAAAAAAGAAAACTTTAAGCCAGTATGCTTAGATGAACATTGATGCAAAAATCCTCAACAAAATACTGAAAAATCAAATCCAACAGTATACCAAAAGGCTTATCCACCACTATCAAGTAGGCTTTATCCCTGGGATGCAAGGTTGGTTCAACATATGCAAATCAATAAATGTGACTCATCACATAAACAGAACTCGAGACAAAAACCACATGATTGTCTCAATAGATGCAGAAAAGACTTTTGATGCAGAAGAGCCTTTTGATAAAATTCGACACCCCTTCATGTTAAAAATTCTAAACAAATTAGATATCGAAGGAACATACCTCAAAATAATAAGAGCCATCTATGACAAACCCACAGCCAACACCATACTAAATGAGCAAAAGTTGGAAACATTCCCCTTGGAAACCAGCACAAGGCAAGGATGCTAATATCTAGCATCTGTAAGGAACTTAAACAAATTTACAAGAAAAAAATAAATAACCCTGTTAAAAAGTGGGAAGAACATGAACAGGCACTTTTCAAAAGAAGACTTACCTATGGCCAACGAGCATATGAAAAAAAAAGCTCAATATCACTGATGATTAGAGAAATAAAAATCCAAACAACAATGAGGTACCATCTCACACCAGCCAGAATGGCTATTATTAAAAATTCAAAAACTAACAGATGCTAGTGAGGTTGTGGAGAAAAGGAAACGGTTATCCACTGTTTGTGGAAGCGTAAATTAGTTCAACCATTGTGGAAAGTAGTGTGGTTATTCCTCAAAGAGCTACAAACAGAACTACCACTCAACCCACAATCTTATTACTGGGTATATATATACAAAGGAATATAAATCATTCTACCATAAAGACACAGGCACACGTATGTTCGTTACAGCACTATTCACAATAGCAAATAATACGGGAGTGCTGGGAAGGGAAGAGCGTGGTCCCTTTAAATGATATGGAAAGCGGGAAGGAAAGTGCTGGGTAGAGGAGGGCGTGGTCCCTGGCTAGGTCTCCACCCCCACAGATCTAAGTAAGGACAGGCACTTCTGCCTTCTCGCCCAAATGCTGCATTTTCCAATACCACTCTGGCCTGCCATGCCCTATCCTGGGCCTATAAAAACCCGAGACCCTAGCAAGACGAGACAGAAGCTGCTGGATGGTGAGAGGAACACATCAGGGGGAGGGACACAAGCAAGAGGACATCAAGAGGAACACATCAGTGAAGAAGACACAAGCGGCTGGTCATCGAGAGCATGCCGGCGGAAGAGCAGGCCATCCACTGACAGAAAGAAGCAGAACTACAAGGAGTTTGGCTGGTGCGGTGGAAGCAATCGGAGAAGAGTCCGCGAATGAAGTTCAATCATTGCACTATTCACAATAGCAAAGACATGGAATCAACCTAAATGCCCATCAATGGCATATTTGGTAAAAAAAAAAAAAAAAAAAATGTAATACATATACATCATGGAATACTATGCAGATGATGTCCTTTGCAGCAACATGGATGGAGCTGGAGGCCATTATACTTAGCAAACTAATGCAGGAACAGAAAACTAAATACCACGTGTTCTCACTTATTAGTGGGAACTAAATGATGAAAATACATAAACACATAGAGGGGAAAACACATTGCCCAGTGGCCCGACTCTAGGGGAAAACCATCTCCTTTCTGGCTCCCCAATCTGCTGAGAGCTACTTCTACTAATAAAACCTTGCACTCATTCTCCAAGCCCACGTGTGATCTGATCTATATATTCATTGCAGCACTATTCACAATAACAGAGACATGGAATCAATCTAAATGCCCATCAATGGCATATTGGGTAAAGAAAATATAATACATATACACCATGGAATACTAGGCAGCCATAAAAAAGAACAAGATGATGTCCTTTGCAGCAATGTGGATGGAGCTGGAGGCCATTATACTTAGTAAACTAATTCAGGAACAGAAAACTAAATACCACATATTCTTACTTACAAGTGGGAGCTAAATGATGAAAACACATAAACACATAGAGGGGAGCAACACACACCAGGGCCTATTGGAAGGCAGAGGGTGGGAGGAGGGAGAGGATTAGGAAAAATAACTAATGGGTACTAGGCTTAATATCTAGTGACAAAACAGTCCGTACAACAAACCCCCATGACACCAGTTTACCTATATAACAAACCTGCACATGTACCCCTGAACCTAAAATAAAAGTTTAATTAATAAATAAATAAAAATAAAAAAATTTGGTGTTCTAGTCTAAGGTTGTGGAAGCCACCACAGAATTTTAAGCAGCAGAATGACTGTGATCCCATTTATATTGTTCATAGGTCAAGGGAAAGACTGAAGCAAGGAGACCAGTGAGAGAATATTGTCACAAACTATGAGAATGCTGATTTTGACCATCTGGGTAGCCCTAGCGTTTAGCCTGCTCCCATGTGAGTCTTCGAGCCTGAACAATGGCCTTGATCTGGTTCTTCTCATCCTGACTATATGTCTTCTCCTACAACTCTTTGGAGTTTATGGAGCTGAAACATCACTGTGGCTTATCCTCACTCAAAAGAAAAAGCCAACTCAGAAAAAAAGGTCAAGGCAATCAAATGTTATGTTTTGAAGGAATTTTTATTTTCAACAATTTGTTCTTCTGCCACAAGACAACTTTAGAGATGACTCATTTGCCTTTTTGTCAATCCCCGGCCTTCACCATCAATATAGGCCCAGGAGCCAGCACTCAACCAAGAATTAGAACAGCAAATTTCTAGTCTTATTTCAGATATTACCCCGATTGTAGAGGTGATAGAAACCGAAATGGAAAGTAGGATGGACAGTATCAAACCTGATTATGAAAAAGGTCATAGGATTGGCCTTTGACAAAACACAGAAGTAGAGTGTTTCTGATTCAAGCACAATGTCGCACGATAGAAACTTAAACCTCTGAGAGGTCAAATCCAGGTTTGATCCAAGGGAATAAATCCTTAAATAGAGCAGAAAAACCAAATGACCTGAACTTCACACTTACAAGAGATAATCCTAGGTACAAAGTCTCTTACAAATATTACTGAATCCTCACAGATACAAGGAGGTCCTAGGGGTAAGAGGTGGTGAGAAGAAAGCATTTATTTATTACAATACCAGGTTTATGGAGGGGAAATTTAGTGGAAATCCTTTTCCACAGTCAGGAAATTGAACAGTGTTGAAATCAGAGTCAGAACGCAGAGGTTTTTCACTAGAGGCCAAAATAGTCTTGCAAGAAGCCCTAGGGCCCCTCAGTAGTAAATATTGATAGAAGCCCACAGTGAAGCCTGCTGAATTGTGTGGGCAGCATTTTACTGTCTCTATTTCCCTTCAGCGTGCTAGGAGAAAAAAGGGGGCTAACTAATAAAATATAGTATGTGTTTGTGTGTTTGTGTACATGTGTACACATATGTTTGCTTTCTCTGAAAGAAAGATAATGATAGGCTTCAAAGTACAGGAAAGATCGTATCTCTGGGTGGCATTTCCTTCAATGGTGGATATAATAACCTTAGAAACAGATAGATCTATTTTTTTCATGCTGAAAAGCAAATAAATATTATTGGTTTAATTCATCTTACAACCTGTGTCATAAAATCAGTTGGCTGTCAGGTTAGACGGAAGCAGAGCAAATTGCTTACTCATGGTAAGCTCCCCCTTTTATTATTACTTTAGACAAAGTTAAACCCGAGGGAGGAAAGAAACATTTTATCTTCACGTTACCAACTCTGTTTAATTCTTTTTTGACATGTCATGTATTGATTCTAAATCTGAATTCCTCTGGACTCCAGCAGAAAATTGAAAGAAAAAAAATTGAGGTTTGTGTGGCTTCGAGGTTCAGTTCTGATACCAGGAAAGAAGCATAAAATTAAAGCATATTGTTACCATGCTGAACCTAAGAGGAGCAAGAAAGATACAAGGAAAGGCAAAGAGAGAACAAGCAACATAGCTCAAGCTGATGCACGGCCTTGGTCTGAGAGTCGATGGCATTTATTCAAAACCAAAAAGAATTCATCACAAGACAGAATGTGGAACCCAGAAAAATTTCCAGCTCATCCTAAACAAGGACTTCATGCCTCAGCTTTATTATTTTCTTGTGATGTGGTGGCTTCCCATTAGTCAGACATGTCCATTGTAGCCATAAAAAATACTGTGTAATACAAGTAAGAATAATCTTTGATTCACCCACACCCCAGAAAATTCAGAACATTGTATTTATTTATTCATAAAGTTACATGGACTACACCATTTGAGAGTTGAAATTACATCTAGAAAAGTGATCTTATTGTCCCTTTATTCGTGATTTCAGTGACTCTAGCAGATATGCCAAAGTGAAACACAACCCATAAAACCAGTCTAGAGTTTGCTAAATGTTCCCTTTAAAAGAGATATCTCCATTTTTAAATTATTTTTTTATTTTAATAATTATTTTTTAATTATAATTTTTTAATTTTTTAAAAAGTATGTTTCCCAGTTAAATAGGGTTTATACTTCTTTTGTCTAAATCAGAAGATAGCAAAGAATATGAATTGGAAACAGCATTGATATGACCGCTGATCCTAGCTCTGGTGTTAAGTAGCTGTGTGACTTTGGGCATGTCATTGATCCTCTCTGAGCCTCAGTCACATGGCCTACAAATGGGGGAATGCAGTCAGAAGATCAAGCAGTTAGATTTTAATGCAGGTCTAGTGCTTAAATGAGTAAAACCCTTGCACATAGTAAGTGTCTGGCACACAGTAAGTGTTTAATAAATGCCAAGTAGTCTTAAGGATGTTGCTCCACATGTATCACCACGTGTTAGTATTACCACATGTATGATTTAAGTAAATAATTGAACCTCTCTTGACCTTCAGTTTTACTTATATGTTGACTTAAACAGTTATTATGAATATTAAACAAGATAACATATGTAAAAGGGGCAGGTACAGAGAAAGTGCTCATTAAATGTTTTCTTTCTTCCCCCAAAGTTGGATTGGCTTATGAGTAGGAAACACAAAAATAAGAACAAAAAAAAAAACCTCTCTTCTCCATAGCAAGATCTTTAGGAGAAGAAAAAAAAAAAGGCTTATGGTACTCAGCTCACTGGAAATTTCTGCTACTCATTAAAAAAAAAAAATCCTTCTTTAAATACATACACCAAAATTTAAGAAGAATCCAAAAAAAAAAATCAGAAATCCCATATCTCTTTTCTTACTGTGATAAAAAACTGCACAACATAAAATTTACTATCTTAACCATTTCTAGGCGTACTATTCAGTAGTCAGGCATATTCACATTGTGCAGTTAACCTCCAGAACTTTTCATCTTCCCAAACTGAAACTCTGCACCCATTAAACAATAACTCTCCATTTCCCCCTCCCCCAGTCCCTGTAACCCACATTCTACATTCTGTCTCTATAAATTTGACTACTGTAGGTTCGTCGCATGAATGGCGTCAAATGGAATTGGTCCTTTTGTTATGGCTTACTTCACTTTGCATAGTGTCCTCAGCATTCACGCATGTTGTAGCGTGTGTCAGAATTTCCTTGTTTTTAAGGCTGAACAATATTCCATTGTACAGATATACCACATATTGTTTATCCATTCATCCATTACTTCTCTTAGTAGTTTTACCCAAACTATTAAAAAAAAAAAAAAACCAATTCAAGGTAACAAATTGCACTACCCCCACCCAGCTACCCCCACAATTTAGAAAATCTGGTTTGCTCAGAGGAACCAAAACCATGGAGAAAATAGACCTTCTTTGTGCCCCCTCATCCCAACCTCTCACATGTGGTATTATCACGGTGGTAATGTGGCTTCTCAAACTTCAGCCAGCACTTCTTTCTCAGCTCAACCCAGACAAACCCAAATAACAGAAATAATAAAACCCTCACTTCCCCTTTCTCACCCACCAGAGGAATCTCCCATACCTCGCTCTCCTTACACTCTTGCCCTGAACTCTTCTCATGTCCACCTGACCTTCTGAGAGCACAGGGGGACTTGGGGAGCAATATTGATTCTCCCAGAGGAAATTTACCCAACGAGAGGAGAGGAGAGGAGAGGAGATGTGGAGGTCATGAAGTGCAGGCACCCAGCAACAGATTCTTCTTGGAGCTGCATTCTTCGTTGCCTGTCTGGCCAGAATTTCTTTGGATTTTCTTCTAATAAAGCCTATGTTATCATTCATGATTGCTTTCATATTCCACAGAAGAAAAAGAAAATAAATACGCAGACTGCTAGTTTGATTTTTTAGAATATTTAAATCCTGAAATAGACACAGAAATGATTTGCTTAGCTGGGAGGGAAGTTTAAAACCTCAAAAGGACAGCATTCCATTGTGCCTCCATCTCTCAGATTTCTGTGTGTTAGCAGCAGCCACACATGCCTCTCATTCAGATGTGTGAGCCCAAACTATTTTATAACTGAATTTCCAGTTCCTTAATTAGTAAAATGGTGATGGGGTTGTTATTTATATTTTAAGGGTGGACTAAACCTTCCTCTCCTTTCTAATTAAATCATAACATGGCCTCAAAAGTGTGTTGCATCATTCCTACCGGATCATAAGCAACAAGACGCTTTTTCGTTTTTCCTTCTAGTGCCAGAATCTTGCATGGGCTGCTCAGTCTCTGCTCCTCCCTATCTCCCCTACCCGCCTTGCGGCCCCCTCCCATCATGGTAACTCCTCCAAGGTTGCCGTTTGTGCTATGCCCTCTGTTTTACCCATGGTGATCACCATTAAAACCCTTAAGACGACAGGGTCTGTATGCTTGTCTTTGGGAACTGCTAAGATGATCCACTGAGCTACCAATGTTACAGAGAGAGAAGTGGTGCTAGTGGATTTAAAGAGAAATAAAGTCAGGAAGTCCTGAGACATGGAAAGAACCCTGGAGGCTTACATAGGGAGACCCTGGAGCTGTACTGACCCATGTGGTAGTCACATGTGGCTATATATATTTAATGTGAAATTAATTAAAATTAAATAAAATTTTAAATTCTGTTCCTCAGTCACACTAACCATATTTCTTTTTAAGTATTTATTATTTTAATAGCAGATACTAACCATATTTCAAAGTACTCAATAGCCACATGTAACCGGAAGCTACCATATTAGACAGCACAGATATAAAGCATTCCCATCACTGTAGAAAGTTCTATCAAAGAGCACTGCTCTAGAGATTTCCAGAGGAAGATCTAGTTAGCAGCTCTTGAGAGACAGCAGACTGTGTATTAGCAATAGCACGACAATAGAATTTATTGATCAAACAGAAATAGTTCTGAGAGAGAAAGGGGGTATTAATAATGATTCAATAATTTTAATAACTAGTTAATACTTAATGATAATCATCCTGAAATACAGAGAGTAAAAGGGGCACAGTGAATAATTATGCTGGGATTACAGGCAAACCTGGAAGTCTGGTCACCTGATCATCACATTCTTCCTGGAGGGGTTATTTGATAGATTACAATCCCCTGGAGTTGTGTAAGCATAGCTGTTACTTTCACAGATAACAACTAGACTTCACAAATACAACTAGAATGTCTTCCCTAAAGCACTATCACCTAAAAAAAAAAAAAAAAGGGATTTTCTTCCAGAAACAGGCCTATATCTAGATGGTGCCAAAGCCAATCTCTCCTTTTTGGTGCTACCCTATTTCCAGTCTGGAGAATCCCAGACCATGTTCAGATCTGTGTTTTCCCTGGGTCAAGCCTGGAGAGGGCTACCCTCATCCAAAATGTGCCCATGCTGAGAAATAGGATTGTTTTCAGCAGTTTCTCTGGTGTAAGACTCTGGTATCAATACAACCGTTTTTGTTTTTTTTTTTTTTTTTTTGCTTGGTTGTTTGTTTTTGAAAAGGAGTCTAACCCTGTTGCCCAGTCTGAAGTGCAGTGGCAAGATCTTGGCTCAGTACAACCTTGACCTCCCAGGTTCAAACTATTCTCCTGCCTCAGCCTCTCACATAGCTGGGACTACTGGCATATGTCACCACACCCAGCTAATTTTTGTATTTTTAGTAGAAGCAAGGTTTCACCATGTTGGCCAGGCTGGTCTCAAACTGCTGACCTCCACTAATCCACCCACCTCAGCCTCCTAAAGTGCTAGGATTACAGGCGTGAGCCACTGCGCCCAGCTAACACAACTATTTTAGAGTGACTTTATCTGCCCCAGACCACAGACTCTGTTGTATCAAATAGTGCCGCTGGAAGAGAAGGAGTAGGAGCAGAAACCCTGCTGACCTCTGAGGGCCCCTGTGTGGCAGTATCACTTTTTTGTTTCATGTTGTTTTGGGGGAACCCAAGAACACTGAAAAACCTTTTTCAAAGTGCTGCCAAATAATGAATCGAGCAGGTACACCAAAATCTGTTGAAAGTTAAAGAAAAATCAAAGAACCCTAAATACATTTGAATTTTTACATTTCCCTCACCTGGAGTGAGGTGCTGAAGCTCCAGCCTGGGTCCCGTTTGGTGACAGACGTGAACACAAACATGGACCCTCTCTTTGCCCGGGAGCAAGATAGTCAGGCCAATAGGATGGGATCTTCCATTCAGGGTCATCAAAGAAGGCTGAGTGCTGTCACTAACCTTTCAGCACACCCCTCCTAAAAGTCATATGGACTCAAAGATGTGTCATGGCCATAGAATCAACCCTAGGAAAATAGTAAAGAATATCATACTGTTGCTCCCAGCCTTCCCGCCTTGGGTTGGTAGATTTTCTTATGGGGTGGAAACTCAGCACCAGCATTGCCACGGGTTCAAAGATCCCATGTCCAGCCTCACATATCTGGGCTGGTTCTGCTCTGAGGCTGCTCTAACACTGGGAAGTATTCCTTTATTCTCGCTGATGGGTTATCTCCAATGACATTGTAGACCAAGCACCAAGGACAGCCCTACTTAGGGAAGGTAATTCAAACCCTTTGTTTAAGCTCACTGCTTCATACAACACAAACTAACCCAGCACCTACAACGTGGCAAACACCTCTTGGGGACACTGAGCACATAGCTGTGAGCAAGAGAGACAGGACCTTGTCATCACAGAGCTTATATTTTAGTGGGAGGATGGAGACAATGAGCAAATAAACAAAAATTATTCCAAATGGTGATAACTGCTACAGAGGAAAAAAGGTGATACTTGAAAGGGACTGCAGTGACTGAGGGACAGCATCAGATGGCATTGTCAGTAAGAGTTTCCAGACGGGGCCAGTGGATCTGTGATCTGAAGGTTGCCAGCCAGCTATAGTGGAGGAACCCAGAGCTTAAGTCCTTGAAGAGAAACACTGAGCTGTGCATTTTCAAGGACAATCTGAAAGAGGGTGAGAGATCCCGCCTTGTGAGCAAGAGGAGGGAGCAGAAAAAGATAAACTTGAAGAAGTAAACAGAGGAACCATCCCAGGCCTTGCAGGTACCATAAAATATTTGAGTTCATCTTAAGTGCAACGGAAAGATACCCCAGGGTTTTAAGTAACAAAATGGCATGATCTGATTTACATGTTTAAAGATTACTGTGGATGCTGCATGCAAAATGGATTCCAGCAGTGGTCCTCAAAGGAGGTTCCCAGACCAGCAGCATCACCTAGAAACCTGTTAGAAATGCACATTCTTAGGCCCCACTCTCAATATCCTGACTCAGAAACTCTGGGGGTAGAGTTCAGCAATCTGTTTTCACAGGCTCTCCAGGATATTCTGATGCACACTCATGTTTCAGGACCACTGCATTACAGGAGGATGAGATTGGATCACAAGAAACCAGTTAGGAGGCTACAGTGCAGGGATGGTGCTCTTCCTGATGTTGTTCCTATGTTGTAGGGCTAGATGGAGTTGCCCTATTCAGGAAATGCTCCCTTGAATTTAGAATGTCCTTCAAAGGAAATTCAATGATAAAGATGTTCTCTTTCTGTCACCCAAAAGCTGTCTTTTAGACAGAATGGTTAGAGACCTTTTCTCTTTTACTTTTTTTTTTTTAATGGAGGAGGTGTAGAATTCAGAAGACTGCATTCACACCATTTAGCTAAGGAAAAGCAATTGAAATCTGCACTATTTTCATATCTAAACCACATCACACAAGAAACAGACTAATCTTGGGGTGAATATGGGGGACTGGTGCATTTAGAATCTATGCCTCATATAGACCAGAGATGGAGACGTTCTACCCTAATGTAAGTGTATGGATTCTTATCTAGAACAACAGTGAAATCAATGAAGAAATGCTATTATTGGTCAAATCCCTTGACCTTGCTCACAGGGCCTTTTATATGTGTGCTCACACCAAAGAGAGAAGGAAACCTTTATTTCACACCCTCTCATAGTCTCCTGTGCAGGAAGACACACCATTCTTGACTAAAGGGGACCTCCCCCAAGGTATCACTGAAAATACCCACACACTTTTTGTGGGCTCAATGAGCTGGACTAATATTATGGTTGCCAGCATCGTCCACCAGCTCTTGTCTCCCAAGGAACCTGAGAATTATAAAAGAATTTATGCCAGAAGAGTAAAATGCTGTGGCTTTGTGTGTTACTAAGCCCTTTCATGGAAATGAGTTTATTGGATTGGCCAGCCAGCCTGGTAAGGAGGGAAGGGAAGAGGCAAGGAGAGATTTAGGAATGTTGATCTTTGGGAAAACAAAATGAGGATCAGAGTAAGTAAGGGACAAGAGTCACTGGGGAAAAGAGGGTTACCAAATACGTGGAGAAAAACATAATGAAAAGGGAAAATACTGGAGTAAAATGCAAAATCAAGGATTGACACAGATAAGGTTTCAATCTTCTGCTGCCTCCTACTAATTGTGTGATTTGGGCAAGTGGCATTAATGCTCTAAGCCACAGTTTTCTCATCTGTGATGTGGGGATTATAACTGGAGCTACTTCAAAGAGATATTGCAAGAATTAAATCAAACCTTGTGGTTAAATGTCTGGTCTAGTACCCAGAACATGGAGATTAGTAAATACTAAAGACTTCCTTCCCCCAGACTCCTTTCATCTCCCCCAGCTATGACATGGGAAGGAGGAAGAAAATCAGATGCTTAAAAAGACAAAACGATAAAGGCAATTGGTTATTTTGTATTTCTCTCTTCTAAGAGTGTTGAAATTTTAATATCTTGTTTTGTTCAAGCATCACTGTCCCATGTCCTCCTTGAGGTTCAGAAGGTAAAATGGCCCTCTCAAGTCCTTGTGGGGCTGTCATGCATCCTGAAGCCCCTGCCCTGGCTTCACAGAGTGCTCCCTGGATGTCCACCCCAGAGCTACTCAGTCTCACCTCCTAGAGTTAAGGAGGACAAACATTGTCTCCTCACTTTGCCAACAGGTTCTTAGAAGCTCAGAATATGAACCTGTAAGTCTACTGCTCCTTACAATTAGCCCCAAGCATTTGGAAAGGGGAGGAAGATGAGAGGATCCAAACTTTTATGATTCAGAAGCCTAAGTAAGTGATAAGTGCAAAAGTCCTAAAAGAATGTTTTCTGTCTCTGTCAATGGAACAGATTTTGTAGAGTTCTGAAAAGGACCTTGGGCTACCCAAAGTCCAAATTAAACAGAGTAAAACAAAATAAAACAGAAAGAAACAGAGAAGTTCTGTGACTTGACCAAGGTCATATAACAAGTGAGAGTAGCATCACTGACCTTTTTAAGTCAACAAGTCTATGCTCTTCTCAAATGACAAAACTAGTCTGGCCAACATGCAGAACACAATGTTCCTTTCTGAACAATTTGTACTTGGAAAATGAGACCATCTTTAGAAATTCTCACTGCTCTCCTGAGACCAAACACTGCAACACTGATTTGAAAATGCTTACATTTTAGAAACAACTGCAAAATAGAATCATTCATTATGCCCCTCAGCAGCAAAGACTATCCCTGCCTTGCCACACTTGCAATTGATATTTTATTTGTGAGAAGGCATTCTTTCTCCCATTGCCAGCCAATGTTATTTGTAGCCTAATAAATTATTCACAAAATAACCCCACTTATTTGTCTTTCAGATATTTCTTTCCTAGGAGACTCAATATATTTAGTGATAGCAACACAAGTATGCCCAATAAGACAGGGCAATTTGCAACCTAATAGAAAAAGGTATGTTAACAATACAATATGGTTTCTGTATGAAGAACAAAAGAATTTCCTCTGAACATACTGGCACTGAGACATGCGAGGGAGAGCAGCAAGACACAGCTACTCATGTGGTTGACAAGAGCAATTTCCCAGCAAAAGCTGAGGGCACAGGTCACAACCCATGACCAGGAATGGTGAAAGACAAGCCATAACTGGCAATAAGAACATGTCCTGCTTCCCCAATCCAATCTGTCTGCCAGATAATCAGCCATTCTATAATTTGTTGTATTTCTTATGGAAAATAAAAAGAAACAGATCAAAAAATAATAACTTGAACTATTGGGCAAAAGGAAAAATCAAGCAAATGCTAATGCAGACCCATGTAAATGGGTCTGCTCCCTACTTTCAAGAAAAAATTAACATCACATGTCTTTCATTTTCCCTAAATAAATCTGTCTTGAGTCCCCCTTGCCAAATTAGTAGAATGGCTGGTACCCTCCCCCTTGTTACCGTTTTGAAAACATTTAAAAGGCCTAGGAGTTTAGAGCTCCAAAAAAAAAAAAAAGAGAGTTGGGCTGATTCTGACATCCACATCTGGAAAAGACAGACCCTGGTGTCTGATCTGCCCACAGCTACCCCTGCTCTCCCTGCCACATGGTGGTGGTCCTCCATCATCACCCAGGCTTGCGGCCCATCCAAGTCCCTACAGAGTCCACTCCAGATCTCCATGGAAAAGTGATCTTATTCCCTCAAGAGTACCTTTGATCCACAATTCTTTGGTTCCCAGAATCATAGCCCTGAATGCTCAGCTTTTTCCTGGGCAGCCATCCCTTCAAAGATAACACCCACTTCCCAGCCCCATCATAGCAGGTCGAGTTTCAGCCCATGGTGGACACAGAGCCACTGACTGTTCCTTCCCTGGGATCCACGACTTCTTTTTTCCCTAATATCTGGAAGCTTTCCTCATTAATCCCTGAAACAAAATGAACCTTACTACACACTTTTGGTGCTCAAGAGGGCTACCCCTCCACCATCTAGGAGTGCTACCTAACTGCCTCTAGAGGATCCATGAGCTTCAAAACACAAGCAGTCTGATTTTACATTTTTGCCAGCCACCTCCTTGGGGTATACCCTGATGATTTGTGTTGGGAAGTGGGAAGGAAACTCACTCCCTCCTTCTTCAGAGAAGAGCCAACATAAGCATGCCAAAGATGATTTAATCTCCTTTGAATGAGCAAGATGAATCTTTGTCACTTATTTTGCTAAAGTAGAAAATTTGAAAATCCAAGTTCAATCAAAAGTGGAACATTCTGCTCTGAATTAGTTAGACTAAGAGCTAGAACACCTCCACACACATAAACAAGCAATCACTTAGAATGATATTTGCAAATATTGTGTGACCCTGCAAATAGTTACTCTCTCCAATGTGCATTATTACTACTTGCTTTCTGAATTTTGTGGAAATTGAGTGTTTTGTGTAAATCAGTAGGAAAGACAGAATTTAAAACTTAACTTGCATATTGAAATGTGCTAGGTAAGAGACAGAAATACCATTTGACCCAGAAATCCCATTACTGGGTAGGCATGCAAGCATATGTTCATTGCAGCACTATCCACAATATCAAAGACATGGAATCAACCCAAATGCCCGTCAATGATAGAATGGATAAAGAAAACATGGTACATATGCACAATGGAATACTATGCATCCATGAAAAGGAATAAGATTTTGTTCTTTGCAGGGTCATGGATGGAGCTGGAAGCTGTTATCCTCAGCAAACGAAGGCAGGAACAGAAAACCAAACACCACATGTTCTCACTTATAAGTAGGAGCTGAACGATGAGAACACATGGACACAGGGAGGGGAACAGCATACCCTGGGGCCTGTTGGGGAGAGGGATTGGGGGAAGGAGAGCATCAGGATAAATAGCTAATGGATACTGGGCTTAATACCAAGGTGATGGGTTGATCTCTGCAGCAAACCACCTTGGCACACGTTTACCTATGCAACAAACCTGTACACCCTGCACATGTACCACAGAATTTAAAATAAAAATTGAAGATAAAAAAAAGAAATGTGTTAGGTATCCAGTAGATTACTTCTTGTCCTTTTGTATACATCTATGCCACTTGTTTAAGGCTTCAAAACAACCTTATAAGATATATACTATTAAATTTATTATATATGACACAACTAAGGTTCAAAGAGGTTAAAAACTGAACAGCAGTCAGTAAATTATGAAGCCAGAATTTGAGTTCTCAGCTGCTTTTCCACTTCCTATTCTGATATTTCTTACAAAAGAGAAGACAAGAAATAGCTTAGTTTCCTAGCTTCCAAAAATAGGAGGTCCATACTGAGTTAGAAGAAAAAAAACCAAATAATCATTGTTTTTCTTAAGACTGCTTTGGAATAATTTGATTTATGCATGTTTTTGTGACCCCTCCAGAATCCCTAGAGAAAACACAGGGCCTGTCTGCTTTACTAGAGTATGATACTGAAAGTCTGAGGCTGGTTAGAGAGCAGCTTGTGTAGGACAAAGGACATTGCATTAGCAAACCCAACTTTGGTTGATAATCACAGAAGCAAGTAGTATGAAACACCACCAGGGGATGGAGAAACACCTGGACAAAGAATTGATTTATTGAGGGGAAGATAAGATTAGAAGAATTCAAAGCCCTTGTAAGAATACTCTCACTGCAGAGAGCTTGATGATATGGTTGTGTGAGCTAGAAACAGAAGGCAGTCCTGGTACCAGAGGGAGTGTCTCTCCTGTAAAATAAACAATGCTCCACTGTCTAGGATTCTATTTTTCCCCCTCTGCCTTTTCCTATCCCAGCATCCCAAGTCAGCTGCTGGAATTATAGAAAAATAGAGGGCAATAGTAGAAAGTCCTAAAGGCATTGTGCAGAGTACTGGCTTCCTTTGCTTTTCAAATTCGGCCTCACATCTCATTTGATTCCATGTGCTACCCCGACCTTGCAAAAGGGGAAACGAAAATACATTGAAGCTGAGTGACTGGTCCATGTTACTGGGAATTAATAGGTTTTAGCAGAACTCAGCTCCCCTAAGACTCAGCTCTGTATTTCTGTTGGACAAATGAAGATAGGAGAGAATAAAGAGGATACTACCTTCTTCAAAGCATTGTTTTGTTTTACCCTCTCACCCTTGCTCTCTGTTCCTCCATGCATCACACAAACACACGCACACACAATTATACACATTTTATTAGATAATGGTTCCAAGAAGAAAAATAAGAGCTGCTGGATATGGATCAAGGCAGGGAATGTCTTGCATCAAGAATATGGTGAACATTCATGATGGAATGGATTGGTTCACTGAGGTCTGTTTGCATTCTGGAAGAACCCTGGTTCTTTAAAAAAAAAAAAAAAAATTTAGGCCAAGGGACAGAAAAGGGGAAATTTGGCCTGCTAACACCTAGACCAATTTTTTAATGAGGAAAAGGTAACGGGAAACTTTCTCAAATTAGTCTATGAGAAGAGCATAGAGTCTTTGTTATTATCTCTCTTGTATTGTCTTTTTATAATAAGAGAATAGTGTGATGGCATCCAGACCTTGCTCGTAGACATCATTTTTTGTGTCTACTTGATACTCAGGAACGGTGTGGTTTTTCTCTGTGGCTTTTCTACACATTGGTAAAATGAGAATGTTTCCTAAGAAGAAACTGGATCTTTTCTACTGTACCTCCCCTATATCCAGGCAACTGGGACCCCTGCCATGAGTTCTGTGCTTCAGAAGGCCCCACTCTGGACTTCCTACAGGGCAGGAGCAAGAAGTCCACAGGACTAAGGATATTTGCCCACCTGGAACCCATGCCCCAAATTCTAGACCAAGCTCTCAGTACCTGGGACCCTGGGATTACTAATCCTGGAATGTACTTCGGAGCCTGCAGAGCCTCCTGCAAGGGAGCAGCCTCCTGAGAGCAGACAGCACGATCCAGGTCTGAACTGTGACAAAGAGGTAGCTTTCTGTGGGATGGGGAAGGGGCAGACAGATGAGATGGAGCTTGCTCATGTGGATGCAGAGGTGTAAGTGCCCTGAACAGCAGATGGGACTAAAAGATGGTAAGCCTTGGTAGGATGGGAGCTTGGGGATGGGGAGATGGTCTGCGTTTGTACTTTTGCCCCTGGCCCTGCAAATGAAATGACTGTTGTGGGAAGGCTGCCTTTATCACTACCTAAAAAGCAAAGCCTCCTAGTAGACTCATTGCCTTTTTCTTCTGCTCAATTCATCTTCTACACTGTGCCCACCATCATCCTTTAAAAACAGACACAACCATATCAAGAAGTCTCTGATTAAAAATAATCCACAGCATCTGTTGCTTACACCAGCAGTCCCTAACCTTTTTGGCACCAGGGACTGGTTTTGTGGACTACAATTTTTCCACAGACTGGGAGGGGGTGTGGAGATGGTTTTGGGATGAAACTGTTCCACCTCAAATTGTCAGGCATTAGATTCTCATAAGGAGCATGCAACCTAGATCCCTTGCATGCACGGTTCATAGGAGGGTGTGTGCTCCTATGAAAATCTAATGCTGCTGCTAATCTGACAGGAGGCAGAGTTCAGGTGGTAATGCTTGCTGACCTGTCGCTCACCTCCTGCTTTGCAGCCCAGTTCCTAACAGGCTAAGGGCTGTTACCAGTTCATGGCTCAGGAGTTGGGGACCGCTGGCTTGTACCATCACAGCTGAACTCTGGATACTCCCTACTTATCCTTCTTCCCACAGACCTTGACCCACCAACATTTGCTGTGCCTTATCTGTTTACCACCTTGGACAATCTTTTGTTCTTAAACATGGTCTGCACATTCAAGCCCATATACCTTTAATCATGCTAGTCTCTTTGTCCGGCTAGTATACAGAGTGTGAAATATATTGTTGTTGAGTTGTGTTGAAATGATGATGGACTGATATGACAGAACACATTTTTGAGATGTTTTATTTGTGTTTGTTTTCTTTGTATTTCCCATGCCCCTCTATTTTAAGCAGGTTGCCAACCTTTCATATCTTATTGCCTTGGTAATTTTTTTTCAGTGTGGAAAGCATATGCTTCTTCCTCAGTTCAAAGCTTTTTCTCATTTACTAAAAACGCCTAAACTTTCTCAAGAGATAATGCCCTGAGGAGGAGTAATGGTAGGCATGAGAAGGAGCTTTTGAGGGGAAAGATATAGAGGGAAAAATAAGAGTTCACCGAAGATTAAGAGGGGACAGAGATGGGCAGGTCCTGAATGTGGTGTCAACATTCTGGAGGCTGAAAGTGCTCAGAGAGGTGAGGAGCTGCAGAGTTATGAGGCTATAGAGATGATATGGATGTTGAGACAATCTCCACAAAGTTGGCTGGCCAAACTGTCCAGACGCTGGGCTGCGGCACTGTCTTCTGCAGTATTAGCCAAGTAATGCTTCCTCTCTCCTAAACAAAGTGCAAGCAGTTCATACTGCCCTTTAGTCAATGGGAAAATGCCAGAATAATCATACAAACAGCCATCTCCTACTCAGAAAATGAGTGAATGGCTCACTCAGGAGGGTTAGGATCTTTTCTAGCCACTTTCACTGTTACCAAGTTGATGTGCTCATTGATTCCAGGTTATCTAACAGAATTTGAATGGGATTTCCTCAGGCTACGTCCCTAAAAAAGACCTTTATTATTTGGTCCAGCCATTTATTATTTGTCCCCTTTATCCCATAGTATTGTTTCTATGCACTGTCAGCCAAAGTGATAGTGTGAGGCCAATCATAAAAAGCAAGCACAACAATTTCCCAGAAGCTGCTTCTGCTGGCTTCATGAAAGGCATTTCCCAACGGACACAAGCAAGAGCTGCCTACTTTAGGGGTCCATCGACCTGAACACCTCAGTCTCAGAAGTTAAAGAAGGTTGTATCTAGTTAGGATGAAAGTGAATTATGATAGCCAATTGTGTTGCAGGTTTCCCACAGACACAGGGTTTGGAAATTAGAAATCAAGAAAAGGATGGGCCATTATATCCAAACGCAGCATCTCCTGACTACTCCAGTTCATATTAAGTCTCCTAGGTACTGCTGCTTTTCTCCTTGTTAAATGTAGCCAACAGGTGTTTCACAATTGACCTAGCAGCAAACAGCATACAACATTCTCCCTGGCTCTAAAACCCATTCTAGCATACCAAGATATTTGCCTTGAACCCACCCCATGAGTATCTGGAGTCAACTCAGAACAAGGTGAGTTTTAAGATTCACCTTCCTTCCTTTCTGCCTAGTTGCAGATATTCAGTTGGGTTAAAGAATGTCAATGTAATTAACAAAGCAAGTCTATTTTAATAGTCTACCAAATGTCATTTTGGCGAAGGGAAGGGAAGGGAGAAGGGAGGGAGGGAAGAAGGAAGTGAGGGAAGAAGAAAGTGAGGGAGGAAGGAAGTGAGGGAGGAAGGAAGTGAGGGAGGGAGAGAGGAAGGGAAGAAAGGAAGAAGCGAGGGAGGTAGGAAGGAAGAAAGGAGGGAGGGAGGGAGAGAAGGAAGGAGGGAAGAGAGAGAGAAAGGAAGAAAGAAGGATTCTTCCTCCAATCCACAGTAATATGCTGGGAGACAGAAAAGTTTTCATGAAAATAAGAGTAGAAAAGGTTAGAAGAGTCTAGGTTGGACATTAATGCTGATTTATTATTCATTGGTCTATTACTCACCAAACTGCCCTATGCGCAATCTACATATTCAGTCTCAGATACTTAGAAGAGAGCCAATAAGTGATAAGTAAACAGGGCTTTGGGCCATAGAATCAAAAAGCACTTAGCAGTTCTCACTCACTAGTTGAATGTGTATTTCCCAATGAAAGAAGAGAACTGCATCAAAATTTCTCCAAGCTTCTTCACCCAGTTTTAAACTTTATAAATAATGGCAACGATATGCATGCCACCGAGGTTGTTGTACTCCCTTTCTTCCTGGGAGGCCAAACATTTCACCTACACTAGTATTGATCTCTGTTGAGACTAGAACATAGGACCAATATAATCAGCTACTTGGCAGGTCCCCCAATCCCTTCTCTTTGTTTTAGATTCCTATTCCTACCAGGATAGAAGAAGAAGATTTTTGTAAGTCTCCCACCTGCAAAGTGTCTCATTTAAATTTAAATCAAAATCAAAACACTTCCAGATTTGAAATGATCACAGTTCAGTCAGAAATTGTCCTATTGTGACAAAGTTGAAACCATTCTTTTCAACTCAGTGAGTTCAGAAACTGTTATAAGTGGAAATATTGAAGAGAAATTGACATTTTAATATCATTTTTAGATTTTTGCCTGTGTTCTGTTTCAGCTCCAGTTCCAGGCAAGAGTCACATGTAGTATCCTCTATGCTCAGCACCAAAAATTCAAATGTTTTTATTTAACTTTTAAGATTCAACTTTTAAGATTTTTGGATGCCCTAAGGATGTAGTGTTTCTCCTTTACCTGAGAAATTAACTCATGGGAGTCTCACTTTTGAGAGTCCTAAAAAGTTGCAAAAACAGTCTTCTTTGATCAATGATTTTTAGGTGACTCTGGATAATCTACCTTCCTAAATCACACCTGTCTGTTGATTTCCCAGTACTTGCCCAAATAGTGGTGGAAGGACAATTTCCCCTATCCTCTACAGTAGAGGATCATTTGCTATTTGCAAGTTAAACAACATCAAAAAGAACATTAATGCAACACACTGACCCTTCTATATGTTAAGAAGTGTATTGGAGCATGTTGATGTGTGGAAGTTAACTTGGAGAGCCAGGTACTGGAATGCTTTTCATTTATATAAGGAATTAATAAGCCCAATTATTCTGAAAGGAAGGGAGGCTGCAGGGACATTAAGAGGGCCCATGAGGACGTGGGAGTTGTCCTTATGTGCCCCTGTGCCGGCGCTGCTGCTGTGGAGCCTATGGAATAAACAGGTAGCACAGGCTTGGAGATACGTAATACCCTCAAGAGCTGCCTTAGGAAGCTGGCGTCTGTGTCTCCCATGCCACTGTGCTTCCCACCTTTCTTGCACATTCTAGGAAACGGTCTGGGTGATATCATTCCTAGATTTCCTCATCTCTGCTGCTTTCCTTATGCTGTTCCAACAGCTTAGAAACTCTTCTATTGCTTTTTTTTTTTTTTTTTTTTTTTTTTTTTGAGAGGGAGTTTTTCTCTTGTTGCCCAGACTGGAGTGCAATGGTACAATCTTGGCTTAACGCAACCTCTGCCTCCCGGGTTCAAGTGATTCTCCTGCCTCAGCCTTGTGAGTAGCTGAGATTAGAGGCATGTGCCACCACGCCCAGCTAATTTTGTATTTTTAGTAGAGACGGTTTCTCCATGTTTGTCAGGCTGGTCTTGAACGCCTGACAGGTGATCTGCCCGCCTCGGCCTCCCAAAGTGCTGGGATTACAGGTGTGAGCCACCACACCCGGCCAATGCTATTACCTTTTTAAAACCCCTGCACATCCTAACCAGCCATTTCCCACCCAAAGCAGATCTCCTCACCAGGTAAGATTGAGTCTGCTTCTGAATTGCCACCCACCCCATAGCTTCAACATCCATCACACACTACACAATTAATTACATGTGTAAATCCCTCACCTCGTCTTCTCCTTGGTCATAAATACCTTAAGGGCAAGGATTGTACACTTTTCCACTCTTTTAACCTCATGCCTCTAACAGCCATCACAGTGCCTTTCTCATAGCAGCTATTCAATAAATATTGACTGAGTGAATGAATAAATGAACACTTTAAAGAGTCCCCAGAAGACAGGGTTGATTTCAGAGAGAAATAATGAATGACTGCAAGGATAGTTAAGGTAGTGAGATGGTTAAATTCAGACCCAACTCCAGATATGCTACGATTGGGAGGTTACCTTACAATGAGTAAAACTGTATAATTTTGTCACTAATAGACTGCTTCTGCTTAGCCCATTCTCTCCCAATAGGCTTCTCTCTGTCTAATGAGGGAAAAAAAATTTACACTACTAGTTTTTAAGACTAAAACGAAGAGTTGGATAGTTTGAATTGTCATCCCTTGAGACTCTATCAAGAAGTAGAATAAAATCTTAGATTCTGGATGTTGGATCCATGGGCATTCTAAAACTCTATGTCTCTTTTCATATATGTTTATTTTTTACAGAACATAATCAAAACCTTAGAAAATTCAGAGTATATGCGGGGCAGGGGAGGGGGTTGGGATATCTCCTAAGGGTCAGGAGTTTACCCCCAGTATCCATTCTACTCTTCTTCCTGAGTTTTTTTGGACATGTGCTACTCAGCTAAAGACTAACTTTCCCAGCCCCTCATGTGGCTTAGTGTAGTCAAATCACATAGTTCTATACCGTGGGCTGTGCAAAGAGGTAACCTGTGCATCTTCTAGGTTACGTTCTTGAAAGGAAGTTGTGTCCTCCACTTTCTCTTTCTCTTTCCCCTTCCTTCTGGCTGGGCCACAGGTAGGTGGTAGTGAGACAGCACTGCCCACACTGATAAAGGCAACACTCTAGGAGATGCCAGAGTCACAAAACAGAAAGAACCCTGGGTGCCTGCATAACCTTGTCAACCAAAGCTACCTTCCTCTGAACTCCCTGCCAACCTGGACTTTTACATCTGAAAGAAATAAACTCCTATCTGGTTTAAGCCAGTGTTATCATGCTTTCTGTCAAAGCAGTCAAACCAGTATCCTGACTGACACAGCTTATCAACAAGGTGCTTTGTGGCATCCTTATTTTTAGAAAATAAAAATGAATTTAAATGAGTGGTTAAGAGATGTGTGCATGTGTGTGTCTGTGTGACTAGTGATAACCCAGGTTTTGCAAAACTAGCATTGGATATCAGCCATCAAGCATTTTTAATGGCCTAGTAAGCCTCTAAATTATCAAAAATCTTCATACCAAGCCTGAGTTTTATGAGTTTTACATAACTAAAATCTAAGTCAAGAAGGAAACACATTGGAAAGTAAAAACACAGAGTCTTTTATAAAATGCCTAGCACCTAAAATAGTAGTTTATTGAATAAATGGATGGGTGAATTTGTAAGCACACCGGAGCACCTCTATGTGCCAAATACACAATTTCTTTAAAGAGTTTAAATTCAGATTGAATGAAAGAAGACACTTCCTTGATCCATTATGAAAATGACAGCTAATTAGAGTGTTATATTCACTGTGACTTGTTTTTCACTTGGAAACCAGAGATGAGGTTTCTTCATCATACTTGATCAGAAATAAGAATGGTGGTCATTACATAAAATCCACTGTGAAATCAGGAGTCAAATGATGTCACTAATAAACGTTGTAGCTAAGGCTTAATTAATACCCTCCGAGCTACAATCATTCTTCATAAGTGCAATGAGACAGATTATAATGGTTGTTTTATAAGTTTTGCTTAAACTGCCTGATGAATTGAGAATTTCAGAATTAAATGGGCCTGAGAAAAGGAATCATTAACATCAGAAAGGAATTTATACAGGTTTGGAAATTAGCATACAATTTACAAAAGGAAAGAAAAATTGGAGAAGATAGAAAATGACGTATGACAAAAGTAAGTACTGAACGTTGAAGCAATATTCAAAATCATGAAGATCTAAGAAATTTTAAAATATAGATAACATCTGCTCTCAATCAAGTGAGATTCATTTGCTAGGAAACTTCCCAAAGATGTAAGCAGCCCAAAAATATATGTATTATCAATGTTTTATGATTGTTTTGATTGTTTTTTTTCTCAAATACTAGAGTTTAAAAGGATAGAAAACAAACTTCAGGACACTGTGTTCATTTACTAATGACCTCTTGGCTATCAGCCATTTGTCCCTTCTTATTCTGACTGCCTTCTCTTCTTTTCCCACTCTGCTTTCGGACATGATTTTTTTTATTTAATAACAACAACAATGTACATTTGAATAAGTATTTTAAGCTCCCAAAGCACTAGTATAATGATTCTCTCATTTGATCCTCAAAATCCTTCTGTGGGCAAAAGGAACACGTATTATGATTATTTTCCTCAAAGATAAAAATGTGTTCAGAGAAGTTTAGCAACTTGCTTAAGGTCTGACAGATCTCACATCTAAGGTTTCGCACGGGTTCCATATGATTCCCTCCGTACACAGTAGGCTGTCAGCTCAATGAAAAATACTTGAGTTTTCTTAGCTTTTAGAGCATACTATTACAACTTGTAGCAATGCAGGTATTTACTCACTTATCAAAATTTCTTGAGTGCCTACTATGTGCTAGGTACTGTGCTAGATACTAAGTGATCATTAGTGAGCAAAAGAGACATGGTCCCTGTCCTCGTGGGACTTACCCTCCACTAAGAAGAAAACTATTAAATAAATACAATGCTATATCATGAGCGTTTACTTCCTCCCAAAATTCATGTTAAAATCCTCAACCCCAAGGTGATAGTATTAGGAGGTGACGTCTTTGGGAAGTGATTAGGTCATAGGGATGGAGATCTCATGAATGAGATTTGAGCCATAAAACAGCTGTAAAAGAGACCCCGGAGAGCGGCTTTCTTCCTTCTAACATGTGAGGACACAGCAAGAAAACACTATTTATGAACCAGGAAATAGGCCTTCACCAGACATAGAATTTGCCAGGGCCTTGATCTTGGGATTCCCAGATTCCCAAAATCAATAAACAAACAACTGTTGTTGTTTATAAGCCACCCATTTTATGGTGTTTTGTTATAGCAGCCAAACAGACTAAGACATATACTAACAAATATGGATGTATTAATATATTCTGATATAAGTCGAATGAGTGAAAAGCCCAGAGTGCTCTAAGCGAGAATAAAGGAAGGGACCTCATTAGATGGGAATATGTGTGTATGTGTGTATGTGTGTATGTATATTTAGATGCAAGTGTGTGTGTGTGTGTGTGTGTATTTAGATGGGAGTATGTATGTGTGTCTATGTATATTTAGATAGGGGTGTGTGTGTGTGTGTGCATGTATTTAGATGGAAGCGTGTATTTAGACTGGTGTGTGTGTGTGTGTGTGTGTGTTTAGATAGGAGTGGTGTGTGTGTATTTCGAAGAGAGTATGTGCGTATATGTATGTTTAGATAGAAGTGTGTATATATTAAGATGGAAGTATGTGTATTTAGACAGAGGGGTGTGTGTGCGTATTTAGATGGAAATGCAGGTGTGTATTCAGATGGAAGTGTGTGTCTATTTAGATGGAGGTGTGTGTGTGTGCACATGTCAGAAAAAGCACTAGGGTGAGAGGAGTGGTGAGTGAAAGGGAGTGAGGGTGAAAGGGGTTGGGGGAAGCAGTACTGTGAAAAAACATCGGCCTATGCAAACGTTCTGGAACAGCTGACACTTCTCAGGAACTAAAGAAAGAACTGGAAATCCAGTGTAGCTGCATCTTCCCACACAAAGGGGGAGAATTCTGTGAGTTCATCCTGGCTGTTATAGCCATGTTGATAAGTTTGGGTTTTGCTCCAAGTACAATGAAAGGCTACTGAAGCTGGGAAGAGACATGATCCAATTTATATTTTAAAAGATCGCTCTAACTTCTTTGTAGAAAATTGATTGGAGTGGGGCAAAAGTAGAAAGACGACAGAAGGATCTTGTAGTAGTTCATGTGAGAGATGATGGCACTTAGGCTAAGACAGCAGTGAAGGTAATAGAAGTGAATGTCTTTAAGATATACTGAAAGTGGAAATGAAAAGCCTTTATGTGAAGGGGGAGAGTGATTGGGAACGGAGGCTGCCTCTCAGGTTTCTGGAGGTGTCATTTATGGAGTAGTTACAGCCAGTTGAATATTTTCCTTGCTGTCACATTCATGGTAAAGCCCTCCTGTGCATGTAAGTTGCTAATCAGATTCGTGTTCTAGACTTATTGACATATGATTTCTTATTCTAGGGAGTAGGAATCTGGTGGCATTTTTAACAGAAATTTATCCTTCTCATAACATATTGAGATGATTGTGTTGGAGCACATAAAGATGTCCTTACGCATCTGAAAATGTGAGGAAAAAAGAACTGGGGTTTTAGCAACTTTCGGTGGAAAGGCACAGATGTGATTTTCATTTTTTTTTTTTTTTTTTTTTTTTTTTTTGAGATGGAGTCTCATTCTGTCTCCCAGGCTGGAGTGCAGTGGCGCCATCTCGGCTCACTGCAAGCTCCACCTCCCGGGTTCATGCCATTCTCCTGCCTCAGCCTGCCAAGTAACTGGGACTACAGGCGCCCACTAATACGCCCAGCTAATTTTTTGTATTTTTAGTAGAGATGAGGTTTCACCGTATTAGCCAGGATGGTCTCCATCTCCTGACCTCATGATCCGCCCATCTTGGCCTCCCAAAGTGCTGGGATTACAGGCATAAGCCACTGCGCCCAGCCCGGATGTGATTTTTGGTAGTTACTGCATGGGAATAAAAAGGCATCCCTCATCCTTAAGACATGGAAGACAAGTGCCTCTCACACAAGTTTCTTCCCATCCTTGTAGATCCTATCAAAAATAAATAAAGATGTTAATACTTGGAGGAAGAAATAGTTAAAATGGAAGTTTTCCTGCCTCACTGGTCACTGCTATATACAATTCATTTCTTTTCATTCTTCAATAAATACTGACACGACCCCTATTTCTTTTTATACCTCAGGTTGGATGAAGATGACGTTATGGAACAAAAGGCAAATATAGCTAATAATCCTAATAGCTAATATATGTACATGCTTTAGAGTTGGCATATATATAGGCTTTTCTGTTGACACAGGGCTTTTATGTCTGTTGTCTCATTAGGGTCCTTTAAATTGGGTGACTATGCTCATTTGAGAGCTAAGAACGTCAAGCACTATCCTTAGTTGTTTTTATGTATCAGTGCATTTAGTCTTCACAACAACCTAATAATCTAAGGGTATGAGTAAACACCAGAAGCATTGTTTGCTAAGGCTGAACATTGACATCAACTGCTGGAAAAGGCAGCTACTCAGTGCCTAAAGACTTCAGCAGCCTGTAGGATGCTGTAGCCCCAACTGCTGAGAGGAGGAAGTCACCAGTCTCATGAGACTTGGGGGTTGGAGATGCTACCTTATCCAGCTGGGGTGAAGGCAACGGCTCTCAGTTTCAGCTAGCTTGCACCAGTCTATCTCAGATCATCACTCAAGGCTATTTTTGACAGTCCTGTTTCTCATTCGACATATCCTTACTCTTAAGACACAAACATTATCCCTATATACAGATGAAGAAACTGAAGTATAAAAAGGTGAAAAAATTGACAAGGGGCCCAAGATGGCTTCAAAGGCTCTGGGTAGCTTCACCGCTTTAATATGTGCCTCCCTACCATGCTGGGAGAGTATGGCTGGAAAGCAAAAGCCAGCCCCCACAGGAAATGCTGAGACTGGGCATGGCTAGTGCTGGTGATCATACTAACAGCCCACAGTCCTCCAGTCCTAGTGCCGGTGATCATGCTAACAGCCCACAGTCCTCCAGTCCTAGTGCCGGTGATCATGCTAACAGCCCACAGTCCTCCAGTCCTAGTGCCGGTGATCATGCTAACAGCCCACAGTCCTCCAGTCCTAGTGCCGGTGATCATGCTAACAGCCCACAGTCCCCCAGTCCTAGTGCCGGTGATCATGCTAACAGCCCACAGTCCCCCAGTCCTAGTGCCGGTGATCATGCTAACAGCCCACAGTCCTCCAGTCCTAGTGCCGGTGATCATGCTAACAGCCCACAGTCCTCCAGTCCTAGTGCCGGTGATCATGCTAACAGCCCACAGTCCTCCAGTCCTAGTGCCGGTGATCATGCTAACAGCCCACAGTCCTCCAGTCCTAGTGCCGGTGATCATGCTAACAGCCCACAGCCCTCCACTCCTAGTGCCGGTGATCATGCTAACAGCCCACAGTCATCCAGTCCTGGTGCTGGTGATCACGCTAACAGCCCACAGTCATCCAGTCCTAGTACTGGTGTTCACATTAACAGCCCACAGTTGTCCAGTCTTAGTGCTGGTGTTCACACTATCAGCCCACAGTCTTCCAATCCTAGTGTTGGTGTAACAGCCCACAGTCATCCAGACCTAGTGTGGGTGTTCACGCTAACAGCCCACAGTCGGCCAGTCCTAGTGTGGGTGTTCACACTAACAGCCCACAGTCGTCCAGTCCTAGTGTGGGTGTTCACACTAAAAGCCCACAGTTGTCCAGTCCTAGTGTGGGTGTTCACACTAAAAGCCCACAGTCATCCAGTCCTAGTGCAGGTGATCACGTTAACAGCCCACAGTCATCCAGTCCTAGTACCAGTGATCATGCTAATAGCCACAGCCATCCAGTCTTAGTGTTGATGTTCATGCTAACAGCCCACAGTCCTCCAGTCCTAGTGCTGGTGATCATGCTAACAGCCCACAGTGGTCCAGTCCTAGTACCAGTGTTCACACTAATAGCCCATAGTCCTGCAGTCCTAGAGTTTGAGACCCAGTATGTGAGGGCCCAGTATCTGCAGTCAATGCTTGTCACCTCTCTCCAAGATGATGATCAGCTGGTTGAGAATTAAATACTATGCAAACCAGTTTGATGCTCTGAAGTTTATTTGCAGACGTGTAAGTCTATATGCTTCAGAATCTGGTGGGGACGGGGAGATTCTCTTCTATCCTTTTAGTGATGTACAGATTAGTTGTTGCATTTAAGACCTAGGGTCAGATTCTAAGAAAGAAGGTGTCCTGAGCTCTATGAGCTTATGACTGATTAGGAAAAACATCTTAGAGTAGGAATAGTCATACATTGGGAGCTCTTCAAAATACCATTTTCTACCTTGAGTGAAGCCCCAATAAATGTATAGAACTTTTCCAAGTTCCAAAGCTTCAAGGAGACCTGAATTCTAGTTCTACCCTCATAGTGTCCTTGGCCAAGTAACATCACCTCTCCAGGCCTCAGTTTCTCATCATAAAATAAAGATGTTGGATTGGTTGCTCAGCCCTGGTGTTCTGCAATTATTTGCTTGAAAAAAAAAATAGCACCTTGCTCCTCTAATAAATAGGTGGATCAAACAGACATGGAATGATATTTCAGCCTACAAATGTCAACTGGCAAGATGTAAAGAGCCTTTTTGGGCATTTGGTCCAGCTTTGTAGTCTTTTGTAGTATACACATTAGTAGATTCATGAGCAGACATAATGATAAGAGGAAGCCTTGACATTAGCCCTGAATGGTGGATCTTGTTTCCCCTAGGCAACACCTCGAGGAAAAATTATCTTAACCAAAAAGGAAAATAGTTGATCAAAATTAGATATTGTCAAGTTGCAGCCCACAGGAGAGAGATAGGATTGTTTCCACTCACAGTTTTAATCCTGGGCCAGAATAATAAATGAATAGTTAGCACATTCCTACTCATCTCAGTGAGGGTCCTATTTTAGTGTCAAAAGCGATCATACCTTTCTTTAATTAACCCTTTTCTATTCCAGATCTCTCTTCAAATCTAAGTGTGCCCACAACTCAAATAGAATCATCATGGACTCAAGAAGGTTTTGATGGAGAGATGCCCCTCAGATACATCCTACCTCACTTGGGAAGCTATTCCCTGACGGAACCATAGAAGTCTGGATAACCAGCCAGGCTGGTTCTCTTACTTCTCGATTTTTTTAAGCAAGCCAGATGCCATTAAAAGCCTTTCAAAGTTAATAAGGCTGTATCTCAAGACGAATTCAGGAGAATCTACTCAGAAATTCATTAACTGTCAATCCTTTTATGTACATAATAGATCAAAATTGATAGCAGTAATTAAATTTTAATTAGGAAAATTTCTAATGAAAGATCTCACTGTCTCTTTTAAATGCCGTCTACGTATGCATTCATTCATGTATTCAACAAACATTTTTAAATGCTAAATATGTACCTTGCTCCACGCTAAGCATGAGGAA
The DNA here is from genome assembly GCF_000001405.40 of Homo sapiens. Lineage (NCBI taxonomy): Eukaryota > Metazoa > Chordata > Mammalia > Primates > Hominidae > Homo > Homo sapiens. The sequence goes on along the minus strand of NC_000009.12, from coordinate 75,415,898 downwards.
TTCAAAGATAAAAATAAGTTTATGGAAATATACCTATGACCTACCTAATTTATTCACAGAACAAAATGTGCTTCTTAAGAAAATGTTGATAGAGTTTGCTATTCAGAAAACATCTCATGCCATGAGGGCATTCTTTGTGTGTTTTCCAAAGACTGGGACCTGTATAGTAATATCCAAGTTTGATCTCAATCTCACGGACTGAGCAAATACAATCCCTGTCCAGAAAATTGGGTTCTGGCTTCTGATAGTCTGTGTGACTTGGAAGATTTTGAGTTGATTAGCAGGAACTGTGTTATTTTGAGGCTGAAACCATTTTCGTTTCAAATAGCATAAAGTTGTATCCCAGGAATGATGAAAATGACAAAAGTAATTTCTAGCATTCCAGAAGATTAAGAAATTGAAAACCAAATATTTGGGGTGAAAACAAGTGTATAATAAGTGTTTATCCGAATTTTTATATCAGAATATTATTACCCAAGTATGCCAACCCATGATGTCTGGGTTTCACACCCATTCTTCCTTTTCTCATATAATCAAATGGCACATATAATTCCCAAAGCAAAATACACAAGAAGCTGTCTTCTTTTGTATGTATAAACACATTCCTTTGTTCCTCTTTCTAGATGCTCAGAACCCTAGAATGTACAAAAATCCCAGTGGTCATGTGATTTTTACCATTTTAGACACAGAGGAAAAGGAGGTTCTGAGCAGTCAAGGCTTGCCCAGAGTCAACAAATGAGTGACAGAAATGTGAATAGGCTAGACCTATAACTTCAGCCCCGGACTCTCCACTGAGAGCTGTTTCTATGGTGTCATAGGATCACGCTCAACATACAGCTACTGAGACCAGAGTCTCAAGAAAAGGATGGACTTTGGTCTCTTCCGTCGAGTAGAGGAAGAGATTGTTCTGTAAGAGTGAGTGTATTCACATGACTTTCCAGACTTCCCTTTCTTTGTTCTTTCCAGAACAGAACTGATGCTCTGATTCATACTCTACACTTCTCCTTATGATGTGTCTTCCAAATCAGCCTCCCTCCAGCATTAATAAGATAAGCAAAGCAAAGACAGCTTCCCAGAACCACAGGTGTCAGCTTCCTTGAGTCTTGCCTCTTCCTTCAGGATGTCTTAACTCTTTTTCACTAGGTTGTAAAAAATGTATCTTTAATCACCACCATCCCTTTTAGGATTTCAAAGGAATAGCCCAGCAGTTCATCTTAGAGATGCAAACATTTCCCTGACTTGCTCATTTATCTCAAGTTACATGTAGAAAGTTCTTTGGCAGCTACTATGGGGAACAAAGGTGAAACCTCCAATTAAGAATGACTTATGTGTGCTCCTCCAGCCAGGAGTCACCCTGCCTTGTTAACCTCTTTTGCTCTGCTTAAGGGGTGGGAGCCTATGCACTCAAAATTCATTTATTCCTGTTAAGGGTAATTATCTCCATTCTTGATGACATCTCTAGCTATCGAAGAGTGATGATATGCCAGTGAGATGTTTCTCTCCATTCAAGAAGAAAATATGAGGGACTATATAGCACAGATTAGGTTTCAGTTCATAAACACAGCAATTTAATATGCCTCTTTAAAGCACAGATTTAAATTTAAACTTCTCAACAGGCTACGCTTTTTATGTCTTGACTATATTCTTTAAATCTAAGTGACAACAGGAACATAGAGTAAAGAACAGGGAAGGCAAATTTGATGATAAGAAGGTATTGCCTTTATTTGAAGAGACAATAATTACACTACCCTGGATGAATGGGCAGCCTCTGAGATAAGGTTCTATCTCACCAACACTGAAACTTGCTCAAATTTCTCTCATCATAAAACAATCCCCCCCACCCCACCCGTTTCCAGCCTCCCTGCCTCAGCTATTCTCTGTCTCTCTTTTCCTATCTCTCCTGCCTTTCCCAGCCAAACGTCCTTAAAAACTGTCATTAAACCCATCCACTCGCTTCTGAATGGACACACGGCCTTTTTTCTCTGCCCATATCACTTTCTTAGACTGCTCTCTCCAGAATTAGTAGCACCATCCCTGTGGCTAAATCTCACAGACAATTCTCAATTCTCAATCCTTCTTTTCTGGTTTTTGTTTTTGTTTTTTTGGGTGTGTGTGTGTGTGACAGAACATGTTTATTTACTCGGCCCCAGAGACAAAAGGAAAATTGATATGGGGGACGGGGAAATAGGACAAGTATTAAATGTAGCGAAGAAATTTCACAGGTCAAAAGGAACTATTAAAAGGAAGGATAAAGTAGATTTTATACCATAAAACAGAATCCTACCTCCGATAAAAGACAAATCAGCCTGAATTTTTGAAAAATCAATAGGATTCAAAATGACAATTTTCAATTGCAATCTCATTCTTAATGTTCTTCCAGAACTCTCAACCCTGAGAGAAGCAGGGCAAAATGTGGCCAAAGGATTCAGGACCTTTCTTTCCAACATTATCCCATCAGCCATTAGAGGGTAAAGATTTAGCCACAGCAAGGTCTGAGGTCCAAAATCAATTCTTTTCATTCTCTCTTTTGCTCTCCATTTTAGTTGATCCAAGTTTTTGACTTCACAATTAAAACACTTCAAATTAAACCAAAGTAATAAAGCCTGTTTACTCCCCTACTAGGTTCAAACACAACCTGTTATGCACCGCCAAGGTGACAAGACCTACCATGGAATCTTTATGAGATACTAGGCGAGAAGGTGAATAAACACACAAAATTACAAAAGTTTTTTTTCTTTTTTTTTTTTTTGTTTTTTGCAAGCCATAGATTGTGATGAAATAAAGGTTGTAAATAGCTGATAAACTTATGGGTCTCTTAATGTTCAAAACCAAATAAATACTAAAGGTTGTAATCCCAATTATGTTTCTCTTATACATAATCTATAGATTTTCCTCTACAAAAAATTAAATTATTAAAGCCTGTACTTAATACAAGACACAGTAAAAGGAGAGGAATCTCCTGTTTTGAGCCCTATCTTAGCCGATTTCTGGACACTTTTGGTGAGATTTCATCACACTCATGAAGCCTGTGCTTTCTCAGTCCCCTAAATACTGGTCTGAACCTTATTGTTCCCCAGAAAGCAGCTCCATGTGGCCAGACACTCATGGCAGCTGCTCTGTGAAGTCCAAATGGTCTGGGATAGAAAGTCCAGTGACAATCGGCAGACACTTGTTTCGTCAATCCTTCTTTTCTATAATGCAGGCATCATTTAGGAACCTCCCCTGCCCTCAAGCCATAAGGGAAATTGTCACAGTCCACACACCCCTTCTCCCAATTCAATGGCCTGTAAAAGCCCAAAGCCCTTCCAAATGGCTTTGTAAAAGTTGGTGAAATATCTGTTAAGAGCTACTGCATGCTGGGAACATATAGACAACAGTCCTATGAAGTAGAAACCTTATGTCCTTATTTTTGCAGATAAAGTGACTGTGGCTTGGGGTGGCTTCATGGCTGATGGGTGGGGGATCTAGACTTAAACCTAAACAGCCCAGCCCCACCCCTGCCTGACTCTGCCCACCCTGATCTCCAGGCCTCCTCTGTAGCCCCAGTTTCGTTTTCTCACCTGCTGTCTGTCCCTCACCACACCTTCTCCAGCATGCAAGTCAGACCCTCATTCATAATGAAAAAATAATAACCACCACTTGAATCAAGCACACGTTAATTATGTTTTCCAGAGTTACTTTGTGAGGTTCCATAAAAGTGGCACACGTCACAGAGATCTGGGGGTCTCTGCTCTCTCCCTGGTTTTCATTTCCTTCCATCTCCCTTCCTCACCCTTCCCTTCCAGAATTACCCCCAAGGCCTCCAAATTCTCCTGCCTTGAAGATCAACTTTTTCTTCCTTTGAAACCCTGACATGGATAGTTTTATTATCAAGTGTTTATCAAGATTTTTTTCAACAAGCTCATATCTCTTCATAATAAGTGTGCTGGCTGCTGGTATTACCTGTTGAAGACAAGCAGCAACAGTAACTGACAACAGTTCTTGGACCCTAAGTAGTAATTCAGACTCTCCGACACCCTCTCCGACACCCTCTTCTTCACATACTTAGTTTTGGCGTCTGAGATGTCATACTCCCCCAATTTTTCTTCTGCCCTTCGTTTTCTTTCTTTCTTTCTTTCTTTTTTTTTTAGAGATAGGGTCTCCCTCTGTCCCTCAGGCTAGAGTGCAGTGGCATGATCATGGCTCGCTACAGCCTCAAGCTCCTGGCCTCAATCAATCCTCCTGTCTCAGACTCCCAAAGTGCTGGGATTACAAACATAAGCCACTATGCCTGGCCTCTTCTGTCCTTCTGGTTAATTCTTTTTGGGGTCCTTTTAAGGTGATTTCTGTTCTCCTCATGCCCTTCATAAATATTTCTCCTCCATCCATCTCTTAATTATTGGCGTTTCTCAGGGTTATAATCAAGCCTTTTTTTCTTACCTAGCACATTGACTCCAAAATATCTTATCTACAATCATAGCTTTATTTATACCACATCTTTCAAATTTATATCTCTAGCACGACTCTCATTTTCCTGACCTAAGACCAGAATATCCACAGCCTATTCCATATTTTCCCTCAAATATGCCAAATGTCTCAAACACAAATTCTCCAATGCTGAATTCATCTTCTTTTGAAAATTTCCTCCTCTTGTGATTTCTGCTCAGCACCACCTTCGGCCCTTGCCCAAAGGTGCCCAAGCCAGAAATCTCAGTGTCTTCCTTGACTCCTCCTTCCTTTCCACCACTCGGTCAATTTCAAAAGCCTCTATATTCTAACTCCTGCAGGTCTCTCTCCTGCCCCCTTGGCATGCTTTTTCCTCCTTTTCTTCTTGCACTATGTGTACCAACCAGACAGAACAGCTTTCAGTTCTTCAAGTTGTGCTCTCTTTCAACCCCAGAAAGCACTCTCCACCAGAAGCACCCTCCAACTCCTTCGCCTCACTTCCTTTGGGAGATAATTTAGATATCACTTTCTCAGGAGCCTTCTCTCACTCCCCTGGACTGCATTAGGTGTCCCTGTTAGATGGTGTTAGTTGCAGGTGAAAGAAGCCCCCTCTCAAACTGATTTTTATTTAAAGAGAATTTATTGGTTCATGCCTGTCGGCCTAGTTTCGAGCCCGGTTGAATTTAAGTCCTCAGGTGGTCTCGTCACAAATCTCCTTTTATCACTCAATTCCTTTTCCTCTATGTTTAGGTTCACGTTCACATAATTTCTCCATTTGTGATGACAAGATGGCCACCAGCAGCCCCAAGCTTAAACTCTTCCAATTTAGCAAGCCTAGATGAGAGTGCCTCTTCCTGGTCACTCCAGTCGAAATTCCAGGAATTCCTCTCACTAACCAGACCTGGATCCCATGCCCTCTCCTGAAGTTGAAGTGGACATTCAGCCTCACTCAACCACATGGGCTGGCAGGGGAAGCAGGTGGATTCCTCAAGGAAAAACAGGGTGCTGTTATTCAAAAGCAATAGGGTGAGGTTAAAGGTTAGCCAGATCAAAAATAGATAGATAGGCAAAAGATATAATAGGTAGTAAGTAGGTAGGTGGATGATAGATAGATAGATAGATAGATAGATGCAATAGATATGATAGGTAAGTAGTAGGCAGGTAGGCAGATAGGTAAATGATAATAGATACATACATACACACATACAATAGATGTGATAATAGATGTGATACATAGGTAGGTAGGTAGGTAAGTAGATAAGAGAGGGAGAAATGAAAGAAAATGTTTACTTCTTTAAGTCACCCCTTAATTAGATTGGTTGTATATAAGAACATGGCTTTTTGTTTCCTTGTTGCCTCCAAAGGACATCCTTGAGAAACACACAGCATCAGCAGGAAAAGAACAGGCATGAGCCACCATGCCCAGCCTGTTTGTTGGTTTTTAATCTTGTGGTTTCTAAGGTATATAATCTTAAGCTACTTTATAAACTTACACTACTTTATTTCTAAGCAGTTCACAGCTCAACGTCTAGATATAATGGATAAACCTAGAAAAATCATAAAAAGAGTTTAAAAATGATCATGATGAAACTGAGATTTTAAAATCTGAAGAAGACACAACATAATTTTAAAAATGAAAATATTTGGGCTCATCAGTCTTTGAACCTCAATTCAGATATAATTCTTTGTTGCACTTTTTGGAAACAGTTTTTGCAAATTATGCTCAGCATCCCATACGTAAATCAAAGTGACACAATCCTCTCGTAAGAAAGGAAAAATGGCCTCTTATAAAGTACAAAATTCTACTGTACTTTCTTTTGTACTCTCTATATATTAAATTGTTCATGTCTTTAAGAAATTGTTGTGCCAGAAATTGTGTCAGAAACTAAGGATATAAAAATTTGTAAGGCATATACCTGCCTCTAGGAAGTCACAATCAAATGGGACAATGATGTTTAAATACATTCTTGCAATTGCCACACCGGGGGAATGTCCTAGACCAGTGGGGGTTGAAAGGTGTGATCAACTTCACTACACATTATGTTTAATGACAAATCAGTTCTCATTTTAATGGAAATAGCTCCAGCATTTCATAGTTGTTGTTTTTTTTTTTATCATGTTTACTGTTGAATTTTGGCCAAAAAAAAAAAAAATCTATCATTTCTAAATAGTTTATTTCTGAATTACTTGGAATTTTTATTAGAAATAACTTTTGAATTTTATGATACCTTTTAGGCATCTGTTGATATAATCATCAGCTTTTTAAATTTAATGTGTTGATATATTACATTGATAGATTCCTAATATTGAACCATCCTTATGGTCTTAGAATAAACTCTACTAGGTCGTGCTACACTGTTCTTTTACTATACAGCTGGAATCAGTAGCTATATACTATACAGAATTTTTGTAACTATATTTATATAGAAAACTATTTTTGTCTTTTCTTTGTATTAAAGCTATGCTAACATTATAGAGTCAGGAAGATTTTGTTCCTTTTCTATGGTCTGCAGTAATTCAAATATCATTGGAACTTTTTTATTTTAAAGGATAGATAAAATTTTGAAAAACTTATACATGTTCTTTTTTTCATGACTCATCTTTCAATTTGGAATAAAAGGAGATTTAGTCCTATAGAAGGCATTCATTCTTTCTGAAGTTATTTAATCATTCTATTGATACATAGTGTTACAGGTTGAATTCCTTGTGAAATAGACTGTAATATAGAGATTAGGGTGCAGAGTTTACTGGGGAGTGCTTTAAGGACTTTTGACCCAAGAAGAATGAAGGAGGCAGGATTGAGCACAGGAAAAAAAGCAGAAAGAGGCAGCGGGTAGGATGAAATCAACAGAAGTGTTAGCCCATTTCACCAGGAGCACTAGAACTAGGAAAAAAATACACACACACACGTGCAGGCACACAGAGAGTGTGCGTGCACGTGTGTGTTTTATTATAGGAATTGTCTCATGTGACTGTGGAGGCTGAGAAGTCCTGCAATCTACCACCTGCAAGCTGAAAATTCAAAAGAGCCAATGCTATAATATCCAGTTGTAATTGCTGATAGGTTCTTCCTGCCCACTGCACAGAGGAAACCAATTCACTGAGATCATAGGACTATAATAAAGAAAGAGATTAATTGACATGGGGCCAGCCTTGCCACGTGGTAGACATTGAGTTATTACTCAAACCAATCTTCCCCAAAATTCAGAGTCTAGGGTTTTTCAAGGATAGTTTGGTGGGCAAGGGAATGAGGGAGTGGAAATTGGTCCTCTTCTAGATGGGGCCACAAGACTTGTTGGCTGGTCTGAGTGGAGCCATCATTGTCAAAAATGCAAAAACCGGAAGAGACATCTCAAAAGGCCAATTTTAGATTCTACAATAGTGATGTTATCTGCAGGAGTACTTGGGGAAGTTGTGTATCATGCAACTTCTGGAATAATGGTTAATCACCATTTATTTATGTCTACACCTTAGCAGAATTCAGGCTTCTCACATCCTCCTAACTTGGTGGTCTTTCATTAGCTTTACAAAGGCAGTTTAGTTTTAGGGAAGGGCTGTTACCATTTAAACTGTAAACTAAATGTCTCCCAAAGTTAGCTTGGCCTAAGCACAAGAATGATTAAGGGCAGTTTGGAGGTAAAAAGCAAGATTGAGGTTGGTTAGATCAGATTTCGCAATTTTCTCACTGTTGTAATTTTTCAAAGGCAGTTTCACAGTCCTAGTCTGAAGGCTTGAAAACCTGGAGAGCCAATGGTGTAAGTTCTCATCTGAGGGCAGGAGAAGACTGGGTCCACACATTTAAATGCTAATCTCACCCTGAAACACCCTCCCCGACACACCCAGAAAAAAATGCCTAATCCAATATCTCATCACCCTGTGGCCCAGTCAACTTGATCCATAATATTGGTCATTATTCCCCCAAATGAGGCAGAGGGGACAGGCCTTTGTAGTTCTACATCAACCAGTCATTGGATGGAAGTTGCCTCTGGACAGGGATCTAACATTGGTTGAGGCAGCTCCCTTAGGCCAAGGACAAGTCCTTGAGAGAGGCTCACTTATGAGTCATCTGCAGTAGTTGAGGGAATGAACATATGTGGTCCAGAATGGAGATATTTGATGGTACATCATTACACCTATGACATATGCTTTAGTTGCACTAAAATTTGCATTTCATCTCCTTAGAATAAATATTAGCATTAATCAATACCTTCCATATTTTCCAGAACTTCCCTTTGCCTTTATGAGAATTATTATTTCACAACTTTATCTAGAAATATGGATGCTCAATGGACTTTAACATGCTAATTTTCAAATAGGACCACCAAAATTAAGTGAACAGTTTTTCCATTTGGTATATATGATTTTCATATTCAGAAATTAGTTGTGAGACTCTCAGATGAGAATTCTCTCCTTATAACTATATCTCAACACAAGTATATAGTAGTCATAAAATCTTCAATTTGTTACACTTTTGCTTTAACATTTTCTGTCTTCATTGATCAAATAAATCCTCTGGGGTTAGAGAATCCCACATAATATTTGTATCCCTAATATACCCATTATTAAGGTAAATGTCATGAGAAAATATTGGTAAATATAGCACATCTCCTTATGTATATTCTCCCATGATATCTTTATTTCCTCAAAAGATCGCATTTCTCTACCACTGTGGGTGCAGCGTTTATTAACAAGAGATCCAGGGCTCCCCAAGATCTGGTCTCAATCTAATTTTATAAACTAATGCCCTAACTCATGCTTTCCCACATATCCACCCCCAAGCTAAGTGCAGTGCACTTACATTCTCCAAAATGTAATCTTTCACAAGGGCTGTCTTGACCCAGTTTTGAAGTCATGGCTAAAAACTCTCAATTCCCCTCTGAGGACAAAAAAAAAAAAAAAAAAAAAAAAAAAAAACGCTTCTCTTATCAGGTTCCTACTCTCTGGTGCCATTAAGAATAATCTCACAGAGGCCCCTGTTTAGGGAGCTTTCACACTCCTGTACCAGATACTAAACAACTAGGAACAGCCTCTATGCTCTAGAGCTGTGTAATTAATTATTCAAATTAGCCAATCCCTAGTAAGTCCCAAAAACCTAACTACCCCTACCCTGTTTGCCGTACATAAGCTGCCTTTTGTAGCTCCTGCTTGCTGTTAGCCTGTTCCCTAGTACAGTCCTGCGCATGGGCCTGTGCGGCAGCCTCCTCTAATTTGGAGCTGTAAGTAACAAAGAATTCTGCCTCTCATCATGTGTCAGTGTGCTGTGTCTGCTCATCCGAAGATCTTCAAATTTTACAAAACACACACTTGCTTATTTGTGCCTGTACTTCTCTACCTCCAGACACTTTCCCTGTTTTACTTTGTGTACATCCTCCTACCTGACTTCACCCTGAACTATGAAGAGTCTGTCCTTTTGATTCAGAGATCAACCTGAAATTCTTTACCTTCAGGGATCCTTTTCCATGTCTGCTCCTCATCTTCCTCTTGCTGATCTTTGGGCCATTAATAAAGCACATGTCCTGTGTTTTGAATTCCAATGATTTGTAAGCAGACCTGTTGTCCAATGAAGGGAAGACCATTTGATAAGATATTATTATTTGAAAACACGGTAGTGTTCTAGTTTCTTTGAATTCCTTGAAGAGTCTGGCATGAGGCCTATTACAAGGACACCCCCACCACAGATACTACTGAATTCAATTCATTGGAGTGCTGCCATGCAGCTTCAACCCTGCCTGAAAGTGACAAGTTACATTCCTGCCATCTTGATGCTTCTTTCTTCTGTCCTCCGGTGTGGAGACTAGAAGGGTTGCAGGGAAGATGAGTGGGATTGAGGAAAAGTACAGGTTGAAAGGAAGGCTTGTAGGCCTGCCCCAGTGGAAATGGGTGGACAGAACCAAGGCAATAAGAACACTACATTTCCAAAATCCTTTAGGGTAATTTAGGGTAGGGACACACAGAAGGTGGTCAACAAATATTTCCTGATGCAACAATCAGATTTCAGAACCTTAAGTTCACTCTTCCAGGGTCATGTCATTTGAGTTGCATGAATATAAAGGTCCATCATGGACTGAAATTATTTTTATTGTGGTTAATTTGCCTCTCTGAATTATTCACATGGTAATTAAGTTCACTTGGCTCCCAATTACATAAGATATTGTTTTAAAAACAAAATCCTTTTTTCTTTATAATGTATGAGTTGTGGTACTTTTCCCCCTGTAAGATCCTTTGAAGTCTTATCCTAAAACACTTGAGTTTAAAAGAAAAAGAAAACATCTAATAAAATTTTTTCTCTTGAACTACAATTAATTGAAGATACAAGATGCTGAAGAGATATCTCTAAGGAAAAGATAATTTTATTTTGTTTTTAAGGCAAAGTGCTATTTGTGCTGGCAGATTTGTGTAATCCAAATATCATATGGCTAATTACATGAATTTAATGATAAGAAGGATGTATATCCAAAGAAAATACAAGGACCAGAACTGGAATAAAAAGCTACAGTGAATGTAGCTCTCAGCATGGCTATCCTCCCTGTTCTCAATCTTTCTTTCTCTCTCTCTTTACCTCTACCTCTGGGTCTACCTCAAAATGGCATCTCTCTTGCATTCCTTATTTGTTTCCCATTGGCCACTCTCCTACTCACCCTATAGTCTAATTCTGGAGGCAGCCAATCAAATAGGCTCACCTCATGGCCCGCCTACCTACTGAATCCTATCCATTTTTCCAGTTCACCTCCTGAGATTGGGCTGCCTTAAGTCTGACGCACCTTCCTGATGTAATAAAGGACTTCCCTGCTCAAAGAATAACCAGTCCTGCTCCCCTGAGCTGTTGACAAAGCTGTTGAAACTACATAGGGATGCTGAGTGACTGATAAGTTCATTCAACACAGTGATTTTCATCTTTCATTTCTCCATGATGGGAAATAGGAGCTTAAAACCTACAATGACTCTACGCTTCCAAAATCCCTAATCAAATGGCAGAAATTCTCTTCTTTGGTTTATTTCACAGGATTTCAGGACGAGTCAAACCTACTGATATTTATTAAGGACGTATTTCTTCCCAGAGCTTTGCTGCATGTTCTAACACAGCCAGAAACATGACAAAACTATAGAACGAGACAAGAGTTTAGGAATTCTTTATCATGTTAGAGATAAGAAAAATTTAGATTTATTTAGAATATCTGGCTCTTGCCTTAAAGAACTTTTAGAGCCAGTTAACGATATAAGACATAGTCCTTGAAACAGCTCAAAAAAAAAAACCCAAAGCACATTTTAATCCATTATTACATTAGCGAACATAGACTTCAAATTTTACAGGAATTCAGAGAAAAAAAAATTACTGTAAGGTGGCCCCGGCTGAGCCCGGCAAAGAGAAATAGGGAATGGTGATAGAAGGCACAGCTTCCAGCACTGAGGAAGATCTCTGGGAGGAGGCAAGTTGGGTGATAGGAGAGGGGCCCCGGTGAGGAGCATGAAAGGCAAAGCTGGATAAGTGGGATCACTTAATGGACAGCTTTCTATCAGACCCCAGAGCCTGCAATTCCTCCTAAAAGTAAACAAGCCATTACAGGTTTTGAAGCAGGAAAGAAACATCATGAAAACAGTATTTCAGAAAAGGAGTTCCATCGTAGCATGGTGGTTAAGGGTACGAGCTTTGGAGCCAAGTAGGCTCTCTCTGAATCCTGGCTCCACCATTTTCTCGGTCCGTGACCCTGGGTGAGTCACTTAACCTGTGTCCTCACCTTCAAAATGGGAATAATAATAGTTCTCACCTCACCAAGCTATTAAATATTTGGAGGATTAAGTAAATTAATATTTGTGGTATATTCAGAGCAACACTTGCACTTATTAACAGTCTTATGAAACCAGATATTAAGGGTGTGGGGATCTGGCTCACAGAGATTAGTTCGATGACTTCTGGCCTAAATCAGAGGGCAGAGGGTGGTGGTTGAATCTAGGTAAGGAATTCCAGCCAGTGCATCCAAAGAGGGGTGTGGACTTGCTAACTGAGCAAGTCTGGGGCTGAAGTAGAATAAAGAGTTAAAGGTGAACCCACAATGCTGAGAAGACAACTGGGTTCATCAGTTATTTTGGAGAAATAAATGTCAAGCATAAGACAATGGCACCCTGGACCGGGCGCGGTGGCTCATACCTGTAATCCCAGCACTTTGGGAGGCCGAGGCAGGCGGATCACAAGGTCAGGAGATCGAGACCATCCTGGCTAACATGGTGAAACCTCGTCTCTACTAAAAAATACAAAAATTAGCTGGGTGTGGTGGCGGGCGCCTGTAGTCCCAGCTACTAGGGAGGCTGAGGCAGGAGAATGGTGTGAACCCGGGAAAGCGGAGCTTGCAGTGAGCCGAGATCGGCCACTGCACTCCAGCCTGGGCGACAGAGCGAGACTCCGTCCCCCGCGCCCCCAAAAAAAAGAAAAAGAAAAAGAAAATGGCTCCCTGCTCCAAGCCGGCCTAGGCGCCTGCCGCCAGTATGAACACTCGCGGCGTGCTGCAAAAGGATCTGATTAAAGAACTTAGAGAAATTCATATATGTGAAATTGATTTCCATGGAAACCTAGTCACGCTCTGATGACAGTTGTGATGGCGTCGCTGCCGATAATTTTGCAAACATAAGGCTTCCCAGTGAGTCTGAGAAGGCTGTAGGACCCGCACCCAGTGCAGACACTCAACCTCTCAGGGTGGTGATGAAGCTTCCAGCGCGAAATACCAAGGGAGCAGCCAACAAAAAAGCAGAGCCCCCTCCCCGAACCCTCAGAGAATTCTGGAACCAATTCCAGTTCCGATTCAGAAGATAAAGGTGGCATGAATTTTTTTGGAGAAAAAGGCTTTCAGTATAAAGCAAAACAAAGCAATGCCTGGAAAACGCATGTCAGAGTGAGAAAGCTTCCCTGGCTTGTTCCTTAGAAGACGTTCCCTCCCAGGCTCCAACTCACAATCAAGGACATCCCCAAGGCGTACATTCCCGGATGTTGCTTCCAGGAGAAACCCTGAACAGAGTGCTCCTCTTCTCACCAAGTCCCCTGGTCCCTTGGCGCTCTACTCATGGAGGAGGAGTAAGAAGAGGAAGAAGAAGAGGATAAGGACACGTTGGTGAGAAGGAGCAAGACAGTGGATGGCTGCATGAAGGAAGATGACACGCCCAGAATTCGCCGCTCCAGCTCATCCATGACCCTTCTGCATATAATCCACCCAGGGGAAGAAATCACAGAGGAAGGGTTGGAGGCCAACTGCAGCAACTCTCCAAAGAAGATATATAACGATTCCCTGGGCTCTACTTGTTATCAATGGTGTCAGAAAACTATTGCTACCAAAACAAACTGCAGAAACCCAGACTGCTAGGGCATTCAAGGCTAAGTCTGCGGCTCCTGCCTTCCAAACTCTTATGCTGAAGAGGTCAGGCATGCTCTAGTGGCATTGCCCACCTTGTTGAGAAATCTACAACTGCAGTTTCTGCCGGCAGCAAGACTGACGGTGTGCAACTGATATCCTGGTGTATTTCGCCAAATATCCTGGCCCTGGGAATGTGCACGCTTACTTGAAAAGTCTGAAAGAGGAATTTGAAATGCAAGCATAATATCTGCAAAATTCACAGCCTGCCATCCATTTCTAAAATCTCTTGTTAACATTTTCGATTTTGTCATTGATTGAAACCTGAGTTAAGAATCTCAGTGATCAGTCTATTGTATAAGAAACTCCAATCAAGTTAATCTCACTAGACACACATGTTTCTGGAATATCATAGAAAGCATATTGCTAGTTATACTTTGCTCTCTGCAGTTTCTTCTCTGTTTCCCACCAACCCCCACATCATAACCATGCCCCTAGTGGTGCTCTCCCACTGCTTAGTTCCTGAATTATTTTTAAATGACAATTTTATGAAAGCGTATTTGATTCTATTGGTGTTGAAATAGCCCTGGAATCCACTCATAAAACCTAAGCTTTTAGACATACTGTAGCAATATTAACTAGATCTATTAAATTTCAGAGAACTTGTTTACTCAAAAACAATGGGTATGATTTAGTGTTCATGCTAGTTGACATTTTTAATAGAATCAAGGCACAAAAGTCTTAAGATCATGTGTAAAAATTAGGTAATTGCCGCAGAGTGTAGTATATTACTTAAGATGCCTCTCATGAGAATATTCCAGGTATTGTGCTTGTTATACAAGTTGTCACAGTTGAGATTTAGTTGCTGCTAATTTCTTCTGCCCTAAGGTTAAATGGTGCATCCAGCTTACACAATCATGATCCAAAGGTTTACGGGCAATGTTATATGTAACATTAGGATAGAAAAGACATCTCTGGAAATTGCAATGGTGAAACTTCAGGAGTAGGCTGATTTGAATTTTTGGTATAATACTTTAACATAATTGTAGTTTGCCAAGTTTATTTCAGTTCATAAGTAAGGTATTTCAAATAAATTCTTGGGCCATTTTGTGTGGAAACTTGATATTAATAGTCTATAGCTCTTTGCATTTGTTGAAGAAATAAGCTAGGCACAGGGTTCATGTTTAGGTTTTAAGCACTTTTATCATGAGAAAGAAATGCCTTTTTGGAAATTTGTAACTTTCAACAGTTTAACTTCACATCTCTGCCAAATTAGTTTCTGGGCAGATTTCCTGTGTTGCTACGCCCCTCCGGTTTTGCGTTAATCAAATTGTTTAGTAGAGGTGGAATCTAAGTGTTTGTGTGTCCAGTTTACTTGCTGGGCCCATTCAGGGTTTGATGCATAATTGGACCTCAAATCAATACGTATAAATACAGCTTTTGATCTGTAATACTTTTATACAAAGTTTATTTTAATAGACATTTTATTCTTAAAAGAGAAGAAAATGTATGTTTTCATAATTTGGAGTGAAATTATCCATGCACATTATTTATACTAGCCACTCATCCATAAAGATTCATAAAATCCCCCCTAACCCCACTTCTCATTGTCTCCCATAGCCCCCCACTCTGAGGCTATAATATTGCTCTGTTCTTTACATTCCTCACTTACACTTCTAATCACATCCTCATCCAAAATTTGCCTAGATGTGATTTTATGCCCCAATTTACCTTGCTCACCTCATTTCCCTAAAGTTTCTACTAGTTCCCACTATACCTGGTGGTATCTAAATTACAGGTATCAAAATAGCCACATACAGAGTCACAACAATTGATAGCATCATGGCCCAGAAGAGATTTAAAATTGCATCTCAATTCCTCTTTGCCTGGTGGTGAGACAGCTGTGTATATAAATTAATGCATCAACTAGATGTGAAGGAGACTTAGAGTATGAGCCACGGCCCCAACACTTGGAATATAGTTTGGCTCTGTGTCCCCACCCAAATCTCATGTCGAATTGTAATCGCCAGTGTTGGAGGAGAGGCTTGGTGGACAGTGATTGAATTGTGGGGGTGGTTTCTAATGGTTTAGCACCATCCCCCAGTGCTGTTTTGTGATAGAGTTCTCACGAGATCTGGTTGTTTGAAAGTATATAGCACCTCCCCCTTCACTCTCTCTCTCTCCTGCCAGGTATGTGAATATATGTCTGCTTCTGCTTTGCTGTCTGCCATGATTGTAGGTTTCCTGAGGCCTCCCCAGAAGCAGAAGCCTGTACAGCCTGCAGAAGTGTGAGCATAATTAAGCCTCTTTTTTTTATAAATTACCCAGTAACAAATAGTTTTTTATAGCAGTGCAAGAATAAACTAATACAGAAAATTGGTACTGAGAGTGGAGCATTGCTCTAAAGATACATGAAAATGTGGAAGTGACTTTGGAACTGGGTAAAGGGCAGAGGTTGGAAGAGTCTGGAGAGCTCAGAAGAAGACAGGACAGGAAGATGAGGGAAAGTTTAGAACTTCCTAGAGACTTGTTGAATGGCTGTGACCAAAATATTGATAGTGATATGGACAGTGAAGTCCAGGCTGAGAAGGTATCAATGGAGACAAGGAACTTATTGGGAACTAGAGTAAAGATCATTCTTGCTATGCTTTTGCAAAGAGACTGGCAGCGGTGTGCCTCTGCTGTATTTACCTAATGCCTACACCCCCATTGTATCTTTTAGACATAATAAACTTGTTTTTTATTTTATAGGCTATCTGTGGAAGGGACTTGCCTTGTCTCAGGTGAGGCTTAGACTTTTGAGTTAATGCTGGAATGACTTAAGACTTTGGGGGACTGTTGGGAAGGCATGATTGTATTTTGAAATGTGAGAAGGACATGAGATTTTGGAGGGGCTGGGGTGGAATGATATGGTTTGGCTCTGTGTCCCCACCTAAATCTCATTTCGAATTGTAATCCCCAGTGTTGGAGGAGGGGCCTGGTGGGAGGTGACTAAATCATGGGGGTGGGTTCTAATGGCTTAGCGCCATCCCCCTAGTGCTGTTTTGTGATAGAGTTCTCACGAGATGTGGTCTTTTGAAAGTTTGTAGCACTTCCTCTCCTTTGCTCCCAATCTTCCTCCTGCTCCAGCTATGCAGGATGTGCCTCCTTTCTCTTCATCTTTCGCCATGATTGTAAGTTTCCTGAGGCCTCTCTAGCCATGCGTACTGTACAGCCTATGGAACTGTGGGTCGATTAAATTGTACTCTTTATAAATTACCCAGTCTTGGGTATGTTGTTATAGCAGTGCAAGAATAGACTAATACACCTTCCTTCTAGTTACCTTAGGAATCTCCTCTGTGATTCTTCTTCTTTGAAAAAAATTGGGAGATGGGAGCACAGCCTTGCTCTGTGGGGCTCAAAGGAGGACACAAAGATGGGATTTGCCTACAACCTTCTTCCTATTTAAAGGACCAGTCTTCCATAGGCTTTCACTCTCTTCATATTTTTCTAATTCCCTTCCCTACTTAATTTATTCCTATATATGTAGAAATAGACATGTAAATCTAGAACAAAAAGAAAATATCTAGTCCAATTCTTTCCTATAAAACATAGCTCCAAAGATGTTTCAGTGACTTTTTTAAAAGCTACAAGAGTTTTCTGTACTCATCACAATCTGAAAACAACTTATTATTCACATTTTATCACTCAGAATCTAGTGCATACTGGGCAACATAAACTTATTATAAGCCATCTCAAATTATCTCACAATGATCCTGTGAAGTTGTTATTCTTTACTTTTACAAACAAGTAGCCTTGAGCTAAGTGAGGTGATATATCTACTCAGCTAGTAGGTACTGGAGATAATTTTTAAACTCAGGTCTTCCAACTCTCTTGTGCTGCTATATTGAACTTCTACCAGTTCTACTGTCTGGACTTGGCTGGCACTGGGTTCAGAGTCTATACAGTATCTTCTCCTCTATCTATACATCATTCAGAACTCTTGTTCATTTGTGTAATGTTTCATTTGAATGTCATCAGCATAAAAGATGATACTGCCCAGACACTGACCATCCCCCTCCAATGGCCCCTTTTCTCCTTTACAATTCACCCAATATTTGTGGGATTTGTGTTGGCATTCAGTAGGAATGCTTTTGGCTACAAGTAACAGACAACCCAGCTGTCAGAGGCTTAAACCATGAGGATGTTTGAATTAGGCAAGATTCCAAAGACAATATAGGTTCAAACATTGATGAGAACAATTCAGAATTAAAGTACTTTTATTTTACTACCCGCTTCACTTACTACCAACTGGCAAAAAATAATGTATTATACCTTAGCAATACAATTTAGCGATTCTCTGATGCCCTCCCTATTTCTCAAGAATGTGCCCAAATTTGATGTCAAATGCTAGTGGCAACACAAGGAATTCACTAAGTCAGGGAAGTTCAGAACTGCATGCTCACTGCCTTTGATACCACTTAGCTGACAGAGAGGGCAATGCCAGCACAAAATGGCCTGTTCTACTATCATATAAAGAGATTCTTAACTCACTAGTTATTTCTGTGTACTATTCCTCATGCATCATCAAGCCTATAACATCTTGTCCATGATCACCATGAGGGCAATTTAGCAACTGAATAATATCTTCAAAAATTCAGTCTAAAAAACAACCAAAAAAAAAAACTGAGGCTTTTTCCATAATTATGCTTCATCTACCTCCATCTATAAGCTTTTTATCTTATGTGTCATGTCAAGGTCACAAATTGAGCTATACAGATCTAGTCAGCATCTCAAATAAGGCAAAATGGGCAAGGGAAACAAATTTTTTCCTTGCAGATAATTGCACTTTTATCAAAGCAGGAAAATCTTCCCCAGGTACTGCCTAGCAGACTTCTAATGATAGGTCATTGGTCAGAACTGAGTCACATGACCACCCAACTGCAAGGGTGGCTGGGAAAGTGAAAATCTGGTACAAAAGAAAGGAGACTCCATGACTGACTTAGACCAAGGCTGATTCAATCTTTGGGGTAAGGGCACTTTGCCTCTCTGACCAAAATGTGGATTTGGTAACAAGAAAGTAGAGAAAAATGGCTATTGGTTAGACACAAACCATGTCTGCCATGCAGACATTCCATATAACATGTATTAAATTTTTTTTTGCATGACTCATGACTTGGGAGGAGAATCTGTGTGTTTATATAATTTTATATTAAGCAAAACTCTCCATCCTGTCAAATGTTTTCTCTTGATCCAGCTTCACAAAACAACCGAACTCTGCCTTTGTCTTTCTGTGTTTTGTAATGTATTTTCAAATCTCTAAGGGGTCTACAATTTTATTGCCCAATTTTGTATTTCATTGTGAATCATTCCACTGGTTACCACTTTAAAAAGCTTTGCAATCAAATTCCCAGCACACACACACACACACACACACACACACACACACACACACATGCACAAATACACTTAAAGTCAATTCCAGATGTCACCTCTTACCCTTCATTCTTAAGCTAAATAATTGATGGCTTTTGTACCAAGCTTGCAGATGACAAGTCTTCCAGAGGCTTTCCTGTGGCAGTGGGAAAATGCCTAACCCCAATCAGCAACAGCCCGACTATGGCTAGGATCCATACTCTCCTTAAGGGCTTACGTTCTTGGACTTTTCTTCTGACAGTTACTTTAACCTTTAGGCCTTTATTTTCCCTGCTAATCAATAGCAACCCAGAGTGAATTCTCAAATATTTCCTTGCTTTGTCTCTTCTTCGTTCTTCTCTAAATGAGTCTAAAGAATAATTTGCATCATTTCTGATTTTATTGAATTTTATCATTTTTTTCTCTGATTTCTTTCTTCCAACTCTCTCCTGATTATTCCAGTATTCAATCATCATTCCCTAATTGAGAAGCCCCCTTACTCAAAATTCAATTACACACAGACTTAATTTTAAACTTATGAACTCAAGTCATAACTTATGCCAAGTTCAAAATTAGTGGACTTTTGTTATAGTCACCATGTTTTGTAGGAAGTATTATACATACAACGTGTCATTACTTTTTGGTCTCCACATCTATACAAGCATTTAATGCAACTCATTACAATTATGGTGGTTGATAGAAAAGTAGAGCATAGGAAGAAATCCTAAAGAATCTATAGAGTGTGAGGTCTGATAAATGTAAAATAATTACATACAATTAATACAATTAATCATTGTATTATTATATAATTAATAATTTAGGTTAAATTAATGTGTATTTATTGCATACAATTAGAAATTAATTTAAGATCTAATGAAAATAAGATTTGTATCAGTTGGTATTAGGTTCAGCTGTGTGTAACAGACTTTCAAAATATAGTAGCTTAATACAGACATTTATTGCTCTTTCACTGCTTATAACTCATTGGCTATAATTTGGTCAGTTGGCCAAAGGGAGTCTATCAGGGAGGCTAAGAGATGTAATTATTCAGCTCAGTGTCATTGTGACCAGCCAGCTGAAAGAAAGATGTCCAGGGAGGCTAGGAAATATAGCCCCTTTTTTTGATGGTGATGTGCTTAGATAACTCTCTGCAACTGGTTACTTAAGAAGAAGAGAATGTATATTGGGAGAAAATTGGCAATCTCTCCTGCATCACTGGATCTCTATTAAGTGAACACAGAACATTTTAACTGCTTTCACAGTTTTACTTATGATGTGCATCCCTCTAACCCATGCATTCTTAACAGGGCAACATCACTCCCAAGGGGGTGAAATTGGTTCTTGGAAGGAGGCAAAAAAAATCTTATATGTATTAGACACAGAAATATATACAATACATAAGAGATTTACAGTATAACTGTGGCATTAAAATTTCATGGGAGAGGCTTTTAAGAAAAATAAATTTCAAAACACTCTTTGGGTGGTAGAAGGGATAATGAAAAAAGGTTGAGAAACATTGTTCTAACCTCAAACAGGAGCTTTCAGAAACATATATCAAGGCCCAGCAAGGAGACACAAGTCTTTTGGCAAAACTTCTTGTTAATATTCTACAGGCTACATAATGCAATAAATAGAAAGGGGAACTAATTGCCAGTTGGCCTGACCAATAGTTTATTCAACAATTACTTTTGAGGTCATATTATGTGAAAAAATATGCTGAGTGTTGGGGACACAGCCAAGAATGGAGCAGGAACCCCACCTCATGGGGCTCCCAGGCTGCTGGGGAAGGCCAGCTTTGGACATTGGGTGCCACATTGATGGCAGATCACAAGACCAAGTTTCCAAGGCATCTATACTCAGCTTCTGAATCTGGTTCGTCTTCACAACTTCCTTGCTAAGTGACCTGGGCAAATTATTACCCACTACAGGCCATGGTTTCCACCACCTAATACCCATTCTTGAATTTTAAATGCACATTTTAAACCACCTAATACAGTATTTTTATGAGGATTCAGTAAGATAAGATCACATATATTATGATCATATACCGGGTGCTTAAGAAAATGATATTATTCATATTATCTGTTGGTTTTGTCTTATATATTTTGGATGAATGTCTGTTTCTGTCCTTTTTAAATTGCTTACATTTGACTAATTGTATCAACTTATTGCTTCCTTTTCCTTTTCCCCTCAACTCATCCTGTTAATACTTTTTTCTGATGGCTCTGGGGCTGGATTTTTCAAAACAACTGGCAATACATATGGTTTGAAAGGCCCAAGGCATGCGATCATTCACACTATTTCATCTGTTCACTTAAAATGTTCATCGATCACCTACTAGACTAGCCAGGCTCTGTGTTGAGTTAGGTGCTAAAGAGACTGGAAAGAATAAAACAGACCCAACTCCTGCACTTGAAAAATGATAACATTTATAAGTGTAAAAAGATTAATAAGGGAGGCCAAGGCAGGTGGATTACGAGGTCAGGAGATTGAGACCATCCTGGCTAACACAGTGAAACCCAGTCTCTACTAAAAATACAAAAAAAATTAGCCAGGCGTGGTGGGGGTCGCCTGTAGTCCCAGCTACTCAGGAGGCTGAGGCAGGAGAATGGCCTGAACCCAGGAGGCGGAGCTTGCAATGAGCCGAGATTGCACCACTGCACTCCAGCCTGGGCGACAGAGCGAGACTCCATCTCAAAAAAAAAAAAAAAAAAAAAAAAAGATTAATAAAAGAAAAAGGAAATATGCCAGAAATATGCTATATGAACATTTGATGAAGATATTAGCTGGTAAGAGAAGTCTTTCCTGAATGGTGAAGGTAAGAAAATTTTAAGGAAATGGAAGGAGCTGTACACATCCATGAAATGAGAAAGAACAGAGAATGCTGGAAGGGTGTCCAGTAAGGAGGGAGCATAGAGACTCTAAAGCTTGGAGCACTGGTCTCACTCTCTGATTGCTACCATGTTCCCACTCTTCCTGTCCCCCTTCCTATTTGTTTTGTCTCATTAAAATCCCAAAGCTGCCCTGAAAGGAGTTCACCAACTATGTCTCTCTCTCTCTCATGTACACACATTCCTAAGTCTCCTTAGATCTCTCCAAATTTGCACATATTTTCTCAATTGTCACCATTGCTATCATATGGTCTACCCTTGCTACTCAAAGTATGGTCCATGGACCAGCATCTCCTGCATCACCTGGCTGCTTATTAGAAATGTAGAATTTCAGGTCCCTCCGGAGATCACCCTCCATCCCCATCACACATATGGAATAAATCGGAATCTACATTTTAACAAGATCCTCATGTGATTCACATGCACATCAAAGTTGGAGAAGCCTTTATCTCATCTGCCTGCTGGGTCTAAATAAAAGATAGGGGGTTGTACCTCACCCCTAGCTTTGTCATGGCCACCCTGACCACCTGTTTTTTATCATAGCACACTTTCCTCTAAGAACTAGACAAGCTTGGATGAAATGTTTGCCCAGGGAAGATTCTAGTCTCCTGAGGAGTGGTGTGATGGCGTGAAATTGCAAAGAAAAGCATTTTGATGCCTTCCCATCCCATCTCCCAAACCTAAACACCACTTCTCTTTTACTTCATATTTCTTAGGTAGTTTTTCTTTTGGGTGTTTAGACGTTGTTAACTTTCTCACCTTTCCTAAAAATGTTCTAGCTCTCCAGTGTCTTATATCAGGTGTGATATCTTCATTTCCATGTTCTTAAATCAAGTCTTGAAATTATTTTGTATGGTGTGTGTGTGTGTGTGTGTGTGTGTGTGTGTGTGATATCTCCCAGATCTCTCAATCTTCTCAGCAATGTGCTATAATGTGACCTAAAGATACAATTTTCCTAATAAATGGGAAGGGCCCTATTACTCTTTAAATGTATTTGAGTTTGGCAAAAGGGCCAAATGCCAGTAGCTTAACTCTCTCCTAAGGAAGTCACCTCCATTACCTTCCTGCTGGAATTTCAAAGACCTTACTTCCCTGCAGGATACAATAAACACATAGAGGATAACAAACCATAGAGATTTTCTCTTCAGAGATTGGAACCAACTCCCCTTCCTGACACTACTCCCATCCACGTGGTACATCTGTTATGGAGATCTCCTCTTCCCATAGCTGGTATATTTGAATCAGTGACTGGTATCACTCCCCTATTTTCATGTACTCTCCTCCTTCCTTCATTGGTATTATGTGCAGAACTCCCAGTGCCTCTATAGCAAGCTTGTCCAAACCACTGCCTGAAGGCCACATGCAGCCCAGGACAGCTTTGAATGTGGCCCAACACAAATTCATAAATTTTCTTAAAACCTGAGGTTTTTTTGGCAATATTTTTAAGCTCATCAGCTGTCATTAGTATTAGTATATTTTGTATGTGGCCCATGGAAGCCAAAAGATTGAACAGCCCTGCTCTATAGACTCTTCTCAAAGTTAACCTTAATCAAAGGTCTTAAGCTTCTTGCTTCTTTATTTGTAACAACTGGATTTGTTTAGATCTTTTTCTACTTCCTACTCAGGATTCAACTTCCAATTAAAATAACCTTATTCCATTTTGTCCTCTTTCACTGTGTTCCTTTGCAGTCTTCAAAACGTGGTTGTGATCTTCAGAACTTCTTTGAATTTGTAACAAAGGGAAATTAGTTATTAGCAAAAGCTAATTGACATCTATAGATGCTGACTGGTACAGGCACTCTGCCATGCACTTTATATTTATTATCTCTTGTACTCTTTATAATCCCTCGATTAGGATAGTAGTGCCTAAAATCACTAGCTTGGAGTCTAGCTCCATAGATTAGAATTCTATCACTTACTATCTATGAGAACTTGGCTGAAGCTAACCTTTCTGTACTTCAATTTCCTTATCTATAAAATGAGGACAATAATAGCACCTACTTCATGGGATTATTTTAGTACATTGCTATACTTGAATATTTGTCCACTCCAAGATTCACGCTGAAATTTAATTCCCATTGTAAGTGTTAAGAGATGAGACAAAGCTTTAAGACGCAATTAGGCCATGAGGGCTCCACCCTTAGAACAAACTAATGCCATGATTGAGGGAGTGAGTTCACCTCCTCTTGCGCAGGCGCTCTTTCACTCTCGCTCTGTCTCTCAAGCGTGCGCGCTCTCTCTCTCTGTTGGCCCTTCCTCCAACTGGTACTTTCCACTATACTATGATGCATAAGAAGCCCCTCATAAGATCACAACACTTTCATATTGGACTTCCCAGTCTCCAGAACTGTAAGCCAATAAATTTCTGCTCATTATAAATTACTAGTCTATGGTATTCTATTACAGCAACACAAAACAGACTCAGACAAACATTAAAGTCTATTACATGCAAAATGCTTATAAAAAGGCCGGGCCCAACCAATTTCAATTATTGTTACTATTACTATCCCCAGTTTAAATATGAGAAAAACAAGGCACAACGAAGTTTGATAACTTGCTCAGCTTACCTAGATGTTGGTTAGTGGCAGAGTAGGCAGCCTGGCTCTGTAATCTACTCTGTCTAGAAGGAATTAACGGACTAAACCACATAACTTCAAAGAGTCACTGAAAGAATCCAACTGTGTAGCCAAGGCTAAACATTTAATGACGTAGCACAGGAAGTACTAGGAGAGGAATTATACAACATCTAAACAGCGGGAAGCCTCTTTATGAGTGCTCAACACAGAAGTTATCCTCCTCCTACCAAAAATCAGAGAAATATAAAAACTCTCCCACAGAGAGGCACAGAGAAGAACACATTTTCGGAAGATATTTGAACATACAAAATTAGAAGAATGCTGCACACTCAGAAATCCTAATTTGCACAGATTTGTGCAATATCAAACGAACAAAAATAGCTAAATCCACACAAATACACTTATCTAGTCAACACATATTTACTGAGTGCCCACAATGTGCCAGGTGCTGGGTAGTGGGGATACAAGATAACAAGTCCTGCTTTTATGGAGCTGAAATTTAGGGTGTAATAAATTTAGAATTTGAGAAAGTGATGAGTTATGGATGAAATATAAAAGATTAATGTGATGTGATAAAACGTTTACTTTTTAAATCTCGTCAAAATATCAAAGTAGAGACAGAATTATCTGTAGTGAATGAGTATTGCTGTTCCGAACCAAGGAAGCGACTAGTATCACATGGACCAATTTGAACTAGCATAAAACCAAAAAACAAATCAAGACACCATTGGAAGCCAGGACTTCCATGGAGAGGAGGATGCAGAGAGAGCAGTGTAGAGACATCCTCCTTGGTTACTCTTAATAAGGAGTAACCTACTTTGGAGTTATAGCTGTATATAGGCCAGTGCTTAAGTTAACTGTTTAGTGCATTATATATAGGAACTTTCTCAACAAATATTTTTTCTTGTCAATTTATGAAATCTGGAATTTAAATAGCCCCTATGGGTAGTACTTGATGGAACCTGAACAGGACAGGCCTAACTGATAGCTGTGGTTGCAATCATAGTGTCTGGGAGAGGTAAATCCCCATAAGCAGCCTCTTTTACACAGTGTTGTCTGAACAGAGACTTTGGCTCTGTCATCCATCAATCCCATTTTGTCACCTTCTCTCATGCAGTCTTTGGCCTGTGATTTGCACACAGGACATTAGTAACCCTGAAACTCCCATGGTGCTATAAGACCCCAAAGTGAACTTAGCTTATTTCCAACTCTCTCATAGGTCAGTCCACTTTCTGCTTCATAGCATGGATACTGTGTATCCATCCATTAAACCCCTGAGGTCAGAATTTTACCATGTAAATTATGTACATGTAACTTTTTAAAAATAAGAAGGTGAAGAAGAGGATAAAAAGAAGGAGAAACAACAACCATCACCACTTATATTACTATTTGGAGAAAGTTGAAGATCCTTGCCACACTGCTTCCTTCATCCTGAGCCCCTTCTTCTCTATTTATTTTCATTGGCTTGTGACTCTGATACTTCTGCAAAGGAACTGGAATGAATATTAACTTGGAAGAGTACAAGTCACCATAAAAAGATCAATGAAAATTACAATATATTTATATCCTCTCATCTCCACCTCCATCTCCCTCCCCTCAACCACTACACACAAATGCACTCACATTTGATATTGTTTAGATAGGTGGATAATTTTGCTAACTTTAGACCCAATCTAATAATACCACCTTCTAAAAAGTCCAAGGTAAGTGGGATTAATCACAAAATGATTATACAATCCTTCTACAAAGGACTGATTCAGTTACACTATGGGTAGATCCAACTGCATATATCCACGGTAATTTTATACTAGGAAACCAGGGGAATGGCTAATTTTGTGAGAAGAAATGCTGTTAGACTAGAAGAAACAAACAGTTGCTAAGGGAAAAAATAGTGACCTCTCAATTCTCTCCCTAGGGATGTGAAAATTCCAAGTGTGGTGTATTTCCCAGTGTTTTGGAAAGAATAACTGATATCTAAACAATCTAAGTAAAATCTGTGCCAAATTATTTCTGTGGCTGTTTGTGGTTTGTTATGATGGTCTCCAGTCCACTTACTGTTTCATGAACCAACAGGACCAGGCTGCTTGCTGGATTTTCTGGAGTGCCTTCCGCATATGCCTCCTGCTTTCATTCAGACCATAATGGGAGACAAGTTTCTTGGGTCTCTCTGGGCACAGGCATCCCCAGCCACACTGAGACCATGCCACCTTCCTCAAGGACTTGTCATAAATGAGCCATGAGGACAGCTTCTGTCCTGGCCTTTCAGCTTACAGCAGCCATTCTGGAGTCATTGGGGCTGATCGCATCCTGCCAGGTGTTCCATCAGATCCTACTGATTGCTTGCTTTGATGTATGTTCAAAAAAGGTCAAACAAGGATAACCCGCTATTGGTTTAAGTGTCCCACAGACACCTGCCTTCTGGGATCTGCTTTTAGATTCTGCCTCCATTATTCTGGGAGGCAGTGAAAAAAACAGAAAGCCTTTTCTCCATCTAGGTCTTCCCTCAAAACAGCATCAAGAGGAGAAAAAGTGATGTGGAGGTGGTATTTCTAGCCTCATTTTATAGATGAGAAGTTTAAGAATCAGAGCGATGATAAGGAAATACAACACAGCACACTGCCCAAGAGCCTGGATTCTGGACTCACTCATGACCAAGATCAAATTCTAGCTCCGTCACCCTATAGCCATGTGACACTCAGCAGGTTGCTTAAACTCCCTGCCTCAGTTTTCTCATTTATAGAATAGATATTAATATTCCATTAAATGGTGATGAGGAAGAAAGGAGGTCATGTATATAAAGCACTGAATACAATGCCTGCCACAAAGAAAGGGCTGATTAATGCTATTATTACAATTATTATGATTGTAAGTATTAGAAGACTTGCCCTGTCTCTCAGCTATGGCAAAGCTAGTGTTTCTGTAGCCATCAAAATGCTGTCATGCCACGATAACAAACTCTCTCCAAAATCTCAGAGGCTTATTATAAAGTGTGTTTTCTCATCATCATCACCTCTACTCTATGACTCAGGTGGATAAGACCCCCATGCTGGACCACTGCCTAGAGTTATACCTGAGGGAAAAAAGAATGGGTGAATCACAAATTGCTTTTAAAACTTCTGCCCAGAAATGGCATGTGTCATTCCACTCATATTGCATTAGCCAAAGCAAGACCAACATGAATGTTGTGGGGAGACAGAATCTTCAACCTTGGACGGAAACAGATTAGGCTAACAGTTATAGATCCACCACAATGGAAGAGCCATTTGAAGGTCTAAGTTTCTCTCCATGACGCAACTCTACCCTTCAATAAATTAAAGTGTATGAGATTTTCTGAAAAGTTAAATTTGTGATAATAAATTAGAAAATGTTTAAAAGAAGACTGATAGTCTTGCTCTTTTCCTGAGTGTTACCTTTTTAATAAATTTACAGAGATGTCATTTCACCATCATGCAAAGAAAATGAAGTAACCAGAGGCAGCAGCATACAGGTCTGTAGAAGCCTAACAGCCCTCCTGGATCCTTTGCTGCACAGACGGTCACCCTTTCTGCACACCACAGGCTGACAGGTGGTTACTGTCTTCAGCACGTGTCAAAGGGACAATTTTCTATTAAATTAGTCTTCCTTTCAGTAACTCGTGGTCCTCCCACAAAGAAGGACTGGTTGGACCGACAGCCCTATTCTTTATTTTATTGTTTAATTTTTGCTTTTTTGCTTTCTGTATGTGTGTGTGTTTTCAAATTCTTTACTTTGTAACTATTTTTGGTGTATAAAAAGTATATATAATTAAAATATACAACTTGATATTTTGATATACATTGTGAAGTGATCACATTTGAGCTAATTAACATACCTATCACTTCTACATAGTTACCATTTTTGTACCCTTAAACTGACATCATCCCCTCTCCCCAGCCTCTGGCAACCACCATCCTACTCTCTGCATCTATGCACTTGACTATTTTAGATTCCACAAAAAGTGAGATCATGCAGTATTTCTTTTTCTGCCTTGCTTATTTTGCTTAGCATTTCCTCTAGCTCCATCCATGTTACTGCAAATGGCAGGATTCCCTTCTAAGGCTGAATAACATTCTGTTGTATTCTATTCATTCGTTATGTCTATGCCACATTTTCTTCATCCATTCATCTGTTGACAGACACTTAGGTTGTTTCTGTATCTTGGCTATTGTGACTAATGCTGCAATGTACATAAAAGTGCAGAACATGGGAGCATAGATCTCATGATGCTGCTTTCAATTACTTCGGATATATACCTAAAAGTAGGATTGCTGAAACCATATGGCACAGTAGTCCCCCTTATTCATGAGGAATATGTTTCAAGACATCCAGTGGATACCTAACATGTGATCTATACTGGAGAATGTTTCCTGTGCACTTGAAAAAAATGTGTATTCTGCTACAATTGGGTGGAAAGTTCTGTATATATATCAGTTAGGTCCATTTGGTCTGTAGTGTTGTTCAAGTCAGCTGTTTCCTTACTGATTTTCTGCCTGGATGCTCTGTCCATTATTGAAAGTGGGGTATTGATGTCTCCTACTCTTATTGTTTCATTGTCAATTTCTTTCTTCAGACCTGTCAATACTTATTTTATATCAGGTGTTCTGATGTTGGGTACATATAAATTTGTGATTGTTCTATCTTTATGTTGAATTGAACCTTTTATTGTTATATAATGACCTCCTTTGTCTCCTGTCACAGTTTTTTACTTAAAGTCTATTTTGTGTGATATAATTATAGCTACCCCTGCTCTCCTTGGTTATTATTTGCAGGTTTGATTACCATTTGCATGGAATATCTTTTCCCATCCCTTCACTTTCAGTCTATTTGTGTCCTTACAGCTAAAGTGAGTCTCTATGACAGAATATGAATGCATCTTGTTGATTTCCTTTTCTTAATCCATTCAGCCACTATATGTCTTTTGATTGAGGACTTAGCCCATTTACATTAAAGTGATTATTGACAGGTAAGGACTTACTATTGTTATTTTGTTCGCAGTTTTTTCACTGTGTTGCAGTTCTTTTATTCCTCTCTTCCCCTTTTGTTTTCTCTTTTGTTCTTTGATTATTTTTTGTAGTGGTTTGGTTTGACTCATTTCTCCCTATCTTTTGTGTACTTGCTATAGGTTTTCAATATGTAGTTAACATGAGGTTTGTATAAATCTTCTTGTAGTTATAACCAACTATTTTAACTTGTTAACAACTTAAGTTCAATTGCATATAAAAACTGAATTTAACTTTCTCCTCCCCCGTTCTTGTTCTTGAAGTCAGATTTTACTTTTTTCTCTATTATAAATCTGTTACCAAATTTTTGTGGTTTTAGCTATTCTTAATACTTTCATTTTTTAATTTTCATATTAAGGTTATGGGTTACTTGTGCACCACGATTACAGTGCTACATTATTCTGTATTTGGCTATATATTTGCCTCTGCTTGTGACAGTATACTTTCAAATGCTTTTACATTGCTATTTAGTGTTTCAATTCCATTTGAAGAATTTCCTTAAGCATTTATTGTAAGGCAAGTCCAATGTTGACAAACTTCCCCAGCTGTTGTTTGTTTGGGAAAGACTATCTCTCCTTCATTTTAAAAGAATATCTTTACAAAGATATAGTACTTTTGTTTGGCAAAATATACTATATCTTACAAAATATTTTGTATGTTTGTCAAGCAAAAAAGACTATCATTTTAAAAGAATACCTTTATAAAGATACAGTATTTTTGTTTCCAGTACTTTGAATATATAATCCCACTCTCTCCTAGTCTGCAAGGTCCCTGTTGAGAAATCTGCCAAGAGTCTTATGTGTGTTCCTATGTATGTGACTACTAGCTTTTCTCTTGCTACTTTCAAAATTTTTTGTCTTTGATTTTTGACAATTGAATTATACTGTGTCTTGATGTAGGGCTCTTTATGTTTAACCTACATGGGGGTCCTGTGGGTTTTTTGAGCCTGGATAGTTGTCTCTCTCCCCAGATTTGTGAAGTTTTGAGTTATTTCTTTAAATAACTCAAAGAAAGGGGAAAATAACTTTTCCCTTTCTTTTATAATACATATATGCATTCACTTGATGGTGTTTCATAAATCCTATAGGCTTTCTTCACTCCTTTTCTTTTCTAACCTTCAAATGGATAATTTCAAATGAGCTGTATTTGAGTTCACCAATTCTTTGGCTTGATTGTCTGCTGTTAAAGTTCTCTATAGCATATTTTAATTCAGCCATTGCATTTTCTAGCTCCAGAATTTATTTTTTTAATGTTTTCTCTTCTTTAAACTTCTTTTGTTCTTGTTTTCCTGATTTTTGTTAGATTCTTTATCTGTTTTCTCTTATAGCTCATTAGGCTTCTTTAAAACAATTATTTTTTAATTCTTTGTCATGTAATTTGTAGGTCTCCATTTCTTTGAGATCAGCTACTGGACATTCATTGTGTACTCTTTGGTGGTGTCATATTTTCCTGATTGTTCATGATCCTTGTAGCCTTGCATTTTACATGTCTGTGCATTTGAGGAAGCAGACACCTCCTCCAGACTGTATGGACTGGCAGAAGAGAAAATGGTTTACTTGTGGCACACAGAATATGTTTCTGCCAAATCCATTTTTATTCTATGGACTGAAATACAGACTAGTTGATCTGGGTCTCAACACAGTCTTCCTACATCCTTAGCCTCAGCTTTCACCTCAAACAGTACATTCTGTTCATCTACCAATATGTCTGGGTACTCAGTGAATTGATCCTTGGTCACAATAGTTATTAGCTCTCTGCTAAGGTAAGAACAGATAAATGAGGGAAAGGGGTGGAAATGTGAAGTGGAAAGGAAGGAAAAGAAATTTAATTTTGTAAAACATAACTTAAAAGTAGGGAGCATTTTTAACTTTGACACACACATAAATACGGAGTTCTTTCAAAGCACAAAAGCTTCCAGACAACCTTCTTTACAGAGATGGAGTACGTTATCACCTGCACCATATGTGCTTAAGCACATGGGAAGCTCACTACCCTCTAGAATATTTTTCCGTTCACTGAATAATATCAGAAGTACCAAATTTTGAGCTTTTTGCCTTCAAAATGGTGATTTAGAAATACGGAAGTCAGGAAACAGTGCCAATTTTTTTTCCTTCCTCATAGTTTTGCCAAGAACTGACCCTGCATCTTTTGGGTTATAAGCCAGTTTGGTCAATAGATGCTTGCTCCTTAACAAAACCTTATTGATGAGCTGATAAAGTTTTCACATTCTGCAGGTGAACAGTTATGTAGGGGGCAGGGCTAAGAGACCAAATGACATGCTCGGGTTATTTAACAGGGCAGAGAAAGAGCTGAGTCTACAGTGGGGGTCTCCTGACACCTAACTACAGACTGTAACCCCCTTTGATCTTTCTGCAAAGTTCTATTTCCATAGGACTGATTCTGGTAGCATAGTAATGCAGGAATTACTGCATTCCTGCATAGTAATGCAGGAATTACTGCATTCCTGCATAGTAATGCAGGAATTACTGCATTCCTGCATAGTAATGCAGGAATTACTGCATTCCTGCATAGTAATGCAGGAATTACTGCATTCCTGCATAGTAATGCAGGAATTACTGCATTCCTGCATAGTAATGCAGGAATTACTGGGATAGAGAGAATAATGTCTCTATCCCAGGTTTAGTACTGCAGGTTTAAATACTACATTGATAGTGTCCCTCAAACCCAGTGCAGTATTTAAATGATCCTCAGTCAGTTAGTTCCCAGGGTTAGATCATGATGCTCAGATTGGCAGAAGTTGGATATGGTATGAAAAAATTATAACACAGTGTAATATTTGGAAATTGTATAAACCCTTTTCTACATTACAGACTATGGAGAAAAACAACTAAACCAAATCCTCTTGGCTGGTAGAATTATGGAGATTCTTTTATTTTTTTTTTCCTTAACAAGGGTAAGAAAAAAAAAGAATCACACCAACTTCCAGTCCCCTCACCCAATGGCATATTAGGATTTTCAATAGGAGATGTTCTGAGTATTTATCAAAACTAGGCATAGGTTGAAAACATCAGGCTGAGGCCTAGTTCTGATACGGCCAAGATCATAGGTGGAATGTTCTTGAAGTTTCACTTTATTTATTGAGCAAATTAAGCATTTTATTTATTAGCCTCTCTATTTGGCTGACTGCATCCAAAATGTGTAGACAGAATGGAAGAACAATGTAAAACTACTTCTGCTGCTCAGAAAACAACGAGAAGCATTCAGCTTTTCCAGAGAAGCTCCATTGCATTTGTATATGTGAAAGCCTACAATATAGTTTTATGAGTTCCACAATAGAATAAAATCTTTCAAAATTTTTTTTTAGACTGTGATCTGGCTTTCTGACTTTGCTAACCAATCTCCTCCTTGCTCACTCTGTCTCAACCACCCTTGCTTTCTATCACTCTATTTCTCCAAACACCTCCTCATCTCAAAGGCTTTGTTTTTGATGTTCCCTCTTCCTCTTCCCCAGGTATTTATAATGGCATTGTCTCCTAATTTAGGCATTGGCTTGGATAACATTTCTTCAAAGAGACCTTTTCTGACCAGCTAATCTATAATAGACTGCTCCAATCACTTTTCTGTTTTATTTTCCTCAAAGCTTTTAGGATCAGTGAAATTACTTGTTTTGTTATGTGTTTATTTACTATCTTCCCCGTAGGCTTCATGAGGACATGGATCTTATTTCCTTTTCAGTAGAACAATGTATTTTCCTTTGGGTATATATCCAGTAATGGGACTGCTGGGTTGAATGGTAGTTCTATTTTTAGTTCTTTGAGAAATCTTTAAACTGCTTTCCACAGGGGCTGAACTAATTTGTATCCCCACCAACAGCATACAAGTGTTTCCTTTTCTCTCCAAGTTTGCCAACGTCTGTTATTTTTTTAACTTTTTAACAAAAGCCATTCTGACTGGTGCAAGATGGTATCTCATTGTGGTTTTGAGTCCCAGCACAGTACCAGGCTCGTAGCAGCCATGCATTAACTATGGGTGAATAACTGACTCAATAAGTCAGTTAACATGTCAGGAATTCCCACTCCTTGTTTATCCATCTAGGAGCACAAAAATGCATGGTACATACCAGAGAGACCATGGGCCTAGGTATTGGTAGGTATCAGAGACATTTCATAATAAAAATAATAAGAGAAATAATAAGAGCCCATTCTCTGATGGGCTACATACACATTCTCTAAGCCCCACTAAACTGTATGAGATGGGTGTTTTTATTAGTCTATTTCACAAAGGAGAAAACTGAGCTGGAAGAAGTTAAGTGACTTGGTCTAAGTTATATAGCTAGTAGATGGCAAGGCTCAGATTTGGACCCAGGCAGTCTGCACTTAAGAACTATCTTTATGGTATTTTCATTTTGCTTCGGCTCCAGCATTTCGTCCACCTACCCCAGTTTGAAAAACAATTTGAGCTGAATTTGCTTCACTCTGAAGAAAGAACTTTTTAGAAAATCCATTAAACTATTCTGGGGGACATCATTTTTTTCTACTTTTTAATGTAATAAAAACAGAAATATGTATGTTACCTTGATTGTTTGAAGTCTGGGATTATTTGAGCTTTATCATAGAAGACAAACATCTTTTTAACTTTTATTTGTCACTGTGCTGATTACCTCCTTTAATAGTAATTTGAATTCCTGTGTAAACAAACTCCTTATGACACAAGAAAGAAAACCTGCTGTAAAGGAAAAAATTGGGGGGAAAGAAGAACCTAGCTTTTGTTTCTTGACTGTAAGGTGTTCTGCTTTGATAATGCAAACCAAGCAACCAACTTAAAAGTGGTCTGAAAACAAAAATCCTTGTAGATGAAGGGTCTATACTCTTCAGGCTTCTAAATCTTATTTCAAGACTTCTTTTTCCCCTCCTTGGTAGACAAGTTATTTTCTAAGTGGTAAAGGAGTCAAGAGGTAGGTAATTTGTTTCCTTTTTTATTTTAGAGAGTATGTTACTGGTTGTGGCTGTAGAACATTTTCAAATTGGAGTCTTCAGCCAAGCTTACTGAAATGCCAAGTTATGCCTGGGTTACATATACATAAAGCTTCCCCACTGGAGAAATCCAGCTGTCTCATAGTCCTTCTGGAGGGACTTACTCTTTTAAGTACTGAATTGAAGATCTGGGATATTTGATTTTCTGTTTATCAGGGCAAATAAAATTTTAGCCTCCTAATAAATATAAAGAAAATCCTTGGACCACATATTGTCCCCCTTTAAACAGGCAGTGCATGTGAAATGTTTTATTATTGTAAAATAAATCAGTAAATAACCTGAGGCAACTGAAGTAGCATATATGCTTATATATTTCCCTGGGCTTTGAAATCTTTATATATATTTATATTTTTATATATATATTTATTTATTTATATTTATATAAATATTTATATATTTATATTTATATATATTTATATATATAATTTTTTTTTGAGACAGAGTCTTGCTGTATTGCCCAGGCTGGAGTGCAGTGGTGCGATCTCCACTCACTGCAACCACCTCCCTTGTTCAAGTGATTCTCCTGCCTCAGCCTCCTGAGTAGCTGGGATTACAGGTGTGTGCCACCACGCCCAGGTAATTTTTGTATTTTTAGTAGAGACGGGGTTTCACCATGTTAGTCAGGCTGGTCTTGACCTCTTGACCTCATGATCCACCCGCCTTGGCCTCCCAAAGTGCTGGAATTACAAGTGTGAGCCACCACTCCCAGCTAAATATAATTATTTTAAAAAATCAAATAAAAGGCATCTCTAGTGCACTATTAGAAACAGGAAGAAGTCCAAAACAAATAACTGGAATAATGGCCTAATCTTATTTGCTAGCCCATACAATGAGGTAGTGGCTGACACTTATTTCCAGCCGGGATGGTTTTTAGCAATCCCCAAACCCTGGTTGATCTCAATGGAAATCTCTTTTCAAAATGATCAGTCAGTTATAGGTACATGAAGTCAGCTTGAAGATAGTTGATGACTTTTGGATATGGAATTGTCTATGTATGCATGATTATCACATCTATTCCCATAGTGACAAAGTGTTCAGATGAAGACAGATATAGATGAGGTCAGATGTGAAGACAAGGTGTAGAAGGGAGAAAGAAGGTGGAGGAAGAATGGAAAGCCAAGGGGGATAAGGAAAAGAAAGACAAAAAGAGAAAAGTCCCATTTTGCCTGATGGCTCAAGAGCATTTTAGTTTAGGTTTATGTTGTTTAGTTTAGGTTTTGTTGTTTTTCTTATCTGCAGAAGTTCCACGGCCTCTAGATTTAGAACATTTGTGCTTGATAATCACACATTACTGAAAGATGGTCTATGAAAAAGTTTTAGATTTATGGGTATAAGGAAACACATGCTATACAATTTAGAAAACTATATATCCAGCTTTGTATATTTCTTTCAGATTTAAAATATCTTCAACATCTTCAAAACAGGATTCAAGTCATTCTCAAGCTGTTTGAGATCATCCTTGTATTTCTAAATAGGTCAGAGCCTGGGCCACAGCAAGTAGCTAAAAACCTGGATAATAGATCCTGTTCTTGTTGACTGGATGAAGTTAATAAAGCTTCTGAGTCTAGATCCAGGGAAACATTACTACCATTAAAACTGAAACAAGGTAGAGCACAGTGGCTCATGCCTCTAATCCCAGCCCTTTGGGAGGCCAAAGTGGGTGGATCACCTGAGGTCAGGAGTTCAAGACCAGCCTGGCAACATGGTGAAACCCATTTCTACTGAAATACAAAAATTGGCCACTGTAGTGATGCATGCCTGTAATCCCAGCTACTTGGGAGGCTGAGGCAGGAGAATTGCTTGAACCCAGGAGGCACAGGTTGCAGTGAGCTGAGATGGCGCCACTGTACTCCAGCCCAGACAACAGAGTGAGACTGTCTCACAAAAAGAAAAGAAAAGAAAAGAAAACAAAAAAAAAAAAACAAAAAACAAAAAAAAAAAACCTTAAACAAGTGTTTACAAAATATAATCCACAAAATTTTAGACCCATGTGATGTTGATCAGTTTTCCAGGGAGGAAAGATTGCATAATTCATAAGTTTGAGAAACTTGGATTTTTGGATTTCAACAAAATGCAAATCCAATCATGTGACTGTCCACAAAATGGGTATTTTATGCCAAGTTTCCCAACCCTTAGCCATTCCATGGGCTAACGTCCCATGGAATATACTTTAGGACACATTGGTCTACATCAATTCCTACTTCACCTCCTTCACAAAACAATCTCCATTTTCTTTTGGGGTAACCAGATGACTACTACCATAGCTACAAAGTGAGGAGACTAGTTTCATTTTACTTAAAGTTACATGATTTGAGGGGAAGCAAAGGTCTATTTTAAAAATTATTTTGACATTTTTATAACCCCCCAAGTGGCAGGAAGAGCTGAAATCATTGTCACTGTATCAGAAATAACACACCCTGGGAAGGCATTGTGGCATAATATTGAAATCAACCAAGGCTCAGATCTGGACTTTAGCAACTATTTGCTGTGTGGCCTTGGGGAAGGTCTGATCAGCTCTAAGCCTCTTAATTTGCCTCTTTAACATGAGGGTGATGATGCAAACCTCCTAACATTGTATGAGGTTTAAATGAAGTAGTATGTGGAAAAGCAACTTTCCTAGAGTTGGTTTCAGAGTTGACACACCATTAAAGTAAGTTATTTTCCCCCTTTTCCTTCCTCCCTCCCCCCTCCTGCCACCCTCCCCCATCCTGGAGTCCAAATATTTCAGGAAAACTGATAAAGTAAATAAACATCACTCCTTAACTCTAAAATATCAAACTCAAGAAACTGGCATTCCAGTCTGGGTGGAGCAGACACATAGGTTTGATTCCGTTCACAAATGATGAAACTTCTAGACTCTTCCTCCTGAGATTCCACTCTGGAAAGGTCTCCTGTCAAAAAACAAAGAGATCAATCTTGTCCCAAAGGTCAACATGTTTGTCACCTCCTGTCTAGACTACAGCAGTGCTCGCAACCTGGACCTCCCACAGGGAACCGTCCGCTGACAGCAGATGACCCAGACGTGACAGCATGCCTGCTGGTTAGTCAGCCCACAGCAAGCCCAGCACACCCAGGCCAGGCGGATTCTCAGCCTTGGCTGCTGTTTGACGTCAAGTCCAATTTATGATCTGGGCTCTTGAATTAAATCACCAGGCAGTGATGAGCCCGGGCTGCTGGAAGACCTTTTCATTCCACACATCCCGCTGATAACTTGTTGGACATGGAGGTATTGGGACACGATGCAGATATCTTTTCATTAAGGTTTGTTTTTAATTAGAATAACTGGACCCATGTGTGCTTCTAGTTAACCATGTAGGTGTCGCCGGGCTAAGAGGAGTTTGCATTTAGCCCTGCCTCCCCAGACCAGACACTGGGGTCCAGGACTCCTTAAAGGATTAAAAAAGTAAACTGATCACAAAGAGGTTTTATTCAAAAGCCTAAAAGTAGTTAAAATTAGCATTCTTGCCCTCATTCCACCCCCTTCTCCAGGTCATTATTTTGAACTGCTTAGAATTCAAAATACATTTCTGCCTACAAGTCCAGAAGGTGTCACATTGAGATATTTTTTCAGCAAGGATGGTATCATCAACATTCTCTATCAGCTCCTTTGATGACCAATATTTCTAGTGTGTTCATTCAAAAGTCACCAGCAAGAAGCTGTGAGAAAGTGAGAAAGTAGAATTATATAACATAACCCCACCCTGCAGGAGACAAGGGCTTTAGGCATGCAGCCTCGGTCAGGTCAGTAGGACAGAGTGGGTTTCTTTGAAAGTCTGGTTTTTATTTTGTTTTTGTTTTTGTTTTTCTTCTAGAATTCAACTTCTATCTTGAATTAAGCTAATCAACTTACCTTTGTTTGGCCTTTTGAAGAGAAGAGGCTGATCTTATTTACTACTTGTCAATTTGCCAGAAACATGTTTACTTTTATTTAGATGAACTTGGCTGCCAGCAATAGCAGTGAAAGAAGAGAAGGTATATGGAGAGTAAGAAAGACAGCCCAGCAGAATTGGGAAAGATTATTTAAAAGGAGCAGAATGCTCTCTCCCAGAAAGTCAGAAATGAGAGAGAGAGAGAGAATATGAATGAGACAGAGAGAGAGAGATTGAGTAATTCAATATAAAGGTACAATCTCAATCTGCCAGATTACTCAATCTGCCATTGCCTTCTCCATCAGCATCAAAACCTCAGAGAACACGGAATTATAAACCAGATCCCATCCTCCAGCCACAAATTACACAAGCTTAGAGTGCTCAGAGGCAATGACAATATTAAAGAGTTTCAAAAATAAAGTATGCTTCATTTCTATTTGAACAACTCCCTATAGCCTCCTTGATTCAACACAGCTTCTTACAATCCTTTCATTTGCATCATTCCTTTTCTTCCCATGAAATACCCTCCTGCAACTTGAGACAAGATGGAACATGCTACATAGGAATCTTTGCGACTATTTAAGATTCCATCTAAATGTACACAGTCCCCATGGGATCAGAAAAATTTGCTGTTCAGTTTTCCGGGCACACAACTTTATAATATCAGGATTAACAGGAACTTGTACATTAATGCCTAGAGGTTTTTTGCCCTCCTGATATTCCTCAGATAAAACTCAAGGGGGTTAGGAGGTTTCCACATAGTTCTTTTTCCAAGCAGTCTGTCATTCTTGGTGCATCACCCACACTTTCCGAAAATGGCACAAAATCCAGCCAGACTCTTCCAAGAAAGGGATTATGTCACTCCTCAATCCTATGATGCCTCTGAAATAACCTAAACAAGTTTTTTTCCCACTGAAGGGGTACACCTTCAGTTCTTTCTACAGGCCAGGCATAAGATCTTGAATCTCTTAACTTTATTCTGTATTGATATAATTACAGAAATGGATAATAGTGATTTTTTTCTAGATGAACACTTCATACTGAGTGACACCTTCTCATTGTGGTCCACATGCTTTAAACTGTTGTCTATTTAATATTTCCGTATCTTTCGTCATTCCCTTCCCCTGTGGTTTTCTTTCCTAACTGCTAGATAGTTCTGAGGCAGGGCACTGGACCAATGGCATTAAAAGGAACAGAAGAGGCCGGGCGCGGTGGCTCACGCCTGTAATCCCAGCACTTTGGGAGGCCGAGGCGGGCGGATCACGAGGTCAGGAGATCGAGACCATCCCGGCTAAAACGGTGAAACCCCGTCTCTACTAAAAATACAAAAAATTAGCCGGGCGTAGTGGCGGGAGCCTGTAGTCCCAGCTACTTGGGAGGCTGAGGCAGGAGAATGGCGGGAACCCGGGAGGCGGAGCTTGCAGTGAGCCGAGATCCCGCCACTGCACTCCAGCCTGGACGACAGAGCGAGACTCCGTCTCAAAAAAAAAAAAAAAAAAAAAGGAACAGAAGAGAGAAATGAAGAGTAACAGTCCTCTTAGGCAATCATCTTAATTGACCAAAAGGCAAGTCAGGCTGTATGAAAAAGTATAAACCATATGTATACCACATATACATCTTAGATCTTTACCATCTGGTTTCTCACACTTAGATGAGCCTTTAGAGCAAAAGGAAGAAGAATCACTTTGTAAGAAATCTGATTTGCAAAACACCTTTCTCTTGTGTGTGTGTGTGTGTGTGTGTGTGTGTGTGTGTGTGTGTGTGTGTGTTGGCTTTATTTGAGGTTAAAAAAATGATGAGATCTAAATTCCCAAATTGATAGTACTACAAAATTATATGTGGAGATTTCCAGAACATTTCCATTCTGAAACAAGTAAGCAAATAATTTTGTTCAACAAAAGACTCAAGATACAATTTATAAAAGTTTTGGCTAGACTAGACTAGAAACACTGAGAGAAATACTACATAAGTGTAAATAGATAGTGTGAATTTGTACCATTAGGATTTAATAATGGAAGTATAAAAAGAAATCTTAAATAAATGGGCAAAGTTAGCCGACACCAAATGCACTAGAATTTGTTGCCTCTACACGTCAAAGTAAAATGTCACAAGTGCCAAAACGAAGGGATATGCAGAGTGTTATTGGCATTCCTTCTTGCTGAGGAGATCAGAAAAGATTTCATGGAGGTATTTGATCCGAGCCCTGAAGGAAGGCAGCATTTTGACAGGCAGCAATGGGCATAGAGGAAATTGAATAGTGAGAGAAATCATTTAAAGAGAGCTAAGGTAAACAGTTAGGAAATAATGCATGCTTAAGGAACAGTGACCCATCCAGTGTGGCTGGATGGAATACAAGTCATATAAAGAAGAGTAGTGGGTGATAGGCTGGAAATTTGGCTTGGAATCAGGTCATGGAGTACCCTGAATTTCTCACAAAGTAATATGAACACTTGTGTCTGCTAACGGAGAATTGTTGAAGGTTTTTTAATAGAGAAATGATATAATCAGAATCAAGCTTTGAAAAGATTAATCTGGCAGTAAGATGTAGAATACTTTGGAAGAAACTGAGGAGTTACAAGGCCAGGGTAATAATACAGATAAGAAATAATGAGGGTCAGATCTACAATAGTGAGAGTAAAAATGGGAAGAAGGTAAGAGATAGATGTGAGGAATGTTGAAAATATAGAATCAAAAGGACTCTGACTAATTATATTAGAAAATGTAGGGAAAGAAGGAAACTGGTCTGAGTAATTATAAGTGTAATGCTAATTATTGAAATTAAAAATAAACCAGAAGAGCATGCTTGTAGATGATGAGTTCAGATTTCACTGTGTCCAGCGTTCAGAGATATTTGTCATGAAAACATGTAACTGTATGGCCTATCCTCCTTGCTGCATCCTTACCCCTATACGCCACATCCAGAAGCCATAGTGATTTGACTAAGAACTTAGTTAGGCTTTATAAGTAGCTAGATGTTTGTGTAATGAATAAAACAAGCCATTAAGAAGTATGTGGCCAAAAATGGGGCCATTACTTATTTCAAGGAAAGGCATGTGTTAGGGCAATAGTAGCTCCTATGAATAGAAAGTCTATCAAATTTCAGTGGCCTAGCATTATAGAATTTATTTTTTCACTCATTTGCATTCAGTTGCCACTGGCAGGAGAAGGGGGGACTCCATGCAGTCATTCAGGGACCCAGGATTATGAAAATTCTTTCATCTTGGCTTCCAAGGCCATCCTAGTAGTATTGCCCAATTAGCAGGGAACAAGAGAGAGAATGAAAAATTTTATAGAAGAGCTCTAGGGACCAAGCCTAAAAATGGTATAGATCACTTTTGCCCACATTTCTTTGGCCAGAATTCAGTCACGTTGCTATAACTTAACTGTAAGAGAGGCTCAGAAATATGGAAATAACTATGAGGCCAAGAAGATAAGGAAATAACTTTGTTAAACAGATAGTTGGCCTCTACCACTAGGTCACAATTTCAAAGGTAAGGTGTAGGGGCTAAGGATAAACAAAAAGAACCACAGCTGTCTCTATAGAAACACAAATTACTATTGCCATTGTGGAAAGAAGTGGCCTAATAGAGTATGGAGCATTTGACAAAATGAATTTCCTCTTCTTTATATAGACCATATAGTATCTAACAATCTTTTTTCTTAAAACTTGGGTTGGGGAAGAGCATGTGTGTGTGTGTGTGTGCACGCATGTGTGTGTGTGTGTGTATGTGTGTCAGTGGTAGACCACCCTGCTCATGTGTTTTTCCACAATGCTGATTTTCACTCTTATAGTGAATGTTGTTCCAGACATGAAAACCCAGACTTAGGAAATGCACCATTGGGAAGCACTGTATCCCACAAAGAGCCCAGTGATGTAAGATAATGGAACCTAGTGAAGATGAGACAAAGCCCCAATGGATAGAAGGTAGGGTTTTCCAAAAAGAGACTGGAGATTTGTACCTTGGAAGTTTACTGAATTTCCATGAAGACAGACAAGAATCTGGGCACCAAAGAGCAAGTTAAGGAACTGGTTCTGTGAAGACAGCTCTTATGAATGGTTAACTTCTTAGCTATGGAAAAAATCGTACTAAATATGCAATTTTAAAGTCATGTATTACAAAACCCTATTTTTTTTCACAACCCTTCTATAAAGTCTTCAAACTTTGTGTGGTATATAGAGGCAAATTGGAGATGTCACAACAAGACAACAGGTCTGCCCACAGCATGGCCCAGTCTGGATCCATAGACTGAGCTACTACCACAGCCTTCCCCACAGTGAGGAGTGGCTCATAGCCCAGTGGAGAGCAGGGGGCGCTGGCCATTGCAGCAGCAGTGGTCAAGCAGATGACTCAGAGTCAGCCACAGGAAATGCTCCCCACTGCCCCCTACTAAGGCAATCCTTAGCCAGGGGGAAAATGTTGATATTGTGTCAAATTTTGATATAAAGGGAGTTACAAGTTTTAGTAAGAGCTCAAATTTACAGATAAAGATTCCAAAATCTCCAGCTTTATTATGTTATAATCAGGGGAATGTAGAAAATGGACAAAGGAATGTGTTCAAAAGAGATATAAAAGATCACTGGACACTGTTGGTGCCCTTCCCAGATGTCCTCAGTTCTTAATTACAAACAGCCTGCACCTTTGACTCTCTTCAGAGGACTGATCCAAGATTATTGGAGCTGCTTTTCCCATGTTAAAAGAGCTGGAAGGGCCTAGGAGGTTTATGACTCCCAACTCCCCAGAGTGACACACAGCCAATGACTGTCTGTCTGGTGTGGATGTGTGAAAGCTCAATCCCTTGTTCTGCGTGGAGACAGACTCTGGCAGAGATCCCCTCAGGGATCACATTGAAGCTGAGACATCACTTGAGATGGCACCGCTACTTGGCTTGTTCCTGCCTCCCCATTGACTGATTGATTTTTCTTAAATGTACTTCCTCAAATTATAGGCATCTGAATTCTCATCTCCAGTTTTGTTTCTGGTGAACTCCAACTAAGACACACATAATAGGGATGCCACCACTGTGGTCATGGTAGGATTTAATGTTTTTGATTTACTAAGAAAGATAAGCACCGTAAAAGGATTGCTAGATTTAGCATTGAGAGATTACTATTGCTTCTAATTCCCCCACGAGTCATACAAATTGACAAGGGAACAAGGAGTAACCTATGTAAATGCCCATGTCCTGGGCACTGTCACTGTCATCAACTGTCAATCATCCTTCCCCAGAAACCACATGTTCCCACATTGCTGCTAAATCCATAAACAAAAAAATAGAGGTAGAAGGAATTTCTAAATTCTTGTAAGAAGACACAGGGGTAAATTCAGTGGCTTCATGGAGTCTAAATCAAATGCACATTAGACTTTATGGAGTCTAAATAAGATACATGTTAGATGGCACCAGGACTGACTTGGTGGGAAGGTGGGTACCTGGGATTTCCATTTATCCTATGCACAGTATCACAGGCAAACTCAAGCACTAGAATAATTGAAGGCTTAGAACTGAAAGGAATCTCAGATAAGTCCTATTCTATTCCCACAGTTTATTACAAGAGTCCATGACCATAAATCCCTTGGCTAAAAGCTGAATTATTACACAAGTTCAAGTCTTTGACTCCCCCTGACTATCTTTCCAGTACACCACACAGCCTTTCAAGTTCTTATTATTGCTAGTAAGAATATTACTGTTACTATATATCAAGTACTTGGCTAAGTTCTTTACAT
This sequence comes from Homo sapiens, assembly GCF_000001405.40. NCBI lineage: Eukaryota > Metazoa > Chordata > Mammalia > Primates > Hominidae > Homo > Homo sapiens. Next base: position 75,371,670 of record NC_000009.12, on the reverse strand, counting down.
TCAAAGTTTTATTTAAAATTCCCAATAATCTATAAGATAGATGCCCTCATTCCAGTTTTACAGAAGAGGACGTGAACTTAGAAGAGATCTACTTAATTGACATCCTGTAGCTTGCTGTGGCCTAGAACTTCAAAGACAAAATCTGAATCCAAAGCCCATGTCTTCTCACTATGTAAACCACCTGCCCTCAATTCATTGATTGACAGGCTGAAAGTTTTATGCTCTAACTTGGACACTAATTGCTAGACCATGTCCTGTAATAATTGTAGAACTGTATAGCCATGTAATCTTCTACCATACCCTTCCCTTTCCAGTAGACAGATAGATCTGTCCAATCCATATTAGAGTCACTTACTTAAGCAGAGAAAGCTTAGGAATTTTGCTTGGCTCGTGCAGCTTTGGGGTCAATTTTTTTCTTCCCTTTCTTTTGGGAAGACATGTTTGGAGCTTCTTTGTCACCTCATTGTAGGATGCTTCTACCAGAAAGGGTCATCTAACAGCATTCTTTCCACAAGAACAAAGACAGAAATCACTGAGGCACTGAGGTAGAGGGGAAGAGCATTGGACACAGAACTAGGGAACGGGCCCAGAAAAGGGATGGAGCTCTCAGCAGTAAATATCCTGGACTTCAGTGTCAAAGTGAATGATGGCTCCTTTAGGAGAATCACCTCAGGGAACATCATGATTATCAAATGAAATAATTGCTCAAATTATTATTGGAAATCCTTTGAAATTGCTCTGAGAAACAGCCCCATGGGTAAACTATTTTCCAGAATAAAGCCTGGTTCTTTGTCCAAGATAAAATCCTAGCTTTTGCTCTTTAATGTGAAACCATGAGCAAGAAAGCATACTCCTCTCCAAGCCTTGGTTTTGCCATCTGTATGATGGGAAAACAGTAATACCTGGAGGTGTGAGAATAAAATGAGGAAATGCATGTAAATGTGATTCTGAAACTGTGATATTCTTCACTCAGATAAGACAGAGACGGAAAGTCAATCTTGGCCACTTTTAATTGGGTAAAATATCTTGCTTTGTTCATCCCTAGCAAGATGGGACAAACAGCTTAAGAGGTTACGGTGACATTGACCATTCTTGCTTCTTTATTCCCAGAAATAAAAGCACCACATTCAAAAGTTACTCAATTCACTAGTCATTCCAAAAAAGTTCCCACCAACAGAAAACACTGCAGTGACACAGAGTGGTTTTCTTTAATTTTCTATTATTTTGATGCTTTGAGAGAGGAGATCATTGAGCTTTTTTCCCTAAAACAAACATAAAACCTCTGAGTCTGAAAATCCAGGGGCTTCACTTTTCCATGAACAGCATTTAACATGCATGAAGAAGAACTTACGGCCCATGATGAGAGTCTACTTCTTTGATAAGGGGTCTAAATATACTTTGCAAACACGTGGCCATGACCTCCCTGACCGATCACTGGACATGTGAAGCAACGTGTGTGGGCCAGCTGTGGAATTTGGCTTGGCTCGAGCTTGCAATCACCTCCCTTCTCTAAAAATTCTTTAAATACTGGAAGACCTGTGTGTATGTAGAGGGTGCAGGGGAGGAGGTGTGAGGAGTTGTTAGCAAAAGACAACAGATGAGCTCATGAAACTTGAACAAGCTGCTGGGGCATTCCACATGTGAGGCTTGGAGGCTATTCCATGGTCCTCTGTAGATAGTAATGAGCTTATTGGAAAGGACAATATTTTCAAATAAATTTTATTTTTGGAGAGAGGTTTGTATGTTATATAGAGAAAGGTCTTGTAATCCAGATCACACTGAAGGTCCATTTGTGAAAGTGCTTAGACTGGCTGACTTGACTGGAGAACCCGCATTTAAGCATGGGCATTGTACACAGGCTCACAGTTTACTATAAATCCAGGGGCTTTCCAAGAACATGTGGCTCTTATGTGCCTGCCCATGCTTGACATGTGCACCTGAACTTTCTTGAAATCCTTATTTCATATTCACTTACACAATCCCAGGCAAAGGTAAAAGCAACACATAGAGTTGCCGATGTGGAACATCACCAGCAACTTCAGAGTTTATATTCTAAATAAGGCATGGTGCATGGTAGCACTACAGAGTTCAGACACAGAGTTAGCTGAAAGATCCATATTCCAATCTAGTCTGAATCTTTGACTCAGTCTTCCCATCAAGAAAATATTTGCCTTAAACCAAATCCTATTTTATGCAATTCTATTTTATTAACAATGTTGATTTCATCACATAGCATTAAAAATTTTGCTCCTGGTGCAAAATTTGCTCTGTGTTTCTGTAGAGAAAATATTCCCAGAATGAAAACGTTTTTAACAGAAAAGCAGAAGACTAAATTTTTTACAAAAATATGCCTGTGATCTTTTTATGTATTTGCCCCATTGAATTGTATCTAAATTCATTAATTGAATTGAAATGACAAAACACCATCTTGTGTTTTCTTTAATCATTATTCAAATAGAATAGATTATTTTAAAATACAAATTCTAGGAGCAAATAGCCCATAGTCTCTTTTAGAGTTTTATAAGATTTTATTGCCTGAATGTTCTTGTTTTTCACCCAGAAAAAATCTTGTTTTGCAGAATAATCTGGTCCTATTATCTATTTGACTTTGGGTAAAGTTACTTCCTCCTACCCCATATTTGTTTTCTCATCTATATACGGAAATTAGGCTAAGTGCTTCTAAGTGCCCTTCTGGCCCTAAATGTTCTAGAATAATATGATCCTGTGGTCCCACATCATTCTATAAAAATGTTTTCACAACACTTGTATTTAGCTCTATATTGCTCTATAGTAAATACTTTATTTTATTGTGTTCTAAGGGCCTGGAAGAATTAATGGAGCACTTAGTTACTAATCTATGTCCTAAGTCTACAAGCATAGGGAAAAGTAGTAAAACTGTTTTTAACACATATTCCATTAGCATAATAGATTATATGTGGAAAGTCAAAAAAAAGATGGAAGATATTAATATTATCCTCATTCAAGAGAGTTACAAGTTGATGAATAGATGGTTAAACAATTTGAACAAGTATTACCTCTAGCAGAACCAAGCCAGTAAAAGGAAATATTATTGAGCATCTACTATGTTACAGGCAGCATATCAGGTTTGTTTCACATATATTGTCTCAACAACTTTCCAGAGCAGGTGTTTTCCTCTCCCTTTTTAAAGATGAGATAACCAAGATCAGAGAGATTGTGGTACTTACTGCTACAAGTTATTCTAACAGATACTTTCAAGTATGGAATTGAAAGAGTAGCATTTTAGCTACAAGTAACAGAATATCTGATTGACAGTGAACTAATCAAATAATATTTTATATTTTTTAAATAACGAGAAGTCTGGAATTAAGTAATTTAAGGATTTGTTCAGCCGGATGCTTGGGTCCACTTCTCTGTGATTCTTATCATGGGCACAGGATGGCTGCAGGTCTAGATCACTTAGACTGAAGTTGACAGAATAAATGGCCTAAAATTGTCAAAACCTAAAAGTTCCTGGAGAAACATTCACCACTTGTCCCAGAGTCTAATTTCATCCAGAAGGGCAACTGTGGAAGTCAAAAGTGAGTACAGAATCATTTGGAAATACAGCCACCATGAGGTGATCCATTTAGAGTCATGAGTAAGCTACATATACTCAGAGAAGACCAGCTAAAGTAAACAAATAAAATCCTTTTTCTCAAAGAAAGCCTCTTTAAAGAAACAAATGAAGCTGTTGACATGATAGATGAGCTCTGTCTTCGATGATGCACAGATGAGATTTGCCACCCATCCACACTGATAATAAATGTTAATTCTATGAATTTGTGTTCATAGTTAAAAACAGCAAAAGTTTATAGCAGTGCACCATGTCACCCATGACTTGCCCTAAGTTTATAAGGCTCTGGGGTTCCTCTTGGACATGTATTTATGAGCCCATAGAACCTGGGCACAAATACCCAGAACTGTGTTGTTCTAAGCCCTGTCCTTCCAGTACAAGATGCTGTATATTCCCATAGCTAGCAAACAATAGCTTTAAGATGTCTTTTATTTTATGAAATAACTGCACATCTTTCTACAAGATCCTGCTGCATTTGGTCTTCCCCAACTCTTCTATTAAAATGTTCTCTTTATCTTCTGTATTTCATTAGCCCTTTCTTTTATTCTAAAAAATTTCTCACCAGCTTGTAGTATCTATTTTAGAAGTTATGGACATATCAAATCTCTGGAATAGATATGCTTTTTTACATTCCAGTAAAGTACTTTCCAGATATCCCTGAGAATTCACATTTCCAGCAGGTTTGTAGAATTAATGTTGGCACAATTCCTACTAGCCTTTCTGTTTCATGTGGCTGAAGCAGATGAAGCAGAATGCTCATAGCATATAATTAGAAGAAGAATTTGGTGTACAAAGAGAACAATTTCAAATAGTGAATCTCATATAGTCATTGTCTCCTTTTATAGGAGAAAAAGCTCGATGAACATATATTCAGGGTTTTCATCTCCCTTTTTAAAGATGAGATAACCAAGATCAGAGAGATTGTTGTACTTACTGCTACAAGTTATTCTAACAGATAACTTTCAAGTATGGAATTGAAAGAGCAGCATTTTGGCTATAAGTAACAGAATATCTGATTGACAGTGAACTAATCAAATAATATTTTATTTATATATATACATATAATTCAAGGAAAAAACCATCACCTATGATTCCTGAATACTTTTTGGTTTTCTAAAATTTTGATAGGCTTCTTCCTTTTAGGGCCCTGGACAACAACAATAGAGGCTAATATATAACCTGCAATTGATAACAATGCCCTTACTCTCAGGTTATGACCTTCTAGAATAACATCTGGCCATATTAATAATTAGTACCTCTTGAGAGATGTGCAGCATGGTAAGCGAGAGCACTGAACTAGATGCAGCAAACTGGACAGAAGAGGAGGAAACCAAGGGGAGAAACCTTTCTCAGGGATGAATATATACCTAATCTGGTAGTAAGATTTGGGCATTGTGGACATTTTCCCCCTGGATGTTTGATATGAGAGTTCAGCTACCTATGATGCCATACCAGGCAGGCAGAGCAAAAGTCTGCTGCGCTCACCAGCTGCCATGCCCCCAGTGGCACATAAGGATATGCTTGAAAAGCAGATAGGAAGGTGGGGGCTCTAGGCTTAGACCGAACACTGTTGTTGGGACCTTCCACAAATTACTTTCCCTCTGTAGGTCTGCTCCCTCCTCTCTAAAATGAGACAATTTTAATAATTAATATTAGAACATTCCTGAGAGCACTTCCAATCCCCAAATACTATAGCTGAGCATATGTGCTCTGAACTCCAGCCAGTTCTACCTCCACCACCCCCTGACATTCATACTCTTTCCCTCAAAGGGGATCTTTGAGGAAAGCAAGAGAGCATCTTATTATGAAAACATAAAAGTTATGGCCAAATCGCTGGTTAATATTACAGTCAGAAGACATCATTTTTCTTATAAATGGGAAACCATGTAAAGTTTTTCCATCCTTCACCTGAAGCCTAAGGAATTATTACCTTCCCTCCAGCTCAGGGTTCTCAACTCAAGGAAACTTTAATTTCACCCAAGGCCAAAAGAAACACCTAGCAGTTCTGTTTAAGTCCAAACACTTAATAAGTACTTTAGGCCTAACAACTTAGAATCGTTTGGAAAAATACTATATATAAATTGAAAGAAAAAATAGTTTAAATTTACTCTTAAGAGTAAACTTACCATGATTGCTTAGCTAATGGGATACGTGTGCCTATTGGGCACTGTGCAAGTTCTCACCCTTGGAATTAGATTGGGCATAGCCACCCTCATTTCTATTGCACATTGATTTTTGAGGGTGCTAACTTTTTTTTATCATAGAACTCTCAAATGCCCAACTTTGCTAAGATACCACTTCACTGAAAACAACATAGCACTCTCTGATATTCAAACAGTCATTCACATGATGTCCAACAGAAGCTGTCCTGTTTTCCTCAAAAGTTTAAAACTTTCATTGAAATGGTGCTTCTGTGAATTTGCTGCTGTGCCCCAGAGCACCCTGGGACAGAGCTCAGGAACTAGAGCTGTAGCTCCTGAGGCAGAAAATAGCTGGAATTTGAACCAATTTTGTTCTGATTCCCTGGCTACCAGAAAAAAAAAGGGGAGAAAAGATGGGTAAAAATATGGACAGAACCATAAAGGTAGCAAAGAGAGGGACAGAAAGGACGGACTCTTAGTGGTCCATCTGGTCATGGACTAATGAACTAGTAGTTGACTCAATGGGAAAAGTAAAGTGAAATGCCACACATTCCTATGGACATAAGTAAGTGTATCTATCTCTTTCACTAAATTAAGACCAAGCAGATGATCTAATTCATTTCAGTATTCTTCTACATGCCTAATTGAACACATACTGTTGTATTGAATTTCCTTACCCAGAACACTGAACTTAAATCTAATTGTGGTAGAATGTGCTAATTAATTTGTTCTGATTTATTTTACACCCCTGAAGTTAGAGCGTCTTACAATTCAATACACAGATTAATAGAGATTCAGAAGGCTTTGCTACTGTTCTGCTATTGGGACCCCTCCATGTTCCTGCTGGAAATCTGAGATGAGGATTGGATTTTTGGTTTATTTTGTATTTCAGACTAAGTATCTAAGGGTAAAACGTGTCTGGCAATGAGTGAAGTCCACAAGTGTATTCCCACTGATTTTACCTCAAAACTGGCATTTGAGAGAGTTGATTCCATGGTTTTCTACAATGTGAGCTATAGTATATGATGGAACCACTCCCTAACTTCTGTTAGCCTTTGATTTACTAAAGTAATCAAACTGTCGGGTATGGCTGTATCATCGTTTGCCAGGAAAACATGACAAAAGTATTGTTGTCCCAGAAGATCAAAAGAATGTCAGTTCTTTAAAATAATTTTGGTGCTAAAATGTACAGATTAGGAATGAAATTAAATGACTGGATGTGGAATGCAATAACTGATTTACATTTCCTCTGCAATTGCAAACGATTGCTGTTCCGATTTACAAGTTCTTGAGAAACGGTGTTAGTTTTTTCTTTGGTTGGTTTCTTTTTTTTAAAATTCAGCTACATCATTTTGTTCACTCACTTATCCCCCTCACCTTTCATCAGAAAATTGCAGAGCCACTGATAGCCTCTGTGACCAGATTTTTCCCCAGTGTTGCACAAAATGTGCAAGCCACCTGTTAAAAATCAAAGACATAAAGAAATATGTGTAATCGCCTGATGGGTTCTTCCTGCTCACTGGACAGACAAAACCAATTCACTGAGAGCATGGTATCACAAAAAAGAAATTTTGATTGACATGAGGCTGGCCATGCCACCTGGGAGATGAAGTTATTACTCAAATCAATCTGTCTGAAAATTCAGACTAGGGTTTTTCCAAGGATAGTTTGGTGGGCACAGGGCAAGAAAATGGGTGCTGCTGATTGGTTGGAGATGTAATCATAGGGATGGGGAAAAAGGTCTTCGTGCACTAAGTCCGCTTCTGGGTGGGGACCACAGAGAAGTCACTTGTCCAAGTAGGTCAGAAATACAAAAGTCTGAAAAGTGACGTCTCAAGAGGCCAATTTTAGGTTCTACAGTAGTGAATTGAGGAAGTTGAAAATCTTATGTCCATCAACAATAGACTGGATTAAGAAAACGTGCCACATATACACCATGGAATACTATGCAGCAATAAAAAAGGATGAGTTCATGTCCTTTGCAGGGACGTGGATGAAGCTGGAAAGTCTCAGTCTCAGCAAACCATCACAAGATCAGAAAACCAAACACCGCATGTTCTCACTTGTAAGTGGGAGCTGAACAATGAGAACCCATGAACACAGGGAGGGGAACATCACACACTGGGGCTTGTAGGGGGTGGGGGGCTAGGGAAGGGATAGCATTAGGAGAGATATCTAATGTAGGTGACGAGTTGATGGGTGCAGCAAACCACCATGGCATGTGTATACCTATGTAACAAACCTGCATGTTCTGCACATGTATCCCAGAACTTAAAGGGTAATAAAAAATTTTTTTAATTAAAAACAAAAAATCTTGTGACCTCCCGAATAGTGGCTGCTAATCATTTAACTACACCTAAGTCTTAGCAGAATTCAGGCCCTTCTCATCCTAAACTGGTGACCTTTCATTAGTTTTAAAAAGGCAGTTTAGTTTTGGGGAAGGGCTATTATCATTTAAACTATAAAATAAATTTCTCCCAAAGTTAGCTTGGGCCAAGCTCAGGAATGACCAAAAGCAGTTTGGAGGTTAAAGGCAGGATGAGGGTTGGCTAGATCAGATCTCTTTCACTATCATAACTTTCTCTCTGTTGTAATTTTTGCAAAGGTGGTTTCATACAGAGTGCTAGAATCCACAATCAAAACAATCCTACTGGGAAGGGTCCCTGATAGTGTGCTTACTTCACAAGCAAGGAGGAAACAGGATAATATCAAGTATCTCAGATAGCAAGGAAAATGGGCCTTTCACATGTCTGTTGTGGGAAGTCAGGGACCTGAACGGAGGAACCGGCTGGAGCCACGGCAGAGGAACATAAATTGTGAAGATTTCACCTTAATATGGACATTTATCAGTTCCCAAATAATACTTTTATAATTTCTTATGCCTGTCTTTATTTTAATCTCTTAATCCTGTTATCTTTGTAAGCTGGGGATGTGCGTCACCTCAGGACCACTGTGATAATTGTGTTAACTACACAAATTGATTGTAAAACATGTGTTTGAACAATATGAAATCAGTGCATCTTGAAAAAGAGCACAATAACAGTGATTTTTATGGAACAAGGGAAGACAACCATAAGGTCCAACTGCCTGCAGGGCCGGGCAAAAAGAGCCATATTTTTCTTTTTGCAGAGAGCCTATAAACAGATATGCAAGTAGGAAACAAGTCACTAAATTCTTTTCCTAGCAAGGAATATTAATATTAATACCCTGGGAAAGGAATGCGTTCCTGGGGGGGAGGTCTATAAACGGCCACTCTGGGAATGTCTGTCTTATGCAGTTGAGATAAGGACTGAGATACGCCCTGGTCTCCTGCAGAACCCTCAGGCTTACCAGGGTGGGGAAAAACTCTGCCCTTGTAAATTTGTGGTCAGACCAGTTCTCTGCTCTCGAACCCTGTTTTCTGTTGTTTAAGATGTTTATCAAGACAATACATGCACTGCTGAACATAGACCCTTATCAGTGGTTCTGCTTTTGCCCTTTGTCCTGTGATCTTTGTTGGACACTTATCAGTGGTTCTGTTTTTGCCTTTGTCCCGTTCCCTCAGAAGGCTGCGATCTTTGTTAGACCCTTATTTGTGGTTCTGCTTTTTGCCTTTTGAAACATGTGATCTTTGTACCTACTCCCTGTTCTTACACCCCCCTCCCCCTTTGAAACCCTTAATAAAAACTTGCTGGTCTGAGACTCAGGTGGACATCACGGTCCTACTGATAAGTGATGTCACTCCCGGTGGCCCAGCTGTAAAATTCCTCTCTTTGTACTGTCTCTCTTTATTTCTCAGCTGGCCAACACTTATGGAAAATAGAAAGAACCTACGTTGAAATATTGGGGGTGGGTTCCCCCAATACATGTGCCCAGAAACAATGTTTCAGATTTTATAAACATTAGCTCACTCACCCACATTTAACAGAAGGAGAAACTAACGTTGTCAAGGTTGATACAACTTGCCCTTGATCAGCTACAGGGCAAAACCAAAATTGAAACCTTTGTCTGATCAATCATCATGTCAACACTCATTCACCACACAATTTACAGACACAAAGTTGAGCTGTTGACAGTTCAAAACTGTGGAGAAACAGTACTAGATTTGAGTGGGAAGGCAAAGGCCCTAAGATCCCTTTTCAACTTGAAGCCAAGAAAGTCCTTTTAGCATCGCCCTACCTATGGCTAGAGACCTACGGCCCTTAGGGGAAGGCATATCAATGCCATAACAAAATGGCACATTAGAGCTAATGAGAGTTTGGACTCCTCACATAATATGAGCTAACTAGAAATGCATTTCAAACTGAGTATCCCTTCCTCTTTTCCTAAATTCGGTCCACCTTGTCATTTCCATTACAAGCACACATCTCTTCCCTCCTGACTTTCAAGATTTGTAAAGTTGACCTTATTAACTTTTTTCCATGGCCAAAATTTGGTCTGATCGACTTTATGTTTTATTACTGTTTTCAATCATGTAGAACTAAAAGTGTTAGAAGTTGGAAAAAGCAGCTTTGATTCTTCAAAATGTGTTTTAAATAAAATAGTCCTGCATGTCAAATTCACAGATTTTCTTTTTCAAGTATTAAATGTTTTTGGGTTTTTTGGGGTCTTTTTGTTTGTTTGCTTTGTTTTGCTTTTTTGAGACAGAGTCTCTGTTGCCCAGGCTGGAGTGCAGTGGTGCAATCTCAGCCCACTGCAACCTCTGCCTCCCAGGTTCAAGCAGTTCTCCTGCCTCAAACTCCTGAGTAGCTGGGACTACAGGTGCATGCCACCAAGCCCAGCTAATTTTTGTATTTTTTAGTAGAGATGGGGTTTCACCATGTTGGCCAGGCTGATCTTGAACTCCTGACCTCAGGTAATCCACCTGCCTCAGCCTCCTAAAGTGCTGGGATTACAGGTGTGAGCCACCACGCCTGGGCTTCAAGTATTAAATGTTTAATGACAGAGAGATGTAGGGGCCATAGGCTCTTGGTCCCCTAAAGATTCACTAAAACTGACTGACATGGCCAGGCATGGTGGCTCACGCCTGTAATCCCAGCTGTTTGGGAGGCTGAGACAGGTGGATCACAAGGTCAGGAGATCGAGACCATCCTGGCTAACACAGTGAAACCGTGTCTCTACTAAAAATACAAAAAATTAGCAGGGCATGTTGGCGGTCCCTGTAGTCCCAGCTACTCAGGAGGCTGAGGCAGGAAAATCGTGTGAACCTGGGAGGCGGAACTTGCAGTGAGTGGAGATACGTGCCACTGCTCTCCAGCCTGGGTGACAGAGTGAGACTCCATCTCAAAAAAAAAAAAAAAAAAAAAATGACTGACATAAGCCATATTGATTAATAGAAGAAAAGGCATACAAATTTATTTAACGTGTAAACGTGAGATACAGAAACTTATATACCATCTTGAGGTTACAAAAAGAATGGGGGATAAGATTCTGGTAGAACAGGTTATGGGAGAGGGTAGAAGAGGCTTGGCTAGCAAAGGTGGCCTTGTTATGTAGATAAAGCCTCCCTCAGAGAGAACAGACGGTAAATGTTTCTTTTAAAGTTGTCAGACTGTCAACCTGTCTTGGATCTGAGGAAAGGAATAGAAAGAGGAGGGAGCATGATGCATTAATGCAGATTCTCTACAGATGCAAATTTTCCCAACTTAAGACAGCTTTGCAAGGCCACTTCTGCCTGCTGGCCAAGTGGCAGCCATTTAAAAATATATATCAAAGAAATATATTTTGGGGTATAATATTTTAATTTCCTTCAGAGAGCGACAACTAACCAGAGTACAGTTCTTAGGGGACAGCTTTTACATGAACCTTCAAGGCTCCAAAGCAGATGTTTGCCAATTTTAACATAACCCCTAAAATCAAAGTTTACATTTAACTGTTGTCTTAGGTCAAGTTTCCCTAGAAGCAGAACCAGACACAGAGATTAGGGCCCAGAGGTTTATTGAGGATATATTCTTCACTAAATACTCATAGAAGAGTGAGGAAAACAGAAGAGAGAAGAGAAAACAGGCTTGGCCTCATTCAAAGGTGGGAGGAAAGGGGCTAGTCAGGGAGTGGGGACTCCTCTGGCCTGTAATACCTCTGAGCCATCCTTTCGGTAGGTCCTGGGCTCGGCTTTGGTATGCTCCTGTTGCCACAGACATTCAAACCAGAGTGACTTTACCTTGAATAGCGGCTGGGTAAAATAAGGCTGAGACCTACTGGGCTGCATTCCCAGGAGGTTAGGCACTCTTAATCACAGGATGAGATGGGAGGTCAGCACAAGATACAGGTCACAAAGACCCTGCTGATAAAACAGGATGTGGGGAAGAAGCCAGCCAAAACCAAGATGGCAATGAAAGTGACCTCTGATCATTCTCACTGCTCATTATACATTAATTATAATGCATTAGCATGCTGAAAGACACTCCCATCAGTGCCATGAGTTTACAAATGCCATGGAAGTATCAGGAAGTTTCTCTATATGGGCTAAAAAGGAGAAGGAATCCTCAGTTCCAGAAAATCCCCACTCCTTTCTCATGAATAATCACCCTATTTCTCATGAATAATCCACCCCTTGTTTAGCATATAATCAAGAAATAACCATAAAAATAGCCAACCATCAGCCCTCCATGCTGTTCTGCTCTGCCTGTGGAGTAGCCATGCTTTTGTTTCTTTGCATCTCTAATAAACCTGCTTCACTTTATAGACTTGCTCCAAATTCTTTCTTGCGTGAGGTCCAAGAACCTTCTCTTGGGATCTGGATCGGGATCCCTTTCCAGTAACACTATCAGCCAATCTCTGACAAGAGGTGCTGGAGAGGTTGGTAACCTCCCAGGCATCTCTTCCAAGGCAGTCTTGTCAGCCAAGGGTAATTTTCTGGAGAGCTTAGCAGGAATGTGCTGTTAACTGCAGCACCTGAAACAGCAAGAGGAGGAATGCATATTTGCTACAGCATCCCAATGAGTAGTTTCCTGGGGACTTGTTAGAAATGCAAATTCCTGGTCCCCATCCCACATCTACTGCATCAGGAACACTGGCAGTGGAATCCACAATGTAATACCCCTCCTCTAGGTGATTCTGATGCACTCTAAAGTTTGAGAAGCACAGGATGGCAACTATCTTCCCACTAAATATCACATATCACACTGTTAGCTGATAGGCTTGTGTTAGTGCAAGTTGTGTTGAAACTAGGAACCCCCTGAAAAATATTTTGGTTCAGATTATCTACAAAAGGCATTTCCACAAACAGATGTCTAGCTTCAATTAGCCACACGTTTCCACCTTTAGTTATTTTCTCTGCTTTCCCCCAGCCTTTCTGGACTCTTTCTATGACTTGAGGGCTCTGAGCAAACTCTTCCCTGGAGTCTTTTTAGGAAGGCTTAATTAGTCTCACACATTCACAGGGTCATCAAGCTCTCCCCTGCCCCCAAAGGAGGGGTTTATAGCCCAATAAGGATGTGTTGCCTTATAGCCTTCTCCTTTCTGGAATAAAACCTGTGAATATTAAGTTGACATTTTGCAGTATTTTGCTCCAAGATCTAATTCTCCTAACTAAGCAAGGTAAAAAAGAAAAAAAAAGAAAAAAAAGAAAAAAAAAATAGGCACACTACAATCAAATGTCTCTGTTGGAAGAAATTATGACTTTAGACTATTGACTAAGTTCATCATTTCATGCTAGAGGATATGGAGGGAAAATCTGTTTGGAAATTGTTTTTTAAACAAACTTTTACCTTTTCATCATTAAAAACATATTCAAATATTATCTTAAACACTGGAAAATATTATAAATATTATATGAAAGAATCTGCTTTTTAGGGCTACTGACTTCTTTTACTATTGATACTTTTATTATGCATTATTTTAAATGTAGAGGAAAGTCCAGAAAGTAATGTAACCAACATTTGTATACAGCTATCCCTCAGTATTTTTGGGGGACTGGTCCCAGGCATCCTCCTACAGATGCCAAAATTCATGGATGCTCATGTCTGATATAAAACGGTGTAGTAATTCTATCCAGTGGTCCCATTTCACATGTTGCTGTAGCAATAAGTAGGAACATAGTAGAAGATGCTTACTAACAAGTTTCCCTTTTACATGTGACCAAGAAATAACAGTGATGTTGAGGTCAGGATTTTCTGTCTCTCATCTTTCTCTTTTCCTATCCCTGTCCCCTGTCCCCCAGAGGGATGGAGCCAGCTGAGAGATTGGGTTGAGGGAAGGGTAGGGGGAAGGAGAGGATAGCCAAAGATTGGTTAATGAACACAAAAGTATAGCTAAATAAAGAGAATAAGTTCTAGTGTTCCATAGCACTACAGGGTGACTATATTGTCATTAATTATAGTCACCCTATAGTGAATTTTGAATGTTCCCAATACACATTTGAAGTGATAAAAATGCTAAATGTCAGATCTCTGAGCCCAAGCTAAGCCATCATATCCCCTGTGACCTTCATGTACACATCCAGATGGCTGGTTCCTGCCTTAACTGATGTCATTCCACCACAAAAGAAGTGAAAATGGCCTGTTCCTGCCTTAACTGATGACATTATCTTGTGAAATTCCTTCTCCTGGCTCACCCTGGCTCAAAAGCTCCCCTACTGAACACCTTGCGACCCCCACTCCTGCCTGCCAGAGAACAACCCCCGTTTGACTGTAATTTTCCTTTACCTACACAAATCTTATAAAACAGCCCCACCCCTATCTCCCTTCACTGATTCTCTTTTCAGACTCAGCCTGCCTGCACCCAAGTGAAATAAACAGCCTTGTTGCTCACACAAAGCCTGTTTGGTGGTCTCTTCAAATGGACACACATGAAATTTGGTGCCGTGACTCAGATCAGGGGACCTCGCTTGGGAGATCAATCCCCTGTCCTCCTGCTCTTTGCTCCGTGAGAAAGATCCACCTATGACCTCTGGTCCTCAGACCAACCAGCCCAAGGAACATCTCACCAATTTCAAATCCGGTAAGCGGCCTCTTTTTACTTTCTTCTCCAACCTCTCTCACTATCCCTCAACCTCTTTCTCCTTTCAATCTTGGCACCACACTTCAATCTCTCCCTTCGCTTAATTTCAGTTCCTTTCCTTTTCTGGTAGAGACAGGAGACACGTTTTATCCATGGACCCAAAACCCCAGCACCGGTCATGGACTCAGGAAGACAGTCTTCCCTTGGTGTTTAATCACATGGGGACACCTGCCTGATTATTCACCCATGTTTCAGAGGTGTCTGACCACACGGGGACACCTGCCTGATTATTCACCCATGTTTCAGAGGTGTCTGACCACACGGGGACGCCTGCCTTGGTCCTTCACTCTTAGTGACAAGTACCACTTTTCTGGGGGACAAGAACCCCCCAAACCCTTCTCTCCGTGTCTCTACCCCTTCTCCGCTTTTCTGGGGGGTAAGGACCCCCCAACCCCTTCTCTTCATGTCTCTACCCTTTCTCCACTTTTCTGGGGGGCAAGAACCCCCCAATCCCTTCTCCTTCACTCTTAGCGGCAAGTACTGCTTTTCTAGGGCACAAGAACCCCCCGACCCCTTTTCTCCATGTCACTACCCCTTTTCTGCTTTTCTGGAGGGCAAGAACCCCCCAACCCCTTCTCTCTGTGTCTCTACCCCTTCTCCACTTTTCTGGAGGGCAAGAACCCCCCAATGCCTTCTCTCTGTGTCTCTACTCTCTCTTTTCTCTGGGCTTGCCTCCTTCACTATGGGCAAGCTTCCGCCCTCCATTCCCCCTTCTTCTCCCTTAGCCTGTGTTCTTAAAAACCTAAAACCTCTTCAACTCCCACCTGACCTAAACATAAATGCCTTATTTTCTTCTGCAATGCCACTTGACCCCAATACAAACTCGACAGTGGTTCCAAATAGCCAGAAAATGGCACTTTCAATTTTTCCATCCTACAAGATCTAAATAATTCCTGTCATAAAATGGGCAAACAGTCTGAGGTGCCTGACATCCAGGCATTCTTTTACACACCGGTCCCTCCCTAGTCTCTGTTCCCAATGCAACTCATCCCAAATCTTCCTTCTTTTCCTCCCGCCTATCCCCTCAGTCCCAACCCCAAGCGTCACTGAGTCTTTCTAATCTTCCTTTTCTACAGACCCATCTGACCTCTCCCCTCCTCGCCAGGCTGAGCTAGGTCCCAATTCTTCCTCAGCCTCCACTTCTCCACCCTATAATCCTCTTATCACCTCCCCTCCTCACACTGGGTCCAGCTTACAGTTTCATTCCATGACTAGCCCTCCCCCACCTGCCCAGCAATTTCCTCTTAAAAAGGTGGCTGGAGCTAAAGGCATAGTCAAGGTTAATGCTCCTTTTTCTTTATCCCAAATCAGATAGCATTTAGGCTCTTTTTTATCAGATATAAAAACCCAGCTCAGTTCATGGCTCTTTTGGCAGCAACCTTGAGATGCTTTACAGCCCTAGACCCTAAAAGGTCAAAAAGCCATCTTATTCTCAATATACATTTTATTACCCAATCCACTCCCGACATTAAATAAAACTCCAAAAATTACATTCCAGCCCTCAAACCCCATAACAGGACTTAATTAACCTTGCCTTCAAGGTGTACAGTAATAGAGTAGAGGCAGCCAAGTAGCAACATATTTCTGAGTTGCAATTCCTTGCCTCCACTGTGAGAGAAACCCCAGCCACATCTCCAGCACACAAGAACTTCCAAATGCCTAAACTGCAGTGGCCAGGTGTTCCTCCAGGCCCACCACCCCCAGGAGCTTGCCACAAGTGCCAGAAATCTGGCCACCAGACCAAGGAATGCCCACAGCCCGGGATTCCTCCTAAGCCGTGTCCCATCTGTGCGGGACCCCATTGGAAATCAGACTGTCCAACTCTCCCAGCAGCCACTCCCAGAACCCCTGGAACTCTGGCCCAAGGCTCTCTGACTGACTCCTTCCCAGATCTTCTCGGCTTAGCAGCTGAAGACTGACACTGCCCAATCACCTCGGAAGCCTACAGGACCACCACAGATGCTCTGGGTAACTCTCACAGTGGAGGGTAAGTCCATCCCTTTTTTAATCAATACGGAGGCTACCCACGCCACATTACCTTCTTTTCAAGGGCCTGCTTCCCATGCCTCCACAACTGTTGTGGGTACTGACGGCCAGACTTCTAAACCTCTTAAAACTCCCCAACTCTGGTGCCAACTTACACAATGCTCTTTTAAGCACTCCTTTTTAGTTATCCCCACCTGCCCAGTTCCCTTCTTAGGCCAAGACACTTTAACTAAATTATCTGCTTCCCTGACTATTCCTGGGCTACAGCCACACCTCATTGCTGCCTTTTCCCCCAGTTCAAAGCCTCCTTCACATCCTTGCCTTGTGTCTCCCCACCTTAACCTACAAGTATAGGACACCTCTACTCCCTCCTTAGTGACCGATCATGCACCCTTTACTATCCCATTAAAACCTACTCACCCTTACCCCACTCAATGCCAATATCCCATCCTACAGCAGGCTTTAAAAGGATTAAAGTCTGTTATCACTTGCCTGCTACAGCATGGCCTTTTAAAGCCTATAAACTCCCCTTACAATTCCCGCATTTTACCTCTCCTAAAACCAGACAAGGCTTATAGGTTAGTTCAGGATCTGCACCTTATCAATGAAATTGTTTTGCCTATCCACTCCGTGGTGCCAAACCCATATACTCTCCTATCCTCAATACCTCTCTCCACAATCCATTATTCTGTTCTGGATCTCAAACATGCTTTCTTTACTATTCCTTTGCACTCTTCATCCCAGCCTCTCTTCACTTTCACTTGGACTGACCCTGACACCCATCAGGCTCAGCAAATTACCTGGGCTGTCCTGCCTCAAGGCTTCACTGACAGCCGCCCTTACTTCAGTCAAGCCCACATTTCTTCCTCATCTGTTACCTATCTCGGCATAATTCTCATAAAAACATACGTGCTCTCCCTGCTGATCATGTCCGGCTAATCTCCCAAACCCCAATCCCTTCTACAAAACAACAACTCCTTTCCTTCCTAGGCATGGTTAGTGCAGTCAGAATTCTTGCACAAGAGCCGGGGCTGCACCCTGTAGCCTTTCTGTCCAAACAACTTGACCTTACTGTTTTAGCCTAGCCCTCATGTCTATATGCAGTGGCTGCCACTGCTTTAATACTTTTAGAGGCCCAAAAAATCACAAACTATGCTCAACTCACTCTCTACAGTTCTCATAACTTCCAAAATCTATTTTCTTTCTCCCACCTGACTTTCTGCTCCCTGGCTCCTTCAGCTATACTCACTCTTTGTTGAGTCTCCCACAATTACCATTGTTCCTGGCCCAGACTTCAATCCAGCCTCCCACAGTATTCCAGATACCACACCTGACCCCTATGACTGTATCTCTCTGATCCACCTGACATTCACCCTATTTCCCCATATTTCCTTCTTTCCTGTTCCACACCCTGAACACACTTGGTTTATTGATGGTAGTTCCAACAGGCCTAATCACCACACACCAGCAAAGCCAGACTATGCTATAGTAGAAGCCACCAGCCCACCTCTTAGAACCTCTCATTTCCTTTCCATGGTGGAAATCTATCCTCAAGGAAATAACTTCTCAGTGTTCCATCTGCTATTCTACTACTCCTCCGGGATTATTCAGGCCCCCTCCATTCCCTACACATCAAGCTCGAGGGTTTGCCCCTGCCCAGGACTGGCAACTCTTAACTCCCTCTTAGAGTGGATAGATGATCTTTGCTCACAGGGAACCCTCCAATACTTTTACCCTGATGAAGTTCTATTCTTTACTTTTATACTCACTCTTATTCTCATTCCCATTCTTATGCCACCCTCTACCTCTCTCCAGCTATCTCCACCACACTATCAACCTTACTCATTCTATCCTAGCCATTTATAATCCCTCCTTAGTGAACAACCACTGGCTTTGCATTTCCCTTTCTTCCAGTGCCTACACAGCTGTCCCCGCCTTACATGCAGACTAGGCAACATCTCCTGTCTCCTACACCTCCAAACTTCCTTTAACAGCCCTCACCTTTACCCTCCTGAAGAACTCATTTACTTTCTAGACAGGCCCAGCAAGACCTCCCCAAACATATCACATCAGCAAGCTGCCGCCCTCCTCCGCACTTACTTAAAAAACCTTTCTCCTTATATCAACTCTACTCCCCCCATATTCAGACCTCTCACAACATAAACTACTATTCCTTTGGCTGCTCCTTTATGTATCTCTCAGCAAAGACCCACTGGAATTCCCCTAGGTAACCTTTCACCTTCTCAATGTCCCTTTACTCTTCATCTCCAAAGCCCTCTTCTTGTTTACTTATACCCAGCCCCAAAAATAACATGAAAGGTTGCTCGTAGATTCTTGACATTTTCTCACACACCATGAAAATCGAACCTCCCCCTCTATGCAGTTAACTTATCAGTCCCCATTACAACCTCTGATGACTGCCGCCCTAGCTGCATCCCTACAAGTCTAGGTACAAGACACCCCTTTCAGCACTCCTTCTCATCTTTTTACTTTGCATTTCCAGTTTTGCCTCACACAAGGTATCTTCTTCTTCTGTGTATCCTCTACCTACATGTGTCTACCTGGTAATTGGACAGGCACATGAACACTAGTTTTCCTTACTCCCAAAATTCAATTTGCAAATAGGACTGAAGAGCTCCCTGTTCCCCTCATGACACCAACATGACAAAAAAAGAGTTATTCCACTAATTCCCTTGCTTGTCAGTTTAAGACCTTCTGCCCCCGCTATTGCTCTCAGTACTGAAATAGCAGGCATTTCAACCTCTGTCACAACCTTCTGTAGCCTCTCTAATGACTTCTCTGCTAGCATCACAGACATATCACAAACTTTATCAGTCCTCCAGGCCCAAGTTGACTCTTTAGCTGCAGTTGTCCTCCAAAACCGCTGAGGCCTTGACTTACTCACTGCTGAAAAAGGAAGACTCTGTATATTCTTAAATGAAGAGAGTTGTTTTTACCTAAATCAATCTGGCCTGGTGTATGACAACATAAAAAACTCAAGGATAGAACCCAGAAACTTGCCAACCAAGTAAGTAATTACACTGAACCCCCTTGGACATTCTCTAATTAGATGTCCTAGGTCCTCCCAATTCTTAGTCCTTTGATACCTGTTTTTCTCCTTCTCTTATTCTGTTTAGTTTTTCAATTCATACAAAACCGTATCCAGGCTATCACCAATAATTCTACATGACAAATATTTCATTTAACAACCCCACAGTATCACCCCTTACCACAAAATCTTCCTTCAGCTTAATCTCTCCCACTCTAGGTTCCCATGCCGCCCCTAATCTCGCGCAAAGCAGCCCTGAGAAACATCGCCCATTATCTTTCCATACCACCCCCAAAAATTTTTGCTGTCCCAACACTTTACCACTATTTCATTTTATTTTTCTTGTTAATATAAAAGGCAGGAATGTCAGGCCTCTGAGCCCAAGCTAAGCCATCATATCCCCTGTGACCTGCATGTACACATCCAGATGGCCAGTTCCTGCCTTAACTGATGACATTCTACCACAAAAGAAGTGAAAATGGCCTGTTTCTGCCTTAACTGATGACATTATCTTGTGAAATTCCTTCTCCTGGCTCACCCTGGCTCAAAAGCTCCCCTACTGAGCACCTTGTGACCCCCGCTCCTGCCCACCAGAGAACAACGCCCCTTTAACTGTAATTTTCCTTTACCTACCCAAATTTTATAAAATGGCCCCACCCTTATCTCCCTTCACTGACTCTCTTTTTGGACTCAGCCCACCTGACCCCAGGTGAAATAAACAGGCTTGTTGCTCACACAAAGCCTGTTTGGTGGTCTCTTCACATGGAGGCGAGTGAAACTAAATACCCTGATTTGATTGTTATAAATTATAAACATGTACAATATCACACTGTACTCCATAGATATGTTCTGTGTCAGTTTAGAAAGGCAAAAAAAAATTGTTTATAGAAAAAATTATGTACTTTTAAATTTTAAAATGTGTGTGTGTTTTTAAAATACATGGTGTGTGTATATATATATATATATTTTACAAATCTAGGATTTTTCTTTAACGTGCAAGATTTTTGAAGAGTATTCATCAAGAATGCTAGTTTTGAGGGATCAGGATCATCATGGTGGATGGGAGACAGGACTAGATTGCAGCTCCAGACAGAACAGCATGCGGAAGCTCACATTGTAAATTTTAGCTCCAGATCAACTGCAAGAACAAACCAGAAATCCTGAGAGGACCCACGTACTCTCTGAAGGAAGCAGACTGCTCCTGCAGGACCCGGGAGACACCCCAAATACGGTGAGTGTCCCAACTGAGGAAGTGGAAAAGGCAGATCCTAAGGCAGATCCTCCTCTTCCAAACACACACCACAACTGGAGAATCTGAAGGCCTGTTTGGGGGAGAAGTTTCCGACTTTACCTGGAGCTGAGTCAATTTAGAGACCTGAGTTAAATACAGGGGTAGAGGAAGCAGCAGAAAGGCTCTGGGAGCTCGCTGGGTCCCCAGGCAGCCCATTCCTGCCTGGCACCACAGGGATCCATCGGGAGGGTGGTCAGAGGTGCAGGGGATAAAACTCCACAGGAAGAATGAAATCTCTAGCTGAACTTTGTAACAATTTAAACAGGGTGAGAAGCCTCCTGGCCAGAACTTGGGGGAGGGTGCAAATCTGGTGTGCAGACTCAGGGGAGAACCAAGTTCTTTTCTTTCGCAGCCGGGAGGCAGGTAGCCTGGAGCAAGTTTTGGAGCCTATCTCACCCTCCACCTGGGAACATGGAGGGAGTGAGACCGGCCCTTCAGTTTGCCTGGGAGCTAGGTAAGGCTGGTGACTGCTGGCTTTTCCCCACTTCCCTGACAACCTGCATGGCTCAGCAGAGACAATCATAATCCTCCTAGGTACACAGCTCCAGTGACCTGGGAATCTCATCCCCATCCCCCACAGCAGCTGCAGCAAGACCCACCCAAGGAGAGTCTGAGCTCAAACACACTTAGTCCTGCCCCAACCTGATGGTCCTTCCCTATCCACCCTGGTAGGGAAAGACAAAGGGCATATAATCTTGGGAGCTCTAGGGCCCTGCCCACCACCAGTCCCTCTCCATACTACTACAGTTGAGGCTCTCTGGAAAGTGCCGCCTCCAAGCAAGAGGCCAACCAACACGAAAATACAGCATTAAACCACCAAAGCTAAGGACCCTCATGGAGTCCATTGCCCACCCCTCGCCACCTCCACTGGAACAGGTGCTGGTATCCATGGCTGAGAGTCCCGTAGACAGTTCACATCACAGGACTCTGTGCAGACAACAGGCAGTACCAGCCTGGAGCTGGGTAGTCTTGCTGGGTGGCTAGGCCCAGAAGACAGACAACAATCGCTGCAGTTCAGCTCACAGGAAGCCACATCCACAGTAAAGGGGGAGAGTACTACATCAAGGGAACACCCCATGAGACAAAAGAATCTGAACAACAGCCTTCAGCCCTAGACTTTCCCTTTGACAGACCCTACCCAAATGAGAAGGAACCAGAAAGCCAACTCTGAAAAGCTCAGAAAACCAACAAGTCTCTTTAACACCCTCAAAAAAATCATACTAGTTCACCAGCAATGGATCCAAACCAAGAATAAATCCCTGATTTATGTGAAAAATAATCAGCTTAATAAAAATATGAAGCTAATCAAAGAGGCACCAGAGAAAGGTGAAGCCCAATGCAAGGAAATCCAAAAAACGATACAAGACATAAAGGGAGAAATAGTCAAGAAAATAGATAGCTTAAAGAAAAAAACAATCAAAAATTCAGAAAACTTTGGATACACTTTTAGAAATGCAAAACACTCTGGAAAGTCTCAGCAATAGAATTGAACAAATAGAAGAAGGAAATTCAGAGCTAGAAGATGAGGTCTTCGAATTAACCCAATCCAACAAAGACAAAGAAAAAAATAAGAAAACATGAACAAAGCCTCCAAGAAGACTGGGATTATGTTAAGTGACCAAACCTAAGAATAATTGGTGTTCCTGAAGAAGAGAATTCTAAAGACTTGGAAAACATATTTGGGGGAATAATTGAGGAAAACTTCCCCAGTCTTGCTAGAGACCTAGAAGCCAAATACAAGAAGCACAAAGAACACCTGGAAAATTCATTTCAAAAAGATCATCACCCAGGCACATTGTCATCATGTTATCCAAAGTTAAGATGAAGAAAAGAATCTTAAGTGCTGTGAGACAGAAAAACCAGGTAATCTGTAAAGGAAAGCCTATCAGATTAATGGCAGAATTCTCAGCAGAAACCCTGCAAAGCCAGAAAGGATCTGAGCCCTATCTTCAACCTGCTCAAACAAAACTATTATCAGCCAAGAACGTTGTATCCAGTGAAAACAAGCATCATATTTAAAAGAAAGATATAGTCTTTTTCAGACAAATACTGAGAAAATTCGCCATTACCAAAACATCACTACAAGAGCCATTAAAAGGAGCTCTAAATCTTGAAACAAATTCTGGAAACACATCAAAGCAGAACCTCTTTAAAGCATAAATCATACAGGACCTATAAAACAAAAATACAAGTTAAAAAGCAGAAATAAAAAACAAAAAACAAAACCAAAGTACACAGGCAACAAAGAGCATGATGAAAGCAATGGTACCTCACATTTCAATACTAACATTGAATGTAAATGGCCTAAATGCTCCAATTAAAAGACACAATTCCATAATGGATAAGAACTCAACAACCAACTATCTGCTGCCTTCAAGAGATTCACCTAACACATGAGGACTCATATAAACTTAAAGAGGGTGGAAAAAGGGATTTCATGCAAATGGACACCAAAAGCTAGCAGGGGTATTCTTATATGAGACAAAACAAACTTTAAAGCCACAGCAGTTAAAAGAGACAAAGAGGGACAGTATATAATGGTAAAAGCCCTTGTCTAACAGGAAAATATCACAATCTTAAACATATATGCACCTAACACTGGAGATCCCAAATTTATAAAACAATTACTAATAGACCTAAGAAATGAGATAGACAGCAACACAATAATAGTGGGGGACTTCAATCCTCCATTGACAGCACTAGGCAGGTCATCAAGACAGAAAGTGAACAAAGAAACAATGAATTTAAACTACACGCTGAAACAAATGGACTTAACAGATATATACAGAACATTTCATCCAACAACTGCAGAATACACATTCTATTCAACAGCATATGGAATGTTCTCCAAGATGGACCATATTATGGGTCATCAAATGAGCCTCAATAAATTTAAGAAAATTGAAATTATATCAAACACTCTCTCAGACCACAGTGGAATAAAACTGAAAATCAACTCCAAAAGAAAACTTCAAACCATGCAAGAACATGGAAATTAAATCACCTGCTCCTGAATGAGCATTGGGTCAAAAATGAAATCAAAATGGAAATTTAAAAATTCTTCAAACTGACCAAAAATAATGACACAACCTACCCAAACCTCTGGGATACAGCAAAGGCAGTACTAAAAAGAAAGTTCATAGACTTAAATGCCTACATCAAAAAGATGAAAAGAGTACAAACTGACATTCTAAGGTCACACCTCAAGGAACTAGAGAAATAAGAATGAACCAAACCCAAACCCAGCAGAAGAAAATAGCCAAGATCAGAGCAGAGCTAAAAGAAATTGAAACAAATAAAATACAAAAGATAAATGAAACAAAAGGCTGGTTCTTTGAAAAGATAAATAAAATTGACAGACCATTAGCTAGATTAACTAAAAAAAGAGGAGAGAAAATCCAAATAAACTAATAAATAAAACAGGATACATTACAACTGACACCACTGAAATACAAAAGATCATTCAAGAGTACTATGAACACCTTTACATACATAAACTAGAAAACCTAGAATAGAAGGATTAATTCCTCGAAAAATACAACCCTCCTAGCTTAAATCAGGAAGAATTAAATACCTGAACAGACCAATAACAGCAGCAAGATTGAAATGGTAATTTAAAAATTACCAACAAAAAAAAGGCAGGAACCAGACAGATTAACAGCAGAATTCTACCAGACATGCAAAAAAGAATTGGTACCAATCCTTTTGACACTATTGCACAAGCTAAAGAAGGAATCCTCCCTAATCCATTCTACGAATCCAGCATCACCTAAATACCAAAACCAGGAAAGGACATAACCAAAAAACAAAACTACAGACTGACATCCTTGATTAATATAGATGTTAAAATCCTTAACAAAATACTAGCTAACCAAATCCAACAACATATCAAAAAGATAATCCAGGGGCGGAGCCAAGATGGCCAAATAGGAATAGTTCCGGTCTACAGCTCCCAGCGTGAGCGATGCAGAAGATGGGTGATTTCTGCATTTCCATCTGAGGTACCGGGTTCATCTCACTAGGGAGTGCCAGACAGTGGGTGCAGGACACTGGGTGCAGCGCACAGTGCGTGACCCGAAGCAGGGTGAGGCATTGCCTCACTCGGGAAGCACAAGGGGTCAGGGAGTTCCCTTTCCTAGTCAAAGAAAGGGGTGACAGACGGCACCTGGAAAATCGGGTAACTCCCACCCTAATACTGCGCTTTTCCAACAGGCTTAAAAAAATGGCACACCAGGAGATTATATCCTGCACCTGGCTCAGAGGGTGCCCATGGAGTCTCACTGATTGCTAGCACAGCAGTCTGAGATCAAACTGCAAGGCGGCAGCGAGGCTGGGGGAGGGGCGTCTGCCATTGCCCAGGCTTGATTAGGTAAACAAAGCAGCTGGGAAGCTCCAACTGGGTGGAGCCCACCACAGCTCAAGGAGGCCTGCCTGCCTCTGTAGGCTCCACCTCTGGGGGCAGGGCACAGACAAACTAAAAGACAGCAGTAAACTCTGCAGACTTAAATGTCCCTGTCTGACAGCTTTGAAGAGAGTAGTGGTTCTCTCAGCATTAAGCTGGAGATCTGAGAACGGGCAGACTGCCTCCTCAAGTGGGTCCCTGATCCCCGAGCAGCCTAACTGGGAGGCACCCCCAGTAGCAGCAGACTGACACCTCACACGGCCGGGTACTCCTCTAAGACAAAACTTCCAGAGGAACAATCAGGCAGCAGCATTTGCAGTTCACCAAGATCTGCTGTCCTACAGCCATTGCTACTCTGCAGCCACCGCTGCTGATACTCAGGCAAACAGGGTCTGGAGTGGACCTCTAGCAAACTCCAACAGACCTGCAGCTGGGGGTCCTGTATGTTAGAAGGAAAACTAACAAACAGAAAGGACATCCACACAAAAACCCTTCTGTACGTCACCATCATCAAGGACCAAAAGTAGATAAAACCACAAAGATGGGGACAAAACAGAGCAGAAAAACTGGAAACTCTAAAAAGCAGAGTACCTCTCCCCCTCCAAAGGAACGCAGCTCCTCAACAGCAATGGAACAAAGCTGGATGGAGAATGACTTTGACGAGTTGAGAGAAGAAGGCTTCAGACGATCAAACTACTCCAAGCTACAGGAGGAAAATCAAACCAATGGAAAAGAAGTTAAAAACTGTGAAAAAAAAATTAGATGAATGGATAACTAGAATAACCAATGCAGAGAAGTCCTTAAAGGAGCAGGTGGAGCTGAAAGCCAAGGCTCAAGAACTACGTGAAGAATGCAGAAGCCTCAGGAGTTGATGTGATCAACTGGAAGAAAGGGTATCAGTGATGAAAGATGAAATGAAGTGAGAAGGGAAGTTTAGAGAAAAAAAGAATAAAAAGAAATGAACAAAGCCTCCAAGAAATATAATACTATGTGAAAAGACCAAATCTATGTCTGATTGGTGTACCTGAAAGTGACGGGGAGAATGGAACCAAGTTGGAAAACACACTGCAGGATATTATCCAGGAGAATTTCCCCAATCTAGCAAGGCAGGCCAACATTCAGATTCAGGAAATACAGAGAATGCCACAAAGATACTCCTCAAGAAGAGCAACTCTAAGACACATAATTGTCAGATACACCAAAGTTGAAATGAAGGAAAAAATGTTAAGGGCAGCCAGAGAGAAAGGGCGGGTTACCCACAAAGAGAAGCCCATCAGACTAACAGCAGATCTCTCGGCAGAAACTCTACAAGCCAGAATAGAGTGGGGGCCAATATTCAACATTCTTAAAGAAAAGAATTTTCAACCCAGAATTTCATATCCAGCCAAACTAAGCTTCATAAGTGAAGGAGAAACAAAATACTTTACAGACAAGTAAATTCTGAGAGATTTTGTCACCACTAGGCCTGCCCTACAAGAGCTCCTGAAGGAAGCACTAAACATGGAAAGGAACAACCAGTACCAGCCACTGCAAAAACATGCCAAATTCTAAAGACCATCAAGGCTAGGAAGAAACTACATCAACTAACGAGCAAAATAACCAGATAACATCATAATGACAGGATCAAATTCACACATAACAATATTAACTTTAAATGTAAACTGGCTAAATGCTCCAATTAAAAGACACAGACTGGCAAATTGGATAGAGTCAAGACCCATCAGTGTGCTGTATTCAGGAAACCCATCTCACGTGCAGAGACACACATAGGCTCAAAATAAAAGGTTGGAGGAAGATCTACCAAGCAAATGGAAAACAAAAAAAGGCAGGGGTTGCAATCCTGGTCTCTGATAAAACAGACTTTAAACCAACAAAGATCAAAAGAGACAAAGAAGGCCATTACATAATAGTAAAGGGATCAATTCAACAAGAAGAGCTAACTATCCTAAATATATATGCACACAATACAGGAGCACCCAGATTCATAAAGCAAGTCCTGAGTGACCTACAAAGAGACTTAGACTCCCACACAATAATAATGGGAGGGTTTAACACCCCACTGTCCACATTAGAAAGATCAACGAGACAGAAAGTTAAAAAGGATACCCAGGAATTGAACTCAGCTCTGCAGCAAGCGGACCTAATAGACATCTACAGAACTCTCCACCCCAAATCAACAGAATATACATTCTTCTCAGCACCACATCGCATTTATTCCAAAACTGACCACATAGTTAGAAGTAAAGCACTCCTCAGCAAATGTACTTTTGAAAAGAAATTATAACAAATTGTCTCTCAGACCACAGTGCAATCAAACTAGAACTCAGGATTAAGAAAATCACTCAAAACCGCTCAACTACATGGAACTACATGGAAACGGAACAACCTTCTCCTGAATGACTACTGGGTACATAACTAAATGAAGGCGGAAATAAGGATGTTCTTTGAAACCAATGAGAACAAAGACACAACATACCAGAATCTCTGGGACACATTCAAAGCACTGTGTAGAGGGAAATTTATAGCACTAAATGCCCACAAGAGAAAGCAGGAAAGATCCAAAACTGACACCTTAACATCACAATTAAAAGAACTAGAAAAGCAAGAGCAAACACATTCAAAAGCTAGCAGAAGGCAAGAAATAACTAAAATCAGAGCAGAACTGAAGGAAATCGAAACACAAAAAACCCTTCAAAAAATTAATGAATCCAGGAGCTGGTTTTTTGTAGAGATCAACAAAATCAATAGACTGCTAGCAAGACTAATAAAGAAGGAAAGAGAGAAGAATCAAATAGATGCGATAAAAAATGATAAAGGGGATATCACCACTGATCCCACAGAAATACAAACTACCATCAGAGAATACTACAAACACCTCTATGCAAATAAACTAGAAAATCTAGAAGAAATGGATAAATTCCTCGACACATACACCCTCCCAAGACTAAACCAGGAAGAAGTTGACTCTCTGAATAAACCAATAACAGGCTCTGAAATTGTGGCAACAATCAATAGCTTACCAACCAAAAAAAGTCCAGGACCAGATGGATTCACAGCCAAATTCTACCGGAGGTATAAAGAGGAGCTGGTACCATTCCTTCTGAAACTACTCCAATCAATAGAAAAAGAGGGAATCCTCCCTAACTCATTTTATGAGGCCAGCATCATCCTGATACCAAAGCCTGGCAGAGACACAACCAAAAAAGAGAATTTTACACCAATATCCTTGATGAACATTGATGCAAAAATCCTCAATAAAATACTGGCAAACGGAATCCAGCAGCACATCAAAAAGCTTATCCATCATGATCAAGTGGGCTTCATCCCTGGGATGCAAGGCTGGTTCAACATACACAAATCAATAAATGTAATCCAGCATATAAACAGAACCAAAGACAAAAACCACATGATTATCTCAATAGATGCAGAAAAGGCCTTTGACAAAATTCAACAACCCTTCATGCTAAAAACTCTCAATAAATTAGGTGTTGATGAGACGTATCTCAAAATAATAAGAGCTATCTATGACAAACCCACAGCCAATATCATACTGAATGGGCAAAAACTGGAAGCATTCCCTTTGAAAACTGGCACAAGACAGGGATGCCCTCTCTCACCACTCCTATTCAACATAGTGTTGGAAGTTCTGGCCAGGGCAATTAGGCAGGAGAAAGAAATAAAGGGTATTCAATTAGGAAAAGAGGAAGTCAAATTGTCCCTGTTTGCAGATGACATGATTTTATATCTAGAAAACCCCATTGTCTCAGCCCAAAATCTCCTTAAGCTGATAAGCAACTTCAGCAAAGTCTCAGGATACAAAATCAATGTACAAAAATCACAAGCATTCTTATACACCAATAACAGACAGAGAGCCAAATTGTGAGAGAACTCCCATTCACAGTTGCTTCAAAGAGAAGAAAATACCTAGGAATCCAATTTACAAGGGATGTGAAGGACCTCTTCAAGGAGAACTACAAACCACTGCTCAAGGAAATAAAAGAGGATAACAAACAAATGGAAGAACATTCCATGCTCATGGGTAGGAAGAATCAATATCGTGAAAATGGCCATACTGCCCAAGGTAATATATAGATTCAATGCCATCCCCATGAAGCTACCAATGACTTTCTTCACAGAATTGGAAAAAACTACTTTCAAGTGCATATGGAACCAAAAAAGAGCCCGTATCGCCAAGTCAATCCTAAGCTGAAAGAACAAAGCCGGAGGCATCACACTACCTGACTTCAAACTATTCTACAAGGCTACAGTAACCAAAACAGCATGGTACTGGTACCAAAACAGAGATATAGATCAATGCAACAGAACAGAGCCCTCAGAAATAATGCCGCATATCTACAACCATCTGATCTTTGACAAACCTGACAAAAACAAGAAATGGGGAAAGGATTCCCTATTTAATAAATGGTGCTGGGAAAACTGGCTAGCCATATGTAGAAAGCTGAAACTGGATCCCTTCCTTACACCTTATACAAAAATCAATTCAAGATGAATTAAAGACTTACATGTTAGACCTAAAACCATAAAAACCCTAGAAGAAAACCTAGGCAATACCATTCAGGACATAGGCATGGGCAAGGACTTCATGTCTAAAACACCAAAAGCAATGGCAACAAAAGCCAAAATTGACAAATGGGATCTAATTAAACTAAAGAGCTTCTACACAGCAAAAGCAACTACCATCAGAGTGAACAGGCAACCTACAAAATGGGAGAAAATTTTCGCAACCTACTCATCTGACAAAGGGCTAATATCCAGAAACTACAATGAAGTCAAACTAATTTACAAGAAAAAAACAAACAACCCCATCAAAAAGTGGGCAAAGGATATGAACAGACACTTCTCAAAAGAAGACATTTATGCAGCCAAAAAACACATGAAAAAATGCTCATCATCACTGGCCATCAGAGAAATGCAAATCAAAACCACAATGAGATACCATCTCACACCAGTTAGAATGGCAATCATTAAAAAGTCAGGAAACAACAGGTGCTGGAGAGGATGTGGAGAAATAGGAACATTTTTACACTGTTGGTGGGACTGTAAACTAGTTCAACCATTGTGGAAGTCAGTGTGGCGATTCCTCAGGGATCTGGAACTAGAAATACCATTTGACCCAACCATCCCATTACTGGGTATATACCCAAAGGACTATAAATCATGCTGCTATAAAGACACATGCACACATATGTTTATTGTGGTACTGTTCACAATAGCAAAGACTTGGAACCAACCCAAATGTCCAACAACAATAGACTGGATTAAGAAAATGAGACACATATACACCATGGAATACTATGCAGCCATAAAAAATGATGAATTCATGTCCTTTGTAGGGACATGGATGAAACTGGAAACCATCATTCTCAGCAAACTATCCAAGGACAAAAAACCAAACACTGCATGTTCTCACTCATAGGTGGGAATTGAACAATGAGAACACTTGGACACAGGAGGGGGAACATCACACTCTAGGGACTGTTGTGGGGTGGGGGGAGGGGGGAGGGATAGCATTAGGAGATATACCTAATGCTAAATGACGAGTTAATGGGTGCAGCACACCAACATGGCACATGTATACATATGTAACAAACCTGCACATTGTGCACATGTACCCTAAAACTCAAAGTATAATAACAATTAAATTTAACAAAAAGTTTTAAACCTATACACAATTGAAAAAATACATTATTAAAATATTCAGGAAATATTTTTAATAAATTAAATTAAATTTAATTTAAAAATGTTTTTAGGTTTATCATCAGTTTTCCATAAAAATATAGCAATATAAAATAAAACATAATTGTATACAACTATACAATTGTGTCATCTAAAAATAGAGATGTTTTACATTTTTCTTCTCAAACTGAATGCCTTTTAATTCTTTTCCAAGCCCAATTGCCTTAGCTAGAACCTCCAGCTAAAGTTGGGAGAATGGACATCCTTACCATGCTCCTGATCTTAGCGAGGGGTTTTCAGTCTTCTACCATTAAGTATGATGTCAGCTGTGGGTATTTCACAACTGCCCTTAATCATGTGAAGATACTCCCTCCTGTTTCTAGTGTGTTCAGTATTGTTTTTTTTTTAATCATTAAAAGGTTATATAAAGGCGTTTGAAAAACATATATTGGTGGAATTTTTTAATGCAGAAAAATGAGTCCAACACAATGTTAAGAATATAATTTAAAATAAAAAATGTTATCTAGTAGACTTCAATTATAAATGAGAAAAGCATAGGAAAAAAACAAAAAAAACAAAAAAAAAAAACAAAAGATAATCCACCATGATCAAGTGGATTTCATATGAGGGATGCAAGGATGGTTTAACATATTCAAGTCAATAAATGTGATATACCACATAAACAGAATTAAAAACAAAAAATCACATGATCATCTCAATAGATGCAGAAAAAGCATTTGACAAAATCCAGTATCTCTTTATGATTAAAACTCTCAGCAAAATTGGCATACAAGGAACATTCCTTAATGTAACAAAAGCCATCTATGACAAACCCACAGCCAACATAATACTGAATGCAGAAAATTTGAAAGCATTCCCTCTGAGAACTGAAACAAGACAAGGATGCCCACTCTCACCACTCCTCTTCAACATAGTACTGGAAGTCCTAGTGAGAACAATCTGACAAGAGAAAGAAAGAAAGGGCATCCAAATCAGTAAAGAGGAAGTCAAGCTGTAACTGTTTGCTGACAATATGATTGTTTACCTTGAAAACCCTAAAGATTCCTCCAAAAAGCTCCTAGAACTGATGAAAGAATTTAGCAATGTTTTCCAGATACATGATTAATGTACACGAGTCAGTAGCTCTTCTATACACGAACAGCAATCAAGTGGAGAATCAAATCAAGAACTCAACCTCTTTTACAACAGCTGCAAAGAAAATAAAATACTTAGGAATATATCTAACCAAGGAGTAAAAAAACCTCTATGAGGAAAATTATAAAACACTGCTGAAAGAAATCATAGATGACACAAATGGAAACAC
Organism: Homo sapiens; assembly: GCF_000001405.40. Taxonomy (NCBI): domain Eukaryota; kingdom Metazoa; phylum Chordata; class Mammalia; order Primates; family Hominidae; genus Homo; species Homo sapiens. The sequence continues at coordinate 75,339,206 of NC_000009.12, read as the reverse complement.
ATCCCAGGCTCACAGATGGGTAGAATCAATAATATGAAAATGATCATACCGCCAAAAGCAATCTACAAATTAAATGCAATCCTCATCAAAATACCACCATCATTCTTTATAGAATTAGGAAAAACAATTCTAACATTCATATGGAACCAAAAAAGAGCCCACACAGCCAAAGCAAGACTAAGCAAAAAGAACAAATCTGGAGGCAACACTCTACCTGATTTCAAACTGTACTATAAGCCCATAGTCACCAAAACAGTGTAGTACTGGTATAAAAATAGGCACATAGACCAGTGGAACAGAATAGAGAACCCAGAAATGAACCTAAATACTTACAGCCAACTGATCTTCAACAAAGCAAACAAAAACAAAGTGGGGAAAGGACACCCTTTTCAACAAATGGTGCTGGGATAATTGGCTAGCCACATGTAGGAGAATGAAACTGGATCCTTGTCTCTCACCTTATATAAAAATCAACTCAAGATGGATTAAGGACTTAAACCTCAGACCTGAAAATTAAAAATTCTAGAAGATAACACTGGAAAAACCCTTTAAACATTGCCTTAGGCAAGGATTTCATGACCAAGAACCCAAAAGCAAATGCAATAAAAACAAAGATAAGTAGCTGGAACCTAATTAAAGAGCCTTTTCACAGCAAAAGGAACAGTCAGCAGAGTAAAGAAAAAACCCACAGAGTGGGAGAAAGTCTTCACAATCTATACACCTGACAAAGAACTAATATCCAGAATCTACAATAAACTCAAATGAATCAGTTAGAAAAAAACAAACAATCCCATCAAAAAGTGGGCTAAGGACACGAATACACGATTCCCAAAAGAAGTTATACAAATGGCCAACAAACATATGAAAAAATGCTCAACATCACTAATGATCAGGGAAATCAAAACCACGACGTGATACCAACTTACTCCTGCAAGAATGGCCATAATAAAAAAATCAAAAAACAGTCAGTGTTGGCATTGATGTGGTGACCAGGGAACTCTTCCACGCTGCTGGTGGGAATGTAAACTAGTACAGCCACTGTGGAAAACTGTAGAGATTTCTAAAAGAAGTAAAAGTAGAACTACCATTGGATCCAGCAATCCCACTACTGGGTATCCACCCAGAGGAAAAGAAGTAATTATTCCAAAAAGATATTTGCACCCGCATGTTTATAGCAGCACAATTCACAATTGCCAAATCATGGAACCAACCCAAATGCCCATCAATCAATGAGTGGATAAAGAAACTGTGGTGTGTGTGTATGTGTGTTTGTGTGTGTGTGTGTGTATATATATATGATGATATATATGAGATATATATCATATATATGATGATATATATGATATATATGATGATTGATGATATATGACATGATATATATGATGACATATATGATATATGATGATATATATGATATATATGATGATATATTTATGATATATATGATGATATATATGTACATATGATGGAATACTACTCAGCCATAAAAAGGAATGAATTAACAGCATTTGCAGGGACCTGGACGAGATAGGAGGCTATTATTCTAAGTGAAGTAACTTAGGAATGGAAAACCAAACATCACATGTTCTCACTGATATGTGGGAGCTAAGCTATGAGGACGCAAAGACGTAAGAATACAATGGTTTGGGGACTTGGGAGGAAGAGTGGGGGCGGGTGAGAGATAAAAGACTGCAAATATGGTGCAGCGTATAGTGCTGGGGTGATGGGTGCACCAAAATCTCACAAATCACCACTGAAGAACTTACTCATGTAACCAAATACCACCTGTACCCCAAGAACTTACAGAAATTTTTTTTAAAGAATGCTAGTTTCAATTTTACAATGTATTGGTTTATATGTAATCATTGTACTTCTCTTCATTAACATTTTAATCTTATGCACATTTAGCACCTAGTATTAAAAAGTTAATATTTTACATCAGTTGAAACATAAAAATAGACCATACATGTAATTCTACAAGTCCACTACTTTCTTCCCAAAGTATAAGACTTTATTCAAGGACTGGGCTGGGGACAGAGAACAGGGATAGGAAAAGAGAAAGATGACAGACAGAAAATTCTTACCTCAATGTCACTGTTACTTCCTGCTCGTACGTAAAAGGGAAAATTGTTACTAAGCATCCTCTACAAAGTTCCTACTTCTTGCTAAAACGACATCTAATCTGGGACCAATGGGAAGAATCAGATCTTTCATCTTTTTTAAATAGTGAGACTCTAAATGTGTCTAGTTTGTTAACATAGCTTATTCTCAACATTGCATAATATTATCATATACTGGCATATGCTAGGAACTCATACATTATAATTGTTAGAACTTTCCAGAGGAACCAGTCTTCTGTCCTTGTTGCCAGCATTATATCACGGGCTGTAAAAATTCTTGGGTTTTTATCTATTTATTTATTTTGTCTGCTCTTGTCTGATTACAAACAGTATGCCTAGTCTCCAGCTGAATCATTCCCGCTGCTTAAATCTAGCTGTATTAGCACTGTCAAATTCTTGAAAATGGCAACTGTTTTTTCTCTCAGATTTTTGGCTGGGTACACAGAAGGTGCTCAATAAATGCTTAATGAATTAACAAATGGATAAATGTCTACTTTTAGATTTATTGCACCTATACACCCTTCTATTCAGGTGCTGATCTCTAGAATATGGTGCTTTGAATCTATATAATCTTATCATTTGGCAGACCTAATGAATTCTACTAGAATCCTAACCTTTGAAATAAAGTCATCTAAGTCTTAGTTTATGTGTTTGTAAAACTGAGAAATACAACTTCTCCCCGAGGATTGTTAAGGAATGAAAATATGATAATATATGTGGAAAAGTTTTGTAAACAGTGTTTATTAATATATTATAACTTTATTATTGTCATCGATCATACCAGACATAATTTATATCCCATTATAATGAACCCTAAGGATTTTTTGTCATAATGGCGGCTCAATGCAACAAATATCTATATAGTAAATACATAGTGTCCTGAGGCTTGGGAATTTTACTGCTAGTTCAAAGTATATATAGAATGCTTTTATTGTAATATATTTATAAAATGACTTGACTTGTCATAATGTAACCAGAATTAAATCTCCAGAACTTTTAATATTCCAATTTTAAACTATCAAGCTAAAAAAGAAAAGTGGTAGGCATTAGGCATGATATTCAATCAACACATAAGCACTTGGAAGTATTACATCCTTCAACCTACTATGTGTCCAACTGTAGACAAGACACTCTAGACAGAGTAATGGACAGGTGAGCCAGGAGACCTGAGTTCTGCTCATGACCCAGTCACTAATTACCTGAGATGTCTCCTTTAACAAGCTACTTTTCATCTTAATTTCCTCACTTACGAAAGGTGAGTAGTAGACTAAATCCGGGTTTTTGGAGTATATTATATAGAACTATAAGAACTCAAAGACCACTCCAAAAAGTCAGAACATGATTAGGTTATGTTGGAAAAGGTAGGAATCGGGAACTCTGATACTTGCTTCATTCTTATTCCTATTTTGAGATATCCCACAAAATTTTATTTGAAAAAAAAACTTATTTTGTTTTTGTTTATGCCGCAAGTACCTCCAATCTGACATATCCAAAGCTGAATTCAATGTTTTCTTTTCTTCTCCATCAATCAATATTATATATCCCTATCCCAAGCCCCATCCATGGAGCATCCCAGGCGAGAAGACTAAATATAATCTTAACTCTGCCATATTCCTCACCAGATCGTAGCACCCACATACCCAATCAATCACGAAGCCTTATCTAGAAGGAACTGAGAATATAGATTGCTGAAAACAGGAACTTAAGACTTTGTTCTTTTTTTACTGACCAAAGCTATAAAAATAGAAGTTACAATTATATTTGATGAAAATCCTTGAAAAGAGACTAGTAATTCATTACTGAGCTGGCTATTGCTCTTTACAATAAGATAAGAAAGAGGATTATAAGTTTATATTCTGATCGCAGAAATACAAAAAAAATAGAAAGCACTTGTAGAAAACTAGAATGATCTATGTCTCTATGTGCTCTAATTCTTGATATGATGAATTATAATCCCTTTTTAATGTATATCAAAGTACTCCAAGATATTCAACTGTTAACCATAAATGTTTTTCTCTGTTTGTTCATTTATTTTTTATTTCCTTTCCACGGAACATCATCTTTAAACTTGAAGTCTATGATGATTACAAAGCTTCTTTGTAGGGAAAATTGCGTTTATTCATTAATTATACAGAATTTAGATATGGGAAAATTTACTTGTTTGCATAATCTATAAAAGAATTTGTTATAAGAAACTGTAATCTATATAATATGTTTATTAGAGGAAACTGAATTTTTTTTTACTGTAAATGAATTTGCCAACTATTGTGGTAATTAAACCATCCCTCTGCAAATGAATTTAAGAGCGTTGTGGTAATCAATCCTCCACTGCACATGTGGTGTATGTTCTTATTAAAGAGAAAGCACTTTTCCTGGCTCTCTCTTATAGCTGTAAAAAAAAACCCTTCATTTTTTAAATGTTATTGTTTTTCATTGACAAATAATTATTGTACATATTCATGGAATACATAGTGATGATTTTATAAATATAATTCATTGTGATCAGATCTGGGTAATTAATATAGCCATCATCTCAAATACTTATCATTTCTTTGCATTAGAAATAGTCAATATCCTCCTTCTAGCTATTTTAAACTATATAATATATAGTTAACTATAGTCATCCTACAGTGGTAAAGAACACTAGAACTTAACTCCTCCTATCTAGCTGTTGTTTTGTATCCTTTAACAAATCTCTCCCTACTTCACTCTTCTGCCTACCCTTCCCAGCCTCTGGTATCCTCTGCTCTATTGTTTACTTCTATGAGATCAACTTTTTTTTAGCTTCCACATGAGTGAGAATATATGGTGTTTAACTTTCTGTTCCTGACATATTTTACTTAATACAATGTCCTCCTGTTTCATCCATGTTGCCACAAATGATAGAATTTCATTCTTTTTTATGGCTGAATAATATTCCATGATGTGTGTGTGTGTGTGTGTGTGTGTGTGTGTGTGTGTGTGTACACCTAGGTTGAGTAAATACCTTGGCTATTGTGAATAGTGCTGCAATAAACATGGGAATGCAGATGTCTCAATCAATATACTGACTTCTTTTCCTTTGGATAAATGCCCACGATTTTTGGATCATATGATGGTTCTATTTGTAGTTAACAGATCTTTATACTGCTCTCCACAGTGGCTGTATCAGTTCACACTCCCACCAACAGCATATGAGTTCTTTCTTCACATTTTCACAAGTATGTATTATTTTTTGTCTTTTTGATAATAGCCATCCTAACTGGGGTGAGGGGATACTTCCACCTTGTGGTTTTGATCGGCATTTCTCTAATCATTAGTCATCACTAATCATTAGAGAAATTTTTAAGCATTTTTTCATGTATTTGCTGGTCAATTGTATGTCTTCTTTTGAGAAATGTCTACTCAGATCATTTGTCCATTTTTTTAATCAGATTTTTTTTTTTTTTTTTTTTTTTGCTGCTGAGTTCCTTGTCAATTGTGGATATTAGTCCCCTGTTGAATAAGTAGTTTGCAGCTATTTTCTTCCATTCTGTAAGTTGCCTCCTCACATTAAGGGTTGTTTCTTTTGCTGTAATAACTTATTTTAGTTTGATATAAACCCATTTGTTTATTTGTGCTTTTGTTGCCTGTGCTTTTGAGGTCTTATTCATAAAATCTTTTCCCAGACAAATGTTCTGAAGCATTTCCCCTATGTTTTCTTTTGCTAATGTTATTTTTAGTCTGACATTTAGGTTTTTGAACCATTTTGAGTTGATTTTTGTATAGGGTAAGAGGTTGTGGTTTAGTTTTATTCTCTGCATATGGATATCCAGTTTCCCATTTCTTGAAGAAACTATCCTCTCCCCAGTGAGTGTTGTTGGTAGCATCATCAAAAATCAGCTGGCTGTAGATATGTGGATAAATTTCCAGCTTTCCTGCTCTGTCTTATTGATCTATGTGTCTGTTTTTAATGCCAGTATCATACTGTTCTGATTACTACAGCTTTGTAGTATATTTTGAGGTCTGGTAGTATGATATCTCCAGCTTTCTGTTCAGAATTGCTTTAAATTTGTTTGGAACCACAAAAGATCTTGACTAGCCTCTGACAGTGCTTATCTAATGGAGTATTAAGTTGATTTCTTCCACAAGTTTCACAAGCTTACACAGCAACTTAAACACATACATGTAGTCATGGCTTGTAGACAGAGACCCGTATAGAGTATGGAATATAAAGTTCATGACTTATTTTTTATGCTGTTCCCCTTACCTAGAATGCCCTCTCCCAACATTTCTACCTCACAAACTCTTATCAGCCATTCAGTCTGTGTGTGTGTGTGTGTGTGTGTGTGTGTGTGTGTGTGTCTTTGATGCTGTCCCTTTGTCTCTCTCCAGGAAGAACTTACTGCTATCTTTCATGTTCATATAGTACTCAGAACATCTTTCAACTCTGGTATTTAGCACATTACATATATTGTTTATTTATTTATATGTCTTTCTATCAAACCAATACATAGGACTTTTGAGAAGATTCCATATCTCATCATCTTCATAAGGTCAAGCTGAGGAAATAAAATATAATAGCTATTCAGCCAATAGTTCTAAGACTGAATAATTAGTGGAATAAGACTATAAATAGTTTTTAATTTTAGATTTGGGTAGTACACGTGTAGGTTTGTTACATGGCTATATTGCATAATGCTGGAGTTTGGGCATCTATTGAATCCATCAACCAAGTAGTGAACAGGTAGCTTTTCTCCCCCTTTCCCTCCTTTCTCCCCCTTTGCCTATTGTTTCCATCTTTACTTTCATGTGTACCCATTGTTAGCTCCCACTTATAAATCAGAACATGTCGTATTTGATTTTCTGATGTAGTGTTAATTCACTTAAAATAATGGCCTCCAGATGAACCCATGTTGCTGCAAAGGGCATGACTTTACCGTTTTTTTGTGGTTGCAAAGTATTCTATGTATATACCATAGAATACCATATTTTCTTTATCAAATCATCCTTGAATGAAATTTTGGTTGATTCCATTACTTACTCATTGTGAATAGTGTGCTACAATAAACATACAAGTGCAAGTATCTTTATAATAGAACAATTTCTTTTCCTTTGGGTAGATACCCAGTAGTGGGATTGCTGAGAGAAAATGTCAGTTCTATTTTTAGTTCTAAGCAAAACTCTTCAAACTGTTTTACATAGAGTTTGTACTAATTTACATTTGTACCAACAGTGTATAAGCATTCCCTTTTGTCTGCATCCTCACCAACATCATTTTTTTTTTTTACTTGTTAATGATGTCATCTCATAGCAGTCAGAATGGCTATCTCATTGGAGTTTTAATTTGCATTTCTCTGATAATTAGCAATGTCGAGCATTTTTTCATGTTTCCTGACCACTTCTATGTTTTCTTTTGAGAAGTCTTTGTTCATGTCATTTGCCCACTTTTTAATGTTGTTACTTGCTTTTTTCTTGTTTAAGTTCTTTATAGGTTCTGGATATTTGTCTGATACATAGGCTTGCAAATATTTTCTCCAATTCTGTAGGTTTCCCATTTACACTTTTGATTATTTATTGTTTTTAATGCATTTGCCTTTGAGGTTTCAGTCACAAATTTTTTGTCTAGGCCAATGTCCAAAAAGGTGTTTCCTTGGTTGTCTTCTAGGATTTTCATAGTTTGAGTCTTACTATGGATTAAAGACTTAAATGTAAGGTTTTTTTGTGTGTATGGTGAAAGGTAAGGGACTAGCTTCAATATTCTGCATGTAACTAGCAAGTTCTCCCAGCATCCTTTATTGAATAGGGATCCTATCCTCATTTCTTGTTTTTGTCAACTTTGTCAAAGATTAGATTGTTGTAGGTGTGCAGTTTTATTTCTCAGTTCTCTGTTCTGTTTTATTGATCTATGTTTATTTTGTACCAGTACCAGGCTGTTTTGGTTACTATAGCCTTGTAGTATAGTTTGAAGTTGAATAATGTTATGCCTTGGCTTGTTCTTTTTGCCTAGAATTGATTTGTCTGTTCAGGCTCTTGTTTGGCTCCATATAAATTTTAGAATTGTTTTTTCTAATTCTGTGAAAAATGACGTTGGTAATTTGATAGAAATTACATTGAATCCACAGATTGTTTTGCACAGTATAGTCTTTTTAACAATACTGATTCTTTCAATCCATGAGCATGGAATGTTTTTGCATTTCTTTGTGTCATCTAGGGTTTCTTTCAACAGTGTTTTGTAATTCTCCTTGTAGAGATTTCTCATCACCTTCGTTAAATGTAAGCTTAAGTATTTTCTTTTGTGTGTGGCTATTATAAATTGGATTGCACTCTTGATTTGGTTCTCAGATGGAATATTATGTTGTATAGAAGTGCTACCTATTTTTGTGCATTAATTTTGTATTCTGAAACTTTAGTGAAGTCATTTATCAGGTCTAGGAGTCTTTTGGAGGAATGGTGAGTGTTTTCTAGGTGTAGAATCATATCATCAGCAAACAGATGATTTGGCTATCTCTTTTCCTTTTTGGATGCCTTTTATTTCTTTCTCTTACCTGATTGCTCTTGCTAGGACTTCCAATACTATGTTGAATAGAAGTGGTGAGAATGGGCATCTTTGTCTTATTCCAGTTATGAGGGGAATGTTTCCAACTTTTGCCCACTCAGTGTAATGACAGTTGTCAGTTTGGCATAGATGGCTCATTATTTTGAGGTACATTCCTTTGATGCCTCCAGTAAATTCCTTCAGAATTTTTATCATGAAGTGATGTTGGATTTTGTCAAAAGTGTTTTTTTTGCATCTACTGAGATTATATGGTTTTTTATTCTATTTATGTGGTGAGTTACATTTATTGATTTATGTATGTTGAACCATCTTTGTGTCCCAAGAATAAAGCCCACTTGATCATGATAAAATCTTTTTGATGTGCTACTGGATTTAGTTTGCTAGTATTTTGTTGAGAATTTTTGCATCTATCTTCATCAGGGATATTGGTCTAGTATTTTTAGTTGTGTCCCTGTCAGAGTTTGATATTAAAATGATGGCAGTTTCCTAAAATGAGGTAGGGAAGAATCCTTCCCTCCTTGATTTATTGGAATAGTTTCAGAAACATTGGTACCAGTTCTTCTTTGTATGTCTGGTAGAATTTGGCTGTGAATCCGTCTGGTCCAGGACTTATTTTGGTTGGTAGATTTTTCTTTTTGTTACTGATTCAACTTTGGAACTTGTTATTGGTCTATTCAGGATTTCTATTTCTTCCTGGTTCAATCTCGGCAGATTGTATGTATCTAGGAATTTATCTATTTCCTCTAAGTTTTCTAGTTTAGCACGTAGAGAAGTTCATAGTAGTCTTTGTGGATCTTTTGTATTTCTGTAACATTAGTTGCAATGTCACCTTTGTCATTTCTGATCAAGCTTTTTTAGATGTTCTTTCTTTTACTTGATTAAGCTAGCTACTGGTCTAGCAATCTCGTTTTTCCTTTCCAGGAACCAATTTTTCATTTTGTTTATTCTTGTATGGTTTTTTGGTCTCAATTTCATTTAGTTCAGCTCTGATCTTTGCTTCTGCTAGTTTTGGATTTAATTCCTTTTTCTAGTTCCTTTAGGTGCAACATTAAGTTGTTAAGTTAAGTTCTATCTTCTTGCACTATGCATTTATCACTATAAACTTTCCTATTAACACTGCTTTCACCATATCCCAAAGGTTTTGGTATGTTGTATCTGTTTTCATGTAATTCAAATAATGTTTTGCTTTATGCCTTAATTCTGTTGTTTACCCAAAAGTCATTTAGGAGCAAGTTGTTTAATTTTCATATATTTGTGTGGTTTTGAGAGTTCCTTTTGGTATTAATTTCTAATTGTATTCCACTATTGTCAGAGATGCTTGATATAATTTCTATTTTTAAAAAAGTCATTAAGACTTGCTTTATGACCAAGCATGTGGTCAATCTTAAAGAAAATTCCATGCATCGATGAAAATAATATATCATCTGATTGTTGGGTGGAGTAATCTGCAGATGTCTACAAAGTACATTTGGTCAAGTGTCTAAGCCCAGAGTTTGTTAGTTTTCTGCCTCAATTATTTATCTACTGCCAGTGGGATGTTGAAATCCACTACCAGTATTATTGTATGACTATCTTTTCTTAGGTCTAGTAGTATATGTTTTATAAATCTGGGTGCTCTGATGCTGGGTGCATATATACTTAGGATATTTAAATATCTTATTGAATTAAATCCTTTACAATTACATAATTCCCTTTTTGGTTTTTTTTTTTTTGTATTGGTTTAAAGTCCACTTTATGATACAAGAACAGCAACCCCTATTCTTTTTTGTTTTCCATTTGCATGATAGATCTTTCTCCATTGCTTTGAGTTTATAAGTGTCAAAACAAGTGAGATGGGCCTCCTGAAGGCAGCCGAAGGTTCGGTCTTGTTTTTTAATCCAATTTACCACTCTGTCTTCTAAGGCAAGTATTTAGACCATTTGCTTTCAAGGTTAATACTGATATGTGAGGTTTTATTCCTGTCATAGTGTTATTAGGTAGTTGCTTTGTAGTCTCAATTGTGTGTTTGCTTTATAGGGTCTGTGGCCTTTGTAATTACATGTGATTTTATGATGGCAAGTATTTTTCCATTTCCATGCTTACTACTCTTGAGTGTTCCTCATAGGACCAGTCTGGTGGTGATGAATTCTCTTAGCATGTGCTTGTCTGGGAAAGACTTTCTCCTTATTTATGAAGCTTAGTTTGGCAGGATATGAAATTCTTGTTCAACTTTTGTTTTTCTTTAAGCATGCTAAAAATAGGCCCCAGTCTTTTCTGGCTTGTAAAGTATTGCTAAGAAGTCTGCTATTAGTCTGATGGGATTTCCTTAATATGTAAGTTTTCCCTTTTCTAGACTGCAGAGAGCTCTGAAAAACAGGCAGCAGAAATTAGGCTTGATGTGCTAGGTATTTGGGAGCTATTGTAGGAGTGAGACTTTTCTAGGATACCAACTGATCCCAACTCCTCCAGATGATCTAATTAGAGAAATATGTGGTAATTTTTAAAAGATATTATATTTATGTCCTTGAATACCAAGATCCCTGGCAAACTGCAATGGCTAATGCAGCTCAGATCCCTGTCCAAAAATATTTATATCAGCCCTTCTCTTACCTACCCAGTCATAAGTAGGGACACCAGAGAATCATTTGAGGAGTAGGGGATAGAGGATACACAGCCAAAAATATGTGCCCTAGTGTATTCACCACATGAGGGGCAGAAGAAGAGATAAGAAACATCATTTGCAGACAGATATGTCTAAAAAAAAAGCAAGAAACCAGAGGAAGTGCCACACATGAGGAAAGAATCTTAATATATTTTAAAATATTTTCCTCTCCCACAGGAACTTGGTCCAGTGGATCTTTCTGGTTCTTCATCCAATTAAGTTATTCTTACATAAAGAGGACTAAGTAAATTGTCTTCTAAAACTACTATCTCCCAGAAGGTAAAGGAAAAGTCTTCATTTAAAGAAGAGGAGAAGGGGTAATAAGAGTTCCCTTCTGGGATCTGGCAATATGGCTGAATAGGAAAAGCTCCGGTCTGCAGCTCCCAGGGAGACCAATGCAGAAGGTGAGTGAATTCTGCATTTCATCCCATTGCGACTGGTTAGGCAGTGGGTACAGCCCAAGGAGGGTGAGCAGAAGCAGGGTGGGGCGTCGCCTTACCTGGCAAGTGCAACGAACCAGGGCCTTCCCTCCTCCAGCCAAGGGAAGCTGTGAGGGACTACGCAATCCTGCCCAGATACTACACTTTTCCCATGGTTTTTATAATCAGCAGACCGGGAGATTCCTTTGTGTGCCTATACCACCAGGGCCCTGGGTTTCAAGCACAAAACTGGGTGGCTGTTTGGGCAGATACTGAGCTAGCTGCAGGAGTTTTTTTTTTTATTTTATTTTTTTGTAACCCAGTGGTACCTGGAACCCCCAATGAGACAGAACTGTTTACTCCCCTGGAAAGGTTGCTGAAGCCAGGGAGCCAAGTGATCTTGCTCAGTGGGTCCCATTCCCATGGAGCCCAGCAAGCTAAGAACCACTGGTGTGAAATTCTCATTGCCAGCACAGCAATCTGAAGTAGACCTAGGACGATCTCAAGCTTGGTTGGGGGATGGGCATCTGCCATTACTGAGGCTTGAGTAGGCAGCTTTCCCCGGACAGTGCTAAGGAAGCCTGGAAGTTCAGACTGGGCAGAACTCACTACAGCATGGCAAAACAGCTGTGGCCAGACTGTCTTCTCTAGACTCCTCCTCACTGGGCAGGGCATCTCTGAGACAAAGGCAGCAGTCCCAGTCAGGGGCTTATAGATAAAACTCCCATCTCCCTGGGACAGAGCACCCAGTGGAAGAAGCAGCTGTGGGCACAGCTTCAGTGGACTTAAACATTCCTGCCTGCTGGTTCTGAAGAGAGCAGCTGATCCTGACAAGGAGGATTCTCCCAGCACAGCTTGAGCTCTGCTAAGAAACAGACTGCCTCCTCAAGTGGGTCCCTGACCCCCATGCTTCCTGACTGGGAGAGATCACAGGAATGGCTAACTAGAATAACCAGTTTAGAGAAGAACATAAATGACCTGATGGAGCTGAAAAACACAGGACAAGAACTTCCTGAAGCATACACAAATATCAACAGCTGAATTGATCAAGCGGAAGAAAGGATATCAGAGATTGAAGATTAACTTACTGAAATAAAGCATGAAGACAAGATTAGAGGAAAAAAGAATGAAAAGGAATGAACAACGCATCCAAGAAATATGGGATTGTGTGAAAAACAAAACCCACAATTGATTAAGGTGCCTGAAAGTGACTAGGAGAATGGAACCAAGTTGGAAAACACACTTCAGGATATTGTCCGGGAGAACTTCCCCAACCTAGCAAGACGGGCCAACATTCAAATTCAGGAAATACAGAGAACACCACTAAGATACTCCTCAAGAAGAGCAACCCCAAGACATGTAACTGTCAGACTCTCCAAGGTTGAAACAAAGGAAAAAATGTTAAGGGCAGCCAGAGAGAAAGGTCAGGTTACCTACAAAGGTTAAGCCCATCAGACTAACAGCAGATCTCTTTGAAGAAACCCTACAAGCTAGAAGAGAGTGGGGGCCAATATTCAACATTCTTAAAGAATTTTCTACCCAGAATTTCATATCCAGCCAAATTAAGCTTCATAAGCAAAGGAGAAATAAAATCCTTTACAGACAAGAAAATGCTGAGGAATTTTGTCACCACTAGGCCTGCTTTACAAGAGCTCCTGAAGGAAGCACTAAATACGGAAAGGAACAACTGGTACCAGCCACTGCAAAAACACACCAAAATATAAAGACCAATGATACTATGAAGAAACTGCATCAACTAATGTGCAAAATAAGCACTAGCATCATGATGACAGGATCCAATTCACATATAATATTAACCTTAAATGTAAACGGGCTAAATGCCCCAATTAAAAGACACAGACTGACAAATTGGATAAAGATTCAAGACCCATCAGTGTGCTGTATTCAGGAGACCCATCACACGTGCAAAGACACATATAAACTCAAAATAAAAGGACAGAGGAAGGAATATTTACCAAGCAAATGAAAGGAAAAAAGAAGTGGAGGTTGTGATCCTAGTCTCTGATAAAACAGAATTTAAACTAACAAAGATCAACAAAAACAAAGAAGGGCATTACATAATGGTAAAGGGATCAATGCAACAAGAAGATCTAACTATCCTAAATACATATGCATGCAATATAGGAGCACCCAAATTCATAAAACAAGTTCCTAGAGACCTGCAAAGAGACTTAGCCTCCCACACAATAATAGTGGGAGACTTTAACACCCCACTGTCAATATTAGACAGATCAATGAGCCAAAAAATTAACAAGGATATTCAGGACTTGAGCTCAGTTCTGGACCAAGTGGACCTAATAGATATCTACAGAACTCTCCACCCCAAATCAACAGAATATACATTCTTCTCAGCACCACATCACACTTATCCTAAAATTGACCACATAATTGAAAGTAAAACAGTCCTCAGCAAAATGCAAAAGCCAGAAATCATAACAAACAGTCTCTCAGACCACAGTGCAATCAAATTAGAACTCAGGATTAAGAAACTCACTCAAACTGCACATCTACATGGAAACTCAACAACCTGCTCCTGAATGTCTACTGGGTAAATAATGAAACTGAGGCAGAAATAAAGAAGTTCTTAGAAACAAATGAGAACAAAGACAAAATGTACCAGAATCTCTGGGACACAGCTAAAGCAGTGTTAAGAGGAAAATTTATAGCACTAAATGCCCACATGAGAAAGCAGGAAAGATCTAAAATCGACACCCTAACACCACAATTAAAAGAACTAGAGAAGAAAGAGCAAAGAAATTCAAAAGTTAGCAGGATACAAGAAATAACTAAGGTCAGAGCAGAACTGAAAGAGATAGAGACATGAAAAAACCCTTAAAAAAAAAATCAGTGGATCCAGGAACTGTTTTAAAAAAAAAAAAAAAAAAAAAAGATCAGCAAAATAGACCTCTAGCCAGACTAATAAAGAAGAGAGAAGAATCAAATAGACGCAATAAAAAATGATAAAGGGAATATCATCACGGATCCCACAGAAATACAAACTACCATCAGAGAATACTATAAACACATTTATGCAAAAAAAAAAAAAAAAACCTAGAAAATCTAGAAGAAATAAATTTCTGAACACTTAGACCCTCCCAAGACTAAACCAGGAAGTTGAATTCCTGAATAAACCAATAACAAGCTCTGAAATTGAGGCAGTAGTTAATAGCCTACCAACCAAAAAACACCTAGGACCAGACAAATTTACAGCCAAATTCTGCCAGAGGTAGAAAGAGGAGCTGGTACTATTCCTTCTGAAACTATTCCAAATAGAAAAAGAGGGACTCATCCCTAACTCATTTTATGAGGCCAGAATCATCCTGATACCAAAACTTGGCAGAGACACAACAACAATTCAGGCAATATCCCTAATGAACATCGATGCAAAAATCCTCAATAAAATACTGGCAAACCGAATCCAGCAGCACATCAAAAAGCTTATCCACCATGATCATGTCAGCTTCATCCCTAGGATGCAAGGCTGGTTCAACATATGCAAATCAATAAACAGAACCAATGACACAAACTACATGATTATCTCAATAGATCCAGAAAAGGCCTTCAATAAAATTCAACACCCCTTCATGCTAAAAACTGTCAATAAACTAGCTATTTATGGAACATCTCTCAAAATAATAAGAGCTATTTATGACAAACCCATAGCCAATATCATACTGAATGGGCAAAAGCTGGAAGCATTCCCTTTGAAAATCAGCACAAGACAAGTTTGCCCTCTCTCACTACTCTTATTCAACATAGTCCTGGAAGTTCTGGCCAAGGCAATCAGGCAAGAGAAAGAAATAAAGGGTATTCAATAGGAAGAAAGGAAGTCAAATTGTTTCTGTTTGCAGATGACATAATTGTATATTTAGAAAATCCCATTGTCTCAGCCCCAAAATTCCTTAAGCTAATAAAGGAACTTCAGCAAAGTCTCAGGATACAAAATCAATGTGCAAAAATCACAAGCATTCCTATACAACAATAGACAAGCAGAGAGCAAAATCACAAGTGAATTCCCATTCACAATTGCTACAAAGAGAATAAAATACCTAAGAATACAGCTTACAAGGGACTGAAAGGACCTCTTCAAGGAGATTTGCAAACCACTGCTCAAGGAAATAAGAAAGGATGCAGATAAATGGAAAAAACAATCCATGCCCATAGATAGGAAGAATCAATATTGTGAAAATGGCCATATTGCCCAAAGTAATTTATAGATTTAATGCTATCTCCATCAAGCTACCACTGACTTTCTTCACAGAATTAGAAAAAACTGCTTTAAATTTCATATGGAACCAAAAAAGAGCTTGTATAGCCAGAACAATCCTAAGCAAAAAGAACAAAGCTGGAGGCATTACACTACCTGACTTCAAACTACACTACGAGGCTACAGTAACCAAAACAGCATGGTACTGGTACCAAAACAGATATATAGACCAACAGAACAGAACAGAGGCCTCAGAAATAACACCACACATCTACAACCATTTGATCTTTGACAAACCTGACGAAAACAAGCAATGGGGAAAGGATTCTCTATTTAAAAAATGGTGCTGGGAAAACTGGCTAGCCATATGCAGAAAACTGAAGTTGGACCCCGTCCTTACACCTTATTCAAAAAAAAAAACTCAAGATGGATTAAAGACTTAAATGTTAAACCTAAAACCTAAAAACCCTAGAAGAAAACCTAGGCAATACCATTCAGGACATAGGTATGGGCAAAGGCTTCATGACTAAAACACCAAAAGCAATGGCAACAAAAGCCAAAATTAACAAATAGGATCTAATTAAACTAAAGAGCTCTGCACAGCAAAAGAAACTATCATCAGAGCGAACAGGCAACCTACAGAATGGGAGAAAATTTTTGCAATCTATCCATCTGACAAGGGTCTAATAGCCAGAATCTACAAAGAACTTAAATTTACAAGAAAACAACAACCCCATCAAAAAGTGAGCAAAGGATATAAACAGACACTTCAAAAGATGACATTTATGAGGCCAACAAGCCTATGGAAAAAAGCTCATCATCACTGGTCATTAGAAAAATGAAAATCAAAACAACAATAAGATACCATTTCATGCCAGTTAGAATGGCGATTATTAAAAAGTCAGGAAACAACAGTTGCTGGCAAGGATGTGGAGAAAGAGGAATGCCTCTACACTGTTGGTTGGAGGGTAAATGAGTTCAACCATTGTGGAAGAGAGTTGTGGCAATTCCTCAAGGTCTAGAACCAGAAACACCTTTTGACCCAGCAATCTCATTGCTGCATATATACCCAAAGGATTATAAATCATTCTACTATAAAGACACATGCACACATATGTTTATTGCAGCACTATTTACGATAGCAAAGACTTGGAACCAACCCAAATGCCCATCAATGACAGACTGGATAAAGAAAATATGGCACATATACACCATGGAATACTATGCAGCCATAAAAAAGAATGAGTTCATGTCGTTTGCAGTGACATGGATGAAGCTGGAAACCATCATTCTCAGCAAACTCACACAGGAACAGAAAACCAAACACCGCATGTTCTCACTCATGAATGGGATTGAACAGTGAGAATGCATGGACACAGGGAGAGAAACATCACACACCGGAGCCTGTCAGAGGGTTGGGGGGCAAGGGGAGGGAGAGTATTAGGACAAATACCTAATGCATGCGAGGCTTAAAACCTGGATGATGGGTTGATAGGTGCAGCAAACCACCATGGTACATGTATATCTGTGTAACAAACCTGCACATTCTGCACATGTATCCTATAACTTAAAGTAAAAATAAAATTTAAAAAAGAGTTCCCTTCTGGTCTTGGAGCCACCACTGGTAGAAAAAATCTAGAGCAGCACATGCAATAGAACTTTTTGCAATGATGGAGATAAATGCTTATATCTATGCTGCCCAATATGGTAGCCACTAAGCACATGTGGCTGCTAAATTTATTATTTTTCTCTTTCACAGGTAAGGAAACAGTGCCCACAACCATAGTTGGTGAATGGCAGAAGTGAGATGTGAATCCCGGAAGTCTGACTGGGAGGGATAACACATAGCTTGTGGCAGTAATGCAAATGTGTGGGGAACAGTGAAAAGGTAAAGTCAGGATTGTGGAAGAATTAATAGGATACAGCAAATGAGAAAAAATGATGGCCCTATAATCATACCATCACCAATGACATTTTTCACTCCCTATTAAGCCCACAGCAAGATTAAGGTGACACTATAGTCTATTGTCACATGTGAAAAATGCTTTCAGAGCAAAGTCCCATTACAGAACCTAGTCACTCTATTTCCAAGAAAGTAATAGATAACAATCTAATGGTAGCACAATAGATAAGACTATTACAGACTGAAGAAGAGAACATGGAAACAGTGCTCCGTGGCATTCACCAGTAAGTAATGAGATCATTACCCAGCAGTAGTTCAAGGCTAACAATAGCAAGATTTCTCTTCATTTATTATGCAGAATTACAGGGTAAATCTCCAAATTTTAAAATGAAAGAGGACAGTAGGCACAATCTTGTCCTATCCTTTCAGTTAATACATTAAAGAGATATACTAAAAAAAAAAAAATTTGAGGCAACTTGAGCACAGACTGGTAATTCCATAAAATTAAGGAATAATTTGTCATTTTATTAGGTATAATGATGGTACTGCTATTATGTTGCTGTCTTTTTTTAAGTTCTATATTTAACATATAGAACTCTACCTTTCTGAATGTTTGAAATTTTCATAACACTTTTAATTATAGCATAAAAAGAAGAGACAAAATGGTGCATGAAAATATAAAAGATAGTCAACATCTTTCATAATAAGAGAAATAGAAATGCTGAGATATCATGTAGGACCTATATAGTTAGAAAATATTTCAACAATTTGGCAACACTGTCTTTTGTGAAGACAATGAGGAAGCACGTACTCTTTTGTAGCAAATGGCAGTGAAAAGGGTAGCACATTATAGTGGGTTGAATTGTGTCCTACAAAAAGATGGGTTCAATCCTAACCCCTAGCATCTATGAATGTGACCTTAGTTAGAAATAGGGTCTTTACAGATGCAATCAAGTTAGGATGAGGTCATGCTGGATTAGGGTGGGCCCTAATCCAGTATCTGGTATCCTTACTGAATACAGAAATATACAGTTTGTGCACAGACACACACACACAGAGGGACGAACACCATGTGAAGACTGAGGCAGGGGTTACAAGCCAAGGAACTCCAAGATCGTCAGCAACCACCAGGAGCTAGAAAGAGTTAAGAAAGGATCCTCCCTTAGAGTCTTTAGAGAGCATAGTCCTGCCAACACCTTAATTTCATACTTCTAGCTTCCAGTGAGGGAAAAAATTTCTGTTGTTTTAAGCCACTCAGTTTGAGATAATTTGTTATTATAGCCCTAGGGAACTAATAAACTCTCCTATGATATGGAATTTGGCAATATCTCACAAAACTAGATATACATTTAAGCTTTGATTCAGAAATCCCACATTCAGGAATTTAACCTGAATACATCTCAAAAAAAGAAAAAAATAGATATAAGGTTGTTAAAATAGTGTTATTTGTACCAAGTATGAAAAATAAGCCAAATGTCCATTCGTTAGAAAATGCTTTGAATGCCCAAGCACAGTGGCTCAGGCCTGGAACCCTAGCACTTTGGGAGGCTGAGGTAGGAGGACTGTTTGAGACCAGGAGTTCAAAATCAGCCTAAGCAACACAGTGAGACACTATCTCTGTTACAAATAGATATGCTGTTTTTTAAAAAAGAAATTTGGTTGATTAAATTATGGTATATTTATACATGGAACAATTTAAACAATTCAGCGCTTTAAAAAAGTAAAGCTCTGTAAAATATGTTACTATTTCCACATCATATTATTAAGAGATAAAATGAAGTTTCAAGAGAGCATGTATAGTATGCAAATTTTTGTGCCAGAAAAAAGGAGAAATAAGACTATGAATATATATATTAAATATTTTTTTTTCATAGAGACGAAGTCTCACTATATTTCCCAGGCTGGTTTCAAACTCCTGAGCTCAAGCAATCCTCCCACCTCAGCCTCCCAAAATGCTAGGATTACAGGCATGAGCTACCATGCCTGGCCTATATTTAATATTATAATAATTTTAAATTTGCAAAAAGAAACAAATATAGGAGCAACCAGAAATTAATAAAAGTATTACCTATATAAGATGGGTGGCAACAGGGACTGTATAATTTTTACTTTAAATCATGTTAAGATTTTTACATCTTCAAAACCTAAAATTAACTCAAAAAGGATAGAATTCTGAAACTGACCTTAAGTTGTGTATCAAATTAATAATATCTACATTGTTTTTTAAAATTAATTCAAATATATCTTGAACCCAGTATGCTGATATTGTCCTCCATGGCATAGTATAAGAACAGTATCAACTGCAAAGGAATCTTAAATTTTACTTAAGGTTTATTATTCGTAACTGTATTGGTGTTGATTTTTAATATATTTATTGTAAGATAGAGCAAATAAATAAATATATTGATATTACTCACAGGTTTCTCACTGTGGAATAAGAACACAGGAACAAGAGGAAGGACCCTGTAGCACTGGACTGAAATTAAAGAATCAGAATTAATATATATGTATGTATATTTTCCTGCTAGCTGTGTCAACTTGAAAAGGACTAAAAGCAATGACACCTCAGAATAGCAAGTAACACAGCTGGCACACAAATCTAATTTGTAAATGCCATTCACCAGTGAATGGAACTGAAGATCTTGAGAAGTTGGCTACATTACAGATTGGGGCAGTGAAAGACAGGAGAGCCTAGAATATAATTGTGCCAGAAAAGAAGTGATCAAAAATTGATAAGGATCTTCTAAGATAGTCATATGAGAAACCTTATAAACTAACTGTCCAGTGAAATAAAAATGACCAGTGAAAACTGTTTGAAAGACAATAGTCTGTGAAAATTGTCCCAAGGGCATACAGTGAAACAAAAAAATTTATTCAAAAAAGATCTACTAAAACTTGCTTAAAAAAAAACAAAAAACAAATAAAAACACTGCAAGGTAACTTTTGAGGTAAACCCATTCCTTCCCTTTCTCCTAATCTCAACTTAGCTTGACAAAAGCTCCACTCTAGGTGGATGTGGCTACCATTTCAGGGCTCCCTCTCCCCTCAGCCTCCAGTCAAGGGATACAGTTTCTTACCCACAGCATAGGTCAGAGCATTTCTCACACCCTCCAACTCCGAGTAAAAAGACTTCCCCATCCAGCTTCCAGAAGAGTGACTTAAAGAATTTACCCAAGGGGAGAGGCAGTTCATAAGAACAGAGCTCTAAAACTCTCCCCAAATAAGCTTACTTTTTTTTTTGAAACAGAGGGTAGAGAAGTTCAAGCTTCAGAATGCTCTCAAAAACAATAGGTTCTCTTAATTAAGAACAACAAACCATAGGCCAGCTAGTTCACCAGACAGAGTGAGAGAAATGTAAGACCCCTCCTGGGGTCAGAATAAACCTCAAAGACAAGCTATCCCCATCAAGCTTAATTGGATCATAGTGTGGAATAATTTGTGCCCCCAGGGAATTGTCTAGAAGAATAGAGAGGTCACCTGGCAAGGAGTGGAACCAAAACTCTGTGGCTGTAATAACAAATGAAGTTCTAATGGATGAGAAAAACAGATGGTCCCAGGGCCAGGATAACTGTGCACACACCCAAGGCTGCTCCCTGTGCAGAGCAAAACCAAAGGCTTCACACTTGGGAGGATAAACAACTCACTTAAATAGTCTAGCCAAGTAACTAAATAAACAAGCAACAACAACAAAAACAAGGTCCACAGGGGGCACAGACTTGGTCGATGGAATTATGCAATATATTACCTAGAATGTCCACTTTTTAACAACAACAAAAAAAGATATGCAAAGAACAGGAAAGAGTGACCCATATGTAGGGGAAAAAAGGGGGGGCAAAAAGACAGTCTATGAGAGAGCTCAGATATCAAATTTAAGAAAGATGTCAACATTATCTTTATAAATATCTTCCAAGAACTAATTTTACTTGAATGAGGAAAGGAAGCTATGATAGAATGTCTCTTTAAATAGAGAATAGATAGAAATTATTTTTTAAGGCAAACCAAATGGAAATTCTGGCATTAAAAAATACAATAACTGAAATGAACAATTTACTAAAGGGACTCAACAGTAGCTTTGACTGGCAGAAGAAAGAATCAGTAAATCTGACATTAGGTCAGTAGACTTAATAAAATCCAGGAAACAAAGAATGAACAGAGCATCATAATAAAATCATTAAATATACCAGAAACAAAAAAAAATCCATCTCAACATAATAGAGGCCTTATAAGAAAGGCCCACAGATAATCTCATACTTGATGGTGAAAGACTGAAAGCTTTCTAAGAATGAGAACGAGAAAAAAAAGATCATGTTTTGCCACTTCTATTCAATACTGTACTGAAAGTTCTAGCTAGAGCAACTATTCAGGAAAAATAAGAGGCATCTAAATCTGAATGGAAGAAGTAAACTTAGCTCTGTTCACAGACAACATGATCTTATACGTAGAAAGCCCTAACAATTCTACCAAAAAAATCCATTAGAATAAATGAATTCACCAAAGTTGCAGAATACAAAATTAATATACACATACACCAATTGTGTTTTTATATTAATAATGAACAATCCTGGAAGGCCAAGGCGGGTGGATCACGAGGTCAGGAGATCAAGACCATCCTGGCTAACACGGTGAAACCCCAACTTTACTAAAAATACAGAAAATTAGCCGGGCGTGGTGGTGGGCGCCTGTAGTCCCAGCTACTTGGGAGGCTGAGGCAGGAGAATGGCGCAAACCCAGGAGGCAGAGCTTGCAGTGAGCTGAGATTGCGTCACTGCACTCCAGCCTGGGTGACAATGTGAGATTCTGTCTCAGAAAAAAAAAAAAAAATGAACAATCCAAAAAGGAAATCAAGAAAACAATTCCATTTACAATAACATAAAAAAGAATGAATATGTAGGAATAAATTTAACCAAAGAGATTAAAGACTTATACATTAAAAACCACAAGGCATTGTTTAAAGAAATTAAAGAAGATAAAAATAAAGACATGACATGCTTATGAATTAGAAGACTTAACATTATTAAGAGGTCAACACTTCACAAAATGATGAACAGATTTAATTTTTATTGCAATACCTATAAAAATCCCAATGGCATTTTTTGCAGAAATAGAAAAATCCATCCTGAAACTCACATGAAGCCTCAGAGCCCGAACAGCCAACACAATCTTGAAAAAGAAAAAGTTGGAGGTCTCACACTTCCTAATTTCAAAACTTACTACAAAGCCACCATAATCAAAACAGTGTAGTAATGGCAAAAGACAGGTATATGGAATAGACCAATGGGATAGAAAAGTGAGTCTAGAAATAAACCCTCACATACATGATCAAATGATCTTCAACAAGGGTGTGAAGACCAAAGAATGGGGAAAGGACAGCCTTTTTAACAAATAGTGCTGAGAAAACTGGATATCTACATAAAAAGTAATTAAATAGGACCCTTACTTTAAACCATATACCAAAATTAACTCAAAATGGATTCAAGACCTAAATGTAAGACCTAAAACTATAAAACTTTCTGAAGAAAACATAAGGGAAAGCTTCCTGATATTGGATTTGGCAGTGATTTCCTAGCCATTACACTAAAATTGCAGGAAACAAAAATAAATAAGTTAGACTACATCAATATGTAAAATGTCTGTGCATCAAGGGACACAACCAACAGAATTCAAGAGCAAGCTACTAAATGGGAGAAAATATTTGCAAATCATATCTGGCAAAAGGTTAATATCTAGAATATACAAAGAACACCTACAACTCAAAAAAAAATTCTATAACTAAAGAACATGAATAGACATTTCTGCAGATATGATACACAAGTGGCCAAAAAGCATATGAAATGATGCTTAACATAGTAATGTTAAGTAAGGAAAGTACAAATCAAAACCACAATGAGATACCGCCTCACACCAATTAGGATAGCTACTATAGAAAGAAAGGAAGGAAGGGAAGGAAGGGAAGGAAGGGAGGGAAGGGAAAAGAAAATAAAAGAACAAGTGTTAGTGAGAGTGTGAAGAAATTGGAGCCTTTATGACCTGTTGGTGGGAATGTAAAATTATGCAACCTCTAAGGAAAACAGTATGGAAGTTACTTTTAAAAATAAAAATAGAATTTCATATGACCCAGCAATTTCACTGTTAGATATATACCCCCCAAAAGTTGAAAACAGGATCTCCAAGAGATATTTACACAACCCTATTCATAGCAACACTATTCACAATGGCCATGATGTGGAAGTAATCCAAGTGCCCAACAACAAATGGGTAAACAAAATGTGCTCTCTCTATGTATGTGTGTGTGTGTGTGTGTGTATGTATATATATGTATATATGTGTATATATGTATATATGTGTATATATATGTATATATGTATATACATACACACACACATATATAGGTACACACACACACATATACATACAATGGAAAATTATTCATTCTTACAAGGGAAAGAAAATCTGACACATGCTATAACATGGATGAATCTTGAGGTCATTATGCTAAGTGAAATAAGCCAGTCACAAAAAGATAAATATTGCATGATCCTTTTATTTGAGGTATCTAGAGTAGTCAACTTCATTGAAACAGAAGGTAACACAGTGGTTTCCAGGGGATGGGTGGAGGAGAGAATAAGGGGTTACTGTCTAATAAGTGTAGAGTCCCAGTTTTGCAAAAATTCTGGAGATTGGTCACACAACAATACGAATGTACTTAACACTTCTAAACTGTATATTTAGATATAGCTAAAATTGTAAATTTTATGTATCTATTACCACTATTACATTTTTTAAAAATTAATATAAACAGGGTGCTGAGCCAGGATCTGTGCCTAACTCAAGCAGGGGCGGAGTCTACACTCAGGAAACAGAGGGATGGGTCACACAGGTTTCTTGGCTGCTGTGAGACCTAAGTGTGTCTCCTTCCACAGCGCTGGCCCAGTAAGGGTAGGGCCTACTTCCCTGCTGGATCTCTGCCCAAGGGAGCCCCATGGCAAGAAACATCTAACAACAAATTTAAAAAATTGTGGCTGGGCACAGTGGTTCATGCCTGTAATCCCAGCACTTTGGGAGGCCAAGGTGGGTGGCTCACCTGAGGTCGGGAGTTCGAGACCAGCCTGACCAACATGGAGAAACCCCGTCTCTACTAAAAATACAAAATTAGCTGGGCATGGTGGCGCATGCCTGTAATCCCAGCTACTTGGGAGGCTGAGGCAGGAGAATTGCTTGAACCCAGAGGCAGACAGAGGTTGCGATGAGCTGAGATCATGCCATTGCACTCCAACTTGGGCAATAAGAGCAAAACCCCATTTCAAAAAAAAAAAAAATTGGGGACACAGTGCCAGTGATCAGAGGTGGCTCTCCCAAGACCCAGGTGCAGACCTGGTAAGGGGGTCAAAACTTCTCTCCCACTTGCACTGCAGAGCACAGCTGCAAACATGAGGATACCTGTTGCAGGAAGTCAGAGATCCTGAATGGAGGGACTGGCTGAAGCCATGGTAGAAGAACATAAATTGTGAAGATTTCATGGACTTTTATTAGTTCCCCAAATTAAAACTTTTATAATTTCTTACACCTGTCTTTACTGCAATCTCTGAACATGAATTGTGAAGATTTCATGGACACTTATCACTTCCCCAATCAATATTCTTGTGATTTCCTATGCCTGTCTTTACTTTAATCTCTTAATCCCGTCATCTTCGGAAGCTGAGGAGGTATGTTGCCTCAGGACCCTGTGATGATCGCGTTAACTGCACAAATTGTTTGAACAATATGAAATCTGGGCACCTTGAAAAAAGAACAGGATACAGCGATGTTCAGGGAACAAGGGAGATAACCATTAGGTCTGGCTGCCTGAGAGCTGGGTGGAAGAGTCATATTTCTCTTCTTTCAAAAGTAAATAGGAGAAATACTGCTGAATTCTTTTTCTCAGCAAGGAACATCCCTGAGAAAGAGAATGCATTCCTAGGGAGCGGTATCTAAAATGGCCACTCTGGGGACGTCTGTCTTTTACGGTTGAAGATAAGGGATGAAATAAGCCCCAGTCTCCTGTAGCATTCCCAGGCCTATTAGGACAAGGAAATTCCAGCCCAATAAATTTTGGTCAGACCGGTTGTGTGCTCTCAAACCCTGTCTCCTGATAAGATGTTATCAATGATAACGCGTGCCTGAAACTTCATTAGCAATTTTAATTTTGCCCCAGTCCTGTGGTCCTGGGATCTCGCCCTGCCTCCATTTGCCTTGTGATATTTTATTACCTTGTGAAGCATGTGTTCTGTGACCCACACCCTATTCATACACTCCCTCCCCTTTTGAAAATCACCAATAAAAACTTGCTGGTTTTGTGGCTTGGGGGGCATCACGGAACCTGCCGACATGTGATGTCTCCCCTGGACACCCAGCTTTAAAATTTTCTCTCTTTGTACTCTTTCCCTTTATTTCTCAGACCGGCCGACACTTAGGGAAATAGAAAGGAACTCATGTTAAATTATCAGGGGTGGGTTCCCCCGATAGGGACCCAAAGGAGCAGTGTGGCTGAGTAAGAGCCTTTCTACCACCCATTGCTCTCAGCACCATCTACTAGATCACAGCTTTAACTGTAATACCAAAAAAAAAAAAAAAACTTCACTAATTCTCCCTTCTATGAAACCAAAGGCAAGAATTCAACAAAAGACCCTGTACAGAGCCTCAGCCCTCTAAAAACTTCCAGAAATAAAGCCAACTGACTATACTCAATTTACACCCCAGTTAAAGGCACACCAACACTCTCAGATGAGAAAGAACCAGTGCAAGAATTACAGCAATTCAAAAAGCCAGAGGGTCTTCTTACCTCCAAATGAGCCCACTAGCTCCACAGCAATCATTCCTAACCAATCTGAAATGACTTAAATGACAGACATGGAATTCAGTTCTGGATGGCAAAGAAGCTCATCAAGATCCAGGAGAAAGTGAAAACCCAATCCAAGGAAGCCAAGCAATACAGTAAAACAATTCAAGAGCTAAAAGACAAAACAGACATTTTTAAAGCCCTGAACTGAACTCCTTGATTTGAAAAACAGAATGCAAGAATTTCATAATACAATCAGAAGTATTAACAATGTAATAGACCAAACTGAGGAAAGAATTACAGAGCTCAAAGATCAGCTCTTTGAATCAACTCAGTCAGACAAAAAGAAAAAGAATTTTTTAAAATGAACAAAACCTCTGAGAAATATGGGATTATATAAGGAGACCAAATCTATGTCTCATTGGCATCCCTTACAGAGGAGACAGGATAAGCAACTTGGAAAATGTATTTGAGTATATAGTCTACAAAAATTTCCCTAATCTTGCTAGAGATGTTAACATGCAAATTCAGGAGATACTGAGAATCCTGCCTAGATCAAATACAAGATGACCATCCCCAAGACACTTAGTTATGAGGTTCATTGAGATGAACACAAAAGAAAACATCTTAAAGGCAGCTAGAGAAAAAGGTCAGGTCACACACAGAGGGATCCCCATCAGGCTGGCAGTGGACCTAGCAGCAGAAACCTTATGAGTCAGAAGTGATTGGGGACCCTATATTCACCAACTTAAAGATAATAAATTCCAACCAAGAATTTCATATTCCACCAAACTAAACTTCATAAGTGAGGGAAAAATAAAATCCTTCTCAGACAAGCAAATGCTAAGCAAATTCATTTCAACTAGACCAGCTCTACAAGAGGTCCTTAAGGGAGTACTAAACATGGAATCAAAAGAACATTATGTATAGGTGGGAATAGAACAATGAGAACACTTGGACACAGGAAGGGGGAAGGGGAACATCACACACCGGGGCCTGTCATGGAGTGGGGGCAGGGGGGAAGGATAGCATTAGGAGATATACCTAATGTAAATGACGAGTTAATGGGTGCAGCACACCGACATGGCACATGTATACATATGAAACAAACCTGCACGTTGTGCACATGTACCCTAGAATTTAAAGTATAATAAAAAAAAGAATACCAAAAAAAAGAACATTATGTGATATCACAAATACTCACTTAAGCACATAGCCCAAAGACAGTATAAAGCAACTACACAACCATGTCTACACAACGACCAGCTAATGAAAGGAAGATGGGATCAAAATCTCACATATCAGTACTAACCCTGAATATAAACAGGTTAAACACTCAACTTAAAAGACAGAGTGGGAAGCTGGATAAAAAGACAAGACCCAACTGTCTGTGGTCTTCACAAGACCCATCTCACACATAACGACACCCACATTATCAAAGTAAAGGATTAGAGAAAGACCCACTGTGCAAACAAAAAACAAAAAAGATCAGGATCACTACTCATATCAGACAAAAGAGACTTTAGGCTTTTAATAATTAAGAAGGACAAAGAAGGGCATTACATAATGATAAATGACACAACTCAACAAGAAGACTAAACTATTATAAATATATATGTACCCAACATTAGAGCATCCAGATTCATAAAACAAGTTCTTCTTGACCTACAAAAAGACTTAGATGGCCACACAATAGTGGGAAACTTTAACACCCCACTGACAGCATTAGACAGATCACTGAGGCAGAAACACCTCAGTGACAGCATTAGATAGATCATTGAGGCAGAAAACTAACAAAGAAACTCTGGACTCAACACTTAATCAATTGGACCTAAAAGACATCTACCAGAACACATCTACCAGGAGGAGTTCCTCACAACACAGCATAGCTGCTATGATAGTTTGTAGCCAGACTGCTTCTTTAAGTGGGACCCTGATCCATCCCTCCTTACTGGACAGGGCCTCCCTGCAGGAATTTCAGCAGTTCCAGCCAGGTTTATATGGACAGAACTCTGATCTCTTCCTGGGATGGAGCCTCTGGAGGGAGAGGCAACCACAGAATATACATTTTTCTCATCTGCACATGGAACATATTCCAAGATCAATCACATGCTACATCATAAAGCAAGTCTCAAAAAAAAAAAAAAAAAATAGCAAGCACAATCTTGGACAACAGTGCAATAAAAAGAGAAATCAATACCAAGAAGATCTCTTAAAACTACACAAATACATGGAAATTAATTAAAACATTATTAAAACTTATTAATTAAAACATTAAAACTCTTGGGTAAACAACAAAAATAAATCAGAAGTCTAAATATTCTTTGAAATTATTGAAAATAGGGACACCACTTACCAAAATCTCTGAGATACAGCTAAAGCAGTGTTAAGAGGAAAGTTTAACCACATGTTCTCACTTATAAGTGGGAGCCGAATGATGATAACACATGAACACATAGTGGGGGGATCAATGCACACTCAGGCCTTCCAGTGGGGGTGGAGGGAGGTAGAGCATCAGGAAGAATAGATAATGGATGCATGGCTTAATACATAGGTGATGGGTTGATCTGTGCAGCAAACCACAATGGCACACGTTTACCTGTTTAACACAACTGCACGTCCTGTACATGTACCCCAGAACTTAAAAGTTTAAGAAATAAAAAAAGGAAAGTTTATAGCACTAAGTGCCTTTATCAAAAAGTTAGATCTCAAATTAACAACCTGAATTTACACCTAAAGGAACTAGAAAAAAAGAAAAGAAGAAAAGCGCAAACCAATCCCAAAGCTAGCATAAGAAATAATTACAATTATAGAAGATCTGAACAAAATTGAGATGAAAAAAAATCCATAAAAAGATCAATGAAACAAGAGTTGGTTATTCAAAAGAATAAGTAAAACTGATAGATCTTTAGATAGATTAACAAAAAAAAGAAAGAAGTTCCACAATCAGAAATGACCAAGGTGATACTGCAATTATTTGCACAGAAATACAAAAGATCCTCAGGCTACTATCAATAACTCTTTGCACACAAATCTAGAGGAAAGGGGTGGGCCAAGATGACCAATTAGAAGCAGCTGCAGTCCATGGTGCTCATGAAGAGGAATGAAAATGGCAAGTGAATTCTGCACCTTCAACTGAGGTATCCAGGTTCTTACATTGGGAATGACTAGGGGGATGGCTGGACCCAGAGAGAGCAAAGAAAAGCAGGATGGGGCAAATGGCCCACCCAGCAGCAGAACAGAGCCAAGGGAGCCCCACCCCCAGTCAAGGGAGGTGGTGAGCAATTGTGTGACCTGGAAACCACACTTTTTCCATGGATCTTTGCAACCCATGAATCAGGAGATCCCCTTGTGAGCCCATGCCACCAGGGCCTTGGGTCTGAAGCACAAAGTTGTGCAGTCTCAGCAAAGTGGACACTCAGGCACACACAGAAACCCAGGAGTTTTGTATACCCAAGCCCTGGGAATTCTGGCAAGGTGGGAGATCCATCCAAGCATTCCCCCAGGAAGGGGAATGCTCAGATAAATCTGAGCTCAGACACATTCTCTGAATCCAGGGAGCTAAGTAGCATCATTCTGTGGGCCCAACGGCTACAGCACGTAACAAGTTAAGACCCACTGGCTTGGAATTCCAGCCAGCCAGTGGCAGCAGGCTAGAGACTGCCTGAGATAGACTGAGTTCCCGGGGGTAGTGGTAGCTGCTACCTCTGTGGTTTGAGTTGGCCATTCTAGCCTGCTGGCTCCAGGGAGTCTGGGTGGTCCAGACCAGGAGGAGTTCCTCTCAACACAGAGCATAGCTGCTATGATAGTTTGTAGCCAGACTGCTTCTTTAAATAGGACCCTGTTCCATCCCTCCCCACTGGGCAGGGCCTCCCTGCAGAAATTTCAGCAACTCCAGCCAGGGTTATATGGACAGAACTCTGACTTCTCCCTGGGATGGAGCCCCTGGAGGGAGGGGCAGCCACCCTTTCTGTGGTTCAGCCAACTTAGCCTTTTCAGCCTGCTGGCTCTGGCGAGGCCAGGCAGTGTGGATGGGGGGGTGGGGCGGGGGTTTCCTCCAGCACAGTGTACCTGCTTTGCCAAGGGGCAGCCACACTGCTTCTTTAAGAGGGTCCCTGATCCTGATCCCATTCCTCCTGACTGGGTGAGACCTCCCAACAGGGGGCTCCAGACACCATCTACAGGAGCATTTGGGCTGGCATCAGGTCAGTGCCTCCCTAGGACAGAGCTTCCAGAAGAAGGAGCAGGCTGCCATCTTTGCTGTTTCTCAGCCTTCACTGGTAATATCTCCAGGTACAGGAGGGACCAAGGTGTATAGGGTGTGGAGCAGACCCCCAGCAAACCACAGTAGCTCTACAGAAGAGTGGCCTGTTAAAAGTAAAACAAACAGAAAGCAACAACATCATCAACAAAAGAGACCCCACAAAAACCACATTCAAAGGTCAGCAACCTCAAAGGTCAATGGCAGATAAGCCCACAAAGATGAGGAAGAATGAATGCAAAAATGCTGAAAACTCAAAAAGCCAGAGTGCCTCTTCTCTAAATGTCCACAACACCTCTCCAGCAAGGACACAGAACTGGGCTGAGGCTCAGATGGCTGAACTGACAGAAGTAGACTTCAGAAGGTGGGTAATAACAAACTTCACTGAGCTAAAGGAGCATGTTCTAGCCCAAAGCAAAGAAGCTAAGAATCATGATAAAACAATACAGGAGCTGGTAACCAAAATAGCCAATTCAGAGAGGAGCATAACTGATCTGATGGAGCTGAAAACACAACATGAGAACTTCACAATGCAATCATGAGTATCAATAGCAGAATAGACCAAGTGGAGGAAACCATCTCAGGGCTTGAAGACTATCTTTCTGAAATAAGACAGGCAGACAAGAATAGAGAAAAAAGAACTAAAAGGAATGTACAAAACTTCAGAGAAATATAGGATTATGTAAATAGACTGAACCTACAACTGATTGGGGTAACTGAAAGAGATAGGGAAAATGGAACCAAGTTGAAAAACATACTTCAGAATATCATCCAAGAGAACTTCCCCAACCTATCAAGACAGGCCAACATTCAAATTCAGGAAATCCAGAGAGCCCCAGTAAGATACTCAATGAGAAGATCAACCCCAAGACACATAGTCAGATTCTCCAAGGTCTAAATGAAAGAAAAAAATGTTTAGGGCAGCCAGAGAGAAATGCCAGGTCACCTACAAAGGGAAACCCACCAGACTAACAGTGGACCTCTCAGGAGAAACCCTACAAGCCAGAAGAAATTGGAGGCCAATATTTCACATTCTTAAAGAAAATTTTCAACCCAGAATTTCATATCAGGTCAAACTAAGCTTCATAAGCAAAGGAGAAATAATATTGTTTGAAGACAAGCAAGTTCTAAGGGAATTTATCACCATCTGGCCTGCCTTGCAAGAGCTCCTGAAGGAAGCACTAAGCATGGAAAGGAAAAACCATTACCAGCCACTAAAAAAACACACTGACAGACCAGTGACACTTTGAAGCAACCACATGAACAAGTCTGCAAAATAACCAACTATCATCATGGTGACAGGATCAAATTCACACATAACAATATTAACTTTAATATAATGAGCTAAATGTCCAATTAAAAGACACAGAAGGGCAAGCTGGATAAAGAATCAAGATCTATCAGTATGCTGTCTTCAACAGACCCATCACATGTGCAAAGACACAGAAAGGCTCAAAATAAAAGGATGGAGGAATATTTAACAAGCAAATAGAAAACAGAAAATAAAGCAGGAGTTGCAATACTAGTTTCTGACAAAACACTTTAAACCAACAAAGATCAAAAAAAGATAAAGAAGGGCATTACATAATGGTAAAGAGTTCAATTCAACAAGAGCTAACTATCCTAAATATATATACACCCAATACAGGAGCACCCAAATTCATAAAACAAATTTTTAGAGACCTACAAAGAGACTTATAATAATGAATAAGACTTTTAATAATGAATAATGACACAGAATAATAATGGGAGACTTTAACATCCCACTGACAATATTCGACAGATCATCAAGACAAAAATTTAACAGATATTCAGGATCGGAACTTATCTCTGGAGCAAGTGGACCTGATGGCTATCTACAGAACTCTCTACCCAAAAACAGAATATACATTCTTCTCATCCTTACAAGGCACATAATCAGAAATAAAACATTACTCAGCAAATGCAAAAAAAAAAAAGAACAAAAAAAACCCTGAAACAGTCTCTCACACCACAGCATAATCAAATTAGAGCTCAAGAATCATAAACTCACTCAAAACCACACAACTACATGAAAATTGAACAACGTGCTCCTGAATGACTCCTGGGTAAATTAAGTCAGAATCAAGTTCTTTGAAGCTAATTAGAACAAAAAGACAACAAACCAGAACCCCTGGGACATAGCTAAAGCAGTATTAAGAGGGAAATTTATGCCTACATCAAAAAGCTAGAAATATCTCAAATCAACAACCTAACATCACAACTAAAAGAACTAGAGAACCAAGAGCAAACAAACCCTAAAGCTAGCAGAAGACAAGAAATAACCAAGATCAGAGCAGAACTGAAAGACACAAAAATCCTTCAAGAATAAATAAAATTAAAATTGATGAATCTAGGAGCTGCTTCTTTGAAAAAAATTAATAAAACAGGTAGACCACTAGGTAGGCTAATAAAGAAGAAAAGAGAGAAGAATAAAATAGACGCAATCAGAAATGATAAGGGGGATATTACCACTGACCCCACAGAAATACAAACGACCATCAGAGAATACTATAAATAACTATGCAAATAAACTAGAAAATCTAGAAGAAATGGATATAGTCTGGACACATACACCCCACCAAGACTGAACCAGGAAGAAATTAAATCCCTGAATAGACCAGTAACAAGTTCTGAAATTGAGGCAGTAATAAATAGCCTACCGACCAAAAAAAGCCCAGGACCACACAGATTCATAGCTGAATTCTACTAGAGGTA
This sequence comes from Homo sapiens, assembly GCF_000001405.40. Classification (NCBI taxonomy): domain Eukaryota; kingdom Metazoa; phylum Chordata; class Mammalia; order Primates; family Hominidae; genus Homo; species Homo sapiens. Next base: position 75,305,566 of record NC_000009.12, on the reverse strand, counting down.
CAAAGTGCTGGTACTATTTTTACTGAAACTATTCCAAACAATGGAAAAGGAGGGACTCCTCCCTAATTTATTCTATGCAGCCAGCATCATCCTGATACCAAAACCTGGCAGAGATACAACAAGAAACAAAAACTTCAGATCAATATCCCTAATGAATAGTAATGCAATAATCCTCAATAAAATACCGGCAAACCAAATTCAGCAGCACATAAAACAGCTTATCCACCAAAATCAAGGTGGCTTCATCCCCAGGATGCAAGGTTGATTCAACATATGTAAATCAATAAATCTAATTCATCACATAAACAGAACAAAAGACAAAAACCACATGATTATCTCAATAGATGCAGAAAAGGCCTTTGATAAAATTCAACATCTCTCATGTTAAAAACTCTCAATAAACTAGGTATTGAACGAACATACCTTGAAATAATAAAAGTCATATATGTCAGACCCACAGCCAATATACTGAATGGGCAAAAGCTCGAAGCATTTCCCCTGAAAACCAGCAAAAGACAAGTATGCCCTCTCACCACTCCATTTAACATAGTATTGGAAGTTCTGGCCAGGGCAATCAGGCAAGAGAAAGAAAGAAAGCATATTCAAACAGGAAGAGAGGAAGTCAAATTATCTTTGTTTGCAGATGACATAATTCTATCTCTAGAAAATCCCATCATCTCAGCCCAAAAACTTCTTAAGCTGATAAGCAACTTCAGCAAAGTCTCAGGATAAAAAAATCAATGTGCAAAAATTGCTAGCATTTCTATACAACAACAACAGTTAAGCCTTGTGCCAAATCATGAATCAACTCCCATTCATAAGTCTTACAAAGAAAACAAAATACCTAGGAGTACAGCTAAAAAGGGAAGTAAAGAGCCTCTTCAAGGAGAACTACAAACCACTGCTCAAAAAAAATCAGAGATGACACAAACAAATGGAAAAAATCCCATGCTCATGGAGAGGAAGAATCAATATGGTGAAAATGGTCATACTGCCCAAAGTAATTTATAGATTCAATGCTATTCCCATTAAACTTCCATTGAAATTCTTCACAGAATTGGAAAGATCTTAAAATTCATATGGAACAAAAAAGAGCCTGAAGAGTCAAGACAATCCTAAGCAAAAACAACAAAGCAGGAGGTAACATGCTACCCAACTTCAAACTATACTACAAGGCTACAGTAACCAGAATAGCATGGTATTGGTACAAAAACAGACACACAGACCAATGGAACAGAATAGAGAACTCAGAAATGAGACTGCACACCTACAACCATCTGATCTTCAACAAACCTGAGAAAAAACAAGCAATGGGGAAAGGATTCCCTATTTAATAAATGGTGCTGGGAGAAGTGGCTAGCCATATACAGAACCCTGAAACTGGAACCCTTCCTTACACCATATACAAAAATTAACTCAAGATGGATTAAGATTTAAATGTAAAACCCAAAACCATAAAAACCCTAGAAGAAAATCTAGGCAATACCATTCAGAGCATAGGCATGGGCAAATGAAATGTTTCATGATGAAAATGCCAAAAGCAATTGCAACAAAAGCAAAAATTGACAAATGGGATCTAATTGAACCAAAGAGCTTCTGCACATCAAAAGAAACTCTAATCAGAGTGATCAGATAACCTACAGAATGGGAGAAAATTTTTGCAATCTATCCATCTTACAAAGGTCTAATATCCAGAGTCTACAAGAAACTTAAACAAATTTACAAGTAAAAAAAAAATTAAAATAAGCAAAGGACAGGAACTGACACTTCTTAAAAGAAGACATTTATGCAGCCAACAAGCATATGTAAAAAAGCTCAGTATCACTGATCATTAAAGAAATGCAAATCAAAACCATAATGAGATACCATCTCACAATGGTCAGAATGGCAATTATTAAAAAGTCAAGAAATAGATGCTGGCAAGGTTGTCGAGGAAAAGGAACACTTTTACACTGTTCATGGGAGTGTAAATTAGTTCAACCATTGTAGAAGACAGCATGGAAATGCCTCAAAGATCTAGAAGCAAAAATAGCATTTGACCTAGCAATCCCATTACGGGGTATATACCCAAAGGAATGTAAATCGTGATTACAAAGATACATGCATGCATATGTTCTCTGTAGCACTATTCACAATAGCAAAGACATAAAATTAACCCAAATGCCCATCAATGATAGGCTGGATAAAGAAAATATGGCACATATACACCATGGAATACTATGCAGCCATAAATAGGAATGAGATCATGTCCTTTGCAGGTACATGGATGGAGCTGGAAGCTATTATCCACAGCAAAGTAACAGGAACAGAACACCAAGCACCATGTGTTCTCACTTTTAAGTAGGAGCTGAACAATGAGAACACATGGACACATGGGGGGGAAAAACACACTAGGACCTGTCAGGGGCAATGGGGAGGGAGAGCATCAGGAAGAATAGCTAATGGATGCTAGGCTTAATACCTAGGTGATGAGTTGATCTGTACAGCAAACCAACATGGCACACATTTACCTATGTAACATGCTTGCTCATCCTGCACCTGTACCCCAAAACTTAAAATAAAAGTTGAAGAAAAAAAAAAAGGAAATCTAGAGGAAATGGATGAATTTCTGCATGCACACAAGATCCCATGATTGAATCAGGAAGAGATTGAAACCCTGAACAGGCATCAACTTTTAAAATTGAATCAGTAATAAAGAACCTACCAACCAAAAAAAAGCCCTGGACCAGATGAATTCACAGCTGAATTCTACCAGGCATACAAATAACTGATACCGGCCAGGCACAGTGGCTCGTGCCTGTAATCCTAGCACTTTGGGAGGCCAAGAGGGGCAGATCGCTTGAGGTCAGATGTTCAAGACCAGCCTGGCCAACACGGCAAAACCCCGTCTCTACTAAAAATACCCAAAAATATTATCCGAATGTGATGCCGGGTGCCTGCATTCCCAGCTACTCAAGAGACAGAGGCAGGAGAATTACTTGAATCCAGGAGGTGAAGGCTGCAATGAGCCAAGATCACACCACTGCACTCCAACTTGGGTGACAGAGTGAGACTCCATCTCAAAAAAAACTTAATAACTGATACTAATCCTACTGAAACTATCCCAAAAGAATCAAGGATGAGGGGTTCCTCCCTAAGTCATTTTATAAAGTCACTATCAGTCTGATGCCAAAATCTGGCAGAGACACAACCAAAAAAGAAAACTTCAGGCTAATATTCCTGATGAACACAGATGCAAAAATTCTCTACAAAATATTAGCAAACTGAATCCAGAAGCACATCAAAGAGTTAATACATCATGATCAAGTAGGCTTTATTCCAGGAATGGAAGGCTGGTTCAACATGTGCAGATCAATAAATGTGATTCATCACGAACAGAATTGAAAGCAAAAACCATATGATCATCTAATACACAAAGAAAAAGCTTTTGATAAAATCCAACATCCCTTCATAAAAACTCTCAGCAGACTAGGCATTGAAGGAACATACCTCAAGCTAATAAACGCTATCTATGAAAATCCACAGCCAACATTATACGAATGGGTAAAAGCTTGAACTATTTCCCTTGAGAACTGGAACAAAACAAAGAAGCTCACTCTCACCACTCCTATTCAATATAGTATTGGAAGTCCTAGCCAGAAGAATCAAGCAAGAGAAAGAAAGAAAAGGTATCTATATAGGAAGAGAGGAAGTCAAATTATCTCTCTTCACTTACAACATGATCCTACACTTAGAAAATCCTAAAGACTCTGCCAAAAGGCTCCTAGAATTGATAAATAACTGTAGTAAAGTTTCAGGATACAAAAATCAATAGCATTCCCTTACATCAACAACATCCAGGTTGAGAGTGAAATCAAGAACACAATCCCACTTACAGTAGCCACAAAGAAAATGAAATATCCAATGATACAGCTAACTAACATGGTGAAAGATTCCTATAGAAACTATAAAACACTGCTGAAAGAAATCAGAGATGACACAAATAGAAAAACATTCCACAATGTTGGATTGGAACTATCAATGTCATAAAAATGGCCATACTGCCCAAAGCAATCTACAGATATAGAGCTATTCCTATGAAACTGCCAGCATCATCCTTCACAGAATTGGGGAAAAAAACCTATTCTGAAATTCATATGGAACCAAAAAAGAGCTCAAATAGTCAAGGAATCCTAAGGAAAAAAACCAGAGGTATCACACTACTTGACTTCAAACTATACTATAAAGCTACAGTAACCAAAACGTCATGATACTGGTACAAAAACAGACATATAGATTAATAGAACAGAATAGGAAACTCAGAAATAAAGCTGAACACCTAAAACCATCAGATCTTAAACAATGCTGACAAAAACAAGCCATGGGGAAAGTACTCCCTATTTAATAAATGGTGCTAGGACAACTGACTAGCCATATGTAGGAGATTGAAGCTGGACCTCTACCTTTCACCATATACAAAAAATTAACTCAAAATGGATCAAAGATTTAGATCTAAGGCCTCCAACTACAAAAATCCCAGAAGACAACCTAGGACATACTCTTTTTGACATCAGCCTTGGAAAAGAATTTTTGGCTAAGTCCCCAAAAGCAATTGCAACAAAAACAAAAATAGGTAAGTGGGATCTAGTTAAACTAAAGAGCATCTGCATAACAAAAGAAACTATTCAACAGAGTAAACAGACAACCTACAGAATGGGAGAAAATATTCACAAACTATGTATCTGTCAAAGACCTAATATCTAGAATATACAGGAAACTTAAATAAAAAATAACCTCTTTTAAAAATGGGCAAAGTATATGAACAGACACTTATCAAAAGATGACATACAAGCAGCCAACCAACAAAAACGTGCTCAGCATCACTAATCACTCTGGAAATGCAAATCAAAACCACAGTGTGATACGATCTCACAGCAGTCAGAATAGCTATTATGAAAAAGTCAAAACACAACACGTGTTAGTGAGGCTTCAGAGAAAAGGGAACACTTATACACTGTTGATAGGAATGTACATTAGTCCAGCTACTGTGGAAAGCATTCTGGAGATTTCCCAAAGAACTTAAAACAGGCCGGGCATGGTAGCTCATGCCTGTAATCCCAGCACTTTGGGAGGCCAACGCGGGTGGATCACCTGAGGTCAGGAGTTCAAGACCAGCCTGACCAAAAAGAAGAAACCCCATCTCTACTAAAAATACAAAATTAGCCAGGTGTGGTGGCACATGCCTGTAACTCAGCTACTTGGGAGGCTGAGACAGGAGAATTGCTTGAACCCAGGTGGTGGAGGTTGCGGTGAGCCGAGATCTTGCCATTGCACTCCAGCCTGGGCAACAAGAGCAAAACTCCGTGTCAAAAAAAAAAAAAAAAAGAAAGAAAAACTTAAAGCTATCATTCAACACAGCAATTCTATTACTGGGTGTACACCCGAAGGAAAATAAATCAAGAAGACACATGCACTCATATGTTCATCACTATGCTATTCACAATACAAAAAAAACATAGAATCAACCCAGGTGCAGATCAATGGTAGTAGACTGGATGAAGAAAATGTGGTACCTATACACTGTAAAATACTTCACAGCCATAAAAAAAAAAAAGAATGAAATCATGCCCTTTGTAGCAACACAGATGCAGTTGGGGCAATTTGGAAGATTTGACTATAAATAATATTTCTATATCAATGTAAGTATGTAGTTATGTGGTTATATAGGAGACTGGTCTTGTTTCTAGGTGATACACGTCAGCATATTTAAGCATGTCCTATCATATCTGCAACTTTTTTGAAATGATTCAGAAAAAATGGTAAACAAATACATATATAGATAATGATATATAGAGAAATGGAACAAATATAATGAAATGTTATCTATTGGTGAATATAGGTTATATGAGTGTTTGCTTTATTCTTCTAAATTTTTCAAAATAAAAAGTTAGGACAGTGGAGAGGGAATCAGATGTAAGAAGTAATGACTTTTGAAGCTACAATGCAATGGTTCGCATTAGCATAAGTTCTTCTGACTTTCAGTCCAGGAGAGTGTACCACCTAGCGTGCTACTAAGTCATCAACTCCCCAAACATGCACATTGTACAGTTCTTTTGATCCTCCATGGTGCATTCTACATCATGGACTTCCAACAAAAAAACTGGTAGTATTAGGTAAAACAGCAAGTTTTCAAGGTTGTTCATGTTTTCAGTGCAAACTCTGAACCTGTAGTTTAAATTTTCAAGCTATCCAGTAAACTTCCAGGCCTGAATATTTTACATACCAGTAAGATAAGTCTTCATTTTGCAACTCAACTCCTATAACAAAATGCCTCTTTCACGCCAACTGCTGAGGTTTCCAGACAGGAATAGGTTTCCAGACAGGAATGAGTGTCCACACAGATGAAGCATGGAGAAATAAAAGGCTTTCCTTGATGTTAAAATAACATAAATATGTAAAGATATACATTGAACGGCAACATGTAAATTTCTTCTGTAGAGAGGCCCTATCTTATCTCTTTGGTCTCAGTGTGAAGGCTGGTACTAAACACTGTCAGGCTCACAGTAAAAATCTCATTTCACTATTATTTGATAACGAATCCTGTAGTGTTCATACGAAAGCAGCTGCCATTATGTAAATGTGGAACACAGGTAAAAACATAATATATGCCATAACACTTTTTTGTCACCATGAGCCTGTTTCTCCCACATTTAAAAAACATACTAGCTTGCCTCTGACTAAATTTAGCATGTAACTTTCTTAGAGCGTGTTTGGTGTTTTTCTTGGGGGAAAATACTTATTAATAGTTGGTCTCTCTTCTTCAAGCCCATTTGGCCACTGTTTTTCTACTATTTAGCCATGCTAACCATCACTTGCCACGATCACCTCCCTCCTCTGCTGATCACTGTTATCCATTCATCATATTAAGATACCGTGTTTTCTATTTTTCTGGACCCTTGTTCTACTCTTTCTCCTAATCTCTGCAACCTCCTTTTCTTTCTATAGCTGCTTCTAAGCTCTTTTCTATTTTTTTCTTTCTGCCCAGCTTACTTTGGTCCTTTCTTTTCCCATTCTTTTGTTCAATGGATCTATTCCTTGTTCGCATCATTGAGATCAGGTGGACTTGACTTCACCTCAAATGCATGTAAACCCATATATATTCATACATACCTTATCACACTTTATCTCCCTATTATGGGCTAAATTGTATCCCTGTCCCCAAATTTATATGTTGAAGTTCTAACCCCAATATCTCAGAACATGACTGTGCTGTCAGTGACATGTTTTGAGAAATGTGTCATTAGGCAATTTCATCATTGTGCAAACATCACAGAGTGTACTTATAGAAACCTAGACGGTATACCCTACTATATACCCAGGCTATATGGAATATAGCCTATTGTTCCTAGACTATAAATCTGAACAGCATATGCTTTACTGAATACTGCAGGCAATTGTAACACAATAGTGCATACTTGTGTATCTAAACATAGAAAATGTATAGTAAAATTGCAGTATAACTTTTTTTTTTTAAATAGCACAGCTGTATAGGTCACTTACCATGAATGGAGCTTGCAGGACTGGAAGCTGCACTGGGATACCGAGTGAATGGGAGGGCCCAGGACATTACTGTATATGGCTGTAGACTTCATAAGCACTGTACACTTAGGCTACATAATTTTTAAAAATTCTTTCAGTAATAAATTAACCATAGTTTGCTGTAAATTTTTTACTTTATAAATTTTTAAATTTTAACTTTGACTATTTTGTAATAATATTTAGCTTAAAACAAACACATTTTACAGCTATACAAAAGTATTCTTTCCTTATGTCCTTATTCTGTAAGATTTTTTGTTAAAAATCAAGACAAAAACACACACATTAGCCTAGGCCCACACTGAGTCAGGATCATCAATATCATTGTCTTTCACCTCCACATCTTGTCCCACTGGAAGGTCTTTAGGGACAATAGCACTCATGGAGCTGTCAACCCCTGTGATAACAATTCCTTCTTCTGGAATATGCTCTGAAGGACCTGCCTGAGGCTGCTTTACATTTAACTTCTTTTTTTATAAATAGAAGGCATACACTGTAAAATGACAGTGAAAATATAGTAAATTCATAAACTAGTAACATAGTTGTTTATGATCATTATCAAGCCTTATATACTCTACATAACTGTATGTGCTAGACTTTTATATGACTGATGGCACAGTAGGATTGTTTAAACGAGCACCACCACAAACAAGCAAATAATATATTGTGCTACATTTTGAGGATTATGATGTCTATGACATTTCTAGATAATAGGAATTTTCACCTCCATTATTATCTTACAGCACCACCATGGTATATGTAGTTGGTCATTGACCAAAAAGTCATTATGCAGCACATGACTATTTGGAGATAGGCTCTTTAAAGAAGTAATTAATTTAAAATGAGGTCATTAGAATGGGATCTAATTCAGTGATTGGTGTCCTTATAAGGGATGAATATTAGGACCAGACACACACAGAGGGGAGACCATGTGAAGACACTGGAAAATGATGGCCACCTATAAGCCAAGGAGAGAAGCTGCAGAAGAAACCAACCCTACCAATGAATTGACCTTGGACTTCCAACCTCTACAACTATGAGAAAATAAATTTCTCTTAAGACACCCAGTCTGTGATTATTATGCCATCACTAGAAAATTAATGCAACCCCCAGTTCTAACCCATAATATTCTCATTATGCTGTCAATATATGGCTAAATTGGCTCTCACTACTTTGTCCCTGGATTGTTCAATTCTAGCCTCATTTGTTGATACGGTCCCAGAGTTCTGTGCTGAGACCATGAGTCCTTATCATCCTACTTTGTGCTTTCCAACCTTACTATTCTATGCAGAAAGTTTCCCCTGAAGAATTCCTCATCCTTCAGGCCCCCTATCCAGGAAACCCTGAACAATTCCTCAGTGTTCTTTTCAACTCTACTCTGAAATTCTATAGCACATTCTGTTTAGCTTCCAGAGTGCTTACCCCATTTTAATGTATATGTGCTTTCTCTTTGTTTGTTTATTTGTTTGTTTGTTTTTGAGACGGAGTCTTGCTCTGTCACCCAGGCTGGAGTGCAGTGGCCTAATCTCGGCTCAGTGCAAGCTCCGCCTCCCAGGTTCACGCCATTCTCCTGCCTCAGCCTCCGGAGTAGCTGGGACTACAGGTGCACACCACCACGCCAGGCTAATTTATTTTGTATTTTGTACAGACAAGGTTTCACCGTGTTAGCCAGGGTGGTCTCGATCTCCGGACCTCATGATCTGCCCGCCTCAGCCTCCCAAAGTGCTGGGATTACAGGAATGTATATGTGCTTCTATCCACTACTGGGTTGTGAGCATTTGTGGGGTAGGGCCTAATGTCCTGTTCAAATTTGGATCCTGAGAGGGAGGCAGAGAAAGATGGGGAATAGAAGCCTACACCTTTTATCCCTCCTGCAGGAACAACAAATTGTAACAATTATCTGTATACAAAAATGTACAATAACAAGAACCGAAAATCAGGTGAGCAATCACGATACCTGGTTTTAACTTCATATTGCTGAAAGAGACATTAAAGAGGGTGAGAGAGACAGTCTTGAATCACTGACACCACCCCTCTCCCATCCCCCAGCAGTGGCCCCACAGCTCAGAAAGTCTGTGCACTTAGAGACAGAGCACTGCAAATGGAGAACTTACATTGAACTGTGTTGCCCTGTCACAGCTGAGAGGAGGGCAAAGCCATATATGACAGACACTCAGCTACTATCACAATGAATGGGGAAAAAGTGAAAAGCCTTTCCTCTAAGCTCTGGAACATGACAAGGATGCCCTCTTTCTCCACTATTATTCAACATAGTACTGGAAGTACTAGCCAGAGCAATCAGACAAAAGAAAGACATAAAGGGCTTCCAGAAAGGAAAGGGAGAAGTTAAATTACCCTTGTTTGCAGATAATAAAATCTTATATTTTGAAAAACCCAAAGACTCCACCAAAGAAACTATTGGAACTGATCAACAAATTCAGTAAAGTTGCAGGATACAAAAATTTACATACAAAAATCAGTAGCATTTTTATATGCCAATAATGAACAATCTGAAAAAGAAATCAAAAAAGTAATTCCCTTTACAAAGGCCACAAATAAAATTAGGTACCTAGGAATTAACCAAATAAGTGAAAATATCTCTACAATGAAAAACTATAAAACACAGATGAAAGAAATTGAAGAGGACACCAAAAAAAGAAAAGATATTCCATGTTCATGAATTGGAAGAATCAGTATTATTAAAATGTCTATACTACCCAAAGCAATCTACAGATTCAAATGCAATCATTATCAAAATACCAATGACATTCTTCACAGAATATAAAAACCAATCCTAAAATGTATATAAAACTACAGAAGACTCAGAATAGCCACAGCCATCCTAAGGAAAAACAAAACAAAACAAAACTGTAAGAATAATATCACCTGACATCAAACTATACTACAGAGCTATAGTACCCAAAGCAGCATACTCCTGGCACACAGACCCATAGAACAGAATAGAGAACCCAGAAACAAATCCACACACCTACAGTGAACTCATTTTTCACAAAGTTGCCAAGAAAATACACTGGAAAAAAGACAGTCTCTTCAATAAACGTGCTGGGAAAACTGAATGTCCATATGTAGAAGAATGAGACTAGACCCCATCTCTTGCCATATACAAAAAAAAAAAAAAGACTTAAACTTAAATCTAAGACCTCAAACTATGAAACTACTACAATTAAACATTGGGGAAAATCTCCAGAACATTGGTCTAGGCATAGATTTCTTGAGCAATAATATCCCACAAGCACAGGCAACCAAAGCAAAAATGGACAAATGAGATCACATCAAGTTAAAAAAGCTTCTGCACAGCAAAGGATACAATCAACAAAGTGAAGAGACAACCCACAAAATGGGAGTAAATATCTGAAAACTACCCATGTGACAAGAGATTAATAACCAGAATATATAAGGAGCTCAAACAAATCTATAGAAAGAAATACAATCTGATCAAAAAATGGGCAAAAGGTCTGAGTAGATATTTTTCAAGAAGACATATGCAATCAAAGCTATAATTCAATATCATCTCATTTTGGTTAAAGTGGCTTCTATCCAAAAGATAGGCAATAACAAATGCTGACAAGGATGTGAAGAAGAGGGACTCCTTGTACACTGTTGGTGGAAATGTAAATTAGTACAACCACTACAGAGGGCAGTTTGGAAGGTCCTCAAAAAACTAAAGATTGAGCTACCATATGATCTAGCAACCTTACTGCTGGGTATATACCCCCCAAAAAGGAAATCAGCATATGGTTTAGCTGTGTCCCCACCCAAATCTCATCTTGAATTCCCACATGTCATGGGAAGGACATGGTGGGAGGTAATTGAATCACGGGGGCAGGTCTTTCCCATGCTGTTCACATGATAGTGAATAAGTGTCATGAGATCTGATGGTTTTATAAGATGGAATTTCCCTGCACAAGTTCTCTCTTTGCCTGCTGCCATTCATGTAAGATGTGACTTGGTCCTCCTTGCCTTCCACCATGATTGTGAGGCTTCCCCAGTCATGTGGAACTGTAAGTCCAATTAAACCTCTTTCTTTTGTAAATTACCCACTCTCAGGTATGTCTTTATCAGCAGCATGAAAACAGACTAATACAGTATATTGGTACTGGGAGTGGAGCACTGCTGAAAAGATAACTGAAAATGTGGAAGTGACTTCAGAACTGGATAACAGGCAGAGGTTGGACCAGTTTGGAGGGCTTAGAAGACAGAAAAATGTGGGAAAGTTTGGAACTCCCTAGAGACTTGTTGAATGGCCTTGACCAAAATGCTGATAATGATATGGACAATAAAATCCGGGCTGAGGAGGTCTCAGATGGAGACAAGGAATTTGTTGGGAACTAGAGCGAAGGTGACTCTTGCTATGTTTTAGCAAAGAGACTGGTGGCATTTTGCCCCTCCCCTAGAGATTTATGAAACTTGGAACTTGAGAGATGATTTAGGTTATCTGGCAGGAAAAATTTCTAAGCAGCAAAGCATTCAAGAGGTGACTTGAGTGCTATTAAAGGCATTCAGTTTTAAAAGGGAAACAGAGCACAAAATTTTGGAAAATTTACAGCCTGATGAGGAGACAGAAAAGAAAATCCCATTTTCTGAGAAGAAATCCAAGCCAGCTGCAGAAATTTGCAAAAGTGACAAGAAGCCAAATGCTAACCCCCAAGACCATAGGAAAATGTCTCCAGGGCATGTCAGAGGTCTTCACAGCAGCCCCTCCCATCATAGACCAGGAGGCCTAGGAGGAAAAAGTAGTTTCATGGGCCGGGCCTAGGGTCCCCGTGCTGTGCGCAGTCTAGGGACTTGGTGCTCTGCATCCCGGCTGCTCCAGCACTGGCTGAATGGGGCCAACATGGAGCTTGGGCCATGGCTTCAGAGGGTGCAAGCCTTAAGCCGTGGCAGCTTCCCTGTGATGTTGAGCCCACAGATGCACAGAAGTCAAGAATTGAGGTTTGGGAACCTCCACCTAAATTTCAGAGGATATATGGAAATGCCTGGATGCCCAGGCAGAAGTTTCCTGCAGGGTCAGGGCTCTCATGGAGAACCTCTGCTTGGGCAGTGCAGAGGGAAAATGTGGAGTAGGAGCCCCCATACAGAGTCCCGACTGGGGCACTGCCTAGTGGAGCTGTGAGAAGAGGGCCACTGTCCTCCAGACCCCAGAATGCTAGATCCGCTGACAGCTTGCACCATGCACCTGGAAAAGCTGCAGACACTCAACGCCAGCCCATGAAAGCAGCTGGGAGGGGGGCTATACCCTGCAAAGCCACAGGGGAAGAGCTGCCCAAGACCATGGGAACCCACCTCTTGCATCAGTGTGACCTGGATGTGAGACATGGAGTCAAAGGAGATTATTTTGGAGCTTTAAGATTTGACTGCCCTGCTGGATTTCAGACTTGCATGGTGCCTGTAGCCCCTTTGTGTTGGCCAATGTCTCCCATTTGGAATGGCTGTATTTACCTAATGCCTGTGTCCCCATTGTTTCTAGGAAGTAACTAACTTGCTTTTGATTTTACAGGCTCATAAGCAGAAGGGACTTGCCTTGTCTCAGATAAGACTATGTGGACTTCTGAGTTAGTGCTGAAATGAGTTAAGACTTTGGGGGACTGTTGGGGAGGCATAGTTGGTTTTGAAATATCAGGACATGAGATTTGGGAGGGGCCAGAGGTTGAATGATATGGTTTGGCTGTGTTACCACCCAAATCTCATCTTGAATTCCCACATATCATGGGAGGGACCCAGTGGGAGGTAATTGAATCATGGGGTCAGGTTTTTTCCATGCTGTTCTCATGATAGTGAATAAGTCTCATGAGGTCTGATGGCCTTATACAGTGGAATTTCCCTGCACAAGCTCTCTCTCTCTCTGCCTGCTGCCATCCATGTATGACATAACTTGCTCCTCCTTGCCTTCCACCATGCTTGTGAGGCTTCCCCAGCATGTGAAACTAAGTCCAATTAAACCTCTTTCTTTTGTAAATTTCCCAGTCTCAGGTATGTCTTTATCAGCAGCATGAAAACAGACTAATACAGAAGCAATATCTTCATTCCCATGTTTGTTGCAGTACTGTTCACAATAGCCAAGATTTGGAAGCAACCTAAATGTTTATCAACAGATGAGTGGATGAAGAAAACATAGTATTTACACACAATGAAGTACTATTCAGCCATAAAAAGAATAAGATCCAATCATTTGCAACAACATGGATGGAACTGGAAGTCATTATGCTAAGAGAAATAAGCCAGGCACAGAAAGACAAATGTTGCAGGATCTAATAATCAAAGCAATTGAACTCATGGACACAGAGTGTAGAAGGATAGTTACCAGAGGCTAAGAAGGGTAGCAGGAGGGTGGGAGAAGAGGTGGGGATGATTAATGAATACAACAAAATAGAGACAATGAATAAGACCTAGTAGTTGATAGCACAACAGGGTGACTATAGTCAATAATAATTGTACATTTAAAAGTAACAAAAAGAGTATAATTAGATTGTAACACAAAGGATAAATGCTTGAGGGGAAGGATACTTCATATTCCATGATGTAATTACTATACATTTCATGCATGTATCAAAATATCTCATGTACCCCATAAACATATACACCTATGCACCCACAAAAACTAAAAATAAATTTAAAAAAAAAGAAATGTGGATCCTCTAACATGTTTTCATTTCTTTTCGTAAAGTAAGTGTGCTATACATGACTGCTTAATTATTGACCATATTTCTTCATGGTGACTCACAAAATGCATGTTTCCAATTGCCCAGATGGTGATCCAGAAATATATATTAAAAACCAAAGTTGAAAGAATAATCTGTTAAAGATGCCATGCTTTTAATATGTAAACTAATCAAAAGATCCAAAAGACTTATCAAAAGATAATAAGGCCTATGTTTTAGAAAAGAAACTGACCTTTTTTCTGACTTACTTTCATTTCAGAACAGACGCATCATCCTTCATTTAGAAACAGAATGCCTGTAAAGCTTTCGTGAACTTTTGTTTCCTATCCATCTTGGCTTGGGTTCTCCAGAAAAGTCTCTGAGATGAAATTTCAAGTGCAAGTGATTTATTTGGGAAGTCAGGGGAAACACAGGGGAGTTGAGAAGGGAGGTGAGAAAGAAATGGAAAGGACCTAATAAAGGGTGCAGTGTCAAGGCAGCTGGCACACTGAGATTGGCGCTTAATTCTGCTGGGCCAACTCTGCAAACCAGTGTAAAAATGCCTCAGTTATGCCACCCAAGGACAAGGGAGCTGGGATATCTGTATCTCTACTCCAATCAGTTCAGGTTAAGGGCTACTCCCAGGTGTCTATTAATTTCCAGGTACTTCCCAACGTTTTGGGGGTGGAAAGCAGAATTCAGTGGCCCCAAAAAAAGAAAAGAAAGGCCTCAGATAATTGAGTGCTGTTGAAGAGAGCTAGTGTGCCCTGAAGCAGCAACAGGGAGGAAATATGGGCAGAGCATCAATGTTATCTGCTAGTTTCACTTTGAGTATTTAATAAATAGTCTTTCATTCATTCATTCATTCAACAAATGACTACGTGACATCTGTGTATGGTTCAGGCACTGGGCTGGGTGCTGGGGAAGAGTGGTGAGCAAAAGCAGACATGGTATTCACATAAATATAGCCTATATCCTAGTGGAAAAAAGCAGATAATAAACACATACATCAGCAAATAAGATCATTACAGACTGGGATAAGCAATTTAAAGGAAAGAAACAGGGTGTTATAATAAAGAGTAATTGACATAGAAACAAACTCAGGAAAGTCAAAAAAGACGGGTTCCAAAATAAGGAGACTGTAACAGATTAAGAAAAGACTAGTTTTCTTGTTTCAAAAGAAAACTAATACAGATCCTCTCTCGCTAGGTAAGTGAAACTTTATAGAGACCCAGACTCCCTTGGTGTTATAATCAGAAGTAAGTCATGATAATATCTAAGGCCAGTGGGAAGGAAAAACAGTCTCAACCAAAGATGACAGTAGTAATACTGACGCACAGAAAAGGGATACTAGATGGCGATATTACTGGATAAAGCTCCAGTAGAGATATTTCTATCCAGCAAAAGCAGTTTCCTACAGCCCTCCAACATTATTTCTCTTTAAAAATCTTTTGAGCAGGTCACAACCATCTTTGTTAATCCTAGGTAAATGGTATAGCCACAATTCTGAATGTTTTAAAACCCAGGATCTACTCTGTAAGAAGTCTCAAAGTTGATCCCAAGTGAATTACTTAGACCCAGGCGAACCTGACATCCTGAGGCACTGATGTGCTGTTTGGTAGTTTAATACTCATCACTATGCTCATTAAATTAAATCAACATTTTGGTGGTCTGCATGTCTACACAGAAGTTTAGTAATTATTGTTGCCTGAAAAAATATAGACTTCATCTTTCTCAAGCCAGATGAAACACTACCAGGTTATTGAGAATTATTTTTACCTTTAAAAAACTTGTAGCTGATTTGCTGAATAAGCATGTAGATAAGTATATCTATATAGGGAAACAGAAAGTAGGGAAATATGTTCTTCTTCTTCTGGAGGTTGGAATAAAAATCAATCTTATACTACAGTGGGTCAAGGGATGCTGAAAGCAATGAAATTTCTTCTTACTTAAAAACAGACTTTGTTGCTCAGTGGTTCTAACACAGTTTCTTCCTGTATCCTCAGAGGGCCCCATTGGTTTTCTCAATAGGATGGTTCAAAGGGTGGAGATCAGCTCCAAAGTATCTGTTCTCATTATGTTATCAGGTATAAGACTCAGCTCTGCCTTTTATCAACCCAAATGGTAGAACTATCCCAGAACTTCAGTTTGTGAAGACTGAAGTCTTTGTTGGAGACAACACATAACAGAAGAGAAGACCCAGAGATGAAACTCAACTCTGTCACTTGAGTTAAGCAGCCTTGGGCCTGTCATTTTCATTCTGTTTCTTCATCTGTAAAATATATCAATAATAATGCAATATTAAATAAAAATGCAAATTTTGGGGGGACCAAGTATAATAAATTAGTCTAGTTCCTTGTCCAGTGCAAAAAGTTACACTATGAACATTTGTTGAATAAATGTTGAAAGACAACCACTTTGGACAAACATTTACATTTATTTCCAAAAGAATTCTAACCACACTTTTTTTTCTTAATGCTACAAAATAGAGATAATAATTCAGTTTTATATGAGTATGAATCCATCTGTGTCTACACTCAAACCCACCATGCTCAGGAGATCTTCAGTATTGTCTATTGCTTCCTGTATCCACTGTCTGCCTGGATATTGCCTATCCATTTGTGGTAAGCAGCCTCTAAGAAGATCCCCAGTGGTTTTTGTCTCCGGTATTCATACCATTGTACAGTTCCCGCCCACAATGAGGCCACAATCAAACTCTCAAAGTCATCAAATAGGATAAAAAAAAATCCAAAGGTCAGTGACCTCAAAAACTAAACATAGATAAGCCCACAAAGATGAGAAAGAAACAACTTAAGAACCCTGAGAACTCAAAAAGCCAGACAGAATGCCTTCTTTCCTCCAAATGACCACATCACCACTCCAGCAAGGATTCTGGACCAGGCTGAGATGGCTGAAATGACAGAAATCAAATTCAGAATATGGATAGGAAGAAAGACCATTGAGCTACAGGATTATGTAGAAACCCAATGCAAGGAAACTAAAAATTATGATAGAACAATGCAGGAGCTGAAATACAAAATAGCCGATATAGAAAAGAACATAACCAACCTGATAGAAATGAAAAACACAATACAAGAATTTCATAATGCAATCACAAGTGTTAATAGCAGAATAGACCAAGTGAAGGAAAGAATCCCAGAGCTTGAAGACTGGCTTTCTGAAATAAGACAGACAAAAATAGAGAAAAAATAATAATAAAAATGAATAAACAAATCCTCTGAGAAATATGGGATTATGTAAAGAGACAATTCAGACTCATTGGTGTCCCTGAAAGGGAACCAACTTGGAAAACATACTTCAGGATATCATCCAGGAAAACTTCTCCAATCTAGAGAGGCCAACATTCACATATAGGAAATGCAGAGAACCCTAGTAGGATATTTTACAAAAGGATCATCCCAAGGACACGTAATCATTAGATTCTCCAAGGCCAAAAAGAAAGAAAAAATGCTAAAGGCAGCTAGAGAGAAAGGTCAGGTCACCTACAAAGGGAAGAACATCAGACTAACTGCAGACCTCTCAGCAGAAACCCTAAAAGCCAGAAGAGATTGGGGGCCAATTTTCAATATTCTTAAAGAGAAGAAATTCCAACCCAAAATTTCATATCCAGCCAAACTAAGCATCTTAAGTAAAGGAGAAATAAGATTCTTTTCAGATAAGAAAATGCTGAGGAAATTTGTTACCACCAGACTTGCCTTACAGGAGAGCTCCTGAAGGAAGAACTAAATATGAAAAGGTCATGTCACCTACAAAGGGAAGGCAACAGACTAACTGCAGACCTCTCAGCAGAAACCCTACAAGCCAGAAGGGGGAGGGGGCTGCCAATATTCAACATTCTAGAAGAAAAGAAATTCCAACCCAAAGTTTCATATCCAGCCAATATATGCTTCATAAGTGAAGGAGAAATAAGATTCTTTTCAGACAAGAAAATGCTGAGGAAATTTATTACCACCAGACTTGCCTTACAAGGAAGAACTAAATATGGAAAGGAAAGACTGTTACCTGCCACTACAAAAACACACTGAAGGACACAGACCAGTAACACTGAAGTAACCACATAAACAAGTCTGAAAAATAACCAGCTAACATCATGATGACAGGATCAGATCCACACATATCAATAACAACCTTAAATGTAAATGTGCTAAATGCCCCAATTAAAAGACACAGAGTGGCAAGCTGGATAAAGAACCAGGACTCATTGGTATGCTGTCTTTAAGAGACCTACCTCACATGTAATGGCACACATAGGCTGAAAATAAAGGGATGGAGAAAAATCTGCCAAGCAAATGGGAAACAAAAAAACAAGGGTTGCAATCCTAGTTTCTGACTAAAGAGACTTTAAACCAACAAAGTTTTTTTAAAAAGGCAAAGAAGGGTATTACTTAATGGTAAATGATTCAACTCAATAAAAAGATTTAACTAACCTAAATATATATGCATCTAACACAAGAGCACCCAGATTCATAAATCAAGTTCTTAGAGACGTTCAAATACATTTAGACTGCCACACAATAATAGTGGGAGACTCTAACACCCCACTGACAACATTAGACAGGTCGTCAAGACAGAAAATTAACAAAGATATTTAAGATCTGAACTCAGCACTGGATCAAATGAACCTGATAGATATGTATAGAACTTGCCACTGAAAACAACAGAATATATATTCTTCTCATTGCCATGTGGCACATACTCTAAAATCAAACACATAATTCAAAGTAAAACACTCCTCAACAAATGCAAAAGAACTACACTATGCTTCTCTTGAACCACAGTGCAATCAAATTAGAAATCAAGATGAAAAATTCACTCAAAACTATGCAATTACATGGAAACTGAATAACCTGCTCCTGAGAGACTACTAGGTAAATAATGAAATTAAGGCAGAAATAAATAAGCTCTTTGAAACCAATGAGAACAAAGACACAACATACCAGAATCTCTGGGACACCGCTAAAGCAGTGTTAAGAGGGAAATACATAGCACTACATGCCCACATCAAAAAGTTAGAAAGATCTTAGCAACCTAACATCACAACTAAAAGAACTAGAGAACCATGAGCAAACAAATTTGAAAGCTAGAAGACAAGAAATAACCAAAATCAGAGATGAAGTGAAGGATATTGAGACATGAAAAACCATTCAAAAGATCAACAAATCCAGGAGCTTTAAAAAAAAAAATTAAACAGACCACTAGCTAGACACACACAAAAAAGAGAAGATTCAAATAAACCCAATCAGAAATAACAAGGTGGATATTACCATGACACCACCAAAATACAAACCACCAGCAGAGAATATTATGAACACCTCTATGCACACAAACTAGAAAATCTAGAAGAAATGGGTAAATGCCTAGATACATGTACCCTGCCAAGACTGAACCAGGAAGAAACTGATTCTCTGAACAGATCAGTAACAAGCTCTGAAATTGAGTCAGTAATAAATAGCCTACCAACCAAAAAAGGCCCAGGACCAGATACATTCACAGCTGAATTCTACCAGATGTACAAAGAAGAGCTGGTACCATTCATGCTAAAACTATTCCAAAAAAAAATACAGAGCAGGGACTCCTCCTCAACTCATCCTATAAGGCTAGCATCACCCTGATATCAAAACCTGGCAGAGATTTAAAAAAATAAGAGAAAAGAAAACTTCAGGCCAATACCCTTGATGAATATCAATGCCAAAATTCTCAACAAAATACTGGAACACCAAATCCGGCAGTATATTAAAAAGCTAATCCACCACAATCAAGTAGGCTTTATCCCTGGGATGCAAGGTTGGTTCAATGTACACAAATCAATACATGTTATTTATCACATAAACAGAACTAAAGATAACACCCACATGATTATCTCAATAGACATAGAAAAGGCTTTTGATAAAATTCAACACTCCTTCATGTTAAAAACTCTCAAACTGGGTATTGAAGGAACATACCTCAAAATAATAAGAGCTATCTATGACAAACCCACAGCCATCATCATACTGAATGGGCAAAAGCTGGAAGCATTCCCTTTGAAAACCAGCAAAGACAAGAATGCCTTCTCTCACCACTCCTATTCAACATAGTTCGGAAGTCCTGGCCAAGGAAATTAGGCAAGAGAAAGAAAGAAAGGGCATCCAAATAGGAAGAGAGGAAGTCAAACTATTCCTGTTTGCAGACAACATGATTCTGTATCTAGAAAACCCCATAGTCTCAGCCCAAAAGCTTCTTAAGCTGATAAACAACTTCAACAAAGTATCAGGATATAAAAATCAATGAGCAAAAATCACTAACATTCCTATGTACCAACAACAGTCAACCCAAGAGCTAAATTGGGAATGCAATCCCATTCACAACTGCCACAAAAGAATAAATACCTAGGAATTTAGCTAACAAGGGATATGAAAGATCTCTATAAGGATAATACAAACCACTGCTCAAAGAAATCAGAAATGACACAACAAATGGAAAAAAATTCCATGCTCATGGATAGGAAGAATCAATACTGTAAGAATGGCCATAATGCCCAAAGCAACTTGCAGATTCAACGCTATTCCTATTAAACTATAGGATTTAATAGACCTATATAAACTACCATTGAGATTCTTCACAGAACTAGAAAAAAAATTTAAATTCATATGGAACCAAAAAAGAGCCCAAAGAGCCAAAGCAATCTTAAGCAAAAGAACAAAGCTAGAGGCATCACACTACCCAGCTTCAAACTATATTACAGAACTATAGTAACCAAAACAGCATGGTACTAATACAAAAATAGACACATAGACCAATGGCTCAGAATAGAGAACCCAGAAATAGGGCCACACATATACAACTATCTGATCTTTGACAAACCTGACAAAAAACAAGCAATGGGGAAGGGATTTCCTATTCAATAAATGGTGCTGAAATAACTGGCTAGCCATATACAGAACATTGAAATTGGACCCCTTCTTTACACTGTATACAAAAATTAACTCAAGATGTATTAAAGACCTAAATGCAAAACCCAAAACTATAAAAAGCCTGGAAGAAAACCTAGGTAATACCATTAAGGGCATAGGGACAGGCAAAGATTTCATGGCAAAAACACCAAAAGCAATTGCAACAAAAGCAAAAATTGACAAATGGGATCTAGTTAAACTAAAGTGCTTCTGCACAACAAAGGAAACTATCAACAGAGTGAGCAGACAACCTACAGAATGGAAGGAAATTTTTGCAAGCTACACATCCAACAAAGGCTTAATATCCATCATCTATAAGAAACTTAAATTTACAAGAAAAAAAAAGTGGGCAAAGGAAATGAACAGACCCTTTTCAAAAGAAGACATATATGCAACCAACAGCATGTGAAAAAAAGCTCAATATCACTGATCATTAGAGAAATGCAAATCAAAGCCACAGTGAGATACCACCTCACACCAGTCAGAATGGCTATTACTAAAAAGTCAAAAAATAGCAGATGCTGGCAAGGTTGCAGAGAAAAAGGAATGCTTATACACTGTTGATGGGAGTATAAATTAGTTCAACCATTATGGAAAACAGTGTGACAATTCCTCAAAGACCTATCAACAGAAATGTCATTCAACCCAGCAATCCCATTATTGGGGATATACCCCAAAAATATAAATTGTGCTATTATAAAGATAAATGTACATGTATGTTCATTGCAGCACTATTCACAATAGCAAAGACATGGAATTAACCTAAATGCCCATCAGTGATAGGCTGGATAAATAAAATGTGGAACATATACTCTATGGAACACTATGCAGCCATAAAAAAAGAATGATATCATGTACTTTGCAGGAACATGGATGGAGCTGGAGGCCATTATCCTCAGCAAACTAACACAGAAACAGAACACCAAATACCGCATGTTCTCACTTGAAAGTGGGAGCTAAATGATGAGAACATATGGACACATAGAGGGGAACAACACACACTGGGGCAGGGTGCACGGTGAGAGGAGGGAGAAGGTCAGAAAAAAAAATGGGTACTAGGCTTAATACCTGGGTAATAAAATAATCTGTACAATAAACTCCTATGACAAGTTTACCAATATAAGAAACCTGCACATCTATCCCTGAACTTAAAATAAATGTTTTTTTTAAAAAAAAAAAGAGAAAAAGTGAGGCTTAAAACAAGGGAGGTAATTTAGATCTATATACTCTTACAGAAGCCTCTCCACTCACAAATTATAATCTTTTTTTTTTTTTTTTTTTTTTTTTGAGACGGAGTCTCGCTCTGTTGCCCAGGCTGGAGTGCAGTGGCGGGATCTCGGCTCACTGCAAGCTCCGCCTCCCGGGTTCACTCCATTCTCCTGCCTCAGCCTCCCAAGTAGCTGGGACTACAGGCGCCCGCCACTACGCCCGGCTAATTTTTTGTATTTTTAGTAGAGACGGGGTTTCACCGTTTTAGCCGGGATGGTCTCGATCTCCTGACCTTGTGATCCGCCCGCCTCGGCCTCCCAAAGTGCTGGGATTACAGGCGTGAGCCACCGCGCCCGGCCACAAATTATAATCTTAACACAAATACTATAGCATATACCTATAAGTGATGATTTCTTCTCCTACTCAGAACAGCTATTAGAGATGAGTTTGTTAGCAACCTAGAGAATGGCCTCTTCATTCAGACACTTGGAACTCCTCTTACGGTGAATAGCCAGGTCCCTGAACACACAACCCAAAGAGAAGTCCTTATATTGACAACCCCTCAGATAGTTTTATATTTAAGAGAGAGCCGCAGAGCTAACTAGATTTTCAAGAAAAATATGCATCATGAAAAAGAATGACAAAGAAAAATAAACAGAAAAATTGATTCCAGTTTAACAGATATTTCCAGAAAAAGAGAACTTTTGAAGTTCCCAGTTGACATCCTCTGAGAGATATAAGAAGTTACTAATTTCATAAAATGATACTACAGTACTATGAAAAAAACCCATATAGAACATGAAAGAATTCTTCAATATCAAAACGATGGTTGTACTAGAGCACTTTCTGACTTTAGTTCAGAAGATGAAAACAGTCAAAGAAATGATTAAAAATTTGACTATAAGAAAATTTAAAAATATTTGCACTATAAGCAAAAATCAAGAGAAATTGCAAACTGAAAAAATTATTTGCAACATATATCACAAATAAGAGCTAATCTCCTTGGTATCTAATCTACTCAACAATCAAGAAGAAAAAGACCAAAAATACAATAGGAAATCTAGATAGACAGCTCATAGAAAAAGAAAGTAACACAACCCTGACACATATGAAAAGAGCTTCAATTTTACTACTGTAAAAGAAATGCAAATTAACACGAAGCTGCCATTTCTCACCTATCAAATTGGCAGAAATTCAAAAAATTGACAGCACACTCAATTGGCAAAACTACAGAGAAACAAACCTTTCATAGATTACAAATAACGGGAAATGATACAGCTCTATAGAAGAATACTTGATGAATAGTAATAAAATTATGTATGCATTTACCCATTGACACAGAAACATACCCAAATGCCCATAAATCAGAGATTAGTGGAATAAACCATGGTATATCTATCAATGGAGAAAATCTCTAAGAATTGGTATGATATTCATTCTCTAAGAATTAAGTGCATATCCTTATTTTCAAGATATATTATTTAGGGGAAAAAAAGGCACAAAAAAGTATCTATATTATTCTATCTTTTGTAATAAAAAGAGAAAATGCGTGTGTGTGAGAGAGGGAGAGAGACCACGAGAGAGAAAATGTGTGTGTGTGTGTGTTTAACTTGTTTAGCCAAAACAAATACAGAAAGATACAATGACTAATGCAATGATTACTTCTAGAGAATAGATGGGATTGGGATAGAAAGGTTTGAGATTGAAGAAAGATTCCTCTGAATAAGCCTTCTTATAATTTTTAAGCATGAACCATGTTTAAGTTAAGGTTTAGTTATACCTTAACTTATAAAAACACATCAGGTATTTGAACAGAAATAATTGAATATAAAGAATTGTTGGCCGGGCGCGGTGGCTCACGCCTGTAATCCCAGCACTTTGGGAGGCCGAGGTGGGCGGATCACGAGGTCAGGAGATCGAGACTATCCTGGCTAACAGGGTGAAACCCCGTCTCTACTAAATAAATACAAAAAAATTAGTCGGGTGAGGTGGTGGGCGCCTGTAGTCCCAGCTACTCGAGAGGCTGAGGCAGGAGAATGGCGTGAACCCAGGAGGCGGAGCTTGCAGTTAGCCGAGGCTGTGCCACTGCACTCCAGCCTGGGTGACAGAGCAAGACCCCGTCTCAAAAAAAAAAAGAAAAGAAAAAAAAAAGAATTAACTAGTTTTACAGTTGTTAACTAGATAACTGAAAAGGTAAAAAAGAGCACGAGGGCATCAGAATGGTAGAAATTTCAGGAATCAACTACCATCTTTAGGGAAGGGAGAATAACGAGAAGATGATGGGATTATTCAACTTTAGAGATTATTAAAATTTAGAGGATCCCTACTGAACTGAAACTCAGAACTTTGAGAAGTCACTGCTCAGATGCTGGTGGGGTCTCAGAGCTCAAAGGAAGGGCCAATGGAAGAGGGAGGCAGGATGAGGCTGGTTCTGCAAGTATTTAAAAAACTGCAAACCGAATTCAACTGTTTCTATGGAAAGGAATTTATATTGCTGGCATAAAAAAGTATTGATTGCTAGGGTGATACACACAGGAACAAGAAACAGACAAAAGGCCCCATGGGGGGAGAAAAAAAACAGGAAGTAGCAAGTTTCTTCTTCATCCTCCAACATTGCAGTCTTCTTCTAATACCCCATTTAGGCGATCATAGCAAGGAACGAGCTGGAAAAACAGATACATGGTTTGCAGAGCCCCAGCCCCAGCAACACAAAGCAGACAGAGTGCAGAAGGCTGAAATACAGTAATTTAATAGCTGGCATACCATGTAAAGGTTTTACTTATTCAAAAAATTAAATTGAAAAAGAAGAAAGCAAACCATACATCTGAAAAACAGGCAGTAACAAATGAACCTAACTATGAAATTGATAACCACACAGAGAAAAGAATTATTTAAAGCAGAGTAAGCCGACTGTTTATTCTTACTGTGATATTCCAACAACAAAAAGAACTAGGGAGATGTGAAACTTCACTCAGTATGTTTGTTGTTGGTAACAATATTGTAGAAATTATTTTATACATATTATAGGAGAAAGCTAACTTGTACATTAATTTTATTAGAAACAAAGATTTTCTGGGTTTAAGAAAAATATGCCAATACAAGTTTTTAAAAACTCTTTAATATTAATTTTGAACTGGAAATAGTAAGAGATTTTGAAAATTTCAAAATAAGAGATTTTAAATGGGAAATAGTAATAGATAAACTGGAAATTTAAGAGATTTTTGCCTACCTCTGTTTATAGGGAGAACTCAGCAGTCATCACAACTGGTAGCAATGAACAAACGTACCACCCAAATCTTGGTTTCCAAATACTACTTCCCACTAAAAGAAACTAGGTATCTTTGGAGAAATGGCTGATTCCACATCTAAGGCAGAGAAAAGTACAAGGCAACCTGGGACATCTTGTGTCAAAACGTAATAGACATACCCAGAGACCAACTGAATCACAACAAAAGGACACAGGGATCTTATTGAATTAACTTCCAGTGTCCAAACTTGGAACAACTTGGCCATCAAAAAGAATAGTAATTACAATTGATTACATTTTAAATAATAAAAATTTTATAGGCCGGGCACGGTGGCTTATGCCTATAATCCTAGCACTTTGGGAGGCCGAGGCAGACAGATCACTTGAGGTCAGGAAACCAGCCTGGCCAACATGGTGAAACTTATCTCTACTAAAAATACAAAAATTAGCCAGACCTGGTGGCAAGAACCCATAATCCCAGTTACTCAGGAGGCTGAGGCAGGAGAATCACTTTAATCCAGGAGGCAGAGGTTGCAGTGAGCCAAGATCACACCACTGCACTTCAGCCTGAGCAACAGAGCGAGACTCCATCTCAAAAAAAATAAAAATTTAAAAAATTTAAAAATCTTTAAAAAAAAAAAGGTTATATGAGTACACAGTGAAACTCAAAATCAGAGGAAAAAAAGTTAAAACTCTTCTCAGTAAAAGGATGCCTTTTATTAAATGTACAAATATTACAGAATAAGAAAATCACCATTTTGCAATTTCAAATGTAATAATTAACTTAGGTAAAGGTCATCAACTGATGCTAAAAACCATCTGGTAAAAAAGTTTGAGGAAAATCAAATCACCCCAGAGATTACTTACTAATTGCAAAGGAGGAAACTCTGCTACCATTCCAATGGGGAGATCTGGAGATCATTATCTTAATGAAATAATAGGATTTAGTATTGCTGTTACTGGGAGGACCTGATATAATGTGCACTCTTGTGTGATACAATATGAAGTATACAACTTAACCTACAAAGATTTTATGAAAAAATATTTTACCTGAATATATGAATGCTCCTGGACTTCATATGGGGTTATGTCTTGATAAATGCATCATAAGTTGAAAATATTGTAAGTCAAAAATGCATTTAATACATCTAACCTACCAAACATCATAGCTTACCCTAGCCTATTTGAAACATGTTCAGAACACTTACGTTAGTCCACAGTTGCGCAGAATCATCTAACACAAAGCTTATTTTATAATGAAGTGTTGGATATCTCATGTAATTTATTGAATTTTTCTTTGAAAATAAAAAACAGTGGTTGTATGGGTACTCAAAGTAGGGCTTCTAAATGTGTACTCCTTTTGCACCATCATAAATTTGAAAAATTGTAAGGTGAAACATCCTAAGTCAGAGACCATCTGTAATCAATTCTTTGGGTACAATTTAGAGGAAATGCAGAGAATAGGGAAGCAAGTTAAATGACACCATAAAGACACAATCAGACAAAGCCAGAATGTGGGATATTCTACAAGAAAAAGAGACTGAATCATATCAGCTAAATGTAGCACATGAATCTAGATTAGACCTATGTATTGCTTTTAATTCCAGAAGGAGAGAATAAAACAGAATAAATATTTGAAATTTTGAATACATTTGAAATGTTAATAACTGAGAATTTCACAAATTAATGCCAGACACCAAACCACAGATCCAGGAAGCTCAGAGAACACCATGTGGGATAAATGCACACACATACAGGTGCACACACATACAGGTACACACACACAACAACAACAATGACGAAAAACCAAACCCAAAACTTCATCTAGGTAACAGTGTTAAAAGAAGAAAGGAAGAATAACACTACCCAACTTCGAGACCTACTCTAAGGCTAAAGTTTCAAGACAGTGTGCAATTAACAAAAAATAGACAAATAGATCAATGTAACAGAACCAAGAGACCAGAAATAGACCTACAGCAATTTAGTCAACTGTTTTTGACAAAAGAGCAAAGGCAATACAATAGTATTGAGAAAAGACAGTATTTTCAATAAATGGTGTGGAATAACTGGACAGGCACATGCAAAAAAACTAAGCTACGCTAAACACAGACTGTCCAACCTTCACAAAAGTTAATTCAAAATGGATCATGGATCTAAATGTAAAATGCAAAACTATAAGACCTCTAGAAGATTACATAGAAGAACATCTAGATGACCTTGAGTTTGGTCATGACTTTTTGTATATGATACCAAAGGCACAGTATATGAGAGAAAAAATTGATAAGCTGCACTTCATTAAAATTAGTTTTCTGTTCCGTAAAAGGCACTGTCCAGAGAATGAAAAGACGAGCCACAGACTGCAAAAAACAATCTGCAAAAGACATATCTAGTAAAGGACTACTATCCAAGTAAAGAATGCTTAAAACTCAACAATGAGAAAACAATTTGATATTTAAATGGGTCAAACAGGTAAGGCACAGTGACTTATGCCTGTAATCCCAGCACTTTGGGAGATCAAAGTGGGAGGATCACATAAGGCCAAGAGTTCAAGACCAGCCTAGGCAACACACCAAGACCCCATTTCTATTAAAAAACAAAAATTAAAAAGTTAGCTGGGCATGGTGGTGCATACCTTTAGTCCTAGCTACTCAGGATGCTGAGGCAGAAGTATTGCTTGGACTCAGGAGGTCGAAGCTGCAGTGAACTATGATTGTGCCTCTGCACTCCAGCCTGGGTAACAGAGCAAGACTCTTAAAAAAAAATAGAAATAAAAAATGGGTCAAAGTCCTTACAGATGCTTTTCCAAAGAAGATATGCATATGATAAATAAGCATATGAAAAGATATTCCATGTCATCAAGAAAATACAAATTAAAACACTGAGATACAACTACACACTTACCAGAATAGCCAAAATACAAAACATTGACAACACTAAATGCCTGCGAGGATGTGAAACAACAGCCACTGTTATTCATTGCTGGTGGGAATGCAAAATGATATGTCTACTTTGGAAGACAGTTTGGCAGTTTCTTATAAAACTAAACAAAACATCCAACTCTTGTGCTCCTTGGTAGCCCAAAGGAGTTGAAAATTTATTTCCATACAAAAACTTGCAAATGGATGTTTATAGCAGCTTTATTTACAATTGTCAAAACTTGGAAGCAACCAAGATATCCCTCCGTAGGTATATATGTGAATAGATAAATAAACTGTGGTACATCAAGGCAATTGAATATTATTCTGCACTATAAAGAAATGAGCTATGAAGTCCAGGCATGGTAGCTGCTGCCTGTAATCCCAACACTTTGGGAGCCCAAGGTGGGAGGATCACTTGAGCCCAAGAGTTTGAGACCAGCCTGGGCAACATAGCAAGACCTAGTCTCTACTAAAAATCAAAAACATTAGCCAGGTGTGGTGGCGAGCACTTGTGCTCTTGCTACTGGGGAGGCTGAGTCTGGAAGATCACTTGAGCCCAGGAGGTTCAGGCTGCAGTGAGCTGGCATCACACTACCACACTCCAGCCTCAGTAACAGAGCAAGACCCTGTCTCAAAAAAAGAAAAAAAAAAGTCATGAAAAAGCATGGAAGAAATTTAAATGCACCTTACTAAATGAAAGAAGTCAATCTGGAAAGGCTACATACTGTATGATTCCATCTATTTGACATTCTGAAAAAGGCAAAACTATGGAAACAGTAAAAAGATTATAGTTGCCATGAATTAGGGCAGAGGGAGGGATGAATAGGAGGTACATAGAGGACTTTCAGGTCAGTGAAACACTCTGTATTATACAGTAATGGTGAATATGTGTCATTACACATTTGTCAAAACCCATAGAATGTACAACACCAAGAGTGAAGCTTAATGAAACTAATGACTTCAGGTGATGATAATGTATCAGTGTAGGTTCATCTATTGTAGCAAACGTTATCACTCTGGTGAAGGATGTATGGTGGCAGGGGTTATATGGGAAATCTCTGTACCTTCCACTCAATTTTCCTGTGAACATAACTGCTCCAAAAAGTAAAGTCCATATTTAAAAAAGGATAATTTTAAGTATTAAATAAGTTAGTAAAAGATAGGAGAGAAGGGAAGATGGTAGGACAGCAAGACTTTTCTCCCTAGCAGGGGAAGAATCCAAAAATTAAATTAGAAAGCAATTTATTTCACAATAGCATCAAAAATGTATAAAAAATACTTTAAAGTATAATATGTATATATTGAAAACTATTAAACATTACTAAAAATTAAAGATCAATATATAAATGGAAAGATATTCCATGTTCATGGATTATAAGACTCAATATTGTTAAGATAGCAATTCTTTCCAAATTTGTCTATAGTTAAGGAAATCTCTACCAAAATCCTAGCAGACTTCTTTGCCAAAATTGACAGGCTTCCATCCTGGCAAATATGGTGAAACCCATCTCTACTAAAAATACAAAAATTAGCCAGGCGTGGTGGCACATGCCTGTAATCCCAGCTACTCGGGAGGCTGAGGCAGGAGAATCCCTCGAACCAGGAAGTCAGAGTTTGCAGTGAGTTGAGATCATGCCACTGCACTACAGCCTGGGACAGAGTGAGACTCTATCTCAAAAAAAAAAAAAAAAAAAAAAAAAAAAAAAAAAAAACACATGATAGGCTTATCCTACAAATTATATAGAAACTCAAAAGCCAAAACCAGTTTTAAAAAACAACAGTACTGGAGGAATTATAGTACTCAATTTCAAAACTTACTACAAAGCTACAGAAATCAAGAAAATGTGGTATTGGCAAAAGAATAAACATGTAGATCAATTGAACAGAATAGAAACTTTAGAAATAAACCTTCATTTTTGTGGTCAATGGGCTTTCTACAAAGCTATCAATGCAATTCTGTGGTGAAAAGATCATCTATTTTTAGCAATTTGTGCTGGTACAATTAGTATCTGGGCAGTAAAACATTAATTCAAGAGGCTTGGGTTGCTCAAACCCTGCATATTCCAAAGGTCTTTACAACTGGCCTTTGAAAAACTCCTGAGATCTCTGTGAGTACTTAGAATATCCTGCCTGATTGAGTATGTTTATATACCTGAAACCTGGGGCCATTCAAATCAGATTGTTAATGCTAAAATTTTCACAGAATTAGGAAAAACAATTGTAAAATTCATTTGGAATCAAAAAAGAGCCGAAATAGCCAAAGCAATCCTTAGCAAAAAGAACAAATCTGGAGGCACCACGTTATTTGACTTTAAATTATACCACAAGGCTATAGTAACCAAACAGCATGGTACTATAATAAAAGTAGATACATAGGCAAATGGAACAGAATTGAGAACCCAGAACTAAAGCCAAATACTTACAACAAACTGATATTCAAAAAAGCATACAAAAACATAAATTGGTAAAAGGATACCCTATTCAATAAATGGGGCTGGGAAAACTGAATAGACACATGTAGAAAAATGAAATTGGATTCCTATCTCTCACCATATACAAAACCCAATTCAAGATAGATTAAATACTTAAATCTGAGACCTAAAACCAGAAATATTCTAGAAGAGAACCTAAGAAAAACTCTTCTGGACATTGGCCTAGGCAAATAATTTATAATGAGGGCCCCAAAAGAAAATGCAATGAAAATAAAAATAAATAAATAAATGGGACCTAACTAAGCTGAAAAGCTTCTGCACAACAAAAGAAACAGTAAACAGACAACCTACAGAATGGGAGAAGATATTTTCAAACTATGCATCTGACAAAGGACTAATATCCAGAATCTGCAAGGAACTCAAATAAGAAAAAATAATCCCATCAAAAAGTGGGCAAATGACATGAATAGACACTTTAAAAAGGTATGCAAATGGCCAGAAAATACATGAAAAAATGCTCAACATCACTAATCAGAGAAAGGCAAATTAAAACCACAATGAAATACAACTTAACCCCAGCCAGAATGACCATTATTAAAAAGCCAAAAAACAATAAACATTGGCATAGATGTGGTGAAAAGGGGACAGTTACATAGTGTTGATGGGAATGTAAATTAGTACAACCTCTATGGAAAACAGTATGGAGATTTCTCAAAGAATTAAAAGTAAATCTACCATTCAATCCAGTAATCCCACTACTGGGCATCTGTTGCGGGAAGTCAGGGACCCCGAACGGAGGGACCGACTGAAGCCATGGCAGAAGAACATAAATTGTGAAGATTTCATGGACATTTATTAGTTCCCCAGATTAATACTTTTATAATTTCTTATGCCTGTCTTTACTGCAATCTCTGAACATAAATTGTGAAGATTTCATGGACACTTATCTCTTCCCCAATCAATACCCTTGTGATTTCCTATGCCTGTCTTTACTTTAATCTCTTAATCCCATCACAATCATAAACTGAGGATGAATGTCACCTCAGGACCCTGTGATAATTGCATTAACTGCAAAACTTGTTTAAACAATATGAAATCTGGGCACCTTGGAAAAAAGAACAGGATAACAGCGATGTTCAGAGAACAAGGGACATAACCTTAAACTCTGGCTGCCTGTGGGCCGGGTGGAACAGAGCCATATTTCTCTTCTTTCAAAAGCAAATAGGAGAAATATTGCTGAATTCTTTTTCTCAGCAAGGAACATCCCTGAGAAAGAGAATGCGTCCCTAAGGGGAGGTCTCCAAAATGGCCGCTCTGGGGACGTCTGTCTTTTACGATTGAAGATAAGGGAAGAAATAAGCCCTGGTCTCACATAGCACTCCCAGGCCTATTAGGACGAGGAAGTTCCCACCTAATAAATTTTGGTCAGACTGGTTATCTGCTCTCAAACCCTGTCTCCTGATAAGATGTTATCAATGACAATGCGTGCCCGAAACTTCATTAGCAATTTTAATTTCGCCCCAGTCCTGTGATCTCGCCCTGCCTCCATTTGCCTTGTGATATTTTATTACCTTGTGAAGCATGTGATCTCTGTGACCCACACCCTATTCATACACTCCCTCCCTTTTGAAACTCACTAATAAAAACTTGCTGGTTTTGCAGTTTGAGGGGCATCATGGAACCTGTCGACATGTGATGTCTCCCCCAGACACCCAGCTTTAAAATTTCTCTCTTTTGTACTCTGTCCCTTTATTTCTCAGACCGGCCAACACTTAGGAAAATTAGAAAAGAACCTACATGAAATATCGGGGGTGAATTTCCCCCGATAGGTATCTGCCCAGAGGAAAAGAAGTCATTATATTAAAAAGATACCTGCATGAATATGTTTATCACAGCACAATGCACAATTGCAAAGATATGGAACCAACCTAAGTGTCCATTAGCTGATGAGTGGATAAAGAAAATACACCATGGAATACTACTCAGCCATTAAAAAAAAATGAAATAATGTCTTTTGCAGCAACTTGGATTGAGCTAGAGGCCATTATTCTAAGTAACTCAGGAATGGAACACCACATACCATATGTTCTCTGTAAGTGGGAGCTAAGTTATGGGTATGCAAAGGCATACAGAGTGGTATAATGGACATTGGAAACTCAGAAGGGGGAAGGTGGGAGGAGGGTGAGAGATTAAAAAAACTAAACATTGGGTACAATGTACACTACCCAGGTAACAGGTGCACTAAAATCTCAGATTTCACCCCAATACAATTCATTCACATAACCAAAAACCATTTATACCCCAAAAGCTATTGAAATAAATTACACACACACACACACACATTTTTAAAAGATAGTTAATGGTGAACAATTGAGTTTTTCTTTTTTATATTTTTGTTGTGATAAAAGACAAGAAGTTTATCGTATTGACCATTTTCAAGTATATACCGCAGTGATATTAAATACATTCATAATGTTGTGAAACCAATCACCATAATCTCCAGAACTCTGTTCACCCTGGAAAACAGAAACACTGTACCTATTAAACAATAACTCCCCATTCTCAATATCATTAGTGACTCAGAATATGCAATTTTAAGCCACAATGAGATACCACTGTATAATCACTAGAATGACTTTAATCCAGAAAAATGGCAATACCAAGTGTTGGTGAGAATATGGAGAAAATGTAACTTTCATACATTGCTAGAGAGAATGTAAAATGTTATAGTCACCTTGGGAAACTGGTTGGTAGGTTTTTTTTTTTTAACAGTTAAACATTACTTATATTTTTATTTATATACACATACACACACACATACATATATACTCACATACTTTATAACCTAATGATTCTACTCTTAAATATCTACCAAAGAGAAATGAAAAAGTATGTCCACACAATGCAAATGTTAAAACAGTATTACTCCTAATAGCCAAAAACTGGAAACAATTTAAATGCTTATCAACTGGTGAATAAACAAAATGTAGTATATCTATACATTGGGACACCACTCAGTGTTTGTTTTTGGGGTTTTTTTGTTGGTGGTTTTTTTTTTTTTTTTTTTTTTTTGAGATGGAGTCTCACTCTGTATCTGGGCTGGAGGGCAGTGGCACAATCTCGGCTCATTGCAACCTCTGCCTACCGGTTCAAGTGATTCTCCTGCCTCAGCCTCTTGAGTAGCTAGGACTACAGGCACACACCACCATGCCTGGCTAATTTTTTTTGTATTTTCAGTAGAGATGGGGTTTCACTATGTTGGTCAGGCTGGTCCTGAACTCCTGACCTCAAATGATCTGCCCACCTCGGCCTCCCAAAGTGCTGGGATTACAGGCATGAGCCACCATGCCTGGCCCACTCACTAACTGTTTTAAGTCAAAGTACTGATACATGCTATAACATAAATGAACCTCAAAAACACACTAAGTGAAAGAAGCCAGACACAAAAGACCACATATTCTATGATTCTCTTTTTATGACATGTACTAAGTGTACAGAGACAAAAAGCAGAGTAGTACTTGCCTGGAGTTAAGGGTGACAGCAGGAATTGTCTGCAAAGAAACAAAAGGGAACTTTTTGGGGCAATGGAAATATTCTAAATCTGGATATGGTGATGGTCACACTACTCTATAAACTGGCTTAAAAGGGTTAAATTATATATTTACAAAGGATTAATGTTATGGTATGTAAGTAATACCTCAATAAAGCTGTTTTTAAAAAGAGAAAAAATCCATATAAGCATGCAATGAATTATATGTGAAGTAACTAAAATGAGGAATGATTTCAAGTCACTGGTGAAATGTAGGAAAGGAGACTCTTCTTTGCCTTAAGTGGAACAGGATTTATAATATTGAAATGTAGAAAAGAATTGTTATCAGAGCACTTTTGTTTGACACTTAATTTTACATATCATATTAATGTAAGCATTACTGTGTATTAGTATTCTGTTTTTAGAATCAGCTTGTTGAAAGAACTTAATTATGGTTACAAAAAACACATGAAAGTCATCTCCCTTAATGACGTTAAACCATGGCACAGCTGATCAGATGCCTTAGTCCGTTAGGGGTACCATAGCAAAATACCATAAACTGAGTAGCTTATAACAAACACTTAATTTTCACAGTTCTGGAGGGTGGGAAGTTCCTCAAGGTGCCAACAGATTCAGTGTCTGGTGAGGGCCTACTCCCTGGTTCACAGAAGGCATCTTCTCCCTGTGTCCTCGCATGGTGGAAAGAGACAAATCTGGACTCTTAACTCCCTTATAAGGGCATTCATCTCATTCACTTGGGCTCTATCTTCATGACTAAATCATATCCCAAAGTTCCCACCTCCTAACAGCATTGTATTGGGGATTAAGTTTCAGCATATGAATCTGGGGAGAATACAGATCTTCAGTTCACAACCCCAGAATTGGAGGGAGGTTGAAGACAGGGAAGGAGATATTAACAACTCATCTGTAAGATGAGAGGGAGTTGGAGTTTGGGGACATAGTTGAAAGTTAATAAAGGCAAAGAGAGTCGTTTGATTATAATATTAAAATTGTAGAGATAACTAATAGAGAAACTAAAAATAGTGATTTAACCATCAAAACTCTGGAGACAATGGTGTACTGGGTGAGGTGAGTGAGCTATACCCTCATATATCATTATCAGATCTCAGAGCATGAACAATCTCTGGAGGTGCCTTAGTTCCCACCTTTGAGAGCTAAAATAGTTGGGGTGCTCCTAGATTCCTGTAGACTCTTCTACTTCTTTAATAGAACTGTGCTCTCTGCTGCTGCTAAGTTTATACTGGTTTTTAAACTTTTTATTACATTCAATCCAAGGGACACACAGTAGAAGAATATATGAAGATGAGCATATTCTATTAACTGAATAAAGTAGATTATAAGAACAGAGAGCTTATTTTCCCCCCTTCTAGGTAAAGAAAACCCCATTAGCAGTACATTCCACCCTCTACCCACAATCCTTTCACAAAAAGGAGAAGTGACTGGGTTTGAAAATAAAATAGATATGCATAGCCCAGCACTTTCCCCCTTCAGATGTCCAGGGAGTGAGCTATGAAAGTCCAGGTTCTTTTATGACTTCCAATGCTGTTAATTTAAAAGGAGACGGCCTCACATGAAGAGACTCCTGTAATCCAGCAATATACTTTTGAAATACGTGTGTAGCTAGATACGGAAGTCGATCGTCATAAGCCTCAGCATTAGGAAGTCCTCCTGCCTACAGCTGTAAAACCACCCTGCAATCTAGATTTTATTAGTAATTCATGTGACACTTTGACCTCAACCTGCATTAAATCTCTGTAGTTAATTCTCAATGAATGCTGCAGAAGGGGGTACTATTTATGTTATTTCCATAAAGATCACATACTACCTGTATAGATGCTCCTCAACTTACAATGGGGTTACATCCTGTTAAACCCACTGTAAATTCAAAATGCATTTAATACACCTAATCTTCTGAACATTGTTGCTTAGCCTACCCTTCCTTAAATGCACTCAGAAAGAACACTTGCATTGGCCTATAGTTGAGCAAAATCACCTGGCAACACAGTACACTACAGAGTATCGGTCGGTTACCCTCATGATGGTGTGTCTGTGGCTGACTGGGAGCTGCAGTTCACTGCCACTGCCCGGCATCATGAGAGTGTATTGCAGGGCATATCACTTGCCCAGGAAAAGATCAAAACTCAAGGTATGATTTCTACTATATGTATATCACTTTCACACCATGGTAAAGTTGAAAAATCATAAGTTGAACCATCATAAGTCAAGGCCGTCTGTACTACTTTCCCACTTTTGAAATGTGTGCGTGTGACAACACAAGAAAAAAAGTAAAGGACTGGAAATAGACATGCTAACATATAATCAGTAACAATTGCTGGGTGATGGTGGAATAAGTAAGGCTTATTTTCCTCTTTTACTCTTCTGGGTTTCTTGAATTATTTTCCTCAAAAAAATCTGCATTAATTTTATTATCAAAAAGAAAAGTATATGTTCATTTTTGGAAATTTAAAAAGCTTGGGCCACATCAGGAAAAGGCATGATGTCCAAAATCAAGGACAGAGAGGAGACACATTTGTTTCTCAACAGCCAACTGAATTACAACTTTAAAACATTCTTACAGATGTCAGATAAGACCTTGTCTTGGGCTGACCAATATCATCTTATATTATCAAAATGCTTATAGTCAGCAGTCACCAGTGCCTGGATTGGTTTCACATACTTTTATAGCCACAGTTAGAAACTTTCTGATAACATTTTAGTAAACTCTTGAGTAACTTTGGAGAGAGAATCATCATGCTTCAATTCATTATATGCAGATCAATAAAGAGAAGTAGGAATAGCACAAAATATAATCCTAGTATAGTCTACCCTGCTGTTAAGTAAAGCTGCTTTCTTTTTTCATTGCCCAAATGTATGGCTTGCACCCAACTAGTCACTGCTTGGGGCCAGAGTTAGAAAATTTTCTCTTCCTAATTTATGTTTCATTGACTTTTTATGGTGGCAGATATTGATCTCGCTTTGTGTGCCATCAGATCAAATGCTGCAACCCAATTCAGAGCCAAGATCATGACTTTCAGTGATCAGCCTTTAATGTGCAGGAAAAAATGGAGGTGGAAACATGATTTATTTTCCTTTTGCAGGCTTTTTATTATAGACACAGATGTTGGGAGCTTTCTCAGCTACAGTCAGCTGTGGAATGGGGCAGGTGAACTGCCCTGCTTTCCTGGAGTGCCACAACCATAAAACAAACTGAACATTCCAGGAATGACTCATTTGATTAGAAGAGCCAAAAACCAGCACTAAGCAAAAGCAGAAAAGAACAAAGATCATTTTTCATTAGGGTTACTGATGGTCCCTAGGCATGGTCAAAGAAATGATGGAAGAGGCCACGTGCGGTGGCTCACACCTGTAATCCCAGCACTTTGGGAGGCCAAGGCAGGTGGATCACGAGGTCAGGAGATCGAGACCATCCTGGCTAACATGGTGAAACCCTATCTCTACTAAAAATACAAAAAAATAAAAATAAAAAATTAGCCAGGCATGGCGGCACTAGTCCCAGCTACTCGGGAGGCTGAGGCAGAAGAATCACTTGAACTCAGGAAGTGGAGGTGGCAGTGAGCCGAGATCATGCCACTGCACTCCAGCCTGGGCAACAGAACAAGACTTCAT
Source organism: Homo sapiens (assembly GCF_000001405.40). Classification (NCBI taxonomy): domain Eukaryota; kingdom Metazoa; phylum Chordata; class Mammalia; order Primates; family Hominidae; genus Homo; species Homo sapiens. Next base: position 75,267,396 of record NC_000009.12, on the reverse strand, counting down.
CTCAAAAAAAAAAAAAAAAAAAAAAGGAAATAGAAATGATGGAAGAATGATTGTCTGTTTGTTATATAAAATTAGAGACACAGGAATATCATTAATATATTTGTTCCAGAATTGATAGCAAGAATGGCTTGACTTGGCTTAGGCCGTATCCTTTTGTTGCTTATAATCCTTTATTAGTTTCTCTGAACATTTTTTAAAGAGACTGACTTCATTAGTAGAGCAGAACCATATAAGTTAAAGTCTACACAATGCATTCCAAGAGATGGACATGATTATGTTGGGCTAGAATGCCATTATAACAGACATGAGGAAATATGTAGATTATCTCATCCCTGGAGACCTTACAGATAACTTCTTGTGGTACTGGGATTTGTGGAGTGAATTCCCATTGCCTTGTTACACCACTGTGGAAGCTAAAAAAGAGAATGGGACATTTTAGAAATTGTGCATCACTGAAGAACAGGAGTATTAAGAAGAAATTTAGGCTGGGCGCAGTGGTTCACACCTGTAATCCTAGCACTTTGGGAGGTTGTGGCAGGTGAATCACCTGAGGTCAGGAGTTTGAGACCAGCCTGGCCAACGTGGTGAAACCCTGTCTCTACTAAAAATACAAAAAGTAGCTGGGCGTGGTGGCAGGCACCTGTAATCCCAGCTACTTGCGAGGCTGAGGCAGGAGAATCATTTGAACCCGGGAGGCAGAGGTTGCTGTGAGCAGAGACCACACCATTGCACTGAGCCTGAGCAACAAGAGCAAAGCTCCATCTAAAAAATAATAATAATTTTTATAAAAGAAACAGGTTTCTTTGATTCCCATCTGGAATTGGAAAAAAAAAGATGGAGAACACAAATAATGTTGGGTTAGGAATATGTGTGTGTTTGTGTGTCTTTAAAAGCTTTAAATAACTCCAAGTGATTCTAACACGTAGACAAAGCTGACAACTATGGCACTAGGTCCATCCCTCTTGGGATATTCTGAATTGGACAGTGCAGTTGCTTCAAATATAACAGTCATTGGCACAAACATTTAAATTAGAAATGTGTTGTCTCCCTACAGCACCTAGCTAAGCAAATATTAGTTCCTCCAGAAACATTTATTGAAATAAATCACTGATTTTAGCCTGAGAGTGGGGTCACTGTGCAACTTAAAATGTAAACAAGATTTTCTCAAATCACCAGGCCCCATACTATAGAAGGGCCACTGCCTTTACTAATATTTGTATAAATTCCTAGGAGATTCACATTCCCAAAGTCACCTCTGGCCCCAATTTCATGACTCTGCTGAATTTTAACTTCAACAATTCCAAAGCATCGAAACACATAAGACCCTCAGCAAGAAAGCATTCTATTCTGCATCACACAAACAGAAAATCCCTATTAGACATCCCTGTTTTTCAAGTCCTTTGTTATCCTGAGGCCAGAGATTCCTCACTTATTTTGTCACCTCAGGTGACTTCGCTGTCTTATGTGGCTGATGGCTGTTCCCCACCTGCCTCAAATCACTCCTCAGACCCCACCCACTCCCAATTCCCAGGTCTTTCCACTCAGAGAACAGACCAGCTCTTTGCTACCCCTGCTGCCAAATAGCTTCAAGCCCAACTCTGCACCTACCCATTTAGGTGCTCAGTTTAATGTGATGGCTTTTTTTAATCCTTTTTAGCAACACCAATGACTAGGAGAGACTCTAAGATTATAGCTGTCAACACTGGGCTTCAATTGGGGCTAATGCTGCCCCCTTGTGGTAGAAGTGAGAATGCTAGAGATGCGTAATGCAATTACGATTTCCCCAATATTATTCTTTCAGATTTTAAATGTATCTAAAAACACATCCTCAGTTGGACAATCTACTACTATCCCACCTTTAATTAAAGACTTTATACAGATTGATTAGGTACTTCTAAACTTTGATGCCAATGACTACTAGATAGACAGGAAATGTTCATGTACTAATACTTGCTATGTGGTCATTTATCTCAAAATTGCTCAGTGCAGACTGTATAAAATCAAAAGGCATCTGGTTAGCAGCTGAAATTCACTTATCAGGAATTCCAGCCTCCAAAGTATTTTAGTAAGAACTTCAAAGATGCTTACCAAAAACACCAGAGGGTTTCTTAGCATAAAGAATATTAGAAATCATTTTTCTCTGGTGAAATAAATGGAAATAAGTAAAATTCAGGATATATCATGGGTTAGAAAGATACTTGGGGCCGCACTAACCTTTCTTAAAACAGGAGAATAAAATCAGCAATCCCAGTGTCTTAATATCTTGGGACAATCCAGGGCTGTATTTGGTCCTATGTCCCTTTCACACTGCAGAAGACTATCAATTTACCCAAATAAGAAGTTCACATCTACTCACCAGAATGGTGTTGCATTGGCTCACAGGAAGCCTCTCATTCAAGATGCTTAGAGAAATGCCAAAAGTCGGAGAATAAGGCACTTTCTGGGCTTACAAGAATAGGTAGGTAGTATAACTGTTTTAATGTATCTTTACTCATTAAAAATGGGAAGGTTTGGTAGAATTTGGTTTAAGGCTATCTTCAATACAAAATGCCACCTGGTAAGAAAGTTGTTGAGAGAGGGCAGAGCAAAATGGCGGAATAGAAAGATCTACCAATCATGCCCTTCACAAGGACACCAAGTTAACAATTATCTATACAGAAAAAACACCTATTCATAAGAACCAAAAATCAAGTAAGCACTCATAGTACCTCCTTTTAACTTTATATCACTGAAAGAAGCACTGAAGAGACTAAAAACAGTCCTGAATCACCGTTGTGACCCCTTCCTCACTCCCTGCCTTGGTGGCATGGTATGGAGGGATTCTCTGGGTGCTGGGGGAGGGAGAATACAGCAATTGTGATGCACTGAACTCACTGCTGTCCTGTCAGAGCAGAAAGGAAAACCAGACCAAACTCAGCTGACACCCACCCACAGAGGGAACATTTAAGCCAGGCTTAGCCAGAGGGGAATCACCAATCCCAGAAGTCTGAGCTTGAGTGCCTCCAAACCTTGCCTCCAAGGGCTATAGCACTCTGTCTCCAAGTAAACTTGAAAGGCAATCTAGGCCATAAGGACTACAACTCTTAGGCGAGTCCTAGGGCTGAACTAAGCCCAGAGATAGTGGACACCAGCTGTGGCAGCCAAGGGAGTGCTCGCATCATACCTCCTCTAACCCCAGGCTACAACTCACAACTCCAAAAGAGACCCCTTCCTTCCACTTAAGGAGAGGAGTGGGAAGAGTAGGAAGGATGTTGTCTTACATCTATGATACCAGCTCAGCCACAGCAAAATAGGATACCAGTCAGAGTCATGAGGCCCCCATTCGAGGGCCTAGCTCACAGATGACATTTCTAGACACACCCTGGGCCAGAAGGGAACCCACTGCCTTGAAGGAAAGGACCCAGTCCTGCCAGCATTCATCACCTGCTAACCAAAGAGCCCTTGGACCTTAAATAACCAGTAGTAATACACAGGTACTACGTAGAAGGCCTTGGGTGAGCCTCTGAGACTTGTTGGCTTCAGGTGAGACTCAGTACATAGCCAGCTGCTGTGGCTATGGGACAAAACTTCTGCTTGAGAAAAGCAGAAGGAAAAGTAAAAGGGACTTTGTATTGCACCATAGGTACCACCATCACCACAGGGGACTAGAGCACCAAGAGGGTTCTTGGGATCCCTGATTCCAGGATGTGACTCTTGGATGGCATTTCTGGACCTAACCTGGGCCAGAGAGGAACCCACTGCCCTGAAGGGTGAGTCCCAGGCCAGGTAGCCTTCATGACAAGCTGACTTTAGAGACTGTGGGCCTTAAGGGAAGATGAGTGTTAGTCTGGCAGTACTCACCATGGCCTCGGTTGGTAGTAGCTACAGGGTGAGGCTCCTCTGCTTCCATCTTGTGGCATAAGTGACAGCTTAGCCACACTGCAATAGAATATCAGGTAGATGAAGGCTTTTGACTCTAGTACCCCACTCCCAAACAGAACTTCTGGGCCCACCTAGGGCTTGGGGGACCTCTCCCTAAAGGGAAGGACATAGGCCTGGATGGATTTGCCACCTGCTAATTATAGAACCCTAGGCCCTTCAGCGAACATAGGCAGTAGCCAGGGACTGGTTACAGCAGGCCTTGGGTCAGGGACTGGTTACAGCAGGCCTTTCTGAGACACAGTGCTGTGCTGGCTTCAGGTCTGACCCAGTGCAGTCATAGTGGTGGTGGCCACAGGGGTGCTTGTGTCACTCAGCTTTAGGTGACTGATAACAAAGAAAGAGACTATATTTTTAGGAGAAAGTAAGAGAAAAGAACAAGGGTCTCTGACTGGTAATCCAGAGAACTCCCCCAGATCTTGTCCAAGACCATCAAGGCAGTACCTCTGTAAGTCTAAGTCTGCAAGAATCACAGCATTATTTGACTTGGGATGCCGCCAAAAGCAGATACATCTTAAATCACAGCACCCAAGTCCTGTCAAATATCTAGAAAGCCTTCCCAGGGAGGACAGCTACAAATAAGCTCAGACAGCAAAGGCTAAACTAAACACCTAACCCTTTCAATGCCCAGACACTGAAGAACATCTACTAGCATCAACACTATCCAAGAAAACATGACCTCACCAAATGAAGTAAATAAGGCACCAGGGACCAATCCAGGAGAAACAGATATGTGACCTAGACAGGGAATTTAAAATAGCTCTATTAAGGAAACTCAAAGAAATTCAAAATAACACAAGGAAGGAGTTCAGAATTCTACCTGATAAATTTAACAAAGAGATTGAAATAATTTAAAAGAATCAAACAAATTCTGGAGCTGAAAAACACAATGGACATAGTGAAGAATGCAACAGTCTTTCAATAGCAGAATTGATCAAACAGAAGAAAGAATTAATGAGCTTGAAGACAGGCTGTTTGAAAATACAGTCAGAGAAGACAAAAGAAAAAAGAATAGAAAATAATAAAGCAACCTACAGAAACTAGAAAATAGCCACAAAAGAGCAAATCTGACTGGATCTGGGAAGATGGCTGGCTGAATAGGAACAGCTCCGGTCTGCAGATCCCAGCGAGATCAACACAGAAGGCTGGTGATTTCTGCATTTCCAACTGAGGTACCCGGTTCATCTCATTGGGACTGGTTAGACCATGGGTACAGCACACGGAAGGTGAGCAGAAGCAGGATGGGGCATCACCTCACCCAGGAAGTGTTTAACAGGCCGGGAAACTCTCTCCCCTAGCCAAGGGAAGCCATGAGGGACTGTGCCATCCAGCCCAGATACTATGATTTTCCCACAGTTTTTGCAATCTGCAGACCAGGAGATTCCCTCACGTGCTGACATTACCCAGGCCCTGGGTTTCAAGTACAAAACAAGGTGGCTGTTTGGGCAGACACTGAGCTAGCTGCAGGAGTTTTTTTCATATCCCAGTGCCACCTGGAACCCCAGTGAGACAGAACCGTTCACTTCCCTGGAAAGGGGGCTGAAGCCAGGGGGCCAAGTGGTCTTGCTCAGTGGGTCCCACTCCCAAGGAGCCCAGCAAGTGAAGAACCGCTGGCTTGAAACTCTTGCTGCCAGCACAGCAGTCTGAAGTCGACCTGGAACAATAGAGCTTGGTGTAGGGGAGGGGTGTCCACATTACTGAGCTTTAAGTAGGTGGTTTTCCCCTCACAGTATTAAGGGAGCTGTTGGAAAGTTTGGACTGGGCAGAACTCACTGCAGTGCAACAAAATGGCTGTGGCCAGACTGCCTCTCTAGATTCCTTCTCACTGGGAAGGGCATCCCTGAAAGGCAGCAGCCCCAGTCAGGGGCTTACAGATAAAACTCCCATCTCCCAGAGCACCTGGAGGAAGACAAAACTGTGGGTGTAGCTTCAGCAAACTTAAACATTCCTGCCTGCTGGCTCTGAAGAGAGCAGCAGATCTCCCAGCACAGCGCTCGAGCTCAGCTAAGGGACGCACTGCCTCCTCAAGTGGGTCCCTGACCCCTGTGCCTCCTGAGTGGGAGACACCTCCCAGAAAAGGTTGACAGACACCTCATACAGGAGAGCTCTGGCTAGCGTCAGGCAGGTACCCCTCTGAGACCAAGCTTTCATAGGAAAGAGCAGGTAGCAATCTTTGCTGTTCTGCAGCCTCCTCTGGTGATACCCAGGCAAACAGGGTCTGGAGTGGACTTCCACTCAAACTCCAGGAGACCTGCAGAAGATGGGCCTGACTGTTAGAAGGAAAACAAACAAACAGAAATCAATAACATCAACATCAACAAAAAAGACAGCCACAGAAAAACCCCATCCAAAGGCCATAAGCATGAAAGATCAAAGGTAGATAAATCCACAAAGATGAGGGAAAACCAGCAGGAAAATGCTGAAAATTCCAAAAACCAGAACGCCTCTTCTCCAAATGATCACAACTCCACTCCAGCAAAGGCAAAAAACTGGACAGAGAATGAGTTTGATAAATTGACAGAAGTAGGCTTCAGAAGGTGGGTAATAATAAACTCCTCCTAGCTAAAAGAGCATGCTCTAACCCAATGCAAGGAAGCTAAGAACCTGGAAAAAAGGTTACAGGAAATGCTAACTAGAATAACCAGTTTAGAAAAGAACATAAATGACCTGATGGAGCTGAAAAACACAGCACAAGAACTTCATGAAGCATACACAAGTATGAATAGCCAAATCGATCAAGCAGAAAAAAGGATATCAGAGATTGAAGATCAACTTAATGATATAAAGTGAGAAGACAAGATTAGAGAAACAAGAATGAAAGGGAATGAACAAGGCCTCCAAGAAATATGGGACTATGTGAAAAGACCAAATCTACGTTTCATTGGTATACCTGACAGTGATGGGGAGAATGAAACCAAGTTCGAAAACACTCATCAGGATATTATCCAGGAGAACTTCCCCAACCTAGCAAGATAGGCCAACATTCAAATTCAGGAAATACAGAAAACACCACAAAGATACTCCTCGAGAAGAGGAACCCCAAGTTTCACCAAGGTTGAAATGAAGGAAAAAATGTTAAGGGCAGCCAGAGAGAAAGGTCAAGTTACCCACAAAGGGAAGCCCATCAGACTAACAGTGGATCTCTCTGCAGAAACCCTACAAGTCAGAAGAGAGTGAAGGCTAATATTCAACATTCTTAAAGAAAAGAATTTTCAACACAGAATTTCATATCCAGTGGAACTAAGCTTCATAAGTGAAGGAGAAATAAAATCATTACAGAGAAGAAAATACCGAGAGATTATGCCACCACCAGGCCTGCCTTACAAGAGCTCCTAAAGGAAGCACTAAATATGGAAAGGAAAAAGCAGCCACTGCAAAAACACACCAAAATATAAAGACCAATGGCACTAAGAAGAAACTGCATCAACTAATGTACAAAATAACCAGCTAGCATCATGATGACAGCATTAAATTCACACATCACAATATTAACTTTAAATGTAAATGGGCTTAATGAGCCAATTAGAAGGCACAGACTGGCAAATTGGATAAAGAGTCAAGACCCATCGGTGGGCTGTATCCAGGAGATGCAGCTCACATGCAAAGACACAATAGGTCAAAATAAAGGGATGGAGAAATATTTAATAAGCAAATGGAGAATATGGCTGAATAGGAACAGCTCCAGTCTACAGCTCCCAGTGTGAGCGACGCAGAAGATGGGTGACTTCTACATTTCCAACTGAGGTACTGGGTTCATCTCACTGGGGCTTGTCAGACAGTGGGTGCAGGACAGTCGATGCAGCCCACCGAGTGTGAGCTGAAGCTGGGCAAGGCATTGCCTAACCTGGGAAGTACAAGGGGTCAGGGAATTCCCTTTTCTAGCCAAGGGAAGCTGTGACAGACGGCACCTGGAAAATCAGGTCACTCCCACCCTAATACTGTGCTTTTCCAATGATCTTAGCAAACGACACACCAGGAGATTATATCCCGTGCCTGGCTCAGAGGGTCCCACGCCCACGGATCCTCGCTCATTGCTAGCACAGCAGTCTGAGATCGAACTATAAGGTGGCAGCGAGGCTGGGGGAGGGGTGCCCACCATTGCTGAGGCTTGAGTAGGTAAACAAAGCAGCCAGGAAGATTAAACTGGGTAGAGGCCACCACAGCTCAAGGAGGCCTGCCTGCCTCTGTAGACTCCACCTCTGGGGGCAGGGCATAGCTGAACAAAAAGCAGCAGAAACCTCTGTAGACTTAAATGTCACTGTCTGACAGCTTTGAAGAGAGTAATGGTTCTCTCAGCACAGAGTTTGAGATCTGAGAACAGACAGACTGCCTCCTCAAGTGGGTCCCTGAACCCCAAGTAGCCTAACTGGGAGGCACCCCCCAGTAGGGGCAGGCTGACACCTCACACAGCCGGGTACCCCTCTGGATGAAGCTTCCAGAGGAACGATCAGGCAGGTTCAGCAATATTCCCTGTTCTGCAGCCTCTGCTGCTGATACCCAGGCAAACAGCGTCTGGAGCGGACCTCCAGCAAACTCCAACAGACCTGCAGCGAAGGGGTCCTGACTGTTAGAAGGAAAACTAACAAACAGAAAGGACACCCACACCAAAACCCCATCTGTACATCACCATCATCAAAGACCAAAGGTAGATAAAACCACAAAGATGGGGAAGAAACAGAGCAGAAAAGCTGAAAATTCTAAAAATCAGAGTGCCTCTACACCTCCAAAGGAATGTAGCCCCTCGCCAGCAACAGAACAAAGCTGGACAGAGAATGACTTTGACAAGTTGAGAAAAGAAGGCTTCAGACAATCAAATTTCTCCGAGCTAAAGGAGGAAGTTCGAACCCATCGCAAAGAAGCTAAAAACCTTGAAAAAAGACTAGACAAATGGCTAACTAGAATAATCAGTGTGGAGAAGTCCTTAAATGACCTGAGGGAGCTGAAAACCATGGCACAAGAACTACGTGACACATGCACAAGCTTCAGTAGCCGATTCAATCAACTGGAAGAAAGGGTATCAGTGATTGAAGATCAAATGAATGAAATGAAGCGAGAAGAGAAGTTTAGAGAAAAAAGAGTAAAAATAAATGAACAAAGCCTCCAAGAAATATGGGACTATGTGAAAAGACCAAATCTACATCTGACTGGTGTACCTGAACGTGATGAGGAGAATGGAACCAAGTTGGAAAACACTCTGCAGGATATTATCCAGGAGAACTTCCCCAACCTAGCAAGGCAGGCCAACATTCAAATTCAGGAAATACAGAGAACGCCACAAAGATACTCCTCGAGAAGAGCAACTCCAAGACACATAATTGTCAGATTCACCAAAGTTGAAATGAAGGAAAAAATTTAAGGGCAGCCAGAGAGAAAGGTCAGGTTACCCACAAAGGGAAGCCCATCAGACTAACAGCTGATCCCTGGGCAGAAACTCTACAAGCCAGAAGAGAGTGGGACCCAATATTCAACATTCTTAAAGAAAAGAATTTTCAACCCAGAATTTCATATGCAGCCAAACTAATCTTCATAAGTGAAGGAGAAATAAAATCCTTTACAGACAAGTAAATGCTGAGAGATTTTGTCACCACCAGGCCTGCCCTACAAGAGCTCCTGAAGGAAGCACTAAACATGGAAAGGAACAACAGGTACCAGCCACTGCAAAAACATGCCAAATTGTAACGACCATCAAGGCTAGGAAGAAACTGCATCAACTAACGAGCAAAATAACCAGCTAACATCATAATGACAGGATCAAATTCACACATAACAATATTAACCTTTAATGTAAATCGGCTAAATGCTCCAATTAACAGACACAGAGGGGCAAACTGGATAGAGTCAAGACCCATCACTGTGCTGTATTCAGGAGACCCATCTCATGTGCAGAGACACACATAGGCTCAAAATAAAGGGAGGGAGGAAGATCTACCAAGCAAATGGAAAACAAAAAAAGGCAGGGGTTGCAATCCTAGTCTCTGATAAAACAGACTTTAAACCAACAAAGATCAAAAGAGACAAAGAAGGCCATTACATAATAGTAAAGGGATCAATTCAACAAGAAGAGCTAACTATCCTAAATATATATGCACCCAATACAAGAGCACCCAGATTCATAAAGCAAGTCCTTAGAGACCTACAAAGAGACTTAGACTCCCACACAAGAAGAATAGGAGACTTTAACACCCAACTGTCAACATTAGACAGATCAACGAGACAGAAAGTTAAAAACAATATTCAGGAATTCAACTCAGCTCTGCACCAAGCAGACCTAATAGACATCTACAGAACTCTCCACCCCAAATCAACAGAATATACATTCTTCTCAGCACCACATCGCATTTATTCCAAAATTGACCACATAGTTAGAAGTAAAGCACTCCTCAGCAAATGTACTTTTGAAAAGAAATTATAACAAACTGTCTCTCAGACCACAATGCAATCAAACTAGAACTCAGGATTAAGAAAATCACTCAAAACCGCTCAACTACATGGAAACTGAACTAACTGCTCCTGAATGACTACTGAGTACATAACGAAATGAAGGCAAAAATAAAGATGTTCTTTGAAACCAATGAGAAAAAAGACACAACACACCAGAATATCTGGGACACATTTAAAGCAGTGTGTGGAGGGAAATTTATAGCACTAAATGCCCACAAGAGAAAGCAGGAAAGATCTAAAATTGACACCCTAACATGACAGTTAAAAGAACTAGAGAAACAAGAGCAAACACATTCAAAGCTAGCAGAAGGCAAGAAAAAACTAAGATCAGAGCAGAACTGAAGGAGATAGAGACACAAAAAACCCTTCAAAAAAAAAATCAATGAATTCAGGAGCTGGTTTTTTGAAAAGATCAACAAAATTGATAGACCACTAGCAAGACTAGTAAAGAAAAAAGAGAGAAGAATCAAATAGACACAATAAAAAATGATAAAAGGGATATCACCACTGATCCCACAGAAATACAAACTACCATCAGAGAATACTATAAACACCTCTATGCAAATAAACTAGAAAATCTAGAAGAAATGGATAAATTCCTAGACACATACACCCTCTCCCAAGTCTAAACCAGGAAGAAGTTGAATCCCTGAATAGACCAATAACAGGATCTGAAATTGAGGCAATAATTAAGAGCCTACCAACCAAAAAAACTCCAGGACCAGATGGATTCACAGCCGAATTCTACCAGAGGTACAAGGAGGAGCTGGTACCATTCCTTCTGAAACTATTCCAATCAATAGAAAAAAAGAGAATCCTCCCTAACTCATTTTATGAGGCCAGCGTCATCCTGATACCAAAGCCTAGCAGAGACACACACACACAAAAACAAATTTAGACCAATATCCCTGATGAACATCGATGCAAAAATCCTCAATAAAATACTGGCAAACCGAATCCAGCAGCACATCAAAAAGCTTATCCACCATGATCAAGTGGGCTTCATCCCTGGGATGCAAGGGTGGTTCAACATATGCAAATCAATAAATGTAATCCAGCATATAAACAAAACCAAAGGCAAAAACCTCTTGATTATCTCAATAGATGCAGAAAAGACCTTTGACAAAATTCAACAGCCCTTCTTGCTAAAAACTCTCAATAAATTAGGTATTGATGGGACATATCTAAAAATAATAAGAGCTATTTATGACCAACCCACAGCCATTATCATACTGAATAGGCAAAAACTGGAAGCATTCCCTTTGAAAACTAGCACAAGACAGGGATGCCCTCTCTCACCACTCCTATTCAACATAGTGTTGGAAGTTCTGGCCAGGGCAATTAGGCAGGAGAAAAAAATAAAGGGTATTCAATTAGGAAAAGAGGAAGTCAAATTGTCCCTGTTTGCAGACGACATGATTGTATATTTAGAAAACCCCATGTCTCAGCCCAAAATCTCCTTAAGCTGATAAGCAACTTCAGCAAAGTCTCAGGATACAAAATCAATGTGCAAAAATCACAAGCATTCTTAAACACCAATAACAGACAAACAGAGAGCCAAATCATGAGTGAACTCCCATTCACAATTGCTACAAAGAGAATAAAATACCTAGGAATCCAACTTACAAGGGATGTGAAGGACCTCTTCGAGGAGAACTACAAACCACTGCTCAAGGAAATAACAGAGGACACAAACAAATGGAATAACATTCCATGCTCATGGATAGGAAGAATCAATATTGCGAAAATGGCAAGACTGCCCAAAGTAATTTATAGATTCAGTGCTACCCCCATCCAGCTACCACTGACTTTCTCACGGAATTGGAAAAATCTACTTTAAAGTTCATATGGAACCAAAAAAAGAGCCTGCATAACCAAGACAATCCTAAGTAAAAATTAGAGAGCTAGAGGCATCATGCTACCTGACTTCAAACTATACTACAAGGCTACAGTAACCAAAACAGCATGGTACTGATACCAAAACAGGGATATAGACCAATGGAACAGAACAGAGCCCTCAGAAATAATACCACACATCTACAACCATCTGGTCTTGGACAAACCTGACAAAAACAAGAAGTGGGGAAAGGATTCCCTATTTAATAAATGGTGCTGGGAAAACTGGCTAGCCATGTGTAGAAAGCTGAAACTGGACCCCTTCCTTACACCTTATACAAAAATTAACTCAAGATGGATTAAAGACTTAAATGTTAGACCAAAAACCATAAAAATCCTAGAAGAAAACCTAGGCAATACCATTCAGGACATAGGCATGGACAGAGATTTTATGACTAAAATACCAAAAGCAATGGCAACAAAAGCCAAATTTGACCAATGGGATCTAATTAAATTAAAGAGCTTCTGCACAGCAAAAGAAACTATCATCAGAGTGAACAGGCAACCTACAGAATGGGAGAAAAATTCTTCAGTCTATCTGTCTGGCAAAGGGCTAATATTCAGAATCTACAAGGAACTTAAATTTACAAGAAAAAAAAACAACCCCATAAAAAAGTGGGCAAAGGATATGAACAGACACTTCTCAAAAGATGACATTTATGCAGCCAACAAACATGAAAAAAAAAGCTCATCATCACTGGTCATTAGAGAAATGCAAATCAAAAGGACGAGATACCATCTCATGCCAGTTACAATGGCAATCATTAAAAACAGATGCTGGAGAGGATGTGGAGAAATAGGAATATTTTCACACTGTTGGTGGGAGTGTAAATTAGTTCGACAATTGTGGAAGACAGTATGGCAATTCATCAAGGATCTAGAAACAGAAATACCATTTGACACAGCAATCCCATTACTGGGTATATACTCAAAGGATTATAAATCATTATACTATAAAGACACATGCACATGTATTTTTTTATTTTTGCGGCACTATTCACAATAGCAAAGACTTGGAACCAACCCAAATGTCCATCAGTGATTGACTGGATAAAAATAAATGTGGCACATATACGCCATAGAATACTATGCAGCCATAAAATGTATGAGTTCACATCCTTTGCAGGGACACGGATGAAGCTGGAAACCATCGTTCTCCACAAAGTAACACAAGAACGGAAAACCAAACACCACACATTCTCACTCATAAGTAGGAGCTGAACAATGAGAACACATGGACACAGGGAGGGGAATATCACACACTGAGGCCTTTGGGGGTGGAGTGCTAGGGGAGGGATAGCATTAGGAGAAATACCTAATGTAGGTGACAGGTTGATGTGTGCAGCAAACCACCATGGCATGTGTATACTTATGTAACAAAACTGCACATTCTGCACATGTACCCTAGAACTTGAAGTATAATAATAAAAAAAAAGTAAATAAAAACAACTGAACTCATAGAGATAGAGTAGAAGGCTGGTCACCAGATACCTGCAAGGATAGTGGGGGGCTGGTGGGGAGGTGGAGGTGGTTAATAGGTACCAAAAAAATAGAATGAATAGACTTACTATTAGCACAAGATGGTGACTATAGTCAATAATAATTGTATACTTTTAAATAACTTAAGGAATGTAATTGAATTGTTCGTAATTCAAGGATAAATGCTTGAGGGGATGGATACCCAATTCTCCATGATGTGCTTATTTCGTATTGCATGCCTATATCGAAACATCTCATGTGCCCCATAAATATATACACCTACTATGTACCCACAAAATTTTCAAAACCATAATTAAAAAAACAAAATTGTGGAGGGAATGAATGTGTAGAAGAATTTAAGTTTAACAAATGGGCTTGAATATTGTTGAACAGTCAGATTTGCCAAGATCGGTTTATGATAGACAGCAGTCCTGTTTCTAAAACTTGAGCAGCATTTCAGGACAGAATTGGCTCCCAGTTCTAAGAATCATTGGCTGTTTGGGCCTACCCTATATTCAGGTACCTGTCCAGGTTCATGCAGCCAGTTAGGGGTTGAGCAGAGCTAGAAGCTGCTGTCTTCTAAGCCTCAGCCTCTGGAAATTTCTAGGATCTTGGACACTTCTTCCTCACCACTCCTCAGTTTTGTTTTGTAGAAGTACAGAATTCTGCATTACAGCAGCTTCTCAAAAATGCCTTCCTCAGTCTTCAGCATGCTTAAGAATCAGCTCAAGAGCTTTATGAAAATATGGACTCATTTCTCAAGCTTTACCCTCTGTATTTTACCGCTTGAGGTGGAACCCAGAAATATTCATTCTTTTTTAACTCGCACATTCAGGAGATGCTGACACAAATGGCCTGGAACCACAGAGAACAAATACTTTCTAGAATGTTCACTTGAAAAACATTAAGGTAAGGAGGGGCATTTGAGTAAAGAAATCTAATGAGAAGGGTGAAGTCCTGTCTCTGTGAGCTCTCCAAGCAGCTCTCCTTGCCAGCTCGAATGTCCTTGAGGGTCTTGGGGTCTCCTGCAGCTAAAATTCTGGAGGTCAGTGGTAAGAATAGGCTACTTCTCACTGATTTAGCTTACCCCTTTCTCCTCACTGCTCTTCAGTTTTGTTTGGTAGAAGTACAGAATTCTGCATTATAGCCGCTTCTCAAAAATGCCTTCCTCAGAGAAGGCATTCTGAGCATGATTCTGACCACCTGCCCCAAAGGGAGGTTAAGTATTAATCTTCAGGGAATGAAGTAACCATTCAATACATGAAGCACTTAGAAGCATTTATTAAATCTGGGATATATTATTTATTGAATATTATATGCATTTGCTTTCCTGACAGTATCTCATCTACTTATTCTTGTATCATTGTTGTGCTTAGGATGTTGCTTTTCCAGATCCGAACACTAAAATCTAGGAGAGAGGAGCCATGATGGCTGATTAGACACAGCCAGAAAGAGCTTCTCCCACCAAGAAACCATAACCATCAAGAAGATGAGCACACTCTGAGCAGATTTTCTGAAGGAAGGCATTGGGAGTGAATGGAAGGAGGATGCAGATTCTGGACTAAAGGGGAAGGAAGCTGGGAACCCCATACAGGGTTGCTGAGCACCAGGAATCATTCCTGGCCCTGAGCAGCTCCTGGAGAACAGGTAAGTTAAATCAGTGAGGAGTAGCCTACTCTTACCACCGACCTCCAGAATTTTAGCTGCAGGAGACCCCATGACCCCCAAGGACATTTGAGCTGTCTGGGAGAGCTGCTCGGAGAGTTCACATAGACAGGACTTCACCCTGTATAAACCCAGGGGGTTAGGCACAGGAATGGCTGCAGGGGAGTACAGCCAGGGATGCCCATATCCCAAGGCTTGCCATACTCCTATAGGAGGCTCTTGCCTTTGTTGACTGCCGGACCTAGACATAATGGGACTATCTTGCCCATGACACAGGGCCAGTCTGATGTCAGCACTACCTTTTCTGCCAGCCTCTCTCAGGGATTGCCTGGCTGAACCCACTTGCTCAGCAGACTCAGATGCCCAAATGGGGTAATTCCCAGTGGCCACCACCATCAGCTCCATCACCAGAAGACTCTGCCTAACATCAAAGGGCTTTTACAGACAGGCTCCACTAGCACATACTTGCCCACAGTCTCCCCCACTGCTTTGCCAGTATGCATAAGGACTTTGCTGCCACTACCCCACCATGGACAGCATGCACACAGACCCCACTGCTACTGCCCTGCCCAGATGAAGTGCTTTCCCTAGCAACCTTCATCATCAGAGTGTTGTTGCCATCAAGCCAGGAACACCTTGAACCCTCCAAACAGCAGGTGATTAAATTCAAGAGGCAAGAGAACAAAGCTGCGCACCTGGTCTCACCCCCTCATGGTTACAGCATGCAACCAAGGAGAGCTGAGCTAAGCCTTGACCCCAAGAAACCATCCAGAAACAAAGCCAATCAATTAAACCCAACTTAAACCACAGTCAAACCCTCAAGGACATCAAAAAATATAAAAGCAAAAAGCCCCATCCAAAGGACAGCAACTTCAAAGAATAAGGAACATCAGCCCACAAAAATGATAAAGAACCAGTGCAAGAACTCTGTCAGCTCTAAGAGGCAGAGTGTCTTCTTACCTCTAAAAGTTGGCACTACCTCCCCAGGAATGGTTCTTAATCACACAGCAATAATGGAAATGACAGATGTAGAAATCAGAATCTAGATGGCAATTATGATTGCAATTCAGGAGAAAGTTGAAAACCAACCTGAGGAATCTAAGGAGTCCAGTAAAAGGATTCAAGACCTGAAAAAGAAAACAGCCATTTTAAGAAAGAAGCAAACTTATCAGATAAAGCTGAAAAACTCACTACAAGAATTGCAAAATACAATTAGAAGTATTAACAGCAGAATAGGCAAAGTTAAGTTCAATCTCAGAACTTGAAGGTCAGTTTTTTAAATGAACTCAGAAAAAAAATTTTTTTAAGATTTTTTTAAAGCATGAACAAAACTTCTGAGAAATATTGGATTATATAAAGAAGCCAAAACTACAAACATGAGTGTCCCTGAAAGGGAAGGACAGAAAGCAAGCAACTTGGAAAATATATTTGAAGATACTGTCTGTGAAAATGTTGCTAACCTCACTAAAAACATTCAAATTCAGAAAATTCATAGAATCCTGCAAGATGCCGTAAAAGATGACCACACCCAAGACACATAGTCCGATTCTATAAGGTCAATGCCAAAGAAAAAATATTAAAGGCAGCTAGAGAGAAGGGGCAAATCACCTACAAAAGAAACACCATCAAGCTAACAAACAGACCTTTCAACAGAAATTTTATGAGCCAGAACAGATTGGAGCTTATATTCAGCATCCTTAAAAAAAGAAATTCCAGTCAAGAATTTTATATCCAGCCAAACTAAGCTTCTTAAGTAAAGGATAAATAAAATCCTTTTCAGACAAGCAAATTCTAAGGAAATTCATTACCATTACACCTGCCTTAGAAGAGGTTCTTAATTGAGTGTTAAACATGGAAATAAAAGACTATTCTGGCCACCACAAAAACACACTTAAGTATATAGACCATTGACACTATAAAGAAACTACACAATCAAGTCTACATAACAACCAGTTAACACTACAATGACAGGATCAAATCCCCACATATCAATATTAACCTTAAACATAAACAGGCTAAACACTCCACTTGAAAGGGACAGAGTGCCAAGTTGGATAAAGGAGCAAGACCCAACTATATGCTGCCTTCAAGTGACCCACCTCACATGCAATGACACACATACACCCAAGGTAAAGGAATGGAGAAAGATCAAGCAAACAAACAAACAAAAAAAAAGAGCTTGAATTGCTGTTCTTATTTCAGACAAAAGAGACTTTACAATCAACAATGATCAAAAAAGACAAAGAAGAGCATTACGTAGTAATAAAGGGTTCAATTAAACAGGAAAATTTTAATGCTCCTGCATATATATCCATCCAATATTGAGCACCCAGATTCATAAAACAAGTTCTTAGAAACTTACAAAGAGATGTAAATAATGACACAATAATAGTAGGAGACTTCAACACCCCATGGACATTATTACACCAATCGAGACAGACAACTAAACAAAGACATTCAGGACTTAAACTCAACACATGACCAAACGGACCTAACATATCTATAGAACACCCCACCCAACAACAGAATATACATTCTGCTCATCTGCATATGGCATTTACTCTAAAATCAACCACATGTTTGGCCATAAAGCAATTCTCAATAAATTCAAGAAAAATTGAAATCATACCAACCATATACTTGGACCACAGCACAATAATAGAAATCAATACCAAAAAGACCTCTTAAAACCATACAACTACATGGAAATCAAATGATATGCTTCTGAATTACTTTTGGGTAAACAATGAAATAAAGGCAGAAATCAATAAATTTTTTGAATCTAATGAAAACAGATACAACATACCAGAATCTCTGGGACACAACTAAAGCAGTTCTAAGAAAAAAGTTTGGGCCAGATGCAGTGGCTCATGCCTGTAATCCCAGCACTTTGGGAGGCCAAGGCAGGCGGATCACCTGAGGTCAGGAGTTTGAGACCAGCCTGGCCAACATGGCAAAACCCCATCTCTACTAAAAATACAAAAATTAGTCAGGCATGGTGGTGGGCACCTGTAATCCCAGCTACTCAGGAGGCTGAGGTAGGAGAATCACTTGAACCCAGGAGGCAGAGGTTGCAGTGAGCCAAGATCATGCCATTGCACTCCATCCTGGGCAACAAGAGTGAAACTCTGTCTAAAGAAAAAAAAAGAAGAAGAAGAAGAAGGTTTATAGCACTAAATGTTGACATGAAAAAGAAAGATCTCAAATTAATAACCTAATCTCACACCTAGAGGATCTATAAAAACAATAGCAAACTGATCCCAAAGCTAGAAGAAGAAATAAACAAAATCATAGCTAAACTAAATGAAATTGAGATGTCAAAAATCATACCAAAGATCAACAGAACCAAACATTTGTTCCTTGTAAGAATAAGTAAGTTTGAGAGTTCTGGCTAGACTATAACAAAGAGAGAAGATCCAAATAAACACAATCAGAAATGACAAACGGGACATTACCACCAATCCCAGAGAAACCCAAAATTCCTCAGAGACTGTTATGAACACCTCTATGCACAAAAATTAGAAAATCTAGAAATGGATAAACTCCTGGAAACATACAACTTCTGTATTCTATCCATTTTTACCTTTCTATAAAAAACTACCTAAGACTGGGTAATTTATAAAGACAACAGGTTTAATTAACTCATAGTTCTGCAGGCTGTACAGGAAGCATGGCTGGGTAGGCCTCAGGAAACTTACAACTGTGGCAGAAGGTGAAGGGGAAGAATGAACGTTCTACATGTCCAAAGCAGGAGGAAGAGAAGAATGGTAGGGAGGTGCCACACTTAAACAACCAGATCTCATGAGAACTCACTATCACAAGAACAGCAAGGGAAAAATTCACCCCCATGATCCAATTACCTCCCACCAGGCCCCTCCCTCCAACACTGGAGATTACAATTCAACATGAGATGTGGGCAGGGACACAGAGCCAAACCATATCATTCCACCCCTGGCCCCTCTCAAATCTCATGTACTTCTTAGATTGCGAGATACAATCAACCCTTCTCAACACTCCAAGTCTTAACTCTTTTCAGCATTAATTCAAAAGTCCACAGTCTGAGGTCTCAACTGAGACAAGGCAAGTCCCGTCTACCTATAAGCCTGTAAAATCAAAAACAAGTTCGTTACTTCCAAGATAGAATGAGAATACAGGTATTGAGTAAATATACCTATTCCAAAAGCAAGAAATCAGCCAAAACAAAAAGGTTACAGGCCTCATGCAAGTCTGAAATCTAGCAGGGCAGTCAGTAAATCTTAAAGCTCTAAAATAATCTCCTCTGATTTCATATCTCACATCCAGGCCACACTGATGCAAAGAGTGGGCTCCCAAAGCCTTGGCAAGTTCCACCCCTGTGGCTCTGCCAGGTACAGCCCCCTTGGCTGCTTTCACAAGCTGGCATTGAGTGCCTGAAGGTTTTCCAGGCACATAGTACAAGTTGTTGGTGGATCTACCATTCTGGGGTCTGGAGGACAGTGGCCCTCTCCTCACAGCTCCACTAGACAGTGACCCAATGGGGACTCTGTGTCGGGCCTCCAACTCTGCATTTCCCCTCTGCACTGCCCTAGTAAGGGTTCTCCATGAGGGTTCTGCCCTTGCAGCACACTTCTGCCTAGATATCCAGGCATATCCATACATCCTCCAAAATTTAGTCCGAGGCTCCCAAGCCTCAACTCTTGCCCTCCACACACCTGCAGACTTAACACCACACCCTCTGGAGCAGTGGCCTGACATGTATCTGGGGCCCTTTGAGCCATGGCTGGAGCTGAAGAGGCTAAGATCCAGGGAGCAGTGTCCCAAGGTTGTGCAGGACAGCCGGGTCCTGGGCCCAGCCCATGAAGCAATTCTTCCCTCCTAGGCCTCTGGGCCTGTCATGGGAGGGGCTGCCACAAAGTTCTCTGAAATGCCTTCAAGGCATTTTCCCCATTGTCTTGGCTATTAACATTTGGCTCCTCTTTACTTATGCAAGTTTCTGCAGCCTACTTGAATTCCTCCCCAGAAAAATGTGTTTTTCTTTTCTACCACATGGTCAGGCTGCGAATTTTCCAAACTTTTATGCTCTGCTTCCCTTTTAAATATAAGTTCAGATTTCAGATTATCTCTTGCTCATGCATATGACCACATGCTGTTAGAAGTGGCCAGGCCACATCTTGAACACTTGGCTGCTTAAAAATTTTTTCCACCAGATACCCTAAATCATCTCTCTCAAGTTCAAAGTTCCACAGATCCTTAGAGCAGGGTCACAATGCTGCCAGTCTCTTTACAAAGGCATAGCAACAATAACCTTTACTCTAGTTCCCAATAAGCTCCTCAACTCCATCTGAGACCACCTCAGCTTGGACTTCATTGTCCATATTACTATCAGCATTTTGGTCACAATGATTTAATAACAAGTCTCTAGGAAGTTCCAAATTTTCTCTCATCTTTCTGTCTTCTTCTGAGCCCTCCAGACTGTTCTAACCGCTGCCCGTTACCCAGTTCCAAAGTAACTTCCATATTTTCAGGTCTTTATCGCAATGCCCAATTCCCAGTACCAGTTTTCTATATCAGTCCATTCTTACATTGCTATAAAGACCTCCCTGAGACTGGGTAATTTATTTAGAAAAAAAAAAAAAAGTTTTAATTGACTCACAGTTCCATAGACTGTACAGGAAACAAGGCTAGGGAGGCCTCAGGAAACTTGCAGCAGAAGGCAAAGAGGAAGCAGGCATATTCTACATGTGTGGAGCAGGAGGTGCTACACACTTTTAAACAACTAGATCTCATGAGAGCTCACTATTATGAAAACAGCCAGGGGGAAGTTCCTTCCCGTGATCCAATCACCTCCCAGCAGGTTCCTCCCCCGCCACTGGGGATTACAACTGGACATGAGATTTGGGCAGGGACACAAATTTAAACCATATCAGCCTCCCAAGATTGAACCAGGAGGAAACTGAAACCCTGAACAGATCAATAATGAGTTATAAAATTGAATCAGTAATTAAAAAAAACTACCAAAGCAACCCTAAGCAAAAAGAACAAAGCTGAAGGCATCACACTACTCAAGTTCAAACCATATTACTAGGCTACAGTAACTAAGGCAACATGGTACTAGTACAAAAAACAGACACATAGACCAATGGAACAGATTAGAGAACCAGAAATAAAGCCACATACCTACAACCACCTGGTCTTCAACAAAGTCAACAACAACAAGCAATGGGGAAAGAACTCCCTATTCAATAAATGGTACTTGGATAACTCATTAGCCATATGCAGAAGATTGAAACTGGGCCCCTTTTCACCATATACAAAATCAACTCAAAATTGACTAAAGATTTCACTGTAAATCTAAAACTATAAAAACTCTAGAAGAAAACCTAGGAAATACCATTCTGAACATAGGCCCTGGCAAAGATTTCATGATGAAGACTCCGGAAGAAATTGCAACAAGAACAAAAATAGACAAGTGGGACCTAATTGAACTAAAGAGCATCTGCACAGCAAAAGAAACTATCAAACAGACAATCCAGAATGGGAGAAAACATTCACAAATCATGCATTTAACAAAGATCTAATATCCATATCTATAAAGAACTTAAATCAACATGCAAAAATCAAGTAACACTATTTTTAAAATGGGCAAAAGTTATGAACAGACACTTCTCAAAAGAAAACATACAAGTAGCCAACAAACATATGAAAAAATGCTCAAGATCACTAATTATTATAGAAATGCAAATCAAGGCTGGGCGTGGTGGCTCACGCCTGTAATCCCAGCTCTTTGGGAAGCCGAGGTGGGCGGATCACGAGATCAGGAAATTGAGACCATCCTGGCTAACACGGTGAAACCCCATCTCTGCTAAAAATACAAAAGTTAGCCAGTTGTGGTGGCGGGCGCCTGTGGTCCCAGCTACTCAGGAGGCTGAAGCAGAAGAATGGCGTGAACCCGGGAGGCGGAGCTTGCAGTGAGCCAAAATTGCACCATTGTACTCCAGCCTGGGCAACAGAGCGAGACTCCATCTCAAAAAAACAAACAAACAAAAAAGGAAATGGCAATCAAAACCACAATGAGACACCATCTCATACCAGTCAGAATGGCTATTATCAAAAAGTCAAAAAATAACAGATGCTGATGAGATTGCTGAGAAAAAAAAATGCTTCTATATTGTTGGTGGGAATGTAAATTAGTTCAGCCATTGTGGAAAGCAGTCTGGTAATTTCTCAAAAAACTTAAAAGAGAGCTATCATTTGACCCAGCAATTCCATTACTGGGTATATACCCAAAGGAATATGAATCATTCTACCACAAAGACACATACACTTGCATGTTCATTGCAGCACTATTCACAACAGCAAAGACATGGAATAAACCTAGATGCTCATCAATAGTGGACTGGATAAAGAAAATGTAGTATATATACACCATGAAATACTACACAGCCAAAAAAAAAAATAAATGAAATCATGTCCTTTGAAGCAACATGGATGCAGCCAGAGGCCGTTACCCTAAACAAATTAATGCAGGAACAGAAAACTAAATACCACATATTGTCACATATAAGTGGGAGCTAAACATTGAGTGCACACGGACACAAAGAAGACAACAAGAGACCAGGGCCTACTTGAGGGTAGAGATGGGAGGAAGATAAGTATTAAAACACTACCTATCAAGCATTATGCTCACTACCTGAGTGATGAAATAATTTGTACAACAAACCCCAGTGACACAGAATTTACCCGTGTAACAAACATACACATGTATCCCCTGAACTTAAAAGTTGGAAGGAGAAAATAAATTAATAAAACGTACCTATTTTTTAGTACAGGTATTTGGTTAGAAAACTTTTTTAAAGGTTTGAATCTAATTGTGATATTTCCTTCCAGAAGTAGTTCTCAAATTTTAGCACACATAGAAATCACCTAAGAAAAGGAAGAGTGCTTTTCTGAAGCGATGCCTTTCCCATGAAAGCCAAACAAAATTCTAGCTTAAGAGAAACAGTGCAATTCAACACCCAGGGATAAGCTAGGAAACTGAGCCATATGAGGAATATGCAGTATTGGTTCCTGGCCACACAGCGTCACATTCTCACCCTAAGAGCCATTAAATGACATTTATGGTGAGGTGTGATCTTCCCTTACATCCGAATAAACTGAGGTTGCTGATAGAAATGCAGATTTCTGAGACTGGGACACATCCCAGATCTATTCATTCAGAAACCCTGGGGACTAGGTCTAAAATATGTATTAATATTTTAACAAATATTTGTGGTGACTTTTATTGACACTAAAGTTTGAATACAATCCCTAAAGGGAAGCTTCACAATTAGATTCATGTCATTCACAGCAACCTCTCCACCAAATGTATGCAGTTGGACTTCTGTGCCTTTTCAAAGTTATGGAACAGAGAAGTGACACTTAAGCAGAAAGAAATGAAACAAGAAAGACATAATATTGGGGAGAAATGCAAACATACTACAGGGGGTTCTGAGTCAGGAAGATTTAAAAATAAAAGTGATTTATAGCTAAGATAGGATACTATAAATGAAAACACTACATTCGAACTACTTTACAGAGATAATCATGGTGTTAAAAAGTGACAAATATAATTCATTTTATTATCATAATACATATTTTTGAAGATACAAATGATGCCATAAAAATATATTCTTAACTCGCAAAGGAGTCAGTAAGCCATTCCAATGTGCAGAATTCAACCACAGGCTGTTTAACAGGAACACAATTGCTAATCATCAAGCCTAAAAAGCAGAACAATAAATGTTCCAATCTGCTGTGGGTCAGCAACCAGAGAATAAATCTCACAATTTTTTTTTTCTTTTTTTTTTTTTTTTTGAGATGGAGTCTCCCTCTTTCACCCAGGCTGGAGTACAATGGTGCAATCCTGGCTCACTGAAACCTCCGCCTCCTGGGTTCAAGTGATTCTCGTGCCTCAGTCTCCTGAGTAGCTGGGATTACAGGCACCCACCACCACATCCAGCTACTTTTTGGATTTTTTTAGTAGAGACAGGGTTTCACCGTGTTGGCCAGGCTGGTCTCAAACTCCTGATCTCAAGTGATCCACCCTCCTTAGCCTCCCAAAGTGCTGGGATTACAGGCCTGAGCCACCATGCCTCGCCTCACTTTTTAACTGAGCAAGATTTTTACATGAAGGGAAAGTTTACAGCACAGAATTCAGGCTGGTATGGTTGGAAAGGAAATCTAATGATCACAATGAGGAGTAGGAAAGTACAAATCACAATTTGGTCTCTCCAGCTGAGTTCACCTACATGTATTATAGCCAGTAGTATAATTGACAATAACATAGATCATAGATGCTTTTGAAATGCTCTAGTTGAAAGGACTGAGATCATCAGACTGAACTTCCTCATTTTATAGATAAGGAAATTGGGCAAATAATTTAGCTTCTCTGGGCTTTAATGTCATCCCAACTCATTTGTTCTAAGGCAAGACTGCAGCCTGAATCATGAGACGTCTTCAGTGCTTTCTTCTATACAAATTCCCAAAATGTGACTACTCTGCTAAATGGTGATATAAAATAGAGTTGTTCATTGCATCTGTCTCAAAAGTCTAAAAATTCTACAAATTACTCTTGAGTCTCAACTATTTATTGAATAACTCCTATGTGTGGAATACTTTGTTAGATGTTGGAATTGAGAGAGAGAGAGAGAGAAAGAGAAAGAGAGAGAGAGAGACAGAGACAGAGAGAGATAAAGAGAGAGAAAGAGAAAGAGAGAAAGAGAGAGAGACAGGAGAGAGAGGGACAAAGAGAGAGAGAAGAGAGAAAAAGAAAAAGGAAAAAAGAGAAAAAGAAAAGGAGAAAAGAAAAAGAAACGAAACCTAGCAGAGATACTTTCAGGACAGGGTGACGGCTATGGTGTGTCTTCTATTTTGGATGTGTTGAGCTGCTCTTCCCTATTGGGCTAATTACAAGTTCTGAGACTCATTATTTACACTTTTCACCTGTTGTCTACTGGGATTTTCAAAAGAACAAGCAACATATTTCCTGAGGATCCCCCCAGCATCAAAGCTAAAGATTAAACAAATGAAATGTTTTAAAATTGAGCTGATATATCGGCTATTACCACTGCTATTGAATAAACAACGTTCAGGGGCCAAGAGGGTGACTGAAGTTGCCTCAGTTGTCTTTTCAGGAAGGAAAAGGGGTCCACTTTCACACTAGAGAATGCTTCTCTAAAATTTACTCAATGGGGCAACAGTTTACAAACTGTACAGAGCTCAAGAGTTCCAGAAATATGCTTCTTCTTGGATGGTATGTGGAGACAAAGGAGCTATGAAGTGGGGGTGTGGGAGGATCAAGTTCTGTTTTCAACTGAATCAGTTCTCTTATATAGCATATATATTTATATATTATATATATTCTTATATTATATATTATATATTCTGATAATATGTTATATATTCTTATAATATATAATATATTCTTATATAATATATATTCTTGTTATATATTATATATATTCTTATATTATATATTATATATATTCTTATAATATATTATATATTCTTATATATTATATATATTCTTATATTATATACATATTTTATATATATATATATATCAGGGTTCCATATAAGCTTTCATTCCTTCTCCCAAGAAAACATTTCTGCTGCCGCTGCTAGAAAGCATCTGACACATAACACTAACTCATCATGTAGATCAAAAATTCTAATTTCATAGAATGGCACGTATAACACTTTCAACAACCCAAACCCTTGTTTTGTAACTATATTTCATAGATATTTGCCTTCCTTCTCTATATATCAATACATCTTAGATCAGAAGAGTTTATAGTACTCTTTCAAGGAGACCAAAACAAAAAGAACACTGTTTAAATTGGTTTCTGTAGGTATACATGTAAACACAAAAATCCCAGATACCTATCAATCATCTTTTCTTTCTTTTCTAAAGAACTTGATTTCCTGCATGCTGGTACCTTGAAACCTATTTTAATTTAATCTTCATTAGTATATTTTCTATACAATGGTAATCATCGATCACTATAATATTTGGCTAATAAAAACATCAAAGGAAAATCTGTGTGATCTTTGTTAACACCACTTAATTAAAGGTCCTGTATTATCTGGGAGGGCCTCTGTGGGGATTTTAACTGGTGGCTCATTGGACACGCAGCTAGCTGAATAGATTGGCCCTTACTAAGACTGAATACAGCTCCATCACCGTTGAATGGATTAGTGGAATAATAATCAGCAATAAAATGCTATGGAGATCTGAGAAGTTAAATACATGGTAATAGTCATCCCAATAAAACTGTTCTGGAAATGACTAATGAATCATCTCAACTTAATAGTAATTCTGTCATACTAGGAAAGCAACAGAAATGGAGCCAAGCTGCACATTAGAAGCTACTTGAAGTCCCTGTGAACTGATGCCTTCTTAGGTTATGGCAGACAAGTTCACCCAACAAATATTTACTGCATGTCTGCTAAGTGCCAGACACAGAGGTGAGATCCTCTGTGTCACTATTCATGAAATGGTAAGAATTTTTATTTCTTTGCCCTGCTTCAATCAGTTCCCCCACCTCAGAGAGGCCCTCATTTTAGATCTTTCAAGAGTCATTCAGATCAGGAAAGTGACAGAGCTTGACTCCCCAGTTCTCCTAACAGTTCTGCAGCTCTGCTGACCACCTCGACTTGTGAAACACAGATAAAGGCATCAGCTTCCACTCTTCCACTGCTGCAACTGCCTTCCACAAAGATCTTCTCACCTGAACCTTAACTTGGAGAACTGTGGAAGAAAAGCTATAAACATCCAAGTCAAGAAGATGGAGAGACATGCCTGTAATCCCAGCACTTTGGGAGGCCGAGACGGGCGGATCATGAGGTCAGGAGATCGAGACCATCCTGACTAACATGGTGAAATCCCGCCTCTACTAAAAATACAAAAAATTAGCCAGATGTGGTGGTGGGCGCCTGTAGTCCCAGCTATTGGGGAGGCTGAGGCAGAAGAATGGCACGAACCCAGGAAGCAGAGCTTGCAGTGAGCTGAGATCGCGCCACTGCACTCCAGCCTGGGTGACAGAACGAGACTCCATCTGAAAAAGAAAAAAAAAAAGATGGAGAGAGCAGAAGCCCCTTTTCAATCATTTATTTTTTTAATTTCTGTGAGAATCAATTATATAGAAGCACTGTATTAGGTACATAGCCAAATGAATGAGTGAGCAGGTTACTGCCTGAGAAGGCTTAACAGTCTAGTGGGGCAGAAAGAAGTGTTATTAGTATTACAGTGTCTAAATGGTACAACAAAGCACTTGGGAAAGAGAGAAGAAAGAGAACAGGGCTTGATTCAGATGAACAGAAGAGTCAGGATTCACAAAAGAGAGGTGGTCTTCACTGAGAAGATGGGAGCTACTGAAAGGATAACTGAGCAAAGCCATGCCAGCCGCCAATCCACTTGCATATTGTATACTAAGCAGGCAGAAAGCCAGAGAAAGCTTCCATGGGATTTATCCCCTCTCCATGTGGCTTCATATGTGTAAGGAAAATGGCCGTGCTTTAGTCAGGAACAGGCCGAGGCAGCCTTCTGATGCAACATGACTCAGAGGGTTTGGAGTGCAGGCGCACGGTTCCACATGTTATGTAACCATGCCACATGAGGCACATTATGTAACCACACCATGTGAGGTGCATTAAGTAACCACTCAAGTGCCCTCACGCTTGGCTTGGAGCCACTATTGTCTGTAAAAGGTATAACTACCTTGCTGATGCTGTACATATGGCTTGCTTGTGCCCACAGCCCACTTGCACCCAGAGAGACAATAAAGCCATGTTGAAATTCCTTGCAATTCTTCGAATGTTCTTTCAGCTGCCTGCCACTTGTCCACCCACTCCCCTCAGACCTCAGTTAGAACCTGACAATTGGCACTATGAGCAGAATCCCAAGGTGAGTGAGCCTTAAGTCTCTGCTGATTCCAGGTTGGCTATGTGGCCACAACATGGATTGTGGGAACTGGTGGCAGATGTGCTGCTCGGATGGGCTCTGGTGGAAACCTGGGCAGTGGTAGATGGGTCCCCCACAAGTGTGGAGAAAGAGCTGAAACAGCTGGAAGCACAGAACACCGAGAAGGAACCAACCTTTGCCGGCAGAGTTGGATGGGTGTTTGAGACTGTGCTGTGGGAAGTGCATGCTCAGTTCCTACAGGGTGCCACACAGACCTGTGGGAATTAAACAGTGCCACCAGCATCCAGGGGAACCTCTGCCCGCCTGGATGCTTCATCTGTGGGACAAGGGGGCAAATAGTATATTCCATTCCGCCTGAGATGGAAAAACTTGCCTCTGTTATGACACCCCTCCCTCCATCAGCGACTGCTAATAAGTAGGTGGTTGGCACAAGGGCAAGGTGACCACACGCTGATTGAGTGAATATAGGCAGCCATATGGACTGTGTAGGATGCCAGTGAAATACCAAAAGATGTCAGTAGATGGCAGTTGTACACAGACTTGGTGCAAGTCGTTCAGGAGAAGGATAATGCCGCGCAACCCAGTCCTGCCCAGGCATTCTAGCTCAAAGACTAAGTGCTGTAGCTGGGTGGGGGTGTAGAGCCTTTTCCGTTTGATTAGGGAACTAGCCAAGGTGCCCAGCTTGGGGGCACACCAGACGACCAGCAGTCACATGTGAAATTAGCAATCCTCTGATCCTCCACCAACGTATAGCAAGTGTTAGTGCTGGTAGATCCCAGCACAAATACATTCTGGGGGTGGATATTCTACATGGCTTGGCCTTACAAACCATTTGATGGACTGCTTGATGATGGAATTGGGACAGTACCACTATGTGGTAGACTTGGCGAATGCATTCTTTTCCAGAGAGCCAGGAACAGTTTGCCTTCATGAGAGGGTGACAATGGACTTTCAGTGTTGCTGCAGGGCTATGTGCAGAGCCCCACCATATGTCGTGATCTTGATATTATGCTAACCTCTGATTCTTTTGCAGATTTAGAAGTGGCAACACTCCTCTTTCCTGGGATTGGAATGGTGCAGCTGAGACCACTTTCCTGGCAGCCAAGCAGGCACAAGCCCTATAGGTAATTATCCAGAGGCACCCATTTAAACTCGATGTGAATGTGACCACAGATAGTTTTGGCTGGAGCTTATAGCAGCACATGGAGCACTTAAGAATGCCAGTTGGCTTTTGGTCCCGACTACGGAAAGGAGCTGAGCTCCAGTATTCATTGATAGAGAAGCAGTTAATAACTGCATATGCTACCCTTCAGGTTCAGGAGTGTGTGACCAGACAGGCTACAATCATTATGTGCCTGATTTACCCAATAGCAGGATGGGTGCATTCATGGGTAAAGACCCCCCAAGACTGGAACGGTGCAGACATACACTTTGGCAAAGTGGGGCGCCTACTTGGAGCAGTGGAGTATGCTGAGTACAAGTCCCTTATCAGCAGAGTTGCAAGAGGTCTTGGGACCTGCAGCCCTAATGCAAGATAAGGCCATGGGGCCTGAGGCACCCCTAGACCCTGAGCCTTCACCATTTAAGGAAGGGCATCCCCTCATTCCTGATGGGGCATGGTACACAGATGAGTCTAACCAAGGTGCTGCTATTTGGACCACTGTTACCGTCCAGCCTAGTACTGATACCATGCGGTATGAAACTGGATGTAGGTGAAGTAGCCAATGGGCTGAATTTAGAGCAATCCTGATGGTGATCACCAAGGAGGTGACACCTGTGGTAATCTATACTGATAGCTGGGTGATCTGTCGAGGCTTAACCTTGTGGTTAACCACTAGAAGTTACAGAAGTGGCCAGTTGGTCACCAGCCCATGTGGGGCCAAGCCATGTGGCAAAACCTATGGGAGGAAGGATGACTTCCTCTGACCAGGTATGGAGACAAATGGTAACCTGTTGTTGCCTGCCCCAACACCCCTGAAGGCAGGGGAACAGAAAACCTGGCTGTGGCCATGGACCTTCCAAGCCCCCCACTGTTGGTGGTTGGCTGTCATAGCTCCCTGTGGAGAGGGCCTACAGTATGACTTGCATGTCATTCCTTGGGTGTTCAATACATGGTCCCCATGGTTGACTGTTCACAGGAATATCCAGGGAAGGAACCCTCCTCCGGGGGACATATATGCTGTCTGTGTGGCCTATTATGAGCTCCCCCATCCATGACTTTGGCATGGATACAGGACCCAAAGGAACCACGGGGAGCTGAGAAGGTGTGGTATCATCGCTCAGGGCAAAAGCTCTTGGCAGATGCATTGTCATCCAGGGATGAAAGGTTAGCCTGTATTTTGCCCAAGGGACATGATTTACCTCTGTTAGTACCTGTGCCTGCTCTGTCATTTCAACCATAGGTTAACATGCTCTAACTGCATTGTGGACTGGGCCCACACCTATGCTGAGGTGACCAATGTTTCCAACTGTTGGAACCATACCACCTTTCCAGCAGCAGCTGCAGATGGCTTGCCGTGGCACATACATTCCATGTCTGCAGAGAAATGGACATGGCTGGAGACTTGTGGTCCCATGGCCGAAGCCTGGAATACAACACAGCAAGCTTTGGACAAAGGATGCTACAAGACCCATGGTGCACCTGCCCCCTGGCTGGCCTGTAGCATTTATGACGGGTGGGCTGGCTAGTTGGGGATTATGTAGTACCCCCAGCCCAGGTGCCACAGTACATACAGCAACACTGGGGCAACACCACTGTGGGATAGGTACCTGTCACAATCAGATCAGAAAGATAGTGTTGCAAAACTGAATGGCTTTAGACATAGTAACTGCTGCCCAAGGAGGCGTCTGTGCCCTTTTAGGAAAACAATGTTGTACCTTTATCCCTGACAGTTGGCAGAACATAACAGCAGCCCTGCAAGGGGTCTCGCAGGAGATTAAGGTGGTTAAGAGCATTACTGACAACCCCCTGTAGAGATGGTGGGCATCTCTGGGCTCTGGACTATGCTGGGCCCTCATAGTCATAAGTAGCATAGCTGAGATCCTAGTAGTGAGCTGTTATTCTTTGTATTGTGGGTTATAGATTCAGGGCTCTGCCCTATGGGTAGGTGTCCCTGCCCCAGAGGATGCCCTTAGCCTAGGGAGTAGAGTGTAAGGGAAATGGCTGTGCTTTAGAAATAGGCAGAGGTGACCTCTGGTACAGTATGACTCAGCAGGTTTGGAGTGCAGGGACACAGCTCCACACATGACGCAACCATGCCACATGAGGTGTATTAAGTAACCACTCAGGTGTGCTTGTGCTTGGCTTGGAGCCACTATTGTCTGTAAAAGGTATAACTACCCTGCTGATGCTGTACATATACCTTGCTTGAACCCACAGCCCACTTGTGCCCAGAGAGAGAATAAAGCCACGTCAAAACTCCCTGCAATTCTTCAAGTGTTCTTTCAGCTGCCTGCCGCTCGTGCACCCACTCCCCTCAAACCTCAGTTAGAACCTTACAGTATGTTTCCACAATACCTTCCTGATGAGATTCTTAAGCATCATAAATTACATTTCCATTTCTTTCCAGGTACAAGAAGATCAATAACAACTTGAACACCTGGGTGTTTTTAGCCACCTTTATGAAAGGTAGAAAAGCCATTTTGAGAAGGCCGGCTGTGAAGGCTGGAAGGATGATGGTCAGGTTCCCAAACAGTGAAGACCAAGACCTAGAGCTTCCTATCTCCCAAGATCCTTCCTGACCTGCTACCTTTTATTCATTCTAGATTCCCTCTACTAAGAGGGCTTTGGCTCCTTGCTTACATGCAACATGATTGTTTTTATTTATATTCAAACGTTTTGATGGTCAAAGGCCCAGTGTGGGTGGATGTTGAACTCCTGCAGTTACCATTACAGCTCCTGCCAACACTGATGGGCTCCTTCACACAAAATTTGCTTGCTATTGTCCCTGACTTTAGGTTCCCGGGGTTGGGGGGTTATGGGAAAATATAGAGAGCACAATATTTCCAAACTTAATTAAAAGAGCCCAGGAGCAATGAGCAAAATGATATCACCACATGCTGATGGAATACTGAATAACTGTTCTCTGGCTAGAGGCTCAAGCACAGCAAAGGCAGCTTTTTCCATGCTTGGTGAATGGACCAGGGCATGATCATTCAATCCCTGAGTGTGCAGCTGTGCTGCCTAGCACCCAGTAGGATTTATGCTTTAATAAATCCTTACTGCATCTGGGAACTTTTAAAAAAATATCGAAGCCCAGGTGCCATATCCTGCTAATTAAATAGTTGAGGGATAAGACCCAGGTATCTGTTATTTAAAGCTTCTCAGGTTATTCTAATGAAAGCACTGTGACTAGCATCTTAGTTTGTGCTGCTATAACAGAATACCTGAAACTGGACAATTTATTAAAAAATAAATTTATTTATCACAGTTCTGGAGGCTGGGAAGTCCAAAATCAAGGTGCCAACACCTGACATGGGCCTTCTTACTGCATTCTGACATGGTGGAAGGACAAGACAGCAAACTAGCCAAATGCTGCTGCAAGAAGCCTCTTTTCTAAGGGCCTTAATTCCATTAATGAGGGAGGCATCCTCTCGGCCTTACCACCTCTGAAAGGCCCCACCTCTTGATACCATCACAATTGGCAACACCTGAGTTTTGGAGAGACCATTAAAACCACAGCAAACGGTGATCCAACGGAAATAAACACATTAGCATCTAGGAGGGTCTTCTGTGCTTGAGATGCTCTGTCCTTCCTCCTCATTCGTTTCTAACAGCCCCACACAAGTGATAACATCACTGACATGAAATCTAAGAAGATCACTTGCAGCTGAAATCAAGTAGTCTTGCTCGTTTTTAGAGGGAGGCACAACACACAGCCATGAGAGTTCTAGTGGTGAAGCAGGTATAACTTTGGAAGTGAAGACCCACTGACCAAAAGAAAATAAAAGAGAATAGGTTACATCAGAAGATACTTTCTCCTCCATTCTCTATCAATTTTCTTTTCAGAGATTCTGATGTGATTGTGTTGGGGTGGGGCTTCAGATATATATACTTTTTAAAAGCTCCCCTGATGATTCTAATGTATGCAAGGTTTGAGAACTACTGGTCTAAGGTTCTCAAGCTTTGCTGTATATTAGAATCAGCTGAGGAGCTTTGTTAAAATCCTGATGTCTCAGGCCACGCCCCATGCCAATTAAATCCAAACCTTTAGGGATAGGACCCAGGCATCAGCGTCTGTAAATCTCCCAAGGTATTTCCAATGTGCAAATCAAAGTTGAGAACCAGTGCTTTAAAGTTCCCTACAGATGAAAGAATAGCAAAGGAGAAAAGGCCCTGGATTCTAGGCTCTGCTTTGATACTAATTTGCATGTAACCTTGGACAAGTCATTTTACCAATCTGGGCTTCAGTTTTCCCACCTGTGAAATGTTATCAACGACTTATTATGGCTCTAATGCACATCTTCTATGAATGTTACCACAGCTTTACAAAGCCAGCTCACTCTACCACGTGTGTTGCCTCCTACAGCTCTCTGCTGTTGAAAAGAGGTGGTCGCCTGCCTCGAGGATTAACAATCCTGGGCATTGTTTCTAAAGCAGAAGGATATAAGGGCATCCCAAGTCTTCCCTACCTCTCTAATCAGATTAAAGATGTAATGCAACCATGGTCCTGTGTAGAATAACTGTCACTAATCAATTTGGTCAAGAGTCACGGTCAGAACATGGCCTGACATGGTTTGGCTATCACACGTGTAGAAAGAGCTGTGTTTGATAGAGTCAGTGTTTGTTCTTTCACAGTACCCCAATACGTCAGGCACAAACCCCCTGTTGATCTAGACAGACTTGCATCACTAGCTGTGAATCATCGAGAATGGCAACATCTGCAGCGGGGACCTCTAGGCCTGAAATGCCCCACCACATTCCTTATTTATTTCTAATAGCAGTACACAAGCAACATCACTAAATGAAAGGCAAGGAGAAAATAATTAGCAACCAAGTGTCTGGCTCCTTGATAACCTACAGTTGAGTGAGTTTGGTTGTCAGAAGACCAGGATTCAAGCCTCAGTTCTCCCTTATGCTGGCTGCATGACTTTGGGTAAGCAAAGCTCTGCTAATAAGGCTCTCAGGCTTTCATTTCTAAAATAGGGATCATATCTGCTACTCCTCAGAAGGATGTAGATTGGATGAAGCAACATAAGGGAGAGCATTTTGTAAGACACTATTTCTCTACCTTTTTTCCCTTGGGCTCCCTTCTCTCAAAACACATAGAAATTCATTATTCTCTTCTGTGATATAATTCTCCCACAGATGGGTCCCATTTGATATCCCAAACATCAAGATGCTGTAATCTAACACACACGAAGGATGCAAGCCGTGTGGAGATGCTACCCATTAACACAGGACTTAGGAGAAGGCAATAAGGCAATTACGAAAAAAATCCCCAATCTCAATTCTGTATGAGTGTTAGGTGTTCTCACAAAGGAAAGGGAAATTATTTCATTAGGCAGAATCCAAATACTATACAAAACAGAAAGGACATGGTTTGTTGACAAAAGTGAAACTATTCTGTGAAACAAAGGCAGCAACAGGGAGATAGAACAGGATTTTCCAGTGAGAAATAAAAGTTGTTATCAAGGTAACAAGGATAGGCGTGGTGCTTTGCCTCCTTTTTGCTCCAGTTCTTCCAAACCAGGGATACTTTTCAGACCAGGGAAAGCAAATGCATTCAGCTGTTGAAGCGCTGCTACACCATCAGATTTCAAAGACAGAATCCTCTCCTTATTCTAAAGGAGACCCATTTCCACATGTTAAATACAAGTTATTTGAAAATGACGTGGAGGATAGAAATGATGAAAATAGTGACAGAGAGGAAGAGTTCTCCCAAGTTACAGATGAGGACACTGAAATTTAGAGGTTAATCCCATGTAAAGCCAAGAAGTCTGATCCCAGACTCAGTCTTCTGTCTATACTACAAGAATGCTGTGGAAGACGTATTGTCAAACAAAAAATACTTGCACCATTTATCTGAAAATCAGACTACTGTCATCCACAGTATAGCCCAAACATAGACAATAATCATGTGCTGAGTGCTTCATATGCCCCAGGGTATCCTCAATTTACCTATATTGACTTATTTAATTCAAAGCAACCCTCTGAGTAGATGCCATTATTTCCCTATTTTATAGATGAGGAAACAGAATCACAGAGATGTTAAGCAGCTGCCTGAGCTCACACAGCTAAGCATTGTCAGAGCCCGAATTCAAACACAGACCATTGGCTCCAAATCCCACATTCCAATGACTATTTGATACTGTACATCAATCAAAGACTAAGCATTAACAATAACTACCCCAAAACCCTGACAAACATCTCACTATGATTTCTTAAGCCCCACTTGGAGCCTCACTGACTCTTATTTAACATCTAATTCTCAACAAGTTTGCAAAGAACTTTCACGTGCAAGGCTGGCATGATCTGGCCCGTGCCTCCAGCTCCACCTTCATCTTCTGCCATTTCCCCTATGCTCCAGCCTCACAAGCCTCTTTGGTGCCCTCCTTGGGGCCTTGGCACCTGCTATTCCCTTTGCCTAGAATGGTCTTTTCGTCATTCCGTGCCTGTTGACCTCCTACTCTCCCTTTAGACCTCAGTTTAAGTGTCACTTCCTCATGGAACTTTACCATCATTCTGCTTTTTTATGATACTTTTCTATCAGAGCACTCACCACACAGTTATAGACTTGTGTGATTACTGCATTTACAAGGCCAAGAGTAGTGGCAGTTCTGCTCCCCCCTGTATTAAGTGTACTTGCTCTGGAACACAATGGCTGTAGAATAAATATTTGTTGGCTGCATTAATTAGTGACACTATTACACATTAATCTTCATAATAATGCTTGAAGATGAGTGGACAATGGTAGCATTAAGCTCATTTTAAACATGAGGGTACTCAAGACCTGAAATATTTGGAGTGATTTGCCATAACACTATTCCTAAAGTGGTGGAGCTAGAATTCAACTCATTCAAGGTCAGGTGGTCCAAGAGCCCAGCGCTGTCTTTTATCCACTTGATGCGATGAATAAATAATGAAGTGTGCTGTGTTTTCAATAGCAAATAAGTTGCAGACTCACAGGGTTAGACAAGCATATCATCAAAACCAGATCTATGCCCATTTGCCTTTCTTATTTCCCCAGAATCAGAAAACACGAATATTCTGTTTTTGATTGATAGTCACTGAAAGTCCACAGTTTTAGGCACCGTATAGAACAAGGCCTTGGTTCCAAACATTATCTAACAAGATAGAAGGTCAAATTCAAGCAATTTCAAGTTGTCCTTGGAGTTTAGTCCAAAAACCTTAATGATATTGACTCAGCATTTGTTTAGAGTCAACAGGAACAGTAACCAAATGCACAGAAAAAAAACAGTCCACGTGCCATTCATCAGAGCATTGACCTTTCAGCCCTGGGATTCTTCACTAGAAAATGAGAAGCATGGATTTGGTGATCTCTAAGTTTTTTTCTTCTCTGAATGCATGGCCTTCCAAATACACTAGTAGATTTGACTGCTCACAATTTGGCAAGAATAATATTTTTGGGATACTAATTACGTTTTTCATATATTTTCCTCCTTCCTATTTAAGAAGGTAGAAGTCTCCTCCTCCTGGCTGAGCATGAAAAAAAAGGAAGGTGGAAGTCAAGGCATGCATCCTTTAGAGATGGTGTGAGGCAGGTGTTATGCTCAGGGTTAGATTTCAGCCCCAGCTGAGGACTAAGGGGAGTGGGTGGACATGAGGCAGGGAACTGGAAGAACTCTTGAGAAACAGCAGGTAGGTGAGACATGGCTTTACTCAGCAGCTCCCTCACAGGGTCAGTGTTACTTTTATACCTTACACAAACAATCGAGGCTGAGAGCCAGGTAGTGAGCTTCTCTATGTTATGTCTACGTGGCTATGACTATATAAGACACAGGACTGTGTGCCTGTGCCACAAACCCGCTGAGTCATCCAGGTTGTTTACCTTGGCCTATGCCTGCTGCCCTATGCCTGCTTGGCTGCAGCACAGCTATGTTCCTTACAGCAGGCCAGAACTCAGAAGCTGCCTGCATATAATTCCTTTGCCAGCTTTTTTTTTTTTTTTCCCAAAACACCCAAGGCCCTATGGGGAGAGAAAGAATTTGAGAAATAAAGTTGAGGACAAAGAGGTCTGTAAATCTAGAGAGCAAATGACATATAGACTGCTCCCTGGCTGTATGGTAACCACACCTGATAGCAGTAGCTTAAGCATGCCCGTAGAATGACCCTCTATAGCAGATGCATCTGAATGTGTGTTCCAAGACAGGGAATTCAGGAGTGGCCAACCCAGAGATTCATTCCTTGCCTATGTGGAAAACCTGATCCAACGGCTAACCTATGGAACATGGGACATACAAGGGAATGAGGCCCTGAGTTTTGGGTTAAATGAGGGTTGCCAGGTGGAGGTCGTTAGAGGGAGGGTGCTGTTTGCAAGTGGTTTCAAGGGGTTCAGGGTCATGCTATCAACTCCAATGGGTATGGCACCAGGCTCAAGAGGCTGAAGAGGCCCAGAGCCAACAAGCAAAACATGGGGTTTTATTGTGGACTTACCTACAGGGGAGAGAGTTCAGTGGTGGCAGGCCAGGCAGGAGAACCACCTTACAGTCTCATAGTGGCAGGCTTGGCAAGGTAGCCAGCTTACATACAGTCCAGTGGCAATGGGCTGGACATGATAACTGCACAGCCCAGTGATGGTGGGCTGGGCAGGAAAGCCGCAACCACTTGCGGAAGGCATGCAGCTTATATAGAAATTTACTTAACACCCTAACAACCTCCACCTGGCAACCTTCATTTAACCCAAAATTCAGGGCCTCAATCCCTTGTCTGGCCCACATTCCATGGGTCAGCTGGTAGCTCAGCTATTCCTCATAGACAAGTAATAATCTCCAGGTTGGCCACTCCCAGATTCCCTCGCTTGGAACACACATTCAGGTGCACCTGTCATACAGGGTCATTCTAAGTTTATGCTTAAGTTATTGCTTTCAGGTGCATTTACCCTGCAGGGAGGTAAGTTTGAGCAAGAGTATACTGTGAGGTTGGGAGCTTCAAGCTGAAATCAAGTTGATTTCCAGAAAAAAAAAAATTAAATGCAGTATTTCCTGGATTTCTGAGTTAGTTAACTGTAATTCCTATCACTTCAATATGATAACCTGTATCAAGACCAATGAGGCGTAGTCGCAATGAGCAGACTTGCAGAGGAGAAAATGGCACAGACAAACTACCCTGAGAGCTGGATGAGAACAGAAGAAAAAACACTCCCCCTGCTTTTGTGAAGAGGGTAGAAATAGCTTTGACTGGTTAAGAATTTGTTTTACTTTTAACAGTGTACAATTCAGTCATTATTTTCTGCAGTCTTAGAGCCTAGCATTGAATAGACATTAAATGATTAATTCATTTTAATTTTTAGTTACTGGTAGAATTGTTCATTTAAGTTATGTCACTATATTAAGAACTGTATCAGGAATAAATTTTCTATGTTCATATAACCATAGCTACTTTAGCCAGACTGGTTTTTGGCATCTCATATCTCTCATTGTCAACTGAAAATACACATCTCATAATTGAAGAGACACACTAGCTAACATCCCCAGTAAAGGTAAATCACTTGCAAACATTAATAGTTTCTCTTCATGCTTTTATTATAAGGAATAATGACTTGAGAGGTGAATACTTCAGATCAATTAAGAATAGTAAACATTTCCATTTTATGGTCTAAAATTAACCCCTAAAACAACAATGTGAATAAGAAACAGAAGTACAATCTCCATTTTTATAAATCCAGAAGACATAAAACCCAGAACCACACCATATTAAGATGGAAAAATGATGGAATGGAAACACCCGTCTAGCCAAGAAACAAGCCAACTCAATACAAACAATTCTTAAGAATTACACCTAGTGAGGCAGCAGGCACAGATGAGGTAGCAGGCTAGAAAAAAAAGAGAAATTATTTAGAAGTGGTGTAAGAAACAATTAGACCCAAGATCATTCCCCCACACTAACAGGTGAAAGTGCCTCCATCCCTGAAGGTGATGGGCAGCATATTCTGGGGGAAAATAAATAACAGACTATAGAAGTGAGGATGCCAGGCACAAATGAGATGCTGAACTAAAACCAGGAGCTAATTTTAAAGTTTGTGTGCTGAACAGAGACCCTCAGACCCTCTTTCCCTGAGCAGTTTCAGAACTCTAGCAGTCCAGTCTTTACACCTCAAGCAGTAGACTGGTTGCCATTTTCCTGGTAAAATTGAACCACCCCAGAATAAAAGACAGTAAGAAATTAATATATAAGGGTTTCCAATCAAAAAGCAGGATAATCATTTGGTTTTCCTTCAAGGCTGATATGGTTTGGATCTGTGTCCCCACCCAAATATCATGTTGAAATATAATCCCCAATACTGGAGGTGGGCCTGGTGGGAGGTAATTGGATCATGGGGGCAGTTTCTCATGGCTTAACACCATCCCCCCAGTGCTGTCATTGTGATAGTGATAATGAGTTCTCATGAGATCTTGTTGTTTAAAAGTTTATAGCACCTCCCTATTCTCTCTCCTGGTCCTGCTCCTGATATGTAAGATGTTTGCTCCCTCTTTGCCTCCATGATTGTAAGTTTCCCAAGGCCTCCCAGGAAACAAATGTTGCCATGCTTCCTGTACAGCCTGCAGAATTCTGAGCCAATTAAACCTCTTTTCTTTATAAATTACCCAGTCTCATGTAGATCTTTATAGCAGTGCAAGAATGGACTAATACAAAAAAACTTTTATTAAGGAGTGGAGCATTGCTATAAAGATACCTGAAAATGTGGAAGCAGCTTTGCAACTGGGTAATAGCCAGAGGTTGAAAGTGTGTAGAGGGCTCAGAAGAAGACAGGAGGATGAGGGAAAATTTGGAACTTTCTAGAGACTTGTTAAATAG
Organism: Homo sapiens; assembly: GCF_000001405.40. NCBI lineage: Eukaryota > Metazoa > Chordata > Mammalia > Primates > Hominidae > Homo > Homo sapiens. Next base: position 75,227,080 of record NC_000009.12, on the reverse strand, counting down.
TTGTGACCAAAATGTTGATAGTGATATGGACAACGAAATCCAGGCTGAGGAGGTCTCAGATGAAAATGAGGAACTTACTAGGAACTGGAGTAAAGGTCACTCTTGCTATGTTTTAGCAAAGAGCTTGGTTGGACTGTGCCCCTGCCCTGGGGAGCTGTGGAACTTTGAACTTGAGAGAGATGATTTAGGGTATCTGGTGGAAACAATTTCTAAGCAGCAAAGTATTCAAGATGTGACCTGGCTGCTTCTAAAAACCTATGCCCATAAGTATGAGCAAAGAAATGACCTGAAGCTGGAACTTATATTTAAAAGAGAAACAGAGCATAAAAGTTTGGAAAATTTGCAGGCTGGCCATGTGATTGAAAAAAAAAAGCCCATTTTCAGGGTAGGAATTCAAGCAGGTTGCAGAAATTTGCATAGGGAGCCAAGTGCTAATATCCAAGACAATGAGGAAAAGGCCCTGAAGGCATTTCAGAGAGATTTCCAGCAGCTCCTTCCATCACAGGCCTAGGAGAGAAGAATGGTTTCATGGGTCAGGCCCAGGGCCCTGCCATCCTGCACAGCCTCAGGACATTGCTCCCTGTGTCTTGGCCACTTTAGCTCCAGCCATGGCTCAAAGAGGCCCACGTACAGCTTGAACCACTGCTTCAGAGGGTGCAAACTGTAAGCCTTGGCAGTTTCCATGTGGTGTTAAGGCTGCATGTGCACAGAGTGCAAGAGTTGAGGCTTGGCAGAGCAATCAGACGAGAGAAAGAAATAAAAGGCATCCAAATCAGCAAAGAGGAAGTCAAACTGTCGCTGTTTGCTGATGATATAATTGTATACCTAGAAAACTGTAAAAACTCCTCCAAAAAGCCCCTAGAACTTATAAAAAAATTCAGCAAAGTTTCCAGGTACAAAACTAATGTATACAAATCAGTAGCTCTATTATACACCAGCAGTGACCAAGTGGAGAATCAAATCAAGAACTCAACCGCTTTTACAATACCTGCAAAAAAATATAAAATACTTAAGAATATACCTAACCAAGGAGGTGAAAGATCTCTACAAGGAAAACTACAAAATACTGTTGAAAGAAATCATAGATGACACAAACAAATGGAAACACATCCCATGCTCATGGATGGGTGGAATAAATATTGTGAAAATGACCATACTGCCAAAAGCAATCTACACATTCAATGCAATTCCCATCAAAATACCCACCATCATTCTTCACAGAAATAGAAAAAAAAAATCCTAAAATTCATATGGAACCAAAAAAGAGCCCACATAGCCAAACCAAGACTAAGCAAAAAGAACAAATCTGGAGGCATCACACTACCTGATTTCAAACTATGCTATAAGGCCATAGTCACCAAAACAGCATGGTACTGGTATAAAAATAGGTAGATGGACCAAAGGAACAGAATAGAGAACCCAGAAATAAACCCAAATACTTATAGCCAACTTATCTTTGACAAAGCAAGCTTATCTTTGATAAAGCAAAAAAAAAAAAAAAAAACTCAAGGTAGGGAATGGACAGCCTATTCAACAAATGGTGCTGGGATAATTGGCTAGCCACATAGGAGAATGAAACTGGATCCTCATCTCTCACCTTATGCAAAAATCAACTCAAGATGGATCAAGGACTTCAATGTAAAACCTGAAACTATAAAAATTCTAGAAGATAACATCAGAAAAACCTTTCTAGACATGGCTTAGGCAAGGATTTTATGACCAAGAACCCAAAAGCAATGCAATGAAAAAGATAAATAGCTAGTACTGAATCAAACTAAAGAGCTTTTGCATGGCAAAATGAACAGTCAGCAGAGTAAACAGACAACCCACAGAGTGGGAGAAAATCTTCACAATCTATCCATCTGACAAAGGACTAATATCCAGGACCTACAATGAACTTAAATTAGCAAGAAAAAAAAAAACAATCCCATCAAAAAATGGGCTAAGGAAATGAATAGACAATACTCAAAAGAAGATATACAAATGGCCAACAAACATATGAAAAATGCTGAACATAACTAATGATCAGAGAAATGCAAGTCAAAACCACAGTGTGATACCACCTTACTCCTGCAAGAATGGCCATAATCAAAAAATCAAAAAATAATAGATGTTGGCATGGATGTGGTGATCAGGGAACACCTCTACACTGCTGATTGGAATGTAAACTAGTACAACCACTAAGGAAAACAGTGTGAAGTTTCCTTAAAGAACTAAAAGTAGAACTACCATTTGATCCAGCCATCTCACTACTAGGTATCTACACAGAGGAAAAGAAGTCATTATACAAAATGGATACTTGCACATGCATGTTTATAGCAACACAATTCACAATTGCAAAATCATGGAACCAACCCAAATGCCCATCAATCAATGAGTGGATAGAAAAACTGGTATATAGATACAATGGAATACTACTCAGCCATAAAAAAGAATGAATTAATGGCATTCACAGCAACCTGGATGAGATTGGAGACGATTATTCTAAGCTAAGTAACTCAGGAATGGAAACCCAAACATCATATGTTCTCATTCATAAGTGGGAGCTAAGCTATGAGGATGCAAGGCATAAGAATGACACAATGGACTTTGGGGTCTCAGGGGGAAAGGAGGGGAAGGGGTGAGGGATAAAAGACTACAAACTGGGTGCAGTGTATACTGCTCTGGTGATGAGTGCACCAAAATCTCACAAATCACCACTAAAGAACATACTCATGTAACCAAACACCACCTGTTTTCCAATAACCTAAGGAAATTAAAAAAAAAAAAATTAAAAAGAGTTGAGGCTTGGGAGCCTCCATCTAGATTTCAGAGGATGTATGGAAAAGCCTAGATGTCTAGGCAGAAGCCTGCTGCAGAGGCAGAACCCCCAGAAAGAGCCTCTACTAAGGCATGCAGAGGGGAAATATGGGGTTGGATCCCCCATACCATGTCCCCATTGGAGAACTGCCTAGTGGAGCTATGAGAAGAGGGTCACCATCCTGTAGTCCCCAGAATGGTAGATTCACCAACAGCTTGCACCATGTACCGGGAAAGCTGCAGGCACTCAATTCCAGCCCATGAGAGCAGCCTCAGGGGCTGAACACTGAAAAACCACAGGGGTGGAGCTTCCCAAGGCTTTGGGAGCTCACCCCTTGCATCAGTGTGCTCTGGATGTGAGATATGGGGTCAAAGGAGATTATTTTGGAGCTTTAAAGTTTAATGACTGCCCTTCTGGGTTTTGGACTTGCATGGGACCTGTAGCCCCTTTCTCTTGGCTTATTTCTCCCTTTTGGAATAGGAGTATTTACCCAATGTCTATACCCCCACTGTACTTGGAAGTAACTAACTTGTTTTTCATTTTACAGGCTCATATGTGGAAGGGACTTGCCTTGTGTCAGATGAGATTTTGGACTTTTGAGTTAATTCTGGAATGAGTTGAGATTTTGGGAGACTATTGGGAAGGCACGGTTGTATTTTGCAATGTGAGAAGAACATCAGATTTGGGAGGGGCTAAGCGCAGATTGATATGGTTTGGATGTGTCCTCACCTAAATCTCATGTTGAAATGTAACCCCCAATGCTGCAGGTGGGGTCTACTGGGAGGTGATTGGATCATGGGGGCAGTTTCTCATGGTTTAACAACATCCCTCCCTGGTGCTGTCATGGCAATAGTGTGAGTTCTTATGAGATCTGGTTGTTTACAAGTCTACAGCACCTCCCAACTCTCTCTTGGTCCTTCTCCTGCCATAGAAGACAACTGTTCCCGCTTTGTCTTCTGCCATGATTGTAAGTTTCCTGAGGTCTTCCCAGAGGTAGATGCTGCCATGCTTCTTGTACAGCCCATGAAACCATGAGCCAATTAAATCTCTTTTATTTATAAATTACCCAGTCTCGGGTATTTCTTTATAGCAGTGCAAGAATGGACTAATACAGAGGCCCATCAGTCAGCAATATCAATGCACAGTGGTTTTCAATAAGCTTTTAGCTATCACTATTAAACATGAATGGACAGCCATAGATCATTAGAAGCAAATGAACAATGTCTCCAACATGAATGGCAGAGGGAAAAACAAATAGGGAATTTGGATAAAACAAATAATGCAGAAAATGAGAAAAACCTTTAAAAATAATTACATTATCATCAGAGGGAAAATAAAAGATATTGGATTCATGAAAAAGAATAAGATTCTATGTCATAAAGGATTAGTTAGACAAGGAAAGGACATTTAGTAATTAAAAATACAATAACCAATAAAATTTCAAAATAAAAATTTCAGTGAAATGGTAGTAAAATCAAGGAACTCCTCTAGAAAGTAAAAACAGGAAGAAGGAAAATAGAAAAAAACTAAGAAAATTAGAACATCAATGCAGGAGATTCATCATATCCATATAATCCAAGTTGAAGGGGACAAAAAAAAAAAAACAAGAAAATTTCCCAGTGTAATTTGATTAAAATGGTCCACCAAAAGCCCAGACCAATAAATGGAAAAGATCAGGGTAAGGTATACATTCTGAAATTTCAGAATACCAGGAATAAGGGAAAATCCTAAATTTCCACAGGGAGGGAAAAATGTTCACAAAGTTTCAGGAATCTGCATTACATTCTATATCTCAGCAGCAGCTCTGAAAGCTAGAAAACCATGGAGCAATTTTGAAGAGAAAATTGGTTTTACTAAAAATTTTGTGCCCAAGAAAGCTGTCAATTAAGTATGAAGGCAGAAGAAAAAAGGCATCAGGTGCACAAAGTTTCAAAACGATTCCTTCCCTTGGACCTTTACTAAGGAAACTACAAAAGGATGTACTCCAGTAAAACAAGAGAATCACCAAGAAAAAGAAAAGCAAGTGAGGAAAGAAAAGCAAAGAGAATTTTCAGAAAGATGGTGAAATGAAACACAAAGATAATAGTTGTGAATTAGACCAAGCAAGTAACCAGTCCAGAAAAGGACAAGGAAGGTGAGAAAAAATATCTACACGATAAGATGAAACAAATTTTATCTGACAAGTTTATGTGAAATTGAATTAAGAGGCATTTTACAATGGTAATGGAGGTGAGGGAAATTATCAATGGGTTCAAAAATATATAAGCAAATGGAAGAAGAGAGAGTGTGAGAAGAAAGAAGAGAGAGAATTTTAATCTCCAGAAAAAAAAAAAAGAGTTGTAGTAGAAAGAAACCATAGTCACTTGGCTTACTTGAATCTAGATTTAACCAAACTACATGAAATAATCAGTGGATTTTAAAAAGTTGAAAAAGAGATAAAACTCTCACCTGCTACAGGAAGCCAAAGATGTCTAAAACTGAAGACTAAAAATATAGATAAATACATATATTATTTGAAAATATGGGGATAAATACAGAAAACATAGTTTAAATAATTATTGGTGGATGTCTCTGGAACGTAGACCAGCAATGGTCAGGGGAACCAGTGGGAACAGAAATAAAATAAAGGTCTAAAATAAAATAGAGGTATTTGGGGGTTTTATATTATTTTTAGCACTATGTATGCATTCTTTTTATAAAAATATAAATTAAGTGTTTAAAGACAGCTAATTCCAGGACTTCAGCATAGGTCCTTAATAAGAAATATAATAATATGGCCGGGTGCGGTGGCTCACACCTGTAATCCCAGCACTTTGGGAGGCTGAGGCAGGCGGATCACGAGGTCAGGAGTTCGAGACCAGCCTGACCAAAAGGTGAAACCCTGTCTCAGCAAAAATTACAAAAATTAGCCGGGTGTGGTGGCATGTGCCTGTAATCCCAGCTATTCAGGAGGCTGAGGCAGGAGAATCTCTTGAACCCAGGAGGCAGAGGTTGCAGTGAGCTGAGATCATGCCACTGCACTCCAGCCTGGGCAACAGAACTAGACTCTGTCTCAAAAAGAAGAAGAAAAAATATAATAATAATGTGAATAACTTCCCAGATCAAATATAGATCCACATCATTTATAGTAATTGAATTATATCTCATCAAATCAATGTGCCATAATTTTCAGTTCTATGTTAATGAATAGTTTGAATATCTTTCACTTTAAATTATTGTAAATAGCATTGTAGAGATCATCTATTATGTCTATTCCTTATATCACTATCCTCATGATATCTTCTAGAACTGTTGCAATGGCTTCATTAATAATATCATTTTGTCTAGTCTTGGCTCTTTCACAGTGATTCTCTACTCAATAACAGTCTTTCTAAACTAACTTTCAATATGAAATAATGTCCAAATTACAAACATGACAGAGGATTCTTCATGACCTAGACTCTATTGATATTCCTTGTTATGTGCACAGTATTCTTTCTACAACCTGATATAAAGATCAATCTCTGTTTAGAGAGGGCTACCCTCTCCAACATGTGCTCAACTATAGTGTTCAGTCATAGGAAGCATTCATTAGTTATATAAACTCACAGCATGACCCACCAGAGGTATCCCTAGAATGCAGGGCCCTGGACAATGTTTTATTTTAAAATGCATTGCAAAATTCATGGGTCCATGCGAGTTACAATAATTACCAATCAAGAATAATGGGTAAAGAAAGGTATTTAGATTGACTTACTGTCCAATCAGTGCATGTGAAGGCTTTTCAGAGTGCCTAGGCACCAGGTCTTTCTGTTCAGGCCCATCAATGCCATATTTCTCACCATGAAAAAAATAGCCATATACGTTTTCTCAATGCCCTAGCTACTCAGAATCTCTTTGTATTGAAATAACATAGATGTGTTTGCCTTTGCAGTCCCCTAATGCCATTTATTTAGACCTGGTTATATCATTGCTCATGATGCATCATCATCCATCACACTGCCTATGAAGCTGGCTTCTAAAGGATTATCTTAAAGGTTGTTATTGCACTTCATTGGTGAAGGCCATAAATGTAAAATTTACCCACAGTTATAAAGAAAAATATGGACAAATATTTGTTTTCTAACCATGTTAAATTTATCCCTCAAAATTCAATAAAATAAACATAAAACAACACATCTTCCAACTATGTCTTCCCTCTAAATCACTGCATTCTTAGAATGTGAACTCTTCATGGTAAGTAACCACACACCTGCGTTCCACACATTGCCACCTATAACAAGGATAGTTCGGGGTCTGTGGGTGCTGTAAAAGGAGCAGTCCCATTCACAAAGGGAATGTTAATCCCTTGTCCAGGACAGCTTATGGCCAACCTCAGAGAGTACTATATCAATACTATATCAACACCTTGATTGGAGGCAAGAGAGGACATGGATCGGAAGGGCCCACTGGTGTCACAGAACAAAGGTCTCCAAAGTCCATGGAAGACATAAGCACATCACGCCTGGAAGACTAATTGGTGTGCAAACTGAAAGAGAGTGAAGTGACCATTCTGGGTGCTAATGGAGGGAGGTTCTGAGGGTAAATGACAACTCTCCCCGCCTTGACCCCTGCCACATCGTGCTGTAGACTAGAAGTGGCACCATGGTCAAGACACATGATTGAGGCAAGAGAAGACACACGAGCCCACACATATGGCTCAAGCCCAAGGTGAACCATCAAAGCCCAGACCTCAGAACTCAATCTGGGTCTGATGTGATGAAAGTTACCCAAGGTTAGTGTGTCAGCATTATTCTGGTGGTCTGATACCATGTGATCCCACAAAACATATTGCAGTGGAGCAAGCCTCCCTCTTGGAACCAGCCCAGCTACAGGACCCCAGGACAACCCGCAGGCACAGTTCTGGAAGTCACTGGGGCCATCTCTTTTTTTTTTTTTTTTTGGACATTGAGTCTCACTCTGTCACCCAGGCTGGACTGCAGTGCACTGGGGCCATCTCTTTTTTTTTTTTTTTTTTGGACATTGAGTCTCACTCTGTCACCCAGGCTGGACTGCAGTGATGCAATCTTGACTCACTGCAACCTCTGACTCCCAGGTTAAAGCAATTCTCCTACCTCAGCCTCCCAAGTAGAAGTGACTACAGGCATGCACCACCACGCTCGGCTGATTTTTTGTGTTTTTAGTAGAGACAGGGTTTCACCATGTTGGCCAGGCTGGTCTCGAACTCCTGACGTCAAATGATTCACCTACCTCGGGCTCCCAATGTGCTGGGATTACAGGTGCCCGGCACCCAAGAGGGCCTTAGAATTTTTGATGAAAGTACTCCAAAGCCTAGGGTTCAGGCACGGGTCCTGCTTGCCCAGGTCTAAGAAAGTACTATTGTTCACATTCTACTACATATCTCATTCATTTCACAATCTGTAGTTGAATACCCCTTATTTAAAAAAAAAATTAGGAAGATATAGTTCTGTTCTCAGTTTGGAACAATCTTGTTTTTTCTTTATAAGCTTGCTTTTCACTTAAGTTTACCTAGTGAGCCATGAGATAAATCAAGTACGGCTGAGTGTCTGACTAGAACTACTGATATAAATACTTGCCCAAAATTTGAAATAAGAAATTCTGTTTCTCAAAAAGTTAAACATAGAATTACTATACAACCCAGCAATTCCACTTATACATATATACCCAGAAGAATTGAAAAGAGCTACTCAAACAAGTGCATGTACAGGTATGTTTATAGTAGCATTATTCACAATAGCCAAAAGGTGGAAACAATCCATATATGTATCAATGGATGAATTGACAGACAAGTTATGGTATATACAGACAATGGAATATTATTCAACCATTAAAGGGAATAAGGTACTGATACAGGCTACAACATGAATGAACCTCAAAAACATCATGTAAGCAAAAGAAGCCAGACACAAAAGGACAAATATTGTATGATTCCATTTATATGAAACATCCAGAATAAGTAAATCTATAGAGGCAATGCAGCTTGATGGTTGCCACAGGCAGTGGGGAGGAAAAAATGAAAAGCAACTGCTTAATAGGTAGGAGTTTTCCTTTGGGGTGACGAAAATATTTTGGAACTAAGTAGAAGTGGTGATTGTACAACATTGTGAATGGATTAAATGCCAATGAATTGCTCACTTTAAATTAGTTAATTTTATGTTCGGTGGATTTCACTCCAATTTTTGTTTTATCTTGACCATTAAGATAGTTATTTTCAGGCCAGGTGTGCTGACTCATATCTGTAATCCCAACACTTTGAGAGGCCAAAGAGAGAGAATCTCTTGAGGCCAGGGGTTTGACACCAGCCTGGGCAACATGGTGAGACCCTGCCTCTACAAAAAATTTAAAAAATAGCCAGGACTGGTGGCACATACCTGTGGTCCCAGCTACTCAGGGGCCGAGTGGGAGGACAGATTGAGCCCAGTAGATCAAGGCTGCGGTTAGCCAAGATCACACCACTGTACTCCAGCCTGGGTAACAGAGCAAGACCCTGTCTCAAAAAAAATAAATAAATAAATAAATAAAGGTATTTCTTTTCAACTTAGTTGATAATAGGTTATACTCAAACACAAAATCAGACCAACTGTGATGATTTGTAGTGATGTTAATGATTATTATTTCTTACGGAACAAAATATCACTGAGAAAAGACCCCAGAATATATCCACTTGGCGATTGTTTTCAGAGAAAAGAAATAATGTTGAGGGGAAACGTTGCTGAAAAGAAAAAAAAAATCTATAGAAAAAAAGAACTGGAAAGAAAGAAATTATATTTGCTTCTTAAGAAAGTAATCTTTTTATCAAGAGTTATTTTCCATAAGATATTGGGGTACAGGTGGTATTTGGTTACACGAGGAAGTTCTTTAGTGGTGATTCGTGAAATTTTGGTGCACCCATTTTTATATGGGAAAAGAAATGTACATCAGCAGTTGACCTTGGAAACTATAAAACAATCAGAAATCCACTTAGTAACCAAAACCCTAAAAATATTACCTTAGCATGGTGGTCCTCCATAAAGATAGTTGCTATCTGTTCAACAAATATATTACCACCAAAGAGATAAAAGCAAGTACAACCTACAAATTTACAGTGTTTCTCTGTACGTTGTTCAAAAAATAGAATTCACTGGAAGGATGAAGCAGGCAATGTGATTAATTCATAGAAGAGTTCAATCTTATTACAGCCATTACCTTCTAAGTGAAGATATAGTGCAAACAATGCTGTATTTTTTAGACTGCTGTTATCAATTCCAGATATTAAAATAATTATTTTAAGCTGTTATAGCCTACAGGCAAAACAAAATAGCACAGGAACTATAAAGCTTTGTAAAACAAAACATATAAGTAGTCAAACTGGGCTTATCCCACCCCTGCCAGATAAAAAGGCTGATCATCAGTCAAGAAATAAGCACATTAATCCTGAAGGAAAAAAATTTGCATTTCTATAATGTGAAATTACTCCTGCACTGAAAGATCTTGTTGAAAAAACTTAATGTATTTCTCCCAAAAACAATTTTTTAAAAGGTACTTCCATGCTGGGATTTCTTTTGCACAAAAAAATGAAATAAAAATCATCTACTTTCATAGTATAATAAATTTTTAGGAGTAATTGTTCTTCAACAGAGATAGAAAGCTCCACTATTAATGTGCATGATTTTCTAGATATTATTAAAAGCAATGCAATTACAGTTATGGTAATTGATATGGTTCTTACATGATAATGATCACGGGTCAAGAGTTTAAAACATAAAGCAGAACATGCTTTGCACTTTTTAAAGTCAACTGAGCGATTGAAACTTGGCTTTGCTATGAAAGACAGTGGACTCTTTTTGCCCTAACTGCTTGAGGTAGAAGTGGGGGCAGAGTGTTGCTTAGAAATCCCATGTCCCTTCTTTCATTTACCCTCTTATCTCCTCCAAACCAGAACTGTTCTTTCCTTAGGAAAAGAAGGTAATTCTCAGTTATCTGGGCAAATGAGAGTCATGCATAACAAGGATAAATCAATTTCACAGTTAATCTCAAACCCCCATTTCAGCCCCGTTTTATTAGTGTCCTAGCCTTCCTTAATAAACTGACTAAACAGAATCCGTAGGTTAAGAGTGACAGCATCTTGTAAAATTGTGGAGACCTCTCAAGGTCCTATAGTGCCATTTTTTTTCCAGCTGCTACTGCGCTCGCAGACTTGAAGCCTGGTTCTGACCTTTATGACAGGGGAAGCGGAATGCAGCGCAGTTTAATTAGACCATTTTGACTGTTCATTTGCTTGGGTATTTATGAACCAAATCCAATGGATCCAGAAAATTTACTCAGGTGTAAGAAATGGGGAGAAAGATCATTACCTTTGATGCGGCAGATAACAGCAAACTCTAAGAAAAAAATCTCAAAGGAAAGTCAATTTTTAAATAACCTGGAGACCACAGTTTAATGTGTTTTTGACAGCATGTAAGATCATTTTTGAGCCTTTAATGACGTTATATGATTCTTTCTATGAACCAGAAACAAAAAAACCATGGCATCATCATATTAAAACACTGATATATTGAAACACTGATACAGATTTAAAAATCGGTGACTGGACAGGAAAATATTAACAGTATTGTTAATAAAGTTTATCTTGGGGTGCTGAAATTATGAGATATGCAGTAGTTATTTATATTTTTAATTTCCTCTAAATAAACATGTTGCCTTTATAATAAGAAAAAATCAATGATGATTTGTTTCTTAATTTTAAAAATTAATAGCATATACTTTTATTGAGCTGGAATTTCTAACTATTTTTCAAACTGTCTTCTCCAGGAGGAGAAGCAGATTACACAGATATTCAGGCTCTTTGTCCAAACCTCAGTTTTATTTTGTTTATTAAAGTTCTACTTAATATTTCTTTTTTAAAAAACATGGTTCCACTGCTTTTTAAAAAAAAAAAAACAGTTGGAAGTCATTAATGTGTTTCAAATAGTTCCTAAGAATTTACTGTATGCAAAATTCTGTGTTAAGTAAACTGAATTACATAGAAGTTGTGATTTTCTATTGTGTACACACACACACACACTCATTTCCCTTTAATCACTACTCTTTTTTTCTTCCATGAGTAAACCTCAGTCCTATTTTGTTTTTTTCATTTCCTACTCACCTTAATTCTACATTTCAAAAGCCTAGAAACTAAGTGAGCAAGGAAAGAAATGTCTTCAGAGGATGAGAGAGGGCAAACACTACTATTCTACATGGTGTCATTCAGTATGTAGAAGTGGAGGGAGAAAACAGTCAACTGAAAAGTTTTGGGGTGATTAAGAGATGGATGGGGAAAAAAAGAATAGGTTTTAAGAAGCTTCTTGTTGTCCTTTGAGAACTTCCATTTACAATTTGCTTGCAATCAATTACACTTTGTCAGATTACTGCTTCTTTGAATTTGCACTTGCTAGAGATTTGGCCTCGTGGTGCTCTGGTTATATACAGGTTCTAACTATAACAGGTGAAGGGAGCAACACAAAAAACAGATTTATTACATACAGCTTCCTAGAATGAAAGAAAATCTAAATGAACCTGGACAAAAAACTATCCTGGTCCTCAGCATGAATCTTAAATGGCAATAGTCACTGGTGAGATTTCTCTAAGCAGCATTTGTCATGCTTCTGAATCTATGATGGTAGCACCAATATACACTGAGCATGGGAGTTTTCTATTATAAAATTTTGAAGTTTGCTACTCATATTCAATGTAAGTTCCAATGTTTCTTTTAGGATATTGATGTATACACTTTCTTTTAGGATACTGACATACACACATGAGTGTTCATGTATGTACAAATGCACAGACACACTTGGGCCAGGAGAGATGGAATTCATCTATGAGACCTGAGATGGCTCATTAAAGACAAGAACCGAACAAGCACAGAAATTGAGTTTATTCTGGCTATAGCAATGGGGAGCACCCCAGATCTGAGGATCAGAGTGTCCCAGCAGGGTGGCTTTGTCTTATACCTTTATAGGTAGGTGTAGACAGTTATAAATGGGGTGGTTTACAGTCAAGATTGATTTTGCAATCAGGAGAAGTCTCGGTCAATCAGCTTAAAAGAAAATGTTTATCTCTGTGTCTAGCTAGTTACAGGAGGACAAAAAATTCATCTAATTATTCATAAGAAAAAGCATGTGAAATTGGAGGGTGTGTATCTGGCCTTGTCACAGGTAAACAAGAGAGTCATCTGTGCATCTTATTTGTCATGAGAAAGAGTCAAGAGTGGACAAGAAGTCTTATCTAAGTCACATGGGAAGGTTGGTTGGTGACAAGCTGTTAACCAGAACAGAAAACTGTTACCGTTTTCAGAGCTCCGGTGAAATTCAACACTGTCTGCCACAGTGAACTATTGAGGGAAAGAATTGGGCACCTGAGACTCTCACATTAAAAGCACAACTTCATGATATCACTAGTTTCTGAGGCTAGGTTGACTAATCATTTTAAGTAACACTCATCCGAGCTTAACACTTGTGCATTTTACCACTTGCAGAAGTTGGAAAAAAAATTATCTAAAACTGTTTTCCCACTGCTTTGGATTAGAATAAATGTGATGAAAGCTGAGGGTATCTAACAGGCAAAAGGGCATATTACTGATGAAACTGTGTTATGAATGTCATGTTGTCACACAACAAAACAAAACAAACGTTTTAGTGAAGCAGCATGGTACAGAGGAAGAAACACAGATGAAGTTGAAGTTGAAACTCCAGAACAGAGACCTCAGAAATAACACCACATATCTACAACCATCTGATCTTTGGCAAACCTGACAAAACCAAGCAATGGGGAAAGGATTCCCTGTTTAATAAATGCTGCTGGGAAACCTGGCTACACATATGCAGAAAACAGAAACTGGACCCCTTCCTTACACCTTATACAAAAATTAACTCAAGATGGATCAAAGGCTTACATGTAAAACCCAAACCATAAAAACCCTAGAAGAAACCTATGCAATACCATTCAGGACATAGGCATGGGCAAAGACTTCATGACTAAAACACCAAAAGCAATGGCAACAAAAGCCAAAATTGACAAATGGGATCTAATTAGACTAAAAAGCTTCTGCACAGCAAAAGAAACTATCATCAGAGTGAACAGGCAACCTACAGAATGGGAGAAAATTTTTGCAATCTACCCATCTGACAAAGGGCTAACATCCAGAATCTACAAGGAATTTAAATTTATAGGAAAAAAACAACCTCATCAAAAAGTGGGCAAAGGATATGAACAAACACTTCTCAAAAGAAGACATTTATGTGGCCAGGAAACATATGAAAAAAAAGCTCATCATCACTGGTCATTAGAGAAATGCAAATCAAAACAACAAGATACCATCTCACACCAGTTAGAATGACGATCATTAAAAGGTCAGGAAACAACAGATGCTGGAAAGGATGTGGAAAAATAGGAACACTTTTACCCTGTTGGTGGGAGTGTAAATTAGTTTAACCATTGTGGAAGAAAGTGTGGCAATTCCTCAAGGATCTAGAACCAGAAATACCATTTGACCCAGCAATCCCATTACTGGGTATATACCCAAAGGATTATAAATCATTCTACTATAAAGACGCATGCACACATATGTTTATTGTAGCACTATTTACAATAGCAAAGACTTGGAACTAACCCAAGTGCCCATCAACGATAGACTGGATACAGAAAATGTGACACATATATACCATGGAATACTATGCAGCCATAAAAAAAGAATGAGTTAATGTCCTTTGCAGGGACATGGATGAAGCTGGAAACCATCATTCTTAGCAAACTAACACAAGAACAGAAAACCAAACACCACATGTTCTCATTCATAAGTGGGAGTTGAACAATGAGAACACATGGACACAGGGAGGGGAACATCACACACTGGGGCCTGTCAGGAGGTAGGGGGCAAGGGAAGGGAGAGCATTAGGACAAATACCTAATGCATGTGGGGCTTAAAATCTAGATAACAGTTTGATAGGTGCAGCAAACCACCATGGCACATGTATACCTATGTAACAAACCTGCACATTCTGCACATGTATCCTAGAACTTAAAGTAAAATTTTTTTTAAAAAGTTGAAATCCAAGGTCCGTCATTTATTAGCAGTGTGACTTTGGTGATTTAACCTCTTTATGCTTAATCTGGAAAAGAGTGAGGCTTACTTGGAAAGAATTCCATGATTAGAGATCATGTATGGAAAGCCCTAGGTAAAGTCTACCTGGAATGTGGCAGGTACTCAGTGATGGAGCCCCACTTCCTTGCCAGAGCTGAGTTTTCCCACATTAAATTGGGGAGAGGTGTGTGTTTCATAAGTACATGAGTCTATGTATATTAAGTCAAACTTTCTCCAGTGAGTATAATTAAAGATGTAAAATTTGGGAACTATCGCTGGTCATCTTCTGCCATTTGGAGAAAGCCAGTCTGGTCTGGGTATCACGAAGATACTCAGAGGAAAGTCAAAGAAGCATGAATCTGATACCCAGACTAAGAATCTTGAAAGTGTTCAAGTACCTGGTTCTACTTATCCCTCTCTCCAGCTTCGCTTGGCTATGCTGAAGGCTGAGTTTCTGCCACTTACATCCCACAATATATTAATACAGGCAGCAATTTTTTTATTCTATTAATAGGCAAAATGCCATGAGTAAGACAGGGACAGTTGAAAATAAACATTCTCTTCCCAATATCATCTCCAAATTAATAACTTATTCACTAATTCTCTGTTTTAGATTGTCTAACAGAAATCTAAGAATATTAAATACAGACAATAAATATTTTTTAAAAAGATGCCTTTTTCCACTTATTTGGCATTACTTCATTGGAATTCATCTTCAAAGAGTTAATTTTATCTTGACTTTAGTTCTAATCTTCCCAGTGGAGCTTTCAATATAAGCTAATGATTTTGATGTACATCCAATTCAAGCTGCATAATATACTATTCTATATGCTGTTCCATCTGGGAAACACTTAGAGATAAAGGAAACAATCTGATTATTTGCTTCATACAAATTGCTGCTCTGAAAATTAGTTTTTTAATGTAGAAAATAAGAGACTGTTTAATGCTTCTTATCAGGCTTAGCTTTTCAGATGTTCAAGGGACTTCGACTGAATATTGACAAGTAGCAAAACACTACAGTATATGCAGCAGAGAAATTTCAGACTGTACAAACAAAAATACATTTATTTTGCCAACCTGCATCCAGAGTTATTCTTAAGAGTTGTTTTCAGGGGCTTAGGAATCAAAAGAATCAGAGAGACAAGAGTGGGCACCTAACGCCTTCTAGGAAATAATAAATTCATTCTAATTATATATACTCTGGGTAGCAATAAACAGGTAAAAGCCAAACACACCTTCAGCAGCAATGTGCTTCATGGACAGAATGTATTATGAGCTAAACCCACTGTAAAAAATTATAGCCTACATATGCAGGATTCCCAAAAGAACAACAACAACCACAAAACTGCAGATTTGTATCATTGTATCCCCTCTTATGCAGAATAAAATGCTCCTGAAATGAAAATGCTTCTGTCAATGGTGGTGCTTGGTGTTAAGAGTTTAAAGTTATCTGGGTTTGTACTTTTGGTTACCTTTTTAAAAAGATTTAACTAAAGCGCTTTACAAACTTTAGAAAAATTATCAGAATATCAATCTATTTTGTAGGTAAAATAAAACACGTAAAACCAACACACATTACCTTCTTTGTCCAAAAGTAGTTACTGCTTTTTTTCCTAACCAGAAGAAATCAAGCACAGGCATACTGTATTAGCCAGGGTTCTCCAGAGAAACAGAATCAACGAGAGAGAGAGAGAGATTTATTTTAAGGAATTGACTCACACGATTGTGGAGGCTGGTAAGTCCAAAATCACAGGATGGGCCAGTGGAACAGGAGACCCAGGGAGAGCAAAGGTTCAGCTCAAAGGTCATCAGGCTGGAAGAGCTGATGCTGCAGATGAAGTCTGAAGGCAATCGGCTGGAGAATTCTGTTACTAATGGGAGAGTCAATCTTTTTGTTCTACTCAGGCTTTCAACTGATTGGATGAAGCCCACCAATAAAATGGAGGGCAATCTGCTTTACTTAACTCCACCAATTTAAATGTTAATCTCACCCAATAACACCCTCAGAGAAACACCCACAATAATGGTTGACTCATAAAATTTACCATCACATATATATATACCATCGCAAAGTCATGCTTCCCCCTACCTACCTAGAAGCCACCTGCACAGTTCCCATTTACTACCAAGACTTCCTGCAGCATCTTTTATTTGAGGTTATCGTCTGACCACACAAAGGGGGAAAGACACAGGCTGAAAGTACCCAGAAGTGAATGCTTCCAGACTGCCCTTAACTAATAAGGGGTGCAATGTGGTGGATAACCTAAAATTCCTCATCTTTCAGAGTGACAATCAAAGACTCAGTCCACCCCATCTCTAAGGAGAGGATCCCTTCTCTGTCTCATTTCTCTACTCCCTTGCAGTGCCTTCTAGGATCACCTGCCAAAGAAACAGCCTGTACCTAAATTCTTGTTTCAGCATCCTGCTTTTGGGGAACCTGAAAAAAGATAATATCCAAGCTGGTTGTTCTTACTCCACATTGCTTCCCTCCCTTCCTATTATCTACTTCTTGATTTCAGGCTCCAATTCATACAAACAGAGCTTATGTCTATAATTTATTATTTTTTTAAAGTTGATCTCTATTTGTACTGAGAAGAGAGAACCAGGAATAAGGGACTACCCCCTTTTCTATCCAAGGACTTCACTTTCAGCAGCACATCCACAAAACACACACACAAATTTGGCAGTCCCAGTATAAAATAACAAGTAGATTCTTCCCATCAATATATAAAGACTACACAATTGTATCTGTAAAGCTGAATAAAGGCATTCCTAGACAGAAATGCTCAATTGATATTTATGAAAAACAGGTACATGAATAAATGAATAAATAACATTCAGGCCAGGCACAGTGGCTCACACCTGTAATCCCAACACCTTGGGGAAGCCAAGGTGGGCAGATCACCTGAGGTCAGGAGTTCAAGACCAGCCTGACCAACATGGTAAAACCATGTCACTACCAAAAATACAAAATTAGCCAGGTGTAGTGGTGTATGCCTGTAGTACCAGCTACTTGGGAGGCGGTGGCAAGAGAATAGCTGGAACCTGAGAAGCAAAGGTTGCAGTGAGCCAAGATCAAGGCATTGCACTCCAGCCTGGGTGACAAGAGCAAAACTCTGTCTCAAAAAATAAATAAACAAATAGATAACTTTTGGTTGTAGAATTGAACACAGGGGTCACAGAAGCAAGGGCTCTCCCCTGATAAAAATCGAAAATGCCATCTTACCAAGCATAAGATCCAAGTGGAAGTGCCTAGTTTCAGCTCCATCACTGTCAAAGTAAAAACCCACAGAAAGTCACATTACTGCTGTGCCTTAAATTGAATCAAGAGTGTCAGACATTCCAGCATTAAGAGCTTTGGTCTGCAAGTCAGGACAGCTGGATGGGAAATCAAACTCACCAGTACTTGACACTTGACATTTCTAAAGTCCAATCTTTATTGGAGTAAATGCAGGAATGATACTTATGGTTACCAGATTATTATCTGAAGGCAATAGGAACTTGGCCTTGAAAATGTGGCTAACTGGGGAGGAGCCAAGATGGCCGAATAGGAACAGCTCGGGTCTACAGCTCCCAGCGTGAGCGACGCAGAAGATGGGTGATTTCTGCATTTCCATCTGAGGTACCGGGTTCATCTCACTAGGGAGTGCCAGACAGTGGGCGCAGGTCAGTGGGTGCACGCACCGTGCACGAGCCGAAGCAGGGCGAGGCATTGCCTCACTCAGGAAGCACACGTGGTCAGGGAGTTCCCTTTCCTAGTCAAAGAAAGGGGTGACAGAGGGCACCTGGAAAATCGGGCCACTCCCACTCGAATACTGCGCTTTTCCAATGGGCTTAAAAAATGGCGCGTCAGGAGATTATATACTGCACCTGGCTCGGAGGGTCCTATGCCCACAGAGTCTCGCTGATTGCTAGCACAGCAGTCTGAGATCAAACTGCAAGGCGGCAGCCAGGCTGGGGGAGGGGCGCCCGCCATCGCCCAAGCTTGCTTAGGTAAACAAAGCAGCCGGGAAGCTCCAACTGGGTGGAGCCCACCACAGCTCAAGGCCTGCCTGCCTCTGTAGGCTCCACCTCTGGGGGCAGGGCACAGACAAACAAAAAGACAGCAGTAACTTCTGCAGACTTAAATGTCCCTGTCTGTCAGCTTTGAAGAGAGCAGTGGTTCTCCCAGCACACAGCTGGAGATGTGAGAACGGGCAGACTGCCTCCTCAAGTGGGTCCCTGAGCCCTGACCCCGGAGCAGCCTAACTGGGAGGCACCCCCCAGCAGGGGCAGACTGACACCTCACACGGCCGGGTACTCCAACAGACCTGCAGCTGAGGGTCATGTCTGTTAGAAGGAAAACTAACAAACAGAAAGGACATCCACACCAAAAACCCATCTGTACATCACCATCATCAAAGACCAAAAGTCGATAAAACCACAAAGATGGGGAAAAAACAGAGCAGAAAAACTGGAAACTCTAAAAAGCAGAGCGCCTCTCCTCCTCCAAAGGAATGCAGTTCCTCACCAGCAACGGAACAAAGCTGGATGGAGAATGACTTTGACGAGCTGAGAGAAGAAGGCTTCAGACGATCAAATTACTCTGAGCTACGGGAGGACATTCAAACCAAAGGCAAAGAAGTTGAAAACTTCAAAAAAAAATTAGAAGAATGTATAACTAGAATAACCAATACAGAGAAGTGCTTAAAGGAGCTGATGGAGCTGAAAACCAAGGCTCGAGAACTACGTGAAGAATGCAGAAGCCTCAGGAGCCGATGCAATCAACTGGAAGAAAAGGTATCAGTGATGGAAGATGAAATGAATGAAATGAAGCGAGAAGGGAAGTTTAGAGACAAAAGAATAAAAAGAAACTAGCAAAGCCTCCAAGAAATATGGGACTATGTGAAAAGACCAAATCTACGTCTGATTGGTGTACCTGAAAGTGACGGGGAGAATGGAACCAAGTTGGAAAACACTCTGCAGGATATTATCCAGGAGAACTTCCCCAATCTAGCAAGGCAGGCCAACATTCAGATTCGGGAAATACAGAGAACGCCACAAAGATACTCCTCGAGAAGAGCAACTCCAAGACACATAATTGTCAGATTCACCAAAGTTGAAATGAAGGAAAAAATGTTAAGGGCAGCCAGAGAGAAAGGTCGGGTTACCCTCAAAGGGAAGCCCATCAGACTAACAGCAGATCTCTCAGCAGAAACTCTACAAGCCAGAAGAGAGTGGGGGAAAATATTCAACATTCTTAAAGAAAAGAATTTTCAACCCAGAATTTCATATCCAGCCAAACTAAGCTTCACAAGTGAAGGAGAAATAAAATACTTTACAGACAAGCAAATGTTGAGAGATTTTGTCACCACCAGGCCTGCCCTAAAAGAGCTCCTGAAGGAAGCACTAAACATGGAAAGGAACAACCGGTACCAACCACTGCAAAATCATGCCAAAATGTAAAGACCATCGAGACTAGGAAGAAACTGCATCAACTAACGAGCAAAATAACCAGCTAACATCATCATGACAGGATCAAATTCACACATAACATATTAACTTTAAATGTAAATGGACTAAATGCTCCAATTAAAAGACACAGACTGGCAAATTGGATAAAGAGTCAAGACCCATCAGTGTGCTGTATTCAGGAAACCCATCTCATGTGCAGAGACACACATAGGCTTAACATAAAAGGATGGAGGAAGATCTACCAAGCAAATGGAAAACAAAAAAAGGCAGGGGTTGCAATCCTAGTCTCTGATAAAACAGACTTTAAACCAACAAAGATCAAAAGAGACAAAGAAGGCCATTACATAATGGTAAAGGGATCAACTCAACAAGAGGAGCTAACTATCCTAAATATATATGCACCCAATACAGGAGCACCCGGATTCATAAAGCAAGTCCTGAGTGACCTAAAAAGAGACTTAGACTCCCACACATTAATAATGGGAGACTTTAACACCCCACTGTCAACATTAGACAGATCAACGAGACAGAAAGTTAACAAGGATACCCAGGAATTGAACTCAGCTCTGCACCAAGCAGACCTAATAGACATCTACAGAACTCTCCACCCCAAATCAACAGAATATACATTTTTTTCAGCACCACACCACACCTATTCCAAAATTGACCACATACTGGGAAGTAAAGCTCTCCTCAGCAAATGTTAAAGAACAGAAATTATAACAAACTATCTCTCAGACCACAGTGCAATCAAACTAGAACCCAGGATTAAGAATCTCACTCAAAACCGCTCAACTACATGGGAACTGAACAACCGGCTCCTGAACAACTACTGGGTACATAACGAAATGAAGGCAGAAATAAAGATGTTCTTTGAAACCAACGAGAACAAAGACACAACATACCAGAATCTCTGGGACGCATTCAAAGCAGTGTGTGGAGGGAAATTTATAGCACTAAATGCCCACAAGAGAAAGCAGGAAAGATCTAAAATTGACACCCTAACATCACAATTAAAGGAACTAGAAAAGCAAGAGAAAACACATTCAAAAGCTAGCAGAAGGCAAGAAATAACTAAAATCAGAGCAGAACTGAAGGAAATAGGGACACAAAAAACCCTTCAAAAAATTAATGGATCCAGGAGCTGGTTTTTTGAAAGGATCAACAAAATTGATAGACCGCTAGCAAGACTAATAAAGAAAAAAAGAGAGAAGAATCAAATAGACGCAATAAAAAATGATAAAGGAGATATCACCACCGATCCCACAGAAATACAAACTACCATCAGGGAATACTACAAACACCTCTACGCAAATAAACTAGAAAATCTAGAAGAAATGGATAAATTTCTGGACACATACACTCTCCCAAGACTAAACCAGGAAGAAGTTGAATCTCTGAATAGACCAATAACAGGATCTGAAATTGTGGCAATAATCAATAGCTTACCAACCAAAAAGAGTCCAGGACGAGATGGATTCACAGCCGAATTCTACCAGAGGTACAAGGAGGAACTGGTACCATTCCTTCTGAAATTATTCCAATCAATAGAAAAAGAGGGAATCCTCCCTAACTCATTTTATGAGGCCAGCATCATCCTGATACCAAAGCTGGGCAGAGACACAACCAAAAAAGAGAATTTTAGACCAATATCCTTGATGAACATCGATGCAAAAATCCTCAATAAAATACTGGCAAACCGAATCCAGCAGCACATCAAAAAGCTTATCCACCATGATCAAGGGGGCTTCATCCCTGGGATGCAAGGCTGGTTCAATATACACAAATCAATAAATGTAATCCAGCATATAAACAGAACCAAAGACAAAAACCACATGATTATCTCAATAGATGCAGAAAAGGCCCTTGACAAAATTCAACAACCCTTCATGCTAAAAACTCTCAATAAATTAGGTATTGATGGGACGTATTTCAAAATAATAAGAGCTATCTATGACAAACCCACAGCCAATATCATACTGAATGGGCAAAAACTGGAAGCATTCCCTTTGAAAACTGGCACAAGACACGGATGCCCTCTCTCACCACTCCTATTCAACATAGTGTTGGAAGTTCTGGCCAGGGCAATTAGACAGGAGAAGGAAATAAAGGGTATTCACTTAGGAAAAGAGGAAGTCAAATTGTCCCTGTTTGCAGACGACATGATTGTATATCTAGAAAACCCCATTGTCTCAGCCCAAAATCTCCTTACACTGATAAGCAACTTCAGCAAAGTCTTAGGATACAAAATCAATGTACAAAAATCACAAGCATTCTTATACACCAATAACAGACAAACAGAGAGCCAAATCATGAGTGAACTCCCATTCACAATTGCTTCAAAGAGAAGAAAATACCTAGGAATCCAACTTACAAGGGATGTGAAGGACCTCTTCAAGGAGAACTACAAACCACTGCTCAAGGAAATAAAAGAGGATACAAACAAATGGAAGAACATTC
The DNA here is from genome assembly GCF_000001405.40 of Homo sapiens. Classification (NCBI taxonomy): domain Eukaryota; kingdom Metazoa; phylum Chordata; class Mammalia; order Primates; family Hominidae; genus Homo; species Homo sapiens. Next base: position 75,204,266 of record NC_000009.12, on the reverse strand, counting down.
CATACTCATGGGTAGGAAGAATCAATATCGTGAAAATGGCCAGACTGCCCAAGGTAATTTACAGATTTAATGCCATCCCCATCAAGCTATCAATGACTTTCTTCACAGAATTGGAAAAAACTAAAGTTCATATGGAACCAAAAAAGAGCCCGCATCGCCAAGTCAATCCTAAGCCAAAAGAACAAAGCTGAAGGCATCACACTACCTGACTTCAAACTATACTACAAGTCTACAGTAACCAAAACAGCATGGTACTGGTACCAAAACAGAGATATAGATCAATGGAACAGAACAGAGCCCTCAGAAATAACACCACATATCTACAACTATCTGATCTTTGACAAATCTGAGAAAAACAAGCAATGGGGAAAGGATTCCCTATTTAATAAATGGTGCTGGGAAAACTGGCTAGCCATATGTAGAAAGCTGAAACTGGATCCCTTCCTTACACCTTATACAAAAATCAATTCAAGATGGATTAAAGACTTACATGTTAGACCTAAAACCATTAAAACCCTGGAAGAAAACCCAGGCATTACCATTCAGGACATAGGCATGGGCAAGGACTTCATATCTAAAACACCAAAAGCAATGGCAACAAAAGCCAAAATTGACAAATGGGATCTAATTAAACTAAAGAGCTTCTGCACAGCAAAAGAAACTACCATCAGAGTGAACAGGCAACCTACAAAATGGGAGAAAATTTTCGCAACCTACTCATCTGACAAAAGGCATTATAATATCCAGAATCTACAATGAACTCAAACAAATTTACAAGAAAAAAACAAACAACCCCATCAAAAAGTGGGTGAAGGACATGAACAGACACTTCTCAAAAGAAGACATTTATGCAGCCAAAAAACACATGAGAAAATGCTCACCATCGCTGGCCATCAGAGAAATGCAAATCAAAACCACAATGAGATACCATCTCACACCAGTTAGAATGGCAATCATTAAAAAGTCAGGAAACAACAGGTGCTGGAGAGGATGTGGAGAAATAGGAACACTTTTACACTGTTGGTGAGACTGTAAACTAGTTCAACCCTTGTGGAAGTCAGTGTGGCGATTCCTCAGGGATCTAGAACTAGAAATACCATTAGACCCAGCCATCCCATTACTGGGTATATACCCAAAGGACTATAAATCATGCTGCTATAAAGACACATGCACACGTATGTTTATTGCGGCATTATTCACAATAGCAAAGACTTGGAACCAACCCAAATGTCCAACAATGATAGACTAGATTAAGAAAATGTGGCACATATACACCATGGAATACTATGCAGCCATAAAACATGATGAGTTCATGTCCTTTGTAGGGACATGGATGAAATTGGAAATCATCATTCTCAGTCAACTATCGCAAGAACAAAAAACCAAACACCGCATATTCTCACTCATAGGTGGGAATTGAACAATGAGAACACATGGACACAGGAAGGGGAACATCACACTCTGGGGACTGTTGTGGGGTGGGGGAAGGGGGGAGGTATAGCACTGGGAGATATACCTAATGCTAGATGACCAGTTAGTGGGTGCAGCGCACCAGCATGGCACATATATACATATGTAACTAACCTGCACAATGTGCACATGTGCCCTAAAACTTAAAGTATAATAATAATAAATAAATAAATTTTAAAAAAAAGAGAAAAAGAAAATGTGGCTAACTAGGTTCCATACTCAATGTAATTATCTAAGAGGGGCTCAAAAACCTAAGGGCTTTCAGCTATCTTTGCTTCCCTTCTTTAAGGAAAGAAGATGATCCAAAACTATGGTCTAGGCACTTTTTTTTTTTAGTATTAGAAAACTTGGTCAAAATGAACTCTTAGGTGGAAATTCAATTTATATACTGTCTTAATTTATTCAGTCAACAAATATCTATTGTGCACCATTGTTCAAAGTACTGGGGATACAGCTGTGAACACAATGGACAAAAAGCCCAGACCTCATGGAACTTACCCTTTAGAAGAAGAGGTGATCTGGTTGAAGGGGTCTATGTGAGCTGGCAAAGGCAAGGAGTAGAGCCCCTGGAGCTCTTTAGTATGCATAAGAACTACCTGGAACACTTGTGGAAGTGCAGGTCCCTACCCTCCCTGCCCCCAGTCCCTCCAGACTCTGATTCTGTAGGTCTCCAGGAAGGAAATTTGGATTTTTAACAAGTACTCAAAAGTATTTGATGTAGGTGATACAGACCACACTGGAGAAGCACGGCCCTAGAGTTTCCCAAGCCACAGTTTACAAACTACGTGCCTAGATTATTTCTCTAGGGATTGGCCTTTCCATCCTCTTTCTCAGGCAGTCATCAAGAAGCATGTGATGGATGTCCCCATTGAACTAGGACCTGAGAAATGCATGAAGTTTCATTAGAGGTATTTTTTTTGTGCCAAAATCAGAGTCAAATAAAAACAAATTACTAAAACTCCAAAATTATCTTAGATTCCAAAAATACCCTCAACGGTAAACAGATGAAGACCTGTGAGCTCCTCTTGAACCAAGTTCCTAGAGTGCTTGGCATATATCTCAGCACACCAACTTAGCCTAAGTATCACAAGGATCTACTTCTGCCACTCTTTCCTGTTCTCAAGTAGTTGTTCATGAAAGGTGAGCACTGTGATTCATCTGAGTCTCTGTGTCCCTTTGTGCCACCACAGTATTTGTTATATGGTAGACAATATATGTTTGTGAAATCCTTGAATAAATGAGATAATGAATGAACAAGTGAATTAACAAATAAATAAGCCAACCTCCCCTGTATTAGCTTGCAAATGAGAGGATCTCTCTTTCTACATGATGTCCAGCTTCCTAAGTCTCTGATTTTAATGTTGAAAGAAGGCCAGAATGAAAAGGAAATCAGCCACTAATTGCTGCCTCCAAAAATTGACCCCCTCAAAAATTACAGAATGCTCTTCGCTACATGGCTTCATGGTTTGTAAGTCCTGGAATTGGCTACATTTCAAATCATGTCTGTAAAAATACATCTACTAAAAAGAAAGCTTGTTGTATGGCAGTTTATAAGAGTTTCCTGGTCCTCTAACACCAGAGTTACATAAAGTTTCCACAGCATACCCTATTTCCATTGCAAAAACCTTTAACCTTTAAGTTAATCCCTCCCCAAATTTGATGATGATGATTGATGAAAATGACAGCAAAAGCCTCCAACTGTTTATTTAGGCATCACTGCCCTCTGCTGGATAAAATTAGAAGTTTCCATGTAAGTGTACTTAGTTTTCCAGATTCTCTGGATATAAAAGGACTTTTAAAGTTATTCTTACCTAGTCAAATCCAGGGCTAAAACTAAGGATCAGTATTTGATTTTCTCCTTTTGCCTAAGGCTCCAATATGATTCAATACAACATTGTTACTGATCCTGTCTTTATCCAAAATTGTGATGTTTTGTTCATTGGGAACTTTTTTGCGTTAAATTTTATTTTTAATATCGCATTAAAATATTGTTTATCTTGATCACTGAATCTTTTGAGGCTCCCTTAAATTTTGTCCCTATAGCAAGTGCCTCACTTGCCTTACCCTAATCCCAGCACTGGTCAAACTAGCCCTAAACTACTTTCTCCAGGAAGTTGACAGCCACATTTGAACACTTCAGGAACATCTTCCTTGACCTCTCTCACTAGGTCTAGGCTCCCTAAACTAGGGTCCTGCAGAACCATGTATCTCTCCTTGCATAATTGCTGAATAAATATCTGACTCCACTCTAGACTGACCTCCATGAAAACAGGAGACTTGTCTGGAATTTTTTCTAAGCATAGGATTTTCAGTACCAGTAGTTAGAGAATAAATATAAGTTGAATGAAAGAATTACCAAATACCAGTGAAAGAAGGAAAATCTTCCTTCTATTAGAGCAAAGTAATAATAACAGCAAAAACAACTGCTATTTCCTGATCACTTACTGCATGGCGGACTTTGTGCTGAGTAACATATGGTCTCATTTAATCCACACAACAGTCTTGCATGGCATGGACCATTAATACCCACATTTCAGCAGAGGAAGAATCTAAGGCTTAGAGAAATGCAGAAACCAGAAGCATTTCTTTCTGTAGAAAGAAATGTAGAAACATTGGTTCTAGAGCTTTCCCTTCATAACACTTTTACATATCACACAAAAATAATTCCATCAAACAAGACTATAAGAGACAATAACTAAAAAAAGAAAAAAGTAGGAATTCCAAATCCTACCCAAAAAGGATTATATGCCTGTTATGTGAAAGGCTCTAGACTAAGATCTTCAGGGAATGAAAAGGAAAAGCAGAGCAAATATCTCTCTGGGATCATCAGTTTAGGAAAATATGGAATATTTTAAAAATTAACTATGCAAATACTAATGTAAAAATATAAGGTCTAGTAGGGTCAATGTCATAAGAGAAGGAATAAATGTGAGAGAAAGATTATAATCTGGTTGGAGGGATCAAGAATCCCTTCATAGGAGGTGGCAGCATGTCAGCCAAGCTCTGAAGGAGAGAATAAATATTAACAGGTAGAATTGAGGATAGGAGGAGGGAGAACAACTGAGAAAGAGGCAACAGTCCAAGGAAAACCACCTTTACAAAAATCGTAACAGCGGGAATGACGACAGTGAGAGAGATCTGGTCTAACCAACTCTATCTTGCCTTTAATGTCCTAACTACCCATCGTCATGCCTGAGTGTGGGCCAAGATAATTTAGGGAGAAATTTAGTTTATAGCTTAATTGATAATAGCCCGTCCCCAAAACTACCACCTCTATAAAACTAACTAAAGGTCACCAGGTTAGGAGGATGAGAGGGGCCTCAATTCATAGTTAAATGACTACCAGCCATTATTCTGGAAGACATAAGATTTGCAACTTCCCCAAGTACTCCTGTAAATAGCATCACTATTGTAGAATCTGAGATTGGCCTTTTGAGATGTCTTTTCAGACGTTTGCATTTCTGATGATGGGATGGTCATACGGGGACCAGCGACTCCTCTGTGGCCCCCACCCAGAAGCAGACTCAGTGCTGGAGGACGGTTTTCCACACCCCTATGATTGCATTCCCAACCAATCAGCAGCACCCATACCCTAGCCCCTGCCCACCAAACTATGGTTGAAAAATCCTAGCCTCCAAATTTTCAGGGAGGCTGATTTTAGTAATAATCAAACACCAATCTGCCGTTTAGCGGGTTCTGCACGTATTAAACCCTTTCTTTATTGCAATCCCCCTGTCTTGATAAATTGGCTCTATCTTAGCAGTGGGCAAGAAGAACACACTGAGTGGTTACACAAACACAAGGAAAGAGGCAGGAGCGTGTGTGTGTGTGTGTGTGTACGGGAATGTTGCAGTTTGTCTGCAACACAAGGCACACATAGAAAGTAAAGGGACATGGGGCAGGAATGCAGACTGGAACATAGCACCAAGGCACCCCCATGCCAGGCCAAGGGACCCTTACATAAGTATTTCCTACTAGAAAGAAAGAACATTTCTGAGCAGGGAAATGCTGTGAAGCTCAAACCCTCCTCCCCCACCAAAATCCATTGCCTCGGGCTGCTGGTAGTTCCCCTGGCTAATAAGGATACCTCATCCGAGCCATTTCCACTTCCAGGCTTTGTCACCTGCTGAGGCCAGAAAGGCAGTGAAAGGGTCTGGAAGCATTGGTGGCCTAGGGAGGGTGGCCCCTGGTGGCCACTCAGCTAACCAACATGGTGGCAGAGGCGGCAGCGGAGGCCCCACTGCGCTACGTGGGTCTGGGTTGGAATAACAGAGTAAATGGTGGGCAGCAACTTAGCACTGGCATTATTGGTGAGGCTGGGACACAGGCTCTCCAAGTCCCGCTGTGGAGGAGGTGCTAGCATCTACATGCACACCGTTCCTAATAGTAAAATCCTTGGAAGACCTTGATGTAGTTCTTGTGTTCAATCACGGCTCAGAAAGGAGCACTATTTAGTCAGTGAAATCCACAAAAACAGTTTTTTCTAAAATCAATAAACAAGTTGGAAATTATTAGAATAATTTGGTGAGTGATATGCACCAGAATTAGTTATATCACTTGTTTTGTGACATACAGTTTAGTTTAGTTAGAGAATAAGAAACCCATTTCTGATTTTCTTTTTTTTTTTTTAACACTTCACAAACTTGTGTGTCATCCTTGTACAGGGACTGTGCTAATGTTCTCTGTATCATTCCAGTTTTGGTATGTGTGCCACCAAAGCGAGCACTGTCATTTTCTTATTCACTTATTTATCTATGCAGCCATAGCAGTTGTTGGATGTTTTAAATACCTCTCAGGTTTGCAGTCATTCATTCACATAGAGACAGAAAGCTGTCATGACGGCCTGGCAGCAAATGAGAAGACATGAAGACGTCCCTCCTACACAGTGGCTGAGCTGATCTCCCTGCATCCAAGACCATTCCCACCCACCCTGCAGAGCTCTGTCCTATGACATCACCTGCTGACTCCCCTAAAATAGCACACTGACATAATGTAGATGTGGTTTACTTTTTCCTTCAGAGGTGGAGGACACTGTTACCAGAATAGAACGGGTTTATTGCCTGATTAACTGGCCTAAACGGTGGGTGAGATGTATTCATCCATTTCTAATTAGTGAAAGCTGGCTTTGTGCCAAGCTCTGTGCTAGACTCTGGGACACAGTAAGAAGAAATGAGTAAGCAAAGGAGCCTCTGGAGGAAGGACACCCGCTCAACCTTAGAGGGTAGGAAAAGCTTCTGGGAGAAAGTGGTGTTGACAACGCTGGGACCTGAGAGATGAGGAAACATTAGCCAGGCTCTTCAGATGCTGGGGAGGAGACAGGGAAAAAGAAAGGAAAGGAGGGAGGGAGAAGGAGCAGAACACAATTGCAGGAAAAAAACAGTAAGTTCTTAAAGACGTGCAAGAGAAAAAATATAGTTCCTTGGGGAAAGTGGATGCTTCTTAAGCCTGGAGCACTGAGCACAAGGTGGGTGCTATAGTTTGGATGTTTGTTTGTCCCCTCTAAGCCTTATGTTGAAATTTAATCCCCAGTGTGGCCATATTGGGAGGTGGGGCCTAATGGAAGATGTTTGGGTCATGGAGATGGATCCTGCATGAATACATTAATGCCCCCCACGGGGGGTGAGGGTGAGTGAGTTCTCATTCTATTAATTCCCTCAAACATTGGTTGTTAAAAAGAGCTGGCGCCTCCCACTTCTCTTGCTTGTCCCCTCTCTCAGCATGTGATATCCGCACACACCGACTCCCCTTCCCCTTACACCATAAGTGGAAGCAGCCTGTGGCCCTCACCCATTGCAGACGCCCAATCTTGAACTTTCCAGTCATTGGAACCATAAGCCAAATGATCCTTTTTTCTTTATCAACAGCCCAGCTTCAGGTATTCATTTACAGCAACACAAAACAGACTAAGACAGTGGGGAGCTGTCACAGGTAAGACTGGGGTGACAAGCAAAGCCCAGGTCACAGAGGTCTTCATAAGCCACATGAACAGGACTGGGCTTTATTGTGAGAGTCGTTGAAAAGATTTAAGAGAAGGGTAATGTGATCAGATTTGCATTTGAGACAGGGTACCCTAGCTGCAGTGTAGGGACTAGATGGGAGAGGGCTAGACTGGAAGCAGGGAAACAGTAAGGATTCTTGCTGTGGTAAATCAGGTGAAAGAAAGATGATGGTGTCAGAACTTAACTAATGACCACGGGGTTGAGAGAAGTGGGCATTTCACACACTATTTATTACAAAGAATTAAAGACCTTGGTGACTGATGGATGGTTTTAAGAACTGAAACTTTGTGTCCCTCTCAACTCCCGACAAAATTTATATTTTGAAACCCTAACTTTTATGTGGCTATATTTGGAGCTAGGGCCTCTAAAGAAGCAATTAAGGTTAAATGAGGCCATAGGTATGGGGCCCTGATCCAATAGGATGTGTCCTTCCTTATAAGAAGAGAAACCAGAGAACTTGCTCTCTCTCTTTCTCTCTGCCCGCCATGTAAGGACACATTAAAAAGGTGGCCATCTGTAAACCAGGAAAAAAGCCCTCAGCAAAAACTAAATTTACCAGCACATTCATCTTAGACTTTCCAGCTTCCAGAACTATGAGAAAATAAATTTCTGTTGTTTAAGTCACCTAGCCCATGATATTTTGTCATAGCAGCCAAATAGACTAATACGGATGGGGGTTCACAGAGAGAGAGGAGTCAAATGGGACCTCCAGGGTTCTAGCTTGGTTAAGATGCGACCTGGAATACCAGGCACTGATAGGTGTGCACAGGAGAAACAGGCTTGTGGGGAGGATGAGTTCCAATCTGGGCATATAGGGTTTGAGGGACTATGGGACATCCAGGCAGAGATGCCCAGTAAGCAGTTGGATACATAAGTCTGGGGCTCAGAAGAAGCAGCTAGATCAGAGATGTAGATTTAACAATAAGCATATAGCTGATAATTAAAGCCTTGAAACAACAAGATATTTCTCAGGAAGAGAATGAGGATGAATAAAAAGAAAAAAAAAAAGACTGAGGACATACATCAAAAAATCACCAATGTTTAAGGAATGGAGAGGAAAAAGAAGAGCTTTTGGGGAAGTTTAAAAGTGGAAGGGGAAAAATCCAAAAATGATGGTGGACAAACATAAATGGGGGTGTGGAAATATCAAGAGGGAGAGCATGAACAATACTGTTGGCTGTTTATGGGAGACTAAGTTAGGTCAAGGCAGAGAAGGGATGCATTGGTTCAGCAGTGCAGGGGATGCTGGCAACCTGGAAAAGAGGACCTTCAGTGGAGTGGCAAGGGCAGAGTCAGGTGCAGAGTAAAGGGCAGAATTAGCAGAATAAACTCTGAGAGAAGTGGAAGTAAAACAATAGCAGAAATAAGGTCAAACCATATTTGCAAATATTTTTACTCTTGAGCTGTAATTTTTTTTTTTTTTTTTTTTTTGAGACGGAGTCTCCCTCTGTCACCCAGGCTGGAGTGCAGCGGCGCGATCTCGGCTCACTGCAAGCTCCACCTCCCAGGTTCACACCATTCTCCTGCCTCAGCCTCCCGAGTAGCTGGGACTACAGGCGCCCACCAACACACCCGGCTAGTTTTTTGTATTTTTAGTAGAGACAGGGTTTCACAGTGTTAGCCAGGATGGTCTCGATCTCCTGACCTCATGATCCACCCGCCTCGGCCTCCCAAAGTGCTGGGATTACAGGCGTGAGCCACCACGCAAAGCCGAGCTATAACTTTTTGATAGATGTAAACAGGAAGATGGAATTCATTACTAGAAGCCATAAAGAGATACTTTATTTGTGTAATGCTATTTCTTAAATTAGACTATATGGCAGGTTAGAAATGAAGTCACATTTCAACATTATGTGGAACTAGATTGGTATATTTTGTTCAGATTAGATTTTAATGGAAATGAAGCTTTGTGAACTTTTAAGCTTTCAAAATGGTTTCTTTTGTTTATTTGTAAAGTGGCTTGAGAGCAACTATAAATACATTTTGACATCAGGCAAATTCCAGGAAAGTTATCTCTGTGTATGTAATATTGGTTGTCATTATGGTGATTTGGAGAAAATAATACTCCGTACATAATTATAACCAAATGATCCATATTGACCCAAAGCCTTACTGAACTATTGTTGAGATAGAAATATCTGGACTGTAGTAAGAGTCTTGGAAGTGCTAATTCTCACCCTCTCCCTCTACCTCCCACTTTTTCTCTGCCTCTGTAATCATCCAAATGCAAAAAGCCCTAAATCAACACTTGGCAAAATCCTCCTAACATTATTTTGAGACGTTTCTGTTTACTTGTGAGTTTTAATTCCTCTGCAAGGAGTTCTTCCCTGCTCTCAAATCCCGAAATGTACTAGAGGATTCTATCACTCTCCTCCTCCCTCCAAATCCCAGAACTTGGCCCATCGAAGACCCATAACCTTACCTTCCCTCTGATTCTCTTCTGCTCCTCCCAAGTCCAGGCAGACATTATCCAGTATTTATGTGGGAGAACTGGCTCTAACTGTTCATGTGGTTTTCCAAACTTTGTGTTTGCCTGGTCTTAACTTCAAAAATACAAAAGTTAAAAATTACTTTTCTTTTACCTGCAATCTGCTCTGTGTCAGCCCATCTCTACGGTATAAAGATAAATTTCATACTATATCAGACTGACGAAGAGATACAAAACCTATAGGGAGGGAATTTTAGTTTATATCTCAAAATATTATCTTGCCACTTAAGCAAATAAAAGAGAGAGATAGAAAGGAGGAGGAAGGAAAGAAAGAGGAAGGAAGGAAGGGAGGGAGGGAGGAAAGTCATCAGATTTAATTTAAAAATTAGATTACCCCCATCATCTAACAACACAATCACTGGGAACAATTTTGGTATATATCTTTTCAATTTATTATCTATATATCCATCTATATATTTCTACTATGTCTATCTTTTGCTACCTGTAGGTTGCAATCTGCTTTATTGAATTTAATAATTCACTTCTCTCATGCTTGACAGCATTACTCAATTCTGAAAAGCCTTTCTAAATATAAAAAAAGTAAATTTAAATTTTTTCTTTAATTTTTAACGAAAAAATTTATGACACTTTTTTATCTTAACCTACCTTACCCAAACAATTTTCACATTGCTAACTAAGCAATAAAAACAAGTTTATACAAACAGCAGACAACAGTATCCCAAAGTATCTGAATATGGTTTGTATATTGACTAAAATATAATAAAGATCTATTGTACTCACAAAATGAGGACAAATAGTCTTCGTAGTGGATGTTGGTTGGGGACAGTTGTGAGAAAGTCATTCTTTTGGAAGATGAATTTTCTATACACCATTTTCTTTACCAATTTTTCACATTTTCAGGGATTCATGATTATATTTGGCACTCAAATTAGAAATAATTGGACTTAGAAATAAAGTTAGATCACTGAAAGCTATCTATAGGGTAAAATAAAGGCTAAATCTTTGTATTAGTCTGTTTTCATACTGCTATAAAGAACTGCTCAAGACTGGGTAATTTATAAAGGAAAGAGGTTTAATTGACTCACAGTTCAGCAGGGCTGGGGAGGCCTCAGGAAACTTACAATCATGGTGGAAGGCACCTCTTCACAGGGCAGCAGGAGGGAGAATGAGTGCAAGCAGGGGAAATGCCAGACGCTTATAAAACCATCAGATGTCATGAGAACTTACTCACTATCACAAGAACAGCATGGGGAAACCGCCCCCATGATTTAATCACTTCCCACTGGGTCTCTTCCACGACATGTGGGGATTATGGGAACTAAAATTCAAGATGAGATTTGGGTGAGGACACAGCCAAACCATATCAGTTTTATAATTCTTAGCAAAGTATGGAAAGAGCACACAGAGACACTATGTCTTTACCCCACTGGATTGGTGAACCTACACAAAGCAAAGTATTTAGAATCACCTAATGTGGTGCCCAATTCTACTTGTTTCACATTATATTATTTGACTAGAAACTACTGTGTTGAGAAAATTGGTTTGGTTAACATGGTTATCCTAAAATCATTTGGTTAACATGGTTATCCTAAAAGCATAATGTTTAAACAATCTGGTTTGGTTAACATGGTTATCCTAAAACTATGTTTTAGGATATAATGTTTCATATCGCATATTTACTTAGTATTGCTTGGGTGAAAAATAGTTAAATTTTTTTAAACATTGTCTGAAAAGTTGTATAACTGTGAAATAGCCAATATGGCCAAAAATTGTTGAATGAACAGTCATTATATGAAGTAAATCTATCTATGGAAACATCATTTTATGCCAGTAAATATGATTCTACAGCAATATTTTAAATGGCTGCATAAATTCCATTACATAAATGTACCAAAATGTATTTAAACAATTCACAATTATTAGAAATTTAGTGATTTTTTTCCAGATTTCATTGTTGTAAACAATACTATGCATGATCCTTCTTGTGGTGAAGTCTCCTAAGAGGCTTTTCATATTAAAGTATTAGCCCTTTTATCCAAAGCTAGATCCCAATTCTTCTGATTCCCAAGTTAGTATTTTTCTCTCTACGCCAAATTGAGGAGACAGGGATCACACTAAATTTGCTGTACATAGATTGACACAACCACAGAAACAAACAAGCAAAGATTCCCATGAACACACACATATTAAAAGTAAAGGCAAAACTGCAATTACTTTTGTACCAACCTAATAGAAGTTTATGTTGATCGTTTGATTCAGAAGAATGCAATTCTCACTCCAGAGTAATTGACCAACGGTTTATTAAATAATATGCTTTTCAGAGGAATATAACCAAGAAAAAAATTTACTTCTTGTCCAAATTTGTCTTCATAGTTTAGTTTGGAAATCCCTTCTGAAAGACTCAATGCTTTAGGCTAGAGTTTCTTTAAGAGTTTTTCAACTTTCCTTGTTAACCAAGTAAGGGAAAACTGTGTTATGCTAGAAAAAAAAATGGCCTGGTTCCAATTCTTTTGCCTTTACCTTTGTTCCTTCATTGACTTGTAAAGGTAATTAATATGGAAAAACTCTGGTGATCCATATGGCCAGTGTTCTCCACTAATTAAGGTGTTAGTTCACATACATACACAGACACATACATGTGTTACCTGGGCAACTATACACAGAAGCAGAAATTAATTAACATGATGACAAATATAATTAAAGCAAGAACCTATGGCCTTAAAATGGTATTATCTGGTATCACCAAAAGAGTAAGACTGAATGTGTTTTCATTTACAGAGAAGTAAATGGCTTCAAATTCCTATTTCCAATTCAGTTATGACATTTTCCTGATGAAGCATACGTCCTGGCCAGAGTACTGTGTTATAAACAAGCAAATTTCCTGTAAATGTTACAAATCTATTTCAAATCTAACAGGTTCTCTTATTTCTCCAATAGCTCAGGTTAAAAATATATATATACAGCACATTAATATAATTTATCCATCTTGTTCAGGAAGAATAGAGAATTGGTAAGGTTAATTGATTTCCCATTTACTATTTCTGGTGTTGGTTTCCATGAAAAAAAAAAGATGTGTTTGGATGTCAGCAAATCAATAACTATTTCATTTTCCTTCATTCTTTTTATGAGGAGGCAGCCTAGGGCAGTGAAAGCCTCCCCAGACATAGGAGACATGGAAATGCCTAAGAGGTGCTACTGCTGCTGGAACAGACACCTGGAATTGGTAGTTGCCATAACCCACAATCCTCACAACAATCACCAGCAATTTCTGGCAACTCAACAATTTCCACTGTTATGGAAGCCAGAATCAGAAAGCTTACCCTTTCCTCCCACTTCTGAACTCTCATAAATGCCACTTACTGACAGAACCTAAAAGGCAGCCTCTTGGCAAAGGATCCTGGGAAATGTAGTTTGTAGACTCCCAGAACTAGCAGTACAGAAGCAAGTAAGAAAGAGTAAGTGCTCAGCTTAGAGACAGCAGATAAATAATTGGCACACCTCTAAAACTAAAAACAGAAGCAGAAAAGCAAAACAGAATTACGGAATTCAGAGGAAACACTGACAGTACAGAGAACGGTAACCAAAAAAAACTTTTTAAGAAATGATTAAGAACAGAAAAAACAAGAAAAGGTAGGACATCCATAAAAACAGAATGAGACACTGTTAAATAAAAAGGCATCTTAAAACAAGAGAGAGCAAATGGAAACAAAAACTGTGATAATTAAAACTAAAAATAAAAGTTCAAAAGAAGACTTGAAAGGCAAGGTAAAAAAAAATCCCATAAAATTTAAATACACAGGAGTAGAAAAAATGACAAAATTAGAGGATCTACTAAGATCTGAATAATAAGAACTTCAGAAAAAGAAAATGGAAAATAGATGAAAGGAACATATAAAAGACATAATAAAAGAAAAATTTCTAGAACTGAAGAAAATAAATCTATAGTTTGAAAAGCCCCACCCAAGTACCCAAAAATGACCAAGGCATGTCACCATAAAATTTCAGCACACCAGGGATAAAAAGAAAATCCTAAAAGTTTAAATAGAAGAAAAAAGAGACCATGTATAAAGATTCAGGAATAAAAAGTCATCAGACTTTTTTTTTTTTTTTTTGAGATGGAGTTTCCGCTCTTGTTGCCCAGGCTGGAGTACAATGGCACAATCTCAGCTCACCGCAACCTCCACCTCCTGGGTCCAAGCGATTCTCCTGCCCCAGTCTCCCGAGTATCTGGGATTACAGGCATGTACTACCACTCCCGGCTAATTTTGTATTTTTAGTAGAGACAGGGGTTTCTCCATGTTGGTCAGGCTGATCTCAAACTCCCGACCTCAGGTGATCCACCCGCCTCGGCCTCCCAAAGTGCTGGGATTACAGGTGTGAGCCACCACACCCAACCAAAGTCATCAGACTTTTAAAGAGCAAAAATAAAGGAGAAAGGAATAGAAAGTATCATCAAAATTTTGAAGAAAACTTATTTCTAACATACAATTCTGTCCCGTCTATATTATCAAACAAAAGGTAAAATAAAAATAAAAACATTTTTAGAATACAGGTTACCCCAAAATTGTCTTCCAAGCATTGTTTCCCAAAAAGTTATTGTAAGGTAAATTCCACCACAAGAAGGAAGTAAACCAAGAAGTCATGAGTTTCAAAAGAAGGAATGAAACACAGAAGAGGTGAGGGGAATTTGGATGAGAATTGGTTCCTCAATGGCAGCTATGCAAAAGCCTAGAGATCAGCCAATCCAGACTGGATTAGTAAGATAAAAGGCTCTGGAACAGAGTTGTTTCCATGGGGAAGAGTAAAGGGGAGGACTAATAGATCAAGTATGGCTATACAAAAAGGACATGTACAATTCTGTCAGAGTACTTGGGAAAGAGTTGACAGGTACATGGAAAACCAAATATATTGGTGGTGGGGGGAGGATCCTAGCAACTACTAACTCCAGCAAAAACAAAAAGTTATAAAAGAAATGTATTACATTTTATGATAATGCTGTGAACAATACATACATAATTAAAAGAACGTAAATGGTGAATACTGATTTCACCAAAAATGTATAATGTAGTAGATGTTTGCATGGGGTCAGAGAAAGCACTGGTGATGTGGGAGTATATAAGAGATAAAATCTCAACTATGCTAGTAGAAAATCAATAGAATATATTGAAAACTAAAACATTAAGGAATGTCATTTAACCATGACGATCCATTTTACACATCATGAAACTATTGCTTTTAAACTGTCAGCAAGTTTTCACAGGTCATACTCAGAAATGGACAGTGCTAGCATTCCAGTCCTAGCCTGTCATGCAAAACCTGTGCCTTCGACTCCTTTATGTGCTGATTCTGCCTCATTGGCAGTGTCATCTTTTATGTCTTTTATGTTTAAGCTCTAAGTCCCACTCTCTAAGGTGTGCATTTCTAACACCATAGAATCCC
This sequence comes from Homo sapiens, assembly GCF_000001405.40. Lineage (NCBI taxonomy): Eukaryota > Metazoa > Chordata > Mammalia > Primates > Hominidae > Homo > Homo sapiens. Next base: position 75,188,909 of record NC_000009.12, on the reverse strand, counting down.
ACATGACATCATGTTAGGGATATTACTCAGAACCTATTGCAGAGGAGAATCATACCAAATCATTTGTCATATAATGTGCTAACCACAAATGGTAGCACATCCTTTGACCAGCATCCTCAGAATAAACTATAACACCAAGATCCTATTACAATTTTAAAAGGAAATCATCTAAAAATGGGATGTTCTCATTCCTGACCTCTCAAAAATAAAGATTCTTAATAATCATTAAAATTCTTAATGATTTTTAGTAATCATAACTCTTTGTGAATGATTTCATACCATTTCTTTGGGTGTCTCACAGAAATGCCCATTTTCGTATTGCAAGCTACTTTGGAGAACTTTTTAAGTACATGTCAAGTCTAAAGTTGTAGTTTTTGCCAGATATAAATTGGAACAACCTGAGGAGTTTTTTCAAATACTGATCCCTAGACACCACCACAGACCAATTAAAAATCAGAATGTCTAGATGTTTTAAAAGCATTCCAGGTTATTCTAATATAAAGTGTTGAAAACCATAGGTTCACAATGTCAGAGTCGTTTGAACCTGTCCAACTCCATTTTGAATAGGGGCTGGGTAAAATGAGGCTGAGATCTACTGGGCTGCATTCCCAGGAGGTTAAGGCATTCTTAGTTACAGGATAAGACAGGTGGTTGGCATAGATACAGGTCATAAAGACCTTGCTAATAAAACAGGTTGCAGTAAAGAAGCCGGATAAAACCCACCATAACCAAGATGGTGACAAGAGTGACCTCTGGTAGTCCTCGCTGCTACACTCCCACCAGCGCCATGACAGTTTACAAATGCCATGGCAACAACAGGTTACCCTGTGTGGTCCAAAAAGGGGAGGCATGAATAATCCACCCCTTGTTTAGCATATCATCAAGAAATAACCATAAAAGTGGGCAACCACCAGCCTTCAGGGCTGCTGTGTCTATGGAGTAAGCATTCTTTTTTTCTCTACTTTCTTAATAAACTTGCTTTCACTTTACGGACTCACCCTGAATTATTTCTTGTGCAAAATCCAAGAACCCTCTCTTGGGGTCTGGATCAGAACCCCCTCTCCGGTAACAACAATAGTGATTCTCAAAATGTGGTTCCCAAATCAGCAGCACTAGCATCACCCGGGAACTTGTCAGAAATGCAGATTGAGCTCTGGCGACCAGAAGTCTAAAGTCAAGGTGTTGGCGTGGCGCGACCTCACTCCCTCCCAAGGCTCCCCGGTTCCTTGCCTCTTCCAGTTTCTGGTGTCTGTTGGCATTCACTGTGGCTGCATCCCTCCAATCTCTGCCTCCGTCTTCACATGGCTCTCTCATCTGTGTGTCCGTGTCTTCCCTTCTTCTGTCCCTTACAAAGACACTTGTCATTGGATGTAGGGTCCACTTGGTAATCCAGAATGATCTCATCTTAAGATTCTTAACTTAATTACACCTGCAAAGACACCCTTACCCTCACATTCATAGGTTCTGGGGACATATTTTTTTGGGGGACACCATTCAACCCACTACAACACTCAAGTTTGAGAAGCAGTGGTAGAGGCAGAATGAATGAGGAAATTCCACATGGAAAGGTGCTCCCTTCAATTTCACAAAAATCCCCCCCCCCTTTTCATTTTCTCCTCTTGTTCACTTCTTTCTCTTCCTTTTATTCACTTGATTGTTATGTGTTTCTATTTCTTTTCCACTATTTTTTTTTTCCTCATATTCCTTGAGAAAAAATTTTTCCATTACTTTTTGACTCTTATAGCCCCGTTCAGGCTGCAAACTGCATTTCCGTTTTAGAAGAAAATTCAGAATAGTGAAACAAGGCTTCCTTTTTTGGGTGAAATATCAAAAATCATATTTCACATAAAATGTGATCAAATCTGATTTTAGAATTAATACTACAGATAAATGCTGTAGATGGTTTAGTAATTCTGTTTTTCCCATTGCAACCAGTGTCCTCTAGTGGTCAATGTTGGAATTGATAGTAAAAAATAAACATTTTCATCTCTTTTCTTGCTTACTGATTAAATAACATATGTTGAGAAAGCAATGTGTGTCAGATACTGTAGATGTCTATATAAGACACCTAGACAAATAAAATTAAGATGCCGTCCTTCAAAAGCTCGACTTTTTCCTGTATTATTTCAGAGATGCTGGAATATTTGATTGGAATATTTATTTCATTAAAATCTATGAAAACCATTTCAAGTTCATTAGTGTAACTATGCAGACGTTCTAGCAAGCAATTTTTTTTGTCCAGAGGGATAATTCCAAGAAACTTTATAATGTATGAAAAATGAATGAAATATACAACATAACTCAGGTCAGAAACACTTGGTGTGATGATTTAATAAATTGTACATGCCAATATAAAAATTTTAACTCTTTGAAACCCCTTTATCTCTCATGTTAATCCTTATATCTCTTTTATGTTTTGAAGAATAGCAAATTGGTTCAAGAGTGCACTAATCAAGCACACACATTTTACTCTCTTTCCTCCCCAAATCCCATGGAAATAAAAATAAATAAATAAAATAAACATGAGAATAAATCTGTAAAGAATTGAATCATGGGAAACTGGCATCACCAGACCAAAAGTAAGTGCAATTTTGACTAAATGTATGGGGTAAGTGTATAGCAGAGTCATGTCAGGCATGGGAATTCCTGATCTGAGTAGGGTTTTCCAAGAGTTGTATTGGTCTTCATAAGACAAGGAGGTACTTAGGGGTGAAGAGGCCATAGCAGGAAGGGAAGCTGGGGGAGTGTTCATGTGGAGAGCCCAGCTTCTGAGATGCTTTCCTCTTAAACCCCAATAAAAGAATCTTCCAGTTAGAAATCTAGTCTTTCCCCTCCTACACTATAATTCCCTCTTTTAAACTTTTCCTATCCTTCAGTAGATAAATTCTTATTGTTATGGGCTAAGTTGTATCCCCAAAAATGCATGTGTTGAAGTCCTAACCCCCAGTACCTCGGAATATGACTGTATTTGGAGGTAGGGTCTTTAAAAAGGTAAGTAAGGTAAACTGAGGTCATATGGGAAGGCCCTAATCCAATATAACTGTTTCATAATAAGAAAAGGAGACTAGGAAGCCGGCAACACACAGACTGAGGGACAAGCACGACAGGGCACAGCAAGAAGGCCGCCACCTGCAGGTCAAGGAAAGAAGCTTCACTGTAAAACAACTCTGCTGACACCTTGATCTTGGACTTCCAACTTGCAGAACTGTCAGAAAATAAATTTCTGTTGTTTAAGCCACCCACTCTGTGGTAATTTGTTATGGCAGCAAACTAATACACATATTCACCTGCAGAGCCTGGTGGAATAATCTTAGAGAGGCTGCACAGGACAATTCATAAAAAGTGAATGAAAGGGAGTCCCAATACCTCGTTATCACACTGGCACCCCTCAAGAGGGATCCTTATTATTTCAAGTCTATGAGCTGTAGCACAATGCACAGGACAATTCATAAAAAGTGAATGAAAGGGAGTCCCAATACCTCGTTATCACACTGGCACCCCTCAAGAGGGATTCTTATTATTTCAAGTCTATGAGCTGTAGCACAATGCAGTCTGCAGAAAGACGAGGAAATTTTAGAAAGAGCAGTAAAGCCAAGATGTTCAGAAGCATCCCTGAGTGGACAACTGGAGACACAGATGACTGAACTATCTGCTTCCACTGCTCCTGCATGATGATTTTACTTAGTACATGGATGAGTATTCATTTTAACCATTACATATTTGTCTGGGTGTAATACATACAATTATTATATCAATTCCATTATTTTACAGACATTGCTGCTAAAAATAAGGCTAGTAAAAATCGAGAATTGATTTAAAGCTGAAGAGGAAAAGTGAAAAATTCCATAAAGAAAAAAAAGTTATGTACAGGGCAATAATGATCATACATCTACAACCTAAGATGCTAGGAAACAAAAGAGTATATATACAGAGTTCTAAGAGGAAAGGATTTAGAACCTGAAATCCCATATCCAGACAAATTATCACTCACATAAAAGGACAAAATAAGGATATTTGTAGATGTCACACAAAACTTTTAGATATAACTACTGATCTGGTTTGGATCTGTGTCCCCACCAAAGCTCATGTTGAATCATAATCCCCATTGTTGGAGGTGGGGCCTGGTAGGAGGTGATTGGATCATGGTGGCAGATTTCTCATGAATGAGTTCATACCATCCCCTTGGTACTGTCCTCATGATAGTGAGTGAGTTCTCATGAGACTGGTGGTTTAAAACTGTGTGGCACCTCCCTGCTCTCTGTCTCAGTCCTGCTTTTGCCGTGTGATGTGCCTGCTCCCCCTTTGCCTTCCGCATGATTGTGAGCTTCCTGACACCTCCCCAGAAGCAGACGCAGCTATGCTTCCTGCACAGCCTGCAGGACCATGAGCCAAATTAAAACTTGCTTTTTTGTAAATTACCCAGTCTCAGGTATTTCTTTATAGCAATGAGAGAACTGACTAATACAAATACTGAATGAGGAACTTCAGTAAGAAGGAAATTGAATCTCATAAGTTAAATTGTATGTAAGAAACATTGGTAAGCACATTGATAATATGTGATAAAATAAATACTGAGGCCTGGTGCCAGTGACTCATACCTGTAATCCCAGCACTTTGGGAGGCCGAGGCAGATGGATCACTTGGGTCAGAAGTTCAAGACTAGTCTGGCCAGCATGGTGAAACCCCACCTCTACTAAAAATACAAAAATGAGATGGGTGTGGAGGCTGGCGCCTGTAATTCCAGCTACTCGGGAGGCTGAGGCATGAAAATTGCTTGAGCCTGGGAGGCAGAGGTTGCAGTGAGCCGAGATTGTGCCACTGCACTCCAGCCTGGGCAACAGAACGAGACCCTGTCTCAAAATAAATAAATAAATACATACATACATACACACACACACACTGAGTGTTGAGTAAGGTAGAGAATAAAGAATTCCCTTCTCTTGGCATGAGTAAAGAGGAGGGCTTGGTTTGGGAAGCCCTATGTTATAGGACTGGGATCCCCCATCTTGCATTCCCTTTTTAGGGTGCTGATAGGCGGGAGAAAACACTTTGGGCTTAGCCCCAGATAGTCTGAACACAAGAGGTAGCTCTTTATGGGTAAATGCCAATTGTCCACACTTGGTGTCCATAGTGAGCACTGGTGATCTCAAGCACAGTCTCCCCTCTCCCCACCGGGTCCCCACTGGGGTTAGAAGAGCCCTTGTGATATGGTTTGGCTCTGTGTCCCCACCCAAATCTCATCTTGAATTGTATCTCCTACAATTCCCACGAGGTTTGGGAGGGACCCGGTGCGAGATAACTGAATCAAGGGGGCAGTTTCCCTCATACTGTCCTCGTGGTAGTGAATAAGTCTCACAAGATCTAATGGTTTTATCAGGGATTTCCGCTTTTGTATCTTCCTCATTCTCTCTTTGCCTGCTGCCATCCCGTCTTCCTCATTCTGTTTGCCTGCTGCCATCCATGTAAGAGGAGACTGGATCCTCTTTGCTGTCCACCATGATTGTGAGGCTTCCCCAGCCATGTGAAATTGCCAGTCCAATTAAACCTCTTTCTTTTGTAAATTGCCCAGTCTCTGGTATGTCTTTATCAGCAGCGCGAAAACGGACTAATGCATCTTGGTTTCAGCTTGCTCACTGCTCAGCAATCAAGAAGATCCCTGGGCCAGTCATTTGAAATACCATTTTATCTTCAAAATAGGTAAATAAAAATGATTAACTTGAGAATATAGAAACAGAGGAACTAAAATACTAGACAATAAATAACAATAACATATAATAAAGGAGGAAAACAGAGATAAACAATCCAAAGATTATTTGGAAGGGAGTTAAAGATACAGGCAAACTTAGATTCCATTAAAGCAACTAAGTATGCATAAATTTAAGAGTGAATGTAAGAACAAGTGAAATAGAATATATAACTTCCAAACTATTAGAGTCGAAAAATGAGAAAGAATTTGATCAATCCAATCAAATTTTAAAAAGAAAAAAGATGCAAAGAACATGTAGTATATAAAATGCACAAAATGAGATGGTAGAAATAACTTCAAATAGATCAATAACCTAAAGTGATTAGAATAAACTCACCAATTAAGAGACAAATATTCTAAAAAAGAATTTTTCTAAGAAAAGGTTTAGAAAAATAAAATACACATATATGCTCTCTTTAAGAGATTCACACGAAACCCAACAGCACAGAAAATTTGTAGGAAAATATGGCAAATGTTATATTAACCAAAAGAAAGCTAATGTAACCATGTTAATATTAATAGCAGACAGAATAGACTTTAGGATTTAAAAAAAATCCTTTTAGGGATAAAGAGGGTCATTATATAATAATGAAAATGAATTCACCACAATGATATAATAATTTTTAGCTTATACATACTTAACAGCATCACCTAAAAAGATATAAAGCAAAAATTCAGAGAATTACAAAATGAATATGATAAATTCACAGTCACAATAGGAAATATCAACATAGGTCTATGAGTAATTGACAGTTTGAGCAGAGCAAAACTATTAATCTTTATATAGTAATTATATAGAGAAAAACCTGTAACGAACAATTAGTAAGCACACATCATTTTCAAACACGTACAGTATGTTTACCAAAATTTACCATATACTAGGTAATTCTCAGCAAACACTAAGAATTAATGTCACGCATACCAGACTCTCTGGCTACTATAGAAAAATGTAGAATTCAATAAGCAAAAATACGATTGTATTAGGTTTCTATTGCTGCTATAACAAATTGCCACTAATTTAGTGGCTTAAAACAACACCCATTTATTATTTCATAGTTCTGTAAGTCAGATATCTGGGTGCAGCATGAATCAGCTGGTTCATGAATCAGCATGAATCATCTGGTTCACAGGGTTATAATCAAGGTGTTCAGCTGGGCTGTGTTCCTTTCCAGAGGCCCTGGGGATGTTTCCAAACTCAGACTGTTGGTCTAATTCAGTTCCTTGCAGGTATAGGACCCAAGTCCCGGCTTCCTTACTGGCTGTCAGCCCCAGCCAGTCTTTGCTCCTAGAAGCTGCCTGTACTCCCTCTCATGCTTTCCATGTGCCCCACCTCCTGCAATCCAGCAGCAGTGATGAGTCCTTCTCATACTTCCAATCTCTCTGGCTTCTGCCACATTTCTCTGTTTCCAGCCAGAGAAAATTATCTGCATTTAAGGATATATTTAAGTAGGTTTTCCCCACCCAGATAATACAGGATAATTTCCCTATTTTAAGATCCATCATCTTCATATCTGCAACTCACTTTTGCCATGTAGAGTAACATATTGGCCTGAGTGCACTGGTGTTTACAGCTAATTGATCACAACCAGTTATAAATTTATTTGTTTCTTCTCCACTCCCACTGCTTCACTTGACTAGCCTTAAAAAATAATTTTAAAAATTAAAAATAATAATATGTAAAGTAACAGATTTACAGGTTCCTGGGATTAGAGTGTGGACATATTTTGGTAGTGGGGGAGGGTCTGCCTATCACTATAGTCCAATAAATAAACAATATATTTGGAATTATTTTAAATCTATACTTAATAGGTCAAAAGAAAAAAATCATGAAAATTTTAAAATATTTAGAGCTTAATAATGATGAAAAGCCAAAATGTGAAGGAATGAGCTAAACCCAATTTTGCTTAGAAGAAAAGCCATAACCTAAAATGTTCACGTGCAAAGAGAAGAAAAAATATTAATGAATAAATGTACTAATACAGAATTTTAATTAAAAACAACAGTCTAAACTCCGGAGCTGGGAAGGAAATAGTAAAAATAAGAGCCAGAGTCAATGAGTAAACAACAAACAAATTATAGAGAGGATCAAAGAATTCAAAGAGTCAATCTTTGAAAATACTACTAAAATAGACAAATTTCTGACAATATTGATCAACAAAGAGAGAGAAGGTAAGAATACAAAAGGAGAATAAACTGCTTTTTTTTTTCATTTTTTTTTTTTTTTTTTTAGAGATGGAGTCTCACTCTGTGGCCCAGGCTAGAGTGCAATGGCACAATCTCAGCTCACTGCAACTTCCGCCTCCCGGGTTCAAGCAATTCTCCTGCCTCAGCCTCCCGAGTAGCTGGGACTACAGGCACACGCTGCCACGCCCGGCTAATTTTTTTTTTTTTGTATTTTAGTAGAGACGAGGTTTCACTGTGCTGCCCAGGCTAAACTCCTGAGCTCAGGCAATCCGCCTGCCTCGGCCTCCCAAAGTGCTAGGATTACAGGCGTGAGCCACCGCGCCCGGCCATAAACTCCATGTTAAAAAAAAATTATGTGAATACTATAAACAATTTTATGACAATAAATCACCAAGATTGCTCTATATATGATCAATAAATGAAAAATTAACATTCCGATACAACAGCAATAAACAACTGGAAAATGTCAATTAAAAGAATTTACAATAGCAACCATAAGATTCCTAGGAATAAATCTAACAACAACAAAAAAGATATGCAAGACATTAATAAAATCAAAATACTATAATGGAGGACATGAAATAATCCCTAAACAAAAAAAATCTCCATAAATGGAGAGATACACTGTATTCATGACAGGATAAAAAAGAAGGCCATTATTTTCAAATTCATGTACATTTTCAGAAACACAAAAGGAAAATAAAATTAGTACTTTTTTTAATTTGGTATTAAGGAAATAGTCTAAACAAAATTAAGGATAAGTCACAGACTGAGAGAAGATATTTGTAATATACACATATAATGAACAAAGGATTCTCTTCCCTAGTATATAAAGAACTCCTAAAATTTAATAAGCAGAAAACAAATAACCCAGTAGAAAAATGAGCAAAAGAGATAAATAGGCAATTAACAAAAGAGGATAACTAAATAATTTAACCTTGATAATAATCAGAAAAAAAATCCAAATTAGAACAATAATAAATATTATTTTATATCCATCAAGATGACTAAATCTAATAATGTCAAGTTTTGGAGGTTATGTAAGGAAAGGGCAGCTCATATATTACTAGGAGTATAAATTGCTATAACTACAAACCCTAGTGAAGTAGAGACTACACATACTTTTCTATCTAATAATTCCGTTTTCAGGCCCCAACCCTAGAAAAATACTTGCCCAAGGAGACAGGTATAAGGATGGTCTTTTTGTGATGAATTTCTCAGGTGTTCTTTGTGCTTCTTGTATTTGGCTGTCTAGATTTGTCACAAGGCTGAGGAAGTTTTCCTTGATTATTCTCCCGATATGTTTTCCAGGCCCCCTCTTGCTTCTGCTCTGCCATGTGAGATGGCTCCACCTTCTGCCATGAGTAAAAGCTCCTTGAGGCCTCCCCAGAATCCAAGCAGATGCTGTTCCATGCTTCCTGTGCAGTCTGCAGAACCATAAGCTAATTAAACCTTTTTCTTTATAAATTACCCCACCTCGAGTATTTTATAGCAGTGCAAGAACGGCCTAATACACTGATCATCTGATAAAGTCAGTACTGTTATTGTCATCATTATTCTTATTTTATCACTGAGAACTTTGAAGCACAGAGTGTTTTAAAATTTTACACAAGATTGGTAGAACTAGTGTGGGAGCGCTGGAGCTTGAAGCCAAGAAGTTTGTATTAATGAGCCCACGACCCTTACGACTATATCATTTTTTCTTTCTTCGCAAGAAAAAAGTAGATTGAGAGTGCATTTACAATCTGTATGAGAGAGACTATGTGTGGGTAGTGATGATTTACCTTAAATCTTTAGATCTGAAGGACAAGCGGACATTCACAAGCAAAGAAAGGGAGTGTTCCAAGCAGAGTGAACTCGTAGGAATTACCTTTGGAAGCAGGAAGCACAGCATGCAGAATGGGATAAAATAAGGTCAGGTAGCTGGGGCAGGGATAGCCAGAGGGAGAGCCATGTGAAAAGGACTGGAGGGGAAGGAGGAAGGATGAAACATGCAGGGCTTTTAAAAATGTTTTGTTATTACCCTGGAAAACAAATGAGAATTCATCCATGCGGATGAGATTCAAGCGTACAGAGCTGGTTGGATGGCCAAAAAATGGATACAGGGATGTGGAGTGATCAGTTGGAAGGCAGGGGAGAGATGACCTAGTGTGGTCCAGGCTGCTAAGGAGGGGTGGACAGGTTCCAGTGAGGTGGTCAATAGAATAAATAATGGGTTGAAAGTGAGGGGTTAAGGTGAGGGAGAAATTAAGGATTATTCTAGATTTCTGACCTAGATAAAAGGACAGACAGTATTGTCACTAAGATAGAAAATGCTGAGTAAGTCTGTAGGATATGATGAGGTTTCTCTTCAGATAACCCGATCAATCTTTTATTCTTTAATTCATAGTACCCCCCCCTGCCTTTTTCCCTTTTTCTCTTTTTTTTTCTTTTTGCCTTTGTTAGATACACAGGCACGCCACAGTACCAGGCATTACCAATACCAGCTCACGTTCCTCTCCTTATTCGGAAAGAGGACTAACTTTCTAGCTCATTACAGACACCCCTTCCCCTTTCTTCTCTGCTTTCTTTTACATGCCCACCTTATCTAAAAAAATCAAATGTTTAGCCAACCGGGATTCATTTAGATTGTACGACCCAACCCCAGCCAATGGGGAAAGGGTACAGGGGCAGGACTTGTGTCAGGAATAAAGGCTCTCGTGCCCCTTTGTTCAGGTGTGCTCTCATGGCGACTGGCCAAGGAGGCACCCCTCTGCGCAGAAGTAAAATTGCTTTGCTAAGACTCCTTTGTTCGAGTGTTCAATTTCCTTAGGATTTTGAATGTTATTCCTAACAAGTCTGAGTGTGGGAATGAGGGAAGACCCTGGGCTGGGTTTTGCACACATTGGGTTTAGAATGCCTTGGGAATGTTCAAGTGGAAAAGGCTGGGAGGCAGTGGGAGACACAGCTCTGGAGTCAAAAGGACAGAATGGCCCGGGATGGAAAGATAAATTTGGGAGTCATCTAGTGGTATCTAAATCCACGAACAAGCATGCTCTCTCCTAGGGAAAAGGAACCTGAGAAGAACAAGAGTCAAAGGTACAATTAGAGCTAGCCCGAGGGGGACAGGAACCGCCCGTGGTGTGTTGTACTGGTGAACCTTGGCTAGTACATGTGTCACAGTGGGAAAAACATCCAAGATGATCCATTCATAGAGGCAGCTCAGGGAATCTGTCTCTATCACGACCCTGATATGTTGTTCACAATCCTACAGCTGCAGAAGGCTTCACCAATGTGAAGTAGAGATCCACGAAGTAAGTCTACCCCTTCAGTATCCTCAAACCCAGGCCCATATGCCTGCCCATATGCCCACCCAATTAGCCCCATGTGTTCTTGTACTGGCTGAATTGTGCCTCCTTCCCACCCCCAAATTCACAAGTTGAAGCCCTAACCCCGAGTACCTCAGAATGTGACTGTATTTGGAGATAAGGCCTTGTGGAGATGATTACATTAAAATGAGGTCATTATCATGAGCCCTAATCCAACCTGATTGGTGGTCTTAAAAGAAAAAAAAAAATTGGAACACACACGAAGACACCAGGGATGCACAAGCACAGAGGAAGGACCATATGAGGACGCCATGAGAGGGCAACTATTGCAAGCCCAGGAGAGAGCCCTCAGGAGCAGCCAACCCCCGACAGACCGTGAACTTCCAGCCTCCAGAACTGTGAGAACATAGATTCCTGTTGTTTAAGCCACCCAGTCTATGATATTTTGCCATGGCAGCCCTAGCAAATGAGCACATTCTTCAAGGCATAATGTCTCATTTTTAATTTTCTGTCATCTAAGGTAGGCTTTTCTTTTTTCTGCTATAAAGGATTAACCGGCTGAGCGTGATGGCTCATGCCTGTAATCCCAGCACTTTGGGAAGCCGAGGCAGGCAGATCACCTGCGGTCAGAAGTTCAAGATCAGCCTGGCAAACATGGTGAAAACCCTATCTCTACTAAAAATACAAAAATTAGCCAGGCATAGTGGCAGGCGCCTGTAATCCCAGCTACTCGGGAGGCTGAGCCAGAGACGCTTGAACTCAGGAAGCAGAGGTTGCAGTGAGCAGACAGTGCACCACTGCACTCCAGCCTGGGTGACAGAGCGAGACTCTGTCTCAAAAAAAAAAAAAAAAAAAATTATCCATCCCTGGTTGTCTAGTGGTTAGGAAAAAAAAATTAATAAAAGCTAATAAAAGCTTACCCACCAAGGATCACCAAGACACACCTGGGGTCAAAAAGAGGTTAGGTTTACTTGCTTCCTGCAGCAAGAAGAGCACACACCATGAGAACTGTGGCACATCTCAAACTAGGGTAATTAGGGGAGGATACTTACAGGGTTTGGGGAACTGGGGTTTGTCATAGCATGGATTTAGGGCAGAAGATGATGGGGAGGGTCTGAGCAGTGATTAGTCAGAATCTGTCAACTTGATAAGTTTTTGGAACAATCAGTGGTCTTATCTTTAAAAGACACAAGTCCTTGTGCAGTTACTATAAAATCAAATCTGTGGTCTTATTTTGAACATAGGGCCCTGGATGAGCTGATGTTAAAAGGGTCTTAGTTTGGATAGTTTTTCCTGCATGTCCTGGTTTGGTACAGTTTGTCTGTTTTGCAAGTTATAGAACAGTTTTGCAAGTTGTGATTTCTGTTTATTTCTCTCCACTCAGACCTCTTTGTGCTTACCTCAGGGATCTCAGACATGACTTAAAGAGCTGACATGGATAAGTGAGCACTGGATTGGTGAAGCATGACTATGCTTTCTTTCTGGGCAACTCCAAACTTTCTTATCTGTTTACAAACCACCATGATCCTAAGATGTGAAAGAAGCATCTTGGCATCTGAAAAACTAAAGATTCAATATGCTCAATTAAAACAAATTTACTTTCTCATTTAACTGACATCCAAACAGTAGAATTACATTAACAATTTAGCTCAAAAGTTCAAATTGGGGCTCTAGAGTCAGGCAGACCTTCATTCAATTCACATCTTCTTATAGGATTTTAGGCAAATTTCTTAACAACTTTTGAACAGTTTCATCACCAGTGAAATGGCATATATAATACTGTCTTTCTAATAGGGTTATTGTGAGAATTAAATAAGTTAATGCATGTCATCTGCTTACTTGTTACTACATTACAAATAGCCCTAAAACTTAGTGGCTTAAAACAGCAATTTTATTTTGCTTATGGTTTTGTGGGTCAGGGATCTGGTAAGGGTTTGGCTGAGCATTCATTTCCGCTCCACAAAGCACCAACTAAGTTGATTTCTTTGAGGCTGGGGATCCACTTCCAAGAACGCTGACTCCCATGACCGGCCAATTGATGCTGGCTGTCAGCTGGGAGATCACCCAGGCCTGGCAGTCAGAGCCCTTGGCTCCTCTCCAGTGCACCTTCCCACAGGGCTGCTAAAGTTCCCCGAAAGTCTGGCAACTGAGTTCCAAGAGACCTCAGTAGAAGCTGGAAGTCTTCTTTTAACAAAGCCTTCAGTCCCAGAGTGTCACTTCCACTGCATTCTACTAGTGATGCGTGTCGCAAAAGCCAGGTAGGAGAATTAAACTCTACCTGTAATTGGGTAGCGGGGTAAAAAATGTGTGGCCATCTTAAATCCACCACTTATGTAAGTGTTTTACATAGTAACTAACCACCGTACTCTGTGAGCTAGTACAATCATTGGAGATATTACTGAATAGAACATAGAACAAAAGATAAAGCTTTTGTTTCCTAAAATCAGCATAGGAGCATAAAGTAGGTATATATTTTGATATCCTGATAGAACTTTTGTCATCTTTATTAACTCTATATTTCTTCAAGGAATGTTTTCCCTGGTTTCTTCAATAATTATAACCACCATAAGTGCTAATGATAGCTTTTCAGAGGTATATGAATTCTAGTTTTGCTATTCTAGCTTTGTTGAAACATTTTTTAAATAATAACTTGTCTCTCTATTGCTCAAGAAGTCCGTTATGAAGCATTCCCAATACCAGTTGTCGCTAGCAACAGCTATCAGGCAAAGGGTGGGAAAGAGCTTTCTCAAATATTAAGTTAAACCCTTTCTTCTCTTCCCAGCCCCTACCCAGCACTCTCTACTTCCATAGGATAAAGTTAAATGACTGGTGATCCAAGTACCTGAGAGAGGCGGCGTGTCCAGCCTTGAGAGATGAGGTGTAACCCAGATTATCTTCTGGTCACAGTTTTTGAAATGAAGGACAGAAGATGTAGGCTGACTTTCAAAATTGTCTTCAAATATCTAAAGGGCTGTCATCTCGAAAAGGCAGATTTAATTCCAAAGTAACAAAAAAAATCTTGGAGGAGTGTATGAAAGTCTTGGTACAATAAAACTACACATTCTCTTTCTCTTAGAGCTAATTAAAAATGTAATGAGGTGCCTCAGGAAGTAGCATTTTTCCATTCCCTGGAGGGGTAGGTAGCAGCAGGGTCTGGATAACTATTTTGTGGAGATGTTACAGAAGGATTCCCACAACTATCGGTCAGGGACAGGTTGTTTACATGATGTCCAAGTGTCCTTTGGACGGTATATAATTTACAGTCCAAATAAAATTCACTTCTTGTTTTCATGCCTTCTTTTACAATCTATGTATGTAAAATCCTTTAGTATGTGATATATTAACCATTCCTTCCCAGGTATGGAATGGCTTTGAGGTTCAAGAGACCCATGCGGCAGAATTTTGGAGATGAATAATAATTACTGAAGAATGGCTTACAGATCCTGCAGACTTGTGTTAAGGCAAAAAGTCCAACATGCCATACAAATGGAGATATACAGGAATTGGATATAATAAGGTGTGGCATCTATTGGTTTGGGGGCATAGGAAAGTCAGTGCACAAAGTACAGTGTTGGAAAGCAGAAGGAAAGTAAGCCTGGTAGGAACCTTGAGCGTAGTAGCATTTATTCACCATGATTAGGTAAGAGATCACTGGGATTATTGGGATTAAATATTGGGATAGTTATGGGCATGGTTGTACTATTAGGCTGGAGAAGGGCTTCAGTCACTAAGGAAGAGGCTGTCACAAAACTAAAGACTACTATCTCCACATAGATCATTCTCACAGGGAAAGTGTTTCATCTTTACCAGAAGAATAATTAGAAAATTATGAGCTCACCAATGACCTTGATATTGCCAAATACAGTTACCATCCTCTGGGCTAATCTTACTATTTCTTTCAGCAACTTTTCACACAAGTTTTCATTCCCGTCTTTTTTTTTTTTTTTTTTTTTTTTTTTAAGATGGAGTCTCACTCTGTCGCCCAGGCTGGAGTGCAGTAGTGTGATCTCAGTTCACTGCAACCTCCGTCTCCCAGGTGTAAGTGATTCTCCTGCCTCAGCTTCCCAAGCAGCTGGAAATATAGGCCTGCGCCACCATGCCTGGCTAATTTTTGTATTTTTAGTAGAGATGGGGTTTTGCCGTGTTGGCCAGACTTGTCTTGAACTCCTGACTTCAGGTGATCCACCCACCTTAGCCTCCCAAAGTGCTGGGATTACAGGTATGAGCCACTGTACCCGGCCACATTCCTCTTTCTTTCTTTAAACATTTTCCTCTCTTGGTTTCAGTGGTTCTACACTGTTCCTGCTCCCTCCTCTTTGTCAGTTTACTCCACCCACATTCCCTTTGCTGGCCCTTCTTGACATCTGTTGTAAAGACTGGGAGTCCTCAAGCCCCATAATAACTATTCTCTTCTCATATCATTAAACACCATCTATGCCACCCATACACTGATCACCCCCGCCAATGTCTATCTTGAGGCCAGACCACACCTAACAGCTCAACGTATATATAGGTTATATACCTAACTGCCTACTTGACATCTCTACTTGTGTATTTCACACCCTTAAACTCAAGATGTAGAAAATACATTGTTTGATTTTGCCCTTTGCCCACACTATTCCTCATACCCCCTCCCCTCCAAATCTGTTACTCTCTAACTCTTCCCTATACCAGTAAATGGTGCATCACCATAGACTCAGTTATTTAGTCAGACACCCAAGAATTTTCCTTGACGTCTACTTCTCCCTCACTCTACCATATCCAATCTATATTAACAAGTTCTGTGAGTCCATGAACAAAATATATCTAGAATCCATCCACTACCCATTTTTTCATAGCCACAACCCTAGTACCAGCTACAGCAGACCTTGTAATGGTCTTCCTAACAGCTCTCCCCATACCTGCCTTGAAGACCTTCAATCTACTCTCCATCCAGCAAATGCCATAGCTCTTTCAAAAAGTAATTTGTTTATCTAACATGTGTTTCCATTTCTCCCCATCCCAGCCCCAAATGGCTCAAAAAGAAAAAGGCTTACAGAATTTTTACTGGACTGTAGGAACAGGTGAGGTATCAGTTCTTACAATTTCTAAGATGCAATCTTTCAGTTCTCGTTAATTCTTTTTTTTCTATTACTCTTTTCCTTTTCATGTGTCAATAAAATGCCTAGGAAATATATCCTCATCTGCCAAAGGAGTCCACTTTTTGACATGTGTGCTAGCCAAACTAGCCCCATAGTGGTCTTTTTAAAGGATAAATCAATTCAAGTGAATCTTAAAACTTAAAACTTTCTATGACTTCCCTTTGAACTTAAAAATAAAATCTAACTCTTTACTGGAACTTATAAGATCTCACAGCAATGCTTCTCAAACTATCTATGGTAAAGAACCAGCTTGTTTTTCTTTTTTTTTTTTTCTTTTCAATTTTCAATTCCTCTCTGATGGATACTTTTATAAGATAAAATAAAAATGAATTACTAGAAAAAATGAAACCAGAAATAAGACATCAAAATATAAGTCCAATTTTTTCATTAGATTGAAGAGCTATCAAACCACTATGTCAAATCATTTAAAAGGCTTTACAAGCTTATTTTCAATTTCTGTATTTATCCCATCATCAAGGATTGACACTGACCTGGATTATTTGGCTTCAGCTTACCTCTCTAACTTTGTCCTAGAAAGTCTTTCCCTCCTTCACTCTGTTCCAGCCCTACTTTCTATATCTTAAACAAAGCAAGGTTTTTCTAGCTTCAAGGCATGTTCCTTCCCCTGGATCTGGAAGCTTCAAAATCCCATATGCCTTACCTGGAGAGTTCCTTCTCATCCAGTCTGTCAACTGAAGAATCATGAGTTTCATAAATTTGAAAAAGAGAGCTTTTTTTATACATATAAAGGCTTGCAGCCTGCAGGGTGGCCTTTCTAACAGTCTGGGAAAGTGTATCCCCCAGCCAGAAGCCAGAAACACACTTCATGGGAAGGGCAAGGGGAACAAGAATTTATGATGAACAGGGTGGCCAAATATACATATTCAATAAGCTAGAGGAGGCCCGGATGCAGTGGCTCATGCCTCTAATCCCAACACTTTGGGAGGCCAAGGCGGGTGGATCACCTGAGGTCAGGAGTTTGAGATGACCAGCCTGGCCAACATGGTGAAACCCCATCTCTACTAAAATTATAAAAATTAGCCAGGCATGGTGGTGGGCACCTATAATCCCAGCTACTTGGGAGGCTGAGGCAGAAGAATCACTTGAACCCAGGAGACGGAGTTTGCAGTGAGCCAAGATTGCTCCACTGCGCTCCAGCCTGGGCGTCAGAGCAAGACTCTGTCTCAAAAATAAAAATAAAAATAAGCTAGAGGAGGAGTCATGAGTATTTATGAAAGGAGAAACAAGCACATGCACAGAGCTTCGTGACTCTCTATGGAACCCAGGCACAAAAAATGGCAGTGTTAGCATGATCCAAGGGTGGAGTTTTCAGCCCTCTGATGTCAAAAGGTGAAGAGAGGACATGAAAATCCACACTACTCATCCTCTGTAGACTGGTCAGAACTACTCTGTGGTTGGTGGTCTCTTATCAGGAAGGAATGCTGGTCAGTTGTTGTGCTGAAACTGCAAAAAGGGGGAGCAGCCTCAGGAAGCTGGGTGACATCAGAGGTAAAATGTTTTGAAAGAACTGGTTTCTGTTTAGCCCTCAGGGAAGAAAGCCTGTTGGTGGTTAGTGAGGGGATGGGTATAATAAGACGTGTCCTATCTCCCATCCCATCATGACCAAGAACTCAGTTTTCAAGGTTACTCTGGCATCCTGTTGGCCAAGAGGGGGTCCATTTAGTCATTTGGGGGGCCTAGGATTTTATTTTCATTTATCAAGTTTCATTTTCATTCCCTTTTCTCAAATGACAATCTCAACTGAAGAAATCCTGTTATTCCCTAACAGAGCCCCTGGTTCCTTTCTGCATACCACATATCATAATTCATATTCTTTACCTATTTATTGTTTATCTCCTAAACTAGACCTCAGTTAAACATAGAAAAAACATGTCAGCTTTATTCACCACCAATATCTGCCATACACTAGGCACTCCATAAATATTTGTTGTATGATTGAATAAATGAATGAATTGAATGAATAAATAAATTAGCTTTTCTGATAGAGGACACTACTAGCCATGCTATCCATACATTTCATTCAGCATTTGAGCAAGGGCAACTTAGCCAAAATGAACAACAAAAGTATGCAATTATTCTATGACTTCATTCAACTGTTCATCTTGTTGACCTAAAGGATAAACTGAGGTAAAATTAATACAAGTAGAGAGTTTATTGGACCAAGTTTGAGGACTGCAACTGGGGAGAATAGTTTCAAGTTTCCCAGAATATATGCTCTAATTAGCAGCAGCTACAAGTATACAAGTGGGTGTTTGTTTGTTTGTTTGTTTGTTTGTTTGTTTTTGAGATGGAATCTCACTCTGTCACAAGGCTGGAGTGCAGTGGCATGATCTCGGCTTACTACAACCTCCACCTCCTGGGTTCAAGCGATTTTCCTGCCTCAGCCTCCTGAGTAGCTGGGACTACAGGCACGAGCCACCACGCCCAGCTAATTTTTGTATTTTTAGTAGAGACAAGGCTTCACCGTGTTGGCCAGAATGGTCTCGATCTCTTGACCTTGTGATCCACTGGCCTCAGCCTCCCGAAGTGCTGGGATCACAGGCATGAGCCATTGCACCGGGCCACAAGTGGGCTGTTAAAGGAAAAATGAAGAGGCAGGTCCTAGGTTGTTTACCAAGTTTTTACATTAAAATAACATAAGCTAGATTGGCTATACATTTTTCTTTGTATCACAAATTCCAGGAACATGAAGATAATGGGTGAGTCAGCTAGTCAGGAAACTACGTGGAAAAAAAAAAAAAAGAACGAAATGCCTTTAAACAATTGCTCCTGGGCATGGGTAGGGGCTGGGGGATGACCTATGTCCCATATTCATGAATCTCCAGGCCTTATAAATGTTGCACACCTCACATAGCTCAGACTGCTCTGGGCTATTTCTTTTTTCTCAATTTAAATCAGGAATTTTCTAAAAAATAGTACTAAATCCAAAATTATTTAATGACACAACTGTCTGCTATTAACTGACCTTCATGGGGTTTGTGTGCCAAAAAAAAAAAAAAAATTTCATCTCTTCTATCCTTTTGAATAACTTCACAGATACTCTTTTACTCACTTAGTGTAAGCATGTGGCACTTATATTCCCTTCAGATGATACCATTACCCACAGGGGTAAACACTTTAAGGTTAAGATTAAAATAGCACTATATTTTTTTTTCATCAAGGCAATTTTGCTTTCTGATGTTTTGTTTTGTCCTTTATTTGTAGACTGTGGTAGAATAATATGAATATGAAAGGCAATCAACTCAAAAACAAAAATCTTCTCCAAGCATATAAATATTCTTAAAACCTTTGTTGAGAAAAAGGCTTGACATGCAAGTGGCACTCTAGTTGACTACTCTGACAAAAACAATATGTAATTTAATTTCCTTGCCATTACCCTGACGAAACTTAATTAAATGTTATGCCTCCAGAGAATATTTTTCAAGATACAACAATCCACATTTGAAATATTAAATAAGGAATTAAGCAATCCTCAATTTAGAGAGTAGAGGTTGCAGGGGAAGTTGGGGGATAAATTTCAGGCGCCTCAAAGCCAAAGCTAAACAAGGGAGTTGAGCCAAGAGTTAGATTTCAGAATTTTCAAACAAATAACAAAAGAGTTGGAGAACTAGGAGCTGTCCCCTCTTCAGCACTTCCTTGAATGTCCACAGTTTCTTCTCCAAACCCAAAGGGTACAGGAAGAAGTCAGAAAGAGGAGAGGGGTTACTTTTTTTTTTTTTTTTTGAGACAGTGTCCTGTTATGTTGCCAAGACTGGACTCAAAACTACTGGGCTCAAGTGATCCTTCTGCCTCAGCCTCCTGAGTCACTGGGACTACAAGCACAAACCACCAAGTCCAGGAAGAGGGATTGCTTTCAGATCCTTCCCCAGAGCCTAGTCTGAAGCTTCTGTTATCTAAGAAGTCAGCACCAAAAGAGCCATCTTTCCAAGGAAACACAAACCAACCTGTTGCTTTGTTAATGTTATTTATTGTTGTCTTCCCTTCTTTAGATATTCACTCCTTTAGGAATGAAATCTTACCTCTATGATTCACCCTTATAACTCAGCTAGGGCATGCCTTGAATACAAGAGGTCAATAAATATTGTTGAATGAATGAATGTATATATGACTTAACACTAGAATGTACAGTAAATGATGAATACAGCACTGTTCAAGTTGAATATACATTGAATTCAATTTTATATAAAGTTGTACACTAAATGCTGAGAAAAACACAACTATGAAGATTAACCACAGCTCTTACTCTTTAGGCATAGATGGTCTAATTGAAAAGTCAAACTTGCACTTAGTGACATCAGCAAAATGGTGAAGTTGGCAGCTGCAGTTCTCATTTCCCACAGAAACTCTAAAAAACAAGAATAAACTATCAGAATCAACTTTTTCAGAACTCTAGCAAACAAAAACTGAATTAAAAAAAGCACAACAAAATGTTAGGAAAGTTTGTGGTGATTTTATAGCAGATTTGGTCTTGAAGCAGGGGCTGCCTGCATTCTTAGTGTAGGACGCTTTCCTCTGATTCAAGAGGGAGTGGAGCAGAGCAGATATTATCCACAAATCATGTATGTCTGTTCTAACCTGTCTGGGGACTACCTGAAGGAGTGATGGAAAGCAAACATCTCTTTTTCTACCTCAGAAATCAGGCCAAAAAAGCAATGCTCTCAAATACTACAAGCCCAACTAACAACTTTCAGGTGCCTGGGACAAAAGATTATAGTCAAAACATAAAATAAGTTGCCCAAGGCAAAGGCTGAGGAAAATTTCTTTAGGAAATCAGGACATTCAAAAGTAGTCATGTATACTGGGAATTTAGAAAGCCATGTACACACCCAGGACAAAACACATACAGAAGAAAGACCTAAGATGACCCTACACTTTCACCTTGAGTTGATCTGTAGACTCAGTGTGAGGATGGCTAACTGTTGAAGGAAGGGCACACATGCACATATACAGAGGCAGTCTGGAAAGATTAGTAGAGGTGGTTTTCCCTTTCTCTCCCTTTGTTTTGTTTTGTTTTTAGTTCCTGGCACTCACGGAAATCTCAGTCAGAACACTAGCTGAATATAAGCTAAGGAACAAAGACTTCTATGACCTCACATGATAAAAAATATAGTCTTTTCAATAATAGTTTGGAAAAAATACTAAACAAACAGACTACTATAACCTTCAACAATAAAAAAAATCACAAGGCATACAGGAAACAGGAAATTGTAGCCCATTCAAAGGAACAAAATAAACTGAAAGAAACTGTACCTGTGGGAGCCCATACCTCAGACTTACTTGACAAAAACTTTAAAACAACTGTCTTAAGTATGCTTACAGAGCAAAGAGAAAACACAGATACAGAACAAAAGAAAATCAGGATAATAATATATGGGCAAAATAAGAATATCAATGAATAGGTAGAAATTATATAAAGGAACCAAACAGAATATTTGGACTGAAAAGTACAAGAACAAAAAATTTTAAAATTCACTAGAGAGGTTCAAAAGCAGATTTGAGTAGGCAGAAAAAAGAATGGCCAAATTTGAAAATAGGACAATTGAAAATACTGAGTCTGAGTAAAAGAAAAAAAAAAGTGAACAGAGTCTAAGGGACCTGTGGGATACCATCAAGAAGACTAATATATACAACAGAAGAGTTTGAAAAGGAGGAGCTAGAGAAAGGGGCAAAATAATATTTGAACAATATTATTGTTCAAATAATGGCTGAAACTTCCCAAATTTGATGAAACACATGAATCTACAAATCCAATAAGCTTAACCAACTCCAAGTAAGATGAGCTCTGAGATCCACACCAAGACACATCATGATCAAACGGTCAAAAGACAAAGAGATAATCTTAAAAGCAGCAAGAGAGAAGCAGCACATCACGTAAAAGGGAGACTCAAAATTAGCAGCTGATTTCAAAAACTATCAAAAACTGTTTGGGCTAGAAGACAGTGGGATAACATATGTGAAGTGATGAAGGAAATAACTGTCAACTAAGAGTTCTATAACCAACAAATAATTTTTCAAAAATGATGGATAAAAATAACACATTCTTAGATAAACAAGTGATGAGGCAGCTTGCTACCACTAGACCTGTCTTACAAAAATATTTAAAGAAGTCCTTCATATTGAAACAAAAGAACACTAAACAGTAACTCAAAGCCATATACAAGAAAAATAAAGACCTCTGGTAAAGGTAAATACATGAGCAAATATTAAAGCGATTATTATTGTATTTTTTGTTTATAACTCTACTTATTTCCTACAGAATTTGAAAGAAAAATGCATTAAAATATAATAAATCTATGCTTCTAGACACATCAAGGTATAATTTGTCATAACATCTTTATGTGTCTAGAAGCATAAGGAGAGGGATGACAGAGCTGTATAGGAATCAAGTGTTGTGTGCTATTAGAGTTAAGTTGATATCCAATCTAATTAGATTGTTATAAATTTAGTTATTTGCTTTGGTTTTTTAATTTTAGGATGTTAAATGTAGTTCCTGTAATAACCACAAAAAAATCTTAAATATATATACAAAAGGAACTGAGAAGGGAATAAAAATAATCTGCAAAAAAAAAAAAAATCAATTAATCACAAAAGAAGGCAGTAATGGAAAAAATGAAAGACAAAAAAGGCATAAGATGTACAGAAGACAAACTGACAAAAGTAAGTCCTTTCTTACCAGCAATTATTTTAAATATAAATAGGCTAAACTTTCCAATCAAAAGGCAGAGATAGGCAGAACAGACGAGAAAACATGATCCAATTACATCCTGTTACAAGAATATCCAAAGATTGAAATTAAAAGGATGGAAAAAAATATTCTATGTAAATAGTAACCAAAAGAAAGCTGGGGTACCAATACTAAAATTAGACAAAATAGACTTTAAATCAAAATTGATTAAAAGACACAAAGAAGGGCATTATATGAAAAAGAGTTTATCAAGAAGATATAACAGTTATAAGCATATATACAACAGACAACAGAAATATTGACAGAATTAAAGGGAGAAATAGGCAGTTCAACAATAATAGTTGGAGACTTCAATACATTTTCAATAATGGATAGAGCATCTAGACAGAAAATGAATAAGGAGAAAGAGAACTTGAACAACATAAACTAACAAGATATAACAGACTTATATACAACACTTCATCCAACAACAGCAGAATATACATTATTCTCAAGTGCACAAGGAACATACTCCAGGATAGAGCATATGTTATGCCACAAAACAAATTTCTATAAATTTTAAAAGATGGAGATTATACAGTGTATCTTTTTCAGTCACAACGATGAGATGAGATAAAGCTAGAAATAAATAATAAAAGAAAAACATTTTTAAATTCACAAATATATTCAGTATGGATCTAAGGGGAAAAATTCACAAATATATGGAAATTAAATTACACATTCTTAAATAACCAAAAGATCAAAGAAGAAATCACAAGGGAATTTTAAAAATACTGAGAGACAAATGAAAATGAAAGACAGTATACAAAAACTTATGGGATGCAGCAAAGGCAGTGCTCAGAGGAATATTTATAGCTATAACCAACTACATTTAAAAAAATAGCTCAAATCAATAACTTAATTTTATACCTTTATGAACTAGAAGCAGAAGAACAAACTAAGCCCAAAGTTACTAGAAAGAAGGAAATAATACAGATTAGAGTGGAGAAAAATAACATAGAAACTAGAAGGTAATAGAGAATCAACAAAATCAAAAGTTGGTTTTTTGAAAAGATCAGCAAAATTGACAAAATTTTAGCTAGACCTGACAAAGGAAAAAGAGAGAAGACACAAATAACTATTAAATAAAATCTGAAAAACAAATGGAAACAATACTACTATCTTAACAGAAATAAAAGGGATAATATTATGAATAATTATATAGTAATTGGATAGCCTGCAAGAAATGAACAAATTCCACACAAATTACCTAAACTGACTCAAGATGAATTAGAAAATCTTAACAGATCTGTAACAGGAAAGATCAGATTAGTAATTGAAAACCTCCTAATAAAGAAAATTTCAGGACCAAATTGCATCACTGGTGAAGTACCAAACTTGATGATTTACCAAATATTTTAAAAAGAATTAACACCAATCCTTCTGACATTTTTCTAAAAAACAGAAGAGAGAGGAATACTACCTAACTTCTTATGAGATCACCATTACCTTATCTGATATCTGTTGAGGTGATCAGACCCAACACTAGGCCGTGGGGGCTACAAAATCTGGCAGAGTCAAAGGAATGAGAAAAGACAAGTTAAGAGTGCATAAGGTGGTTCCAGGGGGCCAATGCTGGTATGGAGGCGCGAAGGCCCCGAGCTCTGGGAGCCCACACTGTTTATTGGTGATTAAACAAAGCAGGTGGTGAGGATGTGCAGACGTGGGGGTAGAAAAATAGCAGTGACGCATATAAACACATACAGAACATGCTCTGCTGCTTCAGGTAACGGAGAACATGTTTACTAGCCTGGGAGAGCAACCAACAAGTCTGTGCACTTTCCAGAGGCTACGAGGGGTTTTATGCCCTGGGCTTAGATTTTGTGGTGCAGCAGGGTAGCCTTCCACCCTTTGGCACAGAGCTTGGTGTTCCAAAGGCCACCAGGGGTTTTAGACCCTGGACCCTGGACATCTTCCAAGACTCTTTTATATTATGACAGACAAGCCAGTCCTGCCTTAGCTCTTCTACCGACAATATCAAAGCCAAATAAAGCCATCACAAGAAAAGAAACTACCTTTTGGAAAAATGGAAAAACACCTCATGTTCATGAATAGAAAGGCTTAAAATTATCAAAATATCAATACAACTAAGCAAACTACAAATTAATGTAATTCCTATAAAAATTTCAACAGCCTTTTTGGGAAAAATGGAAAAGCCAATCCTCAAATTCATATGAAATTTTAATGAACCCCAAATAGCCAAAATAATATTAAAATGAACAAAGTCAAGGACTTGCATGTTCCAATTTCAAAACTCACTACAAAGCTACAGTGATTAAAACAGTATGGTACTGGCATAAGGGTAGAATACAGATCAATGGAATAGTATTGAGAGATCAGAAATAAACCCATATATGTATGGCAAATTAGTTTTTGACAATGATATAAAGTCCACTCAACAATGAAAGAACAGGCTTTTCAACAAATGGCCTGTAACAACTATATTTCTACAGCTAAAAGAATGAAGTTGGACCCCCAAATTATACCATATACAAAAGTTAACTTAAAATGGAACAACCTAGATATAAGGACTAAAACCACAAAACTTTCAGAAGAAAACACGGGAGTAAATCTTGACCTTGGATTTAATAATGGAGTCTTAGATATGACACCAAAAACACAAGCCACAAAACAAAAAACAGGTATATTGGACTTCATCAATATAAAATTTTTGCACATAAGGGGCATTATCAAGAAAGTGAAAAGAAAACCCACAGAATGGGAGAAAATATTTGCAAGTCATATATCTGATAAGGTTATATCCAAAATAATGTTAAAACTCCTAAAACTCAACAAAAACAACCCAATTTAAATGGGCAAAACATTTGAATAGCTATTTCTCCAAAGACATATGGAAATGGCCAAGGAGTACCAAAAAGATATTCACTACCTTTAGTCATTAGAGAAATGCAAATTAAAACAGTGTAATAGTGTAATAGTGTTTCACATCTACTAGGATGTCTATAATTAAAAGTGGAAAATAAGCGTTGGCAAGAATGTGGAGAAACTGGAACCCTCCTACATTGCTGATAGGAATATAAAATGGTGCAGCTGCTGTGGGGAACAATTTGGTGGTTCCTTTAAAAAGCTAAACAGAGGCCGGGCGCGGTGCCTCACGCCTGTAATCCCAGCACTTGGGGAGGCCGAGGCGGGTGGATCACGAGGTCAGGAGAGCAAGACCATCCTGGCTAACATGGTGAAACCCCGTCTCTACTAAAAATACAAAAAAATTAGCCGGGCGTGGTGGCAGGCCCCTGTAGTCCCAGCTACTCTGGAGGCTGAGCCAGGAGAATGGCGTGAACCCGGGAGGCGGGGCTTGCAGTGAGCGGAGATCGCGCCACTGCACTCCAGCCTGGTGACAGAGCGAGACTCTATCTCAAAAAAAAAAAAAAAAAGCTAAACGGAGAATTACCATATGGCCCAGGAATTCCACTCGTAGGTATATACCGAACAGAATTTAAAACAGGGACTTGACCAGGTACTTGTACAGCAACATTCATTGCAGCATTATTCACAATAATGCTGTCAAAAGGTGGAAACATGTGTCCACCAACAGATGAAAAGGGAAACAAAATGTGGAATGCACATATAGTAAAATATCATTCTGTAATCCCAGCACTTTGGGAGGCCGAGGAAGGTGGATCGCCTGAGGTCAGGAGTTCAAGACCACCCTGGCCAACATGGTGAAACTCCATCTCTACTAAACATACAAAAAATTAGCCGGGTGTGGTGGTGGGCACCTGTAATCCCAGCTGCTCAGGAGGCTGAGGCAGGAGAATCACCTGAACCGGGGAGACGGAGGAGGTTGCAGTGAGCCAAGATCGTGCCACTGCACCCCAGCCTGGGTGACAGAGGGATACTCCATCTCAAAAAAAAAAAAAAAAAGAAAGAAAAGAAAAAGAATATTATTCATCCATAAAGAGAAATACAGTTTTGATACATGCTATAACGTGGATGCACCTTGAAAATATTATGCTAAGTGAAATAAGCCAGATGTTAAAAGGACACATATTATATAATTTTAATTAGATAAAATATCTTGAATAGGAAAATTCATAGAGACAGAAATAGACTAGAGGTTGCCATGGGGCTGGAAGAAGAGGGGAATCAGAAGTTATTGCTTAATGGTGACAGAGTTTCTGTTTGGGTAATGAGAAAGTTTTGCAGATAGATAGTGGTAATGGTTGCACAACATTGTTAATGTAATTAATGCCCCTTTTTAAATGTTTTATATATTTTACCATAGCAAAATAAATTACACTGACAAAACAATATGAACAGATATCTGTCTTAAGAATATTTGGTTTTTAATAGAGAACTATATTTATTTAAGTAACATTTCTTAAAGGCCCTCTGTGGTCCAGACTCTGTGAATGCTCTGGTGCACAAGACAAGATTTCAGAGCTTAAAGAATTTACAGTCCAGTAGAAAAGGCAGACCAGCCAACATCAACCCTGATAAATCCAGGGAAAAATGTAAACCTGGGAAGTTAGGCAGCACACAACAGGAGCACTTAATTTAAAACAGATTGGGTAAGGCTGTAAGATGAAAAAGGGTCAAAGCATTCCAAGAAAGAACAGCAAGTTGGCAAAAGCTGTCAATGAGACAAACATCGGGCATTAGGGGGAAACTGTTAGTGGTTGAACAAGGTTGGAGCAGAATTGGGGAGGGAGAGGCCATTATTGAGGGGATAGTGAGGGATGAGGTTAAAGATACAAGCAAAAACCTGACTAAGCTACACTGAGGAGTCCTTCTCCCAGTCTACAGAGATGCCATTACAGGATTTTATGCAAGATGGTAATATCATTAAGGGCAGCTCTATAAAGAATGGATTTAAGAGTGGTAAGACTAAATAAAGGGAGTCAGGCATTTCCATGAGCTTGAGAGAAAAATCTTTAGAAGATAGAGGACCTATCAATAATGCCCTAAAATCACAAAATGCTTGATAAGTCCTGCGTTGGTAATGCTTTGGGTAAACAGGCATTCTCATACACTGTTGATGTAGGGCAATTACCCTATCATCGTAATGTGACAATATTTATGGAAATATATGTGCATGCTTAGCAATTTTTCAGGAATTCATCCTAGAGATAGACATGCTCTTGTATAAAATGAAATACATATGATGTAATTTATCACTGCACTGTTTGTAAACCTAAACTATTGAAAATAGTGTAAATATCCATCAGTTGTAGCCCAATCAAATAAATTATGGTACAGCCATATACTGGAATACCATTTGACAATTAAAAATAAATGATAAAGCTCTTATATAAAGACAGAGAATAACTGCCAAGATTTTTTTTTTTTTTAAACAGGGTCTCATTCTGTTACCCAGGCCGGAGTGCAGTGGCACAATAACGGCTCATTGCAGCCATCAACTCCTGGGCTCAAGTGATCCTCCCACCTCAGCCACCTGAGTAGCTGGGGACTACAGACATGGGCCACCATGCCCAGCTAATTTTTTGTATTTTCAGTAGAGATGGGATTTTGCCATGTTGTCCAGGCTGGTCTCTAACTCCTGAGCTCAAGTGATCCTCACCTTAACCTCCCACAGTGCTGGGATTACAGGCCTGAGCCACTGAGTGAGGACTAAATTTTTAAGCAATAACAAAAACAAAATAATCTCACCCCATCCCCCCAAAAAAGTGTAACATATGATACTATTTATATTAAGAGGAAGGGAGAGATCTTAACTTTTTTTAAAAAATGCTATTGCCAAGATAAAATTTTAAACAATAACAATAAAAAATAAACAAAGACCGGGCATGGTGTCTCAAGCCTGTAATCCCAGCACTCTGGCAGGCCAAGGCAGTAGGATGGCTTGAGCCCAGGAATTCAAGACCAGCCTGAGCAACTGCGGAAATCCTGTCTCTACAGAAAATACAAAAATTAGTCAGGTGTGGGGTGCACATCTATAGTACCAGCTGCTCAAGAGGCTGGGAGAATCGCTTCAGCCTGGGAGGTCTAGGTTGCAGTGAGCCGAGATTGTGCCACTGCCCTCCAGCCTGGGTGACAGATCAAGACCTTGTTTCAAATAACAAAAAAGCAAGAATTGAATGTGTTACTTTTTGTGTAAAAACAAAAGAAAGAAATTCTGTACTAAAGAAGAAAAATGCAGCTGGGCATGGTGGCTCACGCCTGTAATCCCAGCACTTTGGGAGGCTGAGGCGGGTGGATCACCTGAGGTCAGGAGTTCAAGACCAGCCTGGCCAAAATGGTGAAACACCATATCTACTAAAAATACAAAAATTAGCCAGGCGTGGTGGCAGATGCCTGTAATCCCGGCTACTTGGGAGGCTGAGACAGGAGAATTGCTTGAACCCAGAAGGCGGAGGTTGCAATGAGCCGACATCACGCCGCTACACTCCAGCCTGGGCGACAGAGTGAGACTCCCTCTCAAAAGAAGAAGAAAAATGTTAAAAGGACATTATTAAGACAATTAGGGAAGTAACATTATAACAATGTTAAATTCCCTGAGTGTCTTGAATGTGTTGTAATTATGTAGGAAAATGTCCTACTTTTCTATAAGCGGATTATTTGTTTTATCATTCATTCTATAATTTTGACAATGATTAACGTAAAGCCCATTGGCCTATAGTTTCTGAAATCCAACTAAATATTTCCTTCTTTTAAAAATAAGCACGTTTGTTACCACCAAATACGAGCCTTTCAGAGAGATAATGAGGCCCTTTGTGGAAATTAATCCCAGCAATATTCATTGCTCAACCCTCAGTTCTAAATTTCCTCCTGACCATCAGTCTGATGCCTTGGTTAGAGTTCTGTGACTTTTTCATTTTCTCTGTGCTTTAGGAACATACATAAGAATTGTAAAGGTGGACACCAGACTGGAAAAAAAAAAAAAGTTCTATAGAGCCATTGAGAATCTTTGAGTTCAAGGTTAGACATTTAGTGTCATCATTCCTTCATTGTCATCAAGTATATTCCTTAATTAGAAAGCCTGGATCACTCTACCTAATTTATTGCCTCCAAAGTAATTTGAAACAGAAAAAAATATTAAAATTCTATTTTAAATTATCTAATGCAAGTCAAACTGGAGTATAAAAGAGGATTGAGACACAATATTTTACTTACCAATTCAGAGAATTGTGTGCCTGGAAGACACACCTGTTCATAACTCACTCAATCACAAAAAATGAAAATAAAATAAATCCGGAACTAGAAAAATTTTTAGAAATCATCTACTCTTACTCCCGCATTTCAAAGATAAGCAAGTTGAAGCTCGGAGAAGAAGGGATTGAGCGTTTATTGAACGAATATTATGTGATAAGCATTTTTTTTCTTTTTTTTTTTTTTTGAGACGGAGTCTCCTCTGTCCCCCAGGCTGGAGTGCAGTGACGTGATCTCGGCTCACTGCAACCTCTGCCTCCTGGGTTCAAGCCATTCTCCTGCCTCAGCCTCCCAAGTAGCTGAGATTACAGGCACCCCTGCCATCATGTCCAGCTAATTTTTATATTTTTATAGAGATGGGATTTCACCATGTTGGCTAGGCTGGTCTTGAACTCCTGACCTTAGGTAATCTGCTAGCCTCGGCTTCCCAAACTGCTGGGATTACAGGCGTGAGCCACTGCGCCCAGCCATGACAACCATTTTACACATGATCTCTTGAAACTGTAACTGTCCTACTTGGCGGCCAATAGTAATCTCAATTTTAGAGATGAGAAAACAGAGGTTCAAGAGGTTAAAAAAACTTGCCTGATGCTTTTTAGTTAGTCTGTAGTTAATTCCACGTCCAAAACTCAGTTCTCCCTAAAAGTGGATGCATTTTTCTAGAAGGGGAAGTCAAAATACTTTGTACTACTTTGAATGTTCTGAGAGTGTCTTGCTCTATTTGAAATTTTTGAGAATTTCTTGCTGTATTTGAAATTTGTGAGAATGTCTACAATGACAACATCTTTAAAAACTATATTTAAAGTGTTTTGTATTTCTGAATCACGGGGAGTAATTCTGCCAATGATATAAACAGACATTTTGGACCTCTTGGAAGCATTTTAAAAATAGTCAATTAATTCTATATAAATAACAAAATAAACAAATCTTTGGGCAGGTTCATGCATTTCTTTGGTTTGTAGTGTCAAGCCTCTGAGTTTGGGAAGTAATTGTTTGATTTCAGAATCCAAATAATGTTGATGATACCTTACCCACATCCACAACTAGCCAGAAGTAACCCCACCATTTTTGAAATCTGAAAAAAACATTGTTTGTATGTCTATTTTAGAACTATTCATTATATATAATCTTTGTGTATCCATAAAATATATATAAATATTATGTATATGTCCATTTCTCTATGTGCCTCCAATGAGGCTTATCACAAATTTTGCTTATGTATAGCAGTCCATAAAACCACATGGTTGAAATTATACTGATCATTTATTCACCTGTTCATTCAAAAAGCACTTGCTTAAACCTGTACACAAATATTTATAGCTCTTATAATTGCCAAAAGCTGGAAACAACCCAAATGTCCAGCAACGAACTGTGTTATATCCATATAATGGACTATTACTCAACAATAAAAAAGGAAGCCACAACTGATACACGCAACAAACTTTGATAATCTCAAAGTCCTTATGGTTGAGTAAAAGGAGCCAGCCTCAAAAGACTACATACTGTATGATTCAATTTATATGACATCCTAGGAAAAAACAGAACTACAGTAATGAAGAATAGATCAGTGATTGGCAAGGGGGAGGAGAAGGGGAGGGTGTGACTCCAGAGTGATAGCACAGGAAGTTATTTAGTGTTCTGTATCCTGATTGTGGTGGTGGTTACCCAAATCTATACACATGTTAAAATTTATACACTTAAACATAGAAAGAAAAAGAAGTCAATACTACTATGCATTTCTTTTTAATGTTTAAGCACTTATTGTATGCTAGGCACTGTGCTATCTTGAGGCAAGAGCAATGACAGACCCTATCCTCAAAGAGTGCAATGAGTTAAGGCATGAATATAAATACAAAGTAACTACAACACAAAAATATTTGTTACCTGATAACTAAAAAATAAAAACAGCAAATGTTATAAGAAATTAAAGGAAAAAGAGATCATTTGTAGCTTAACTACACAGAAAATGCTTCAGAGTAGAGGTTGCATTGGATCTCACTTTCAAGAGCCAGAAAAGGCAAATGATCATTCCATGAGAAAATTTAGAAAGATTATCTTGTCAATAGTGTGCAGAAAGGTGTCTCAGTCTGTTTTCTGTTGCTCACAACAGAATACCTGAACCTGGGTAATTTACAAAGAAAAGGAATTTGTTTTTTAAAGTTATGGAATTTGGCCGGGCGCAGTGACTCACGTCTGTAACCCCAGCACTTTGGGAGGCTGAGGCAGGTGGATCACTTGAGGTCAGGAGTTCGAGACCAGCCTGGCCAATATGGTAAAACCCTGTCTCTACTAAAAACACAAAAATTTAGCTGGGCGTGGTGGCATGCACCTGTAATCCCAGCTACTTGGGAGGCTGAGGCAGGAGAATTGCCTGAGCCTGGGAGGCAGAGGTTGCAGCAAGCCGAGATCACGCCATTGCACTGCAGCCTGGGCAAGAAGAGCAAAACTTCGTCTCAAAAATAAATAAAATAAAATAGTTATGGACCTAAGAAGTCTAGCTTCAAGGGGCCTCATTTGGAGAAAGCCTTCTTGCTGGTGGGAACTCTCTGCAGAGAACTGAGGTGGCATGGGGCATCACATGTAAGGGGGCTTAGCATGCTGGCTCAGGTCTTTCTCTTCTTTTGAAGCCACCAGTATGACTCCCATGATAATTAATTGACCTATTAATGGATTAATGTATTCATGAGGGCAGAGCCCTCAAGACCCAATCACTTGTTAAACATCCCATCTTTCAAGACTGTCACATTGGGGATTAAGTTTCAACACGAATTTTGTAGGGGACAAACATTCAAATCACAGCAGAAGTGATGCAACAAAAAGGGCCTAGAGGTAGAAAGCATGCTTAAACAGAAGACAAGGAATGTGGAAAGAGCCTGAGCTAGGGTGCTGGCCATGTAACCTGGCACGGCCTTCCAGGCAGCTGGATACACACTTGGGCCCCCCTCCCACCTCAGGTTGTACCGCCTTTCCCGGCAGAATCGATGTACACCTTACATGTATTTGATTGATGTCTGTTTGTAACTTCTGTCTCCCTAAAATATATAAAATCAAGCTATAACCCATCCACCCTGGGCACATGTTCTCAGGACTTAAGACTGTGTCTCAGGACTTGGTCACTCATATTTGGCTCAGAATAAATACCTTCAAATATTTTACAGAGTTTGACTCTTTTTCATGAGCAATCTGCTAAGAGGGAGAATAGCAGAGGCTACACCTGGGCCTTTTGTTCCACAGCAAGAGGTTTGAATCTTTATTCAAACTTAAAAGTATTTTAAGTTCTAGAAATTGTTCTAGATTCTTTTAGAGATTAGAGATTGTCCTAGAGTTGTATAATAATGTGAATAGTTAACAGTTGAACTTTACTCTTAAAAAACGGTTAATATAAATTTGACATTGTGTTCATTTCCAGAATTAAAAATTAAATATAAAAAAATTAGACAGTAATGATGATTATACAACTCTGTGAATACACTGCAAACCACTGAATTGTATATGTTAAATGGATAAAATATATGGCATGCAAATTATATCTCAATAAAGTGGCTTTAAAATTTTTTTAAAGTATGGGAAACTGCATGACATAATTTTTTAAATATCAAATAATAAACAATCCCTTGACCGGGCATGGTGGCTCACACCGGTAATCCCAGCACTTTGGGAGGCGGAGACTGGCAGATCTCTTGAGCTCAGAAGTTCGAGACCAGCCTGGCCAACATGGTGAAACCCCATATCTGTAAAACAAACAAACAAAAATATACAAAATTAGCTGGGTGTGGTGGTGCGCACCCATAGTCCGAGCTACTCAGGAGGCTGAGGCAGGAGAATCGCTTGAACCCAGGAGGCAGAGGTTGCAGTGAGCCGAGATCATGCCACTGCACTCCAGCCTGGGCAACAGAGTGAGACTCTGTCTCAATCAATCAATCAATCAATCAGTCAATCAACAATCCCTCAAATCACAATTTAAAACTCCTTATTGAGGTGGAAATAAGGAAAGAATTTTCATAGATTTTATAAAATAAAGAATAAGAAAATAATACATGATAATTTCTTAAGTATTGGCTTCTTTCATAATAAAGAAATTATGTTGAAAAAAATGAAAATGACATATACAGAATAAAGTAAGTTTATCACATAGCTTGTAGTAACAAGGAAAATGAAACAGTACTGGATGTACATTGTTACAGTTTTAGTATTAAACCACAATCAACATGCAACAGAGGAGACCCACAAAGGAATGTGAACGCAATGAAACTTTTATTGTGTATCATTATGAATTATGTAAAACTATTATCAACAGCACAATAAAAAATGCATGCAAGCCATTAAAATAAGCAAAGCATATCAACAAAGATTGAGGACATGAAATGGCCTTGTGTTCTCATTCAGTTGAAGTAATTACAAATTTTACTGGGCTCTTGGTTAAAAAGGAAACATAGTCGCCACAAGTATTTACTGAAACATTACCTATTTGCCTATTTATGATGATTTCATTCTTAAGATTCCTCAGTGGATCTAAAGGACAATGCTGCTACTAAACAAAGCCGTCCAATACATTTATTCTTATTCTCCAACTTTAAAAGGAAGCATCTTAAACATGAAAGTGCTATTCACTGCTGATAGATGAAATAAAGAAAAAGCAGAGTGAACATTGATATTCTGTAATAGGACAGACTCCACGGGATTGAGTGATCTTGTTATTGTAGTAACTAAGAGACCATAAAAATCAGGACACAAGACATTCAACTCCTGTTTATCTAGGAGAGGTAACAGGGGACGGCCAAAAAACATGGGATTATAAACTCTACAATGGCATTTTGGTTGGCATTTCAATTTCTTCTCATATTTGCCACATTAAATCAGAAGATAAAAGGTTTTTTTTTGTTTGTTTTGTCTTTTGTTTTTTTTTTGAGATGGAGTTTCGCTCTTGTTGCCCAGGCTGGAGTGCAACAGCGCGATCATGGCTCGCCACAACCTCCGCCTCCTGGGTTCAAGCGATTCTCCTGCCTTGGCCTCCCGAGTAGCTGGGATTACAGGCATATGTCACCATGCCCGGCTAATTTTGTATTTTTAGTAGAGACGGGGTTTCTCCATGTTGGTCAGGCTGGTCTCCAACTCCCGACCTCAGGTGATCCGCCCGCCTCGGCCTCCCAAAGTCCTAGGATTACAGGCATGAGCCACCATGCCTGGCCTCAGAAGATAAAAGTTAAAAAAAAAAAAATAGTTGATTTAATCAGGCCCTTTCCATTCCCCTGTGTGTGGCTAAAATGGAATTAAAGAAAAGGAAGGAGGAGAGTGCTGAATATAGAGTACCTGGAAAATTGACTCAAGGAAAACATGCCCACAGTGGGAAAATGGTCTCACGCAGTAATACAATCTAGAAGGAAATACCCATGGCAACCATCTCAGACCCCTTGCTTCCAATTCCTCACTTGCTGGTCAGCTCTTGTACTGACTTATGTTTCTCATAGCAAGTCACTTCCAGGCCTCAGGCTCCAGCTATTAAAAAGGGGATGGGTGTAAGGCACTGGACTGGACATCTAAGGACTGTTTAAAGACAATATGGAAGAACAATTCTCATATGAGCAGTTATAGTTTTCCTGCTGAGATTTCCTAGCAAGGAATAATTGCTTAGTAGTTAGAACTAGCAGTAGCAGTTTCAGTTTCAACACCAGAGGAAAATAAATACATTAATAAATAGTAGTGGTAGTGGTAATAATTAATGAATTCACATAGCAGTATACAAGACACTATTGCTAACTAAAAATGAGAAATGGGGAGAGAGAGAGCTGATAAGGCATGATTTCCCATTTTCAAAAACAGAAGAAAGGCATTCACAAACGTCATACAGTATCTATATATGGTGGCTAAAACATAAACAGTCTGTGAAATGCAATGGCTCATAGAAGAGCAAGACTCCCAGCATTGCCCAGAGCAGGTCTAAAGATCCAGTGAACACCTCCACCACACCAGACCACACTCACATACTCAGCTGTGCCCTCAAGTGCTCTTTCATCCTGAGACCAACCACCTGAGCCCCAGATCTGAGATTAAGCACAGGGGTTTGTCACGCGTTCTGATGCAGATGAGGCGTACCACACCCTGGAAAGTTGACACAACCACCACAGAGGGTTAAGCTGTGACCCGAAGCTCAAAAATCAGGTCCTGGTCGAAGACCTCTAAGAAACTGATGCAGCAATGATAACTTGCTTCACACAAGGAGGAGCTGGTATCACCTGATCCTAATTTTGGGCATATCATGTGGACCAAGGGACCTGGTCAATGTCACAGGCTCAGGATGACAGAGGACTGCATGCCAGCTTTCCCTGAACCCTGCTGTCAGGGTGGCATGCCCTCTCTGAGAGCTTTCAGGGCCATGAATCTCTCCAAAGCCATTTCTAGTTTCAGTCAATGACCAGCTTTGTGTGACTCTTCAAGCCAACCTGTGTCCAAACAGGCATCACATCCACATCTCATACTCACTGTTGGCATGAAGCATTTTCTTGTGGCCTCAGGAATTCACCTTCTGAAATGGGTAATAACAAAATATGCAATTTAGTTCTTTTTTGTTCACCTTGTTCAAAGTTAATATGATTGTATGATACTTTAAAGTGTCTTCAATTCTCTTTTTGTCATTGAAGCTGTGAGACTAAATTCTTGAAGTTTAGACTTTATAGGGGAACCTATGAAGGTGCAAAGTCTATTCATTTGAATAATAGTATTGTCTGAATTTTGAAGTCATGTAAGAGCAGGATAGTAACACCAAACACCTTTCTGATTTCAAATCATCATGTATCAAACATCAGACCCACGGTCTATCAAGCCCATCAAACCACTTGAAAGCAACAGGATAAAACTGAAACAGTGGCAGAGACAATCTCCCTACTTCATCTTTGAATTACTGTAACAGTAATAACCAGGTCTTTTCCAGTTATATATCTCTTCTCTGTAACTCAAATAAAGTACATTTATATTGAAAAACTCGGCCGGGCACAGTGGCTCACGCCTGTAATCCCAGCACTTTGGGAGGCCAAGGCGGGTGGATAACTTGAGGTCAGGAGTTCGAGACCAGCCTGACTAACATGGTGAAACCCTGTCTCTACTAAAAATACAAAACTTAGCCAGGCGTGATGGTGCACACCTGTAGTCCTGGCTACTCGGGAGGCTGAGGCAGGAGAATTGCTTGAACCTGGGAGGCGGAAGTTGCAGTGAGCTGAGATCGCATCACTGCAGTCCAGCCTAGCAACAGAATAAGACTCCATCTCAAAAAAAAAAAAAAAAAAAGAAGAAGAAAAAGAAAAACTCTACTACCACATATGAAGAAACCTAAATGACTGGAAGGCAACATCATTGTCCTCCACTCATTTTTAAAGTATTTTAGGAAATTCTGCTCTTCAATATTGGTGGTGAAACTGAAAAACGTGTTGACACACTCCTTTGTATAACACACATATCTGGTTTTAATGCAGACTTCCCTGTTCATGGTTATACCCAACATTAACTGAGCAACTGCTCAGTAGTAGAGTTTTTCAGGAACTAAGTCATTTGCATATATGATTTTATTTAATCCTTCTAACTCTAGGCAGTAGATACTACCACTTCCTCCACTGCACAGCTAGGGAATCTGGGTGTTTAGGTAACCTGTCGCAGGTCACTCAGCAGAATCAGGCTTGAATCCAGACAGTGTGATTCCAAAGCCCATACCCCTCACCACTTCTCGAAGCATTCTACTAATTTCTGTCAGAACTATGGGTCATTTAGAAAAGGTAACCATTTTTCCTTTGAGGCTCAGCCTCTTCACTCCTTGTCTATTCCTTCCACTTTCCTTCCTGCTTCCTGTCAGGCTGTCTAATGTATACCTTTGGATTTCCTCAGTGTTCTTTTCCGGGCACCGCGAGGAACCTGGCCTCCCTGTGGCTCCCAGTTGCCCACAGGGCTGAGCCTGCTGGGAAACCCAAGCCGCTGGCCACTGGCGACAGACACAGCAGCACTGCCTGGGAATTGTGAAGTTACTTACCTCCATGTACACATCGAGCTCCCAGACTCAGGTAAGACCACATCCCCTGACCCTTCCAAGGGATGCATTTATTTTCATGGTTACACAGAAGTGAGGAGCTCTCAGACTCTCTGAGAGAACTGCTGAACTTAGCAATGTAAACTCAAAGCAAAATGAATAGGTGCTGATCTAAGCTTTCCTTCTCTTATACTTACTCATACTCTAATGTGTACAGAGTAGGAAATTTTGGAAACTTGGGAGTAAAACCTGCTTCATTAAATATTTCTTTAGGGTTACTGGGAACTAAAAGTTTGGTGAAAATTTCTCTGGAAGCGCTTAGGGTCATTTTAAATAAATTATGAATTGATTAGCAGATATGCTGAATTTGTTAGATGCCTATATCAAGGGCTTCCGTTGGAAAGAAGCTGTCCTGTTTCTGCAGATTTTTCTGAGAGAATGTGAATGATGACATCTGACTGTTGCAGCAGGCAATAGCGCGTGGGTTCCCCAGACCCGTGTGTCCACCTTCAACCAGTTCCTTCACTTCTTCAAACCTCAGCGTCTCTGTAAAAAGTTGGGGCATTAACATTCCTCGCCTAAGGTTACTGCAAAGATCAAATGACATCATGTCTGTGAAAATGTCTCGCACAGGCACTGGAAGAGTAGACATTTCATAAATGGTAGTTTTATTTAATTTCATGTCATTTTAAGGGAGGGGCAGATGTAAAAGCTTGTTATTGAGAAATAAGGAAACAGAAGCCACAAATTTGTGGTCTGCAATTTTTCCTTCACATGAGAAAACTGTTCACCAAAGCTATATTTGCAAACAGGAATACCAGAATCTTTTACAATATTTCTCCCACTAAAACCTCAACTTTTAGTAATTGGACACTTCAAAGTTTGGCTATACAATCTTTTCCTGCAATATACATATTTACAATATAAAAATCAAGACAAAAAATACACAGTCTGAGTCAATAGGGAAGGCAGATAATCAGATGTAAATGTTAGGTTCCACAGCCTATCAGAAAAGAAATCATCATTTACAAAGATGATAAATATAGTGCTCACAATAAGAAAATTAGTAAATCAGAAACTCTACACAATAAAAAACATTTATGAAGAAGGCTTATGTGGAAAAATTACATTTCCATCTTTAAAATTATCTGCAAATTACCTAAAATTTCGTTTTCAGCATTATTTCCTTTTTTTTTTTTTTTTTTTTTTTTTGAGATGGAGTCTGTCTCCATTGCCCAGGCTGGAGTGCAATGGCGCAATCTTCGTTCACTGCAACCTCCGCCTCCCGGGTTCAAGCGATTCTCCTGCCTTAGCCTCCCAAGTAGTTGGGATTACAGGCACCCGCCACCATGCCCAGCTAGTTTTTTTTTTTTTTTTTTTTTTTCCTAGTAGAGACAGGGTTTCACCATGTTGGCCAGGCTGGTCTCAAACTCCTGACCTCAGGTGATCCTCCCGCCTCGGCCTCCCAAAGTGCTGGGATTACAGGCGTGAGCCACCGTGCCTGGCCTATTTCCAGTTTTTTTTTTTTAAGATTAATAAAATGGAGTCGCCATTGCTTTGTTCAACATTTCCCTTTGAGTAATAACATAATTAATCTACTGAAAAGAGGAGCCATGGGGGCTTATAAAGAAATGCTGTAATACATGTCAGCCCAACAACAACAAAATGTGCAACAGAACAGCCCAGAAAGAAAACTGAAATGGGAACCTCTGATAAGAATTTTTCTTTGCATGAGGCTCCTGGGCCTACAACTAAACAAGTATCGCACTGCCCAAGTAGCTGGAAGGCATTTCCTATTTAAAGGGTGCAATCACTAGAAAGGAGTTCAGGCCACAGTGACTGTCAGCAAGCTCAGATTACAGCAAAACCTCTGAAGTTATTTCCAAAACATAATCAGAGCTCTCCTCTGCACAGTCAGAGCAGTGGCAAATTCCTAGAACTGATTTTTGTTGCTGAGTTCAGCACTAAACAATCTCTGAGAAAGCTCAGATTAGCCAGGCTGAATAAACAAGAAACAAACCAAAAAAATTTCCAGTGGAGTTTCAGCCACAACTAAATGAGTTGTCCTGTTTTACCAAAAATTCATGCACATAGCTAAGCACTCTCCTCATCTTCAAAAAAAAACTATAGTTGTCCAACTTTCTAAAATTCTCTTAAGTTTGATAATGTTAAAAACAATGATAGTGAGACCTCCACTATTCTTTCCCTCAGATATACAAATAATATATCTAAAGCAAGTACATGGTATTTTGATAAAAATTGTCTATAGCCACACAAGCTGTATTATTTCTGCCCATGTTTTAAAAATTAAGAGTCTTTAGTTGAAATCCATCCTAATTACCCCAGCCCAAAGTATAGAAGAACAAAAAGTTACAGGGTTCTCTAAAAGCTTTTTGTTAAGAAACAAGCCCCATTTTAAAGAAAAATCTTAAAGGATCTATAGGAATAGATACAATTTCAGGAAGAATTTCATATCTTCAAGTTTATGTTTAAGAAGAAATACAACTGGTTAAATCAAATTTAATAACGTATTTATTTTAAGAATAAAATGCCCTCTTTTGTTGGTGCCAGAATTTGTGTTCATACTTTGTTGTCACTAGTGGTACAGATTCTCTTCTACTAAAATTTAGTTGAGGGTGTTTGAAAGACCTCAAATGGGCTTCTCTGGGTATCGTTTCTCAAGGCTCCCACAGAGTGAAAAACCAAACAGTCACAGAATAAACTCTTATAGA
Source organism: Homo sapiens (assembly GCF_000001405.40). NCBI lineage: Eukaryota > Metazoa > Chordata > Mammalia > Primates > Hominidae > Homo > Homo sapiens. The sequence goes on along the minus strand of NC_000009.12, from coordinate 75,147,911 downwards.
GGCAGTTATTCATTTCCTGAGCTAACCCACTTCCTTCTTCATACATTTCCTTCTCTTCATCAACGTGTTTTTTGAAATTAGCATTGAAATCATCTTGCAAAATATACTTTTGGACCTAGGGCCGGGATTCTAGGCAAATTCCAATGGCCATGTCATTTTTACATCATCACTGTAGTGATACAAAATTAGAACGCCAAATGAAGTGTCATGTCAGTAGTACAGAAGGCTCCCTGCAATGCTAATTGTGTTTCAGCAAAAGAATCTGAATCATTATGAACTAGATCCATACTGTGAGAAAACAAATGTTATTAAAAAAACTGAATGCAAAAAATTTCATGGTTCCTGACTACTCCATATGGAAAAGTATGGCATCTATCATAAGGAAATAAATTTTTTTAACCTTTCAAATCTTAGCGAAACTGTAATGAGTTGTTGGGTTTCTCCACTCTAAATACAACCTTGGAGATAAAAACTGGAAGTCTCACAATTATTAAATTTACCTATTTTATTAGACATGCACCTTCTCAATGATTATTGTCCTGACTTTGATCAAAGCTAACACAAGAAGTTGAACTAAAATGTGGCTCTCATTATTCTTCTGTGCTAATAAATATAAAATATAATTTAAAAAATAAAATCAGTTCTTACCTAAATATAAAAAGCTTTACTTACTTAACGACAATGAGTGATACCACAGAAACGGACAAAAGAAATAAAGTCTCTCAAAATGTTTATTTTTGTCAGAATAGCTGACAATTTTCTGTTAAGTATTTTGGTTTATTATTATAATAAGCATTTCCCCCCCTTGAAAAATCCATTCAAAATATCTCAACCATTGAGGTAAAGCATTTTAACTAAAAAAAAAAAAAAAAAAAAAATCCTAATTTGTTTTTAAAGAAAAAAAAAAATCTTAAAATTCCTTTTGCTTGATAAATAGAAATAATATCTTCTTGTTCTACTTTGGTGAACATAAATGTGCCAAGAATCCAGTCACTTACTGGCAAACCAAAGGTGGGAACAATTCATTTACACGTTCTACTCAAACACAGTGCAACACTGCCGTGTTCATATATAATTTTCTTTATAGTTACCAACACTTTTCTGGCAAAGACAAAGTTTTGGAATGGCAAAAGCAACAGAAGTTTTAGATCTCAAAGCTCCAGAAAGGAATTAATCTGAGTCTTCATCATCGAGATAGTCCTCGGCATTGCTTAATGTTCGAACTGCATCTGAAAGAAAGAGGAGGGAAAAAAGCAAAATAGGGAAATTATAAACTGCTCAGATTTTATTTTTTCATTTTCAAAGCTCTTAAATTAGAATAGAATCTTCCATCTGACCCAGGGATTGTACTTTCCCTGAGGATCTTTCTCTGCTTTTGCTTTTCAGCCTAACCATTAAGTTTCTGTTGCCACAGAGGCTGATGATGCGTTCCACAGTCATGCAGAAGTTTTGGTCCTAGGTGCCATGCATCCATTTCCAACAGAAAGGCCTAGCCACAGGCACCATGACCAACATGATACACCACCAGCAGCACTCCACTCTGACAACTGAGCTTCCAACCTCCTCTCCCAGTGACAGCCTGAGGTCTTGCCTAAAGGCAAAGTCACTAGGTAGGACGTTAACTACCGAAGGGGAAAAAGGAAAAGAAAGAATGAAAACAAAGAAGCTTCCATTTCAATGTAGAAAACACCGACAATAAAGCAAAAGGCTGAAATGGGGGGGAAAAGTTTTAAAATAGAGCTGGACCCCATCAAATGTTCAAGCAAACTTGAACAGGACTCAAAAGGAAGACATCTGATCTTTCACAGTCACCCCTTCAACTGTCTAGTCAAATTCCTATAGCAACAGATTAGCCCAAGTATAATTTTAGTGGGAAAAACAGAATGCAAACACAAGCACATTGTTGAAGTTCAATAAATATATGTCACAGCACCCAGATCTTCATGATCTCTAAGTATCACATCTCTGAAGCTTATTATACATATGACCGGTTCCAAGTATGGGGCAGGAAGTGTAAGGGATGGACCTAGAACCCTAGTCATGTCATAAAGCAAGCATCCTAACAAAGACAGCATCACGTGAAAGGGTCTGAGATTCAACTTAAAGAGGCCTCCACTAGCCAAAGATGGGCTATTGATAAAGCTACTAATTGGAATGGATTAAAGCACATTAAATATTTCAAGGCACACCAAAAAGAACTCATCTGTCACCCTTTGGAGGATGACAGAGACCAGCTTATTATTTTAAAACCTCTTAAATAAAGGTCAAAAATCAAGCATTTATCCTGCCCTTGCTACATTAACTGTTCCTCTGCGTAACAAAACAATTGATGAGGGAAAACTTTTCCTAATAGAATGTTCCAGCTAATAACTCAAAAAGAAGTGATTTAATTAGAATATCATCATTTTGTGCCGTTTAGTGAAGTAACAGATCTAGGCAACGATCATCAATGGATGTCACATCACAGGAAGAGTGACAACCAGGTATCATGTGCCCCTGATAAAAGAACACAATATTCTATATGATTTATTATTCCTTCTACTACCAAGAAAGATACATGATTAGGTAGGTAGGTAGATAGGTAGGTAGGTGAAGAGATGGATAGATTGAACCTAAATTGGATCAAACCTCTGGCTAGCTAGCTAGATTTGATACATAGCTAGGTAGGTAGGTAAGTAGGTAGGTAGGTAAGTAGATGGATAGAACCTAAATTAGATCAAACCGATAGATAGATTAGATAGATAGATAGGTAGATAGATAGATAGATAGATAGGCAGGCAGATACATGATTGATTCATGATTGATTGATTGATAGAATGAACCTAAATTGGATCAAACCTCTAAATCTAACACTAATTGACAAAAACATAAAGGACAGAGGAACATGACAAATAACACCATGGGAATGCAGTTAGCAATGTCCACAATGGGAAATTCAAGTGAGTTGACCCAGTTTCTTTAATAAATAAATTGCAAGGTTAAAAAGGGGGAAGAAGAGAGGGAAAGGAACTATTGCTTAAAAAATAAATAAAGAGACATATCTACCAATCACAAACTGACCTTATGTGAATCCTGACTTAAATAAACCATAAGTAAATAAATAAGTAAAAACAAAGATGTATGAGAAAATGGAAGTTTGGACAAGGACAAGATATTTGATGATATTAAGGAATATTAAGGAATTATTTTTTAGGTATGCTAATGCTCTTTTAAAAAAAAAAGTTTTCATGTTTACATGTTTTGGAAAATGATTATTGAGAAAAAGAAAAGAAGAAGGGATGATCAGTACAAGGGAGGTGGAAGCCGATTTATCTTGCAAGAGAGAGAAGGAAAGATAAAGCAGAACAGAGGCCAAGTCTCTTTTCTGGATCTCATTCTGTCACCCAGGCTGCAGTGCAGTGGTACAATCATGGCTCACTGCAGCCTTGACTTTCTGGACTCAAGTGATCCTCCCACCTCAGCCTCCCAAGTAGCTAAGACTACAGGCATGCAGCACCACACTCAGCTAGTTTTTAATTTTTTTTGTAAAGACGTCATCTCACTATGTTGTCCAGGCTAGTCTTGAACTCCCAGATGCAAGCAATCCTCCCTGCCTCCCAAAGTGCTGGGATTACAGGTGTGAGCCGCCACACCTGGCCATGTTTCACTGACTTCACACCAGCCTTCAAGCTACTGGAAGTCTCCAGGTTGACTCTATTCTTCTCCACTCTCCTCAAGAGGAGTTCACAAGAAGTGGGAGGAATATATTTTGTTCTCCCCCAACACACACCCAGGACCTTCAGGACTTCATGTCAACTTGGTAAAATGTAGCTTTCTAAGCTAAAGCCTGAGAGACAAATAGGAAAACTCTGTCCCCTTCTACTCCACTATCCTAAGTTTTGCCCATATTCTGTGTCCTTGGATGGTTACTTCTGCTCTTTATTTTATTCTTACTTCTATTAAAAAGAGAGGATGATTTGCCACAGTGCAGACTCTGACTGAGTGGTCATCAAAAGACAGGCACAAGTCAGCAAATAAATTCCTTCTCCTTCTTTCCTTTCATGAACTGTTCTGAGGCAGTTTTCCCACATGGTCAGGTGTTGTGTGATGAGCCTGTATCTCTTCACAGCCCACCTCTGGGCATAGCACGCATAGGAATGTATCTTCCTGCAGCACTGCCATCCTTCCCTAGCTCACGTTCATTTTACCTCAGTCCCATCACCCTGGCTTTACATATCTCAAATCAAGAACCAGCACTTAAAACCAACCAACAAACATACAAACAATAAATAAATGATGGAGAAATAAACACAGGCATATGGATGACTCTCACAGACATAATGTAAATGAAAGAGGTCAGTCACAAAAAGTACATACTGTTTGATTCCATTTACATAAAGTTCACGAACGGGCAGAACTAATCTATGGTGAGAGAAGCAGAAGACACTGAGGGAGGCATGTGGCGTGTGGGAACTGTTCTCTAGCTTCATCTGGGTTGTGGTGAACAGGTGTAAAAAAAATTAATCAAGCTGTATGCTTAAGATTTATGTACTTACTTAATGTAAATTATACACAAATTTTTAAAAGTTGGAAAAAAATGTTAAAGGGCTCAACTCGAGTATAACCCCCAGCCCTATATCCTAGTTATCTTCCATAGTAACTGCAAAATGTGAATTTTTGTACTTATTAAAAAATCCACATTGTGCTTCTAAAAGTAGACAACAACTACCTTGGGAGGCCAAGGCAGGCAGATCGCTTGAGGTCAGGAGTTCGAGACCAGCCTGGACAAAAAAGGTGAAACCCCATCTCTGATAAAAATACAAAAATTAGCCGGGCATCGTGGCTCATGCCTGTAATCCCAGCTACTCAGGAGGCTGAGGCAGGAGAATCACTTGAGCCCGGGAGGCGGAGGTTGCAGTGAACTGAGATTGTGTCACTTCACTCCAGCCTGGGCAACAGAGTGAGACTCTGTCTCAAAAAAAAAAAAAAAGTGGACAACAATATCAGAATATACCTTTTCCAACTTAGAGTTCATGCTGACAATTAACTCTATGGCCAAATAGTCCAAACCTATTCCAATGAGGATCACAATACAAATTAACTGTATAATTGGGGAAATGAAGCAAGAAAAAACATTTTAAAAGTAACATGAAAATTGAAATATAAAAACTCATTTCTTGGCTCTGTCTGCCAGGCCCTAAGATTACCTCATTAATGAATCTATTACCTAATCAGTTCAAATTCAGGAAGGTAGACTAAACACACTTGGGGTGCACAGAGAAAAGAGTACCTGCCTCCCAGCCCTGTTCTACGAAGGCTGCAGAAAGGCTCATTACCTGCCTCCCTCAACTCAAACCACTCCTGAGTAAGGCTTCTGGGTAAGCTCTCTGAGGTCTAAGAAAGTTTGGTATATGCCTTGTCTATCAAAATGGAGCTCATAGCATGCATTAGACTCTGATACCTTCAGGTCATAAGAAGCCTTACTCTTCGGTCAGGACAGGCTAAGGGTAGCCACACAACAGGAAGTCAGTGGCAGAGAAAGGAAGTTAGGCCAGACTCCTACTTCCTGACCCAATCAAGGCAGCAAGGAGTAGGAGGTCGAACTCAAGCAGAAGTATGTCTCTCACACTATTGCAAATATGGCTTCTCAATCATAATGTAGCTGGGGAGCACCAGCTCAGCTGATACTTTCCCATTCCCTTAGTAGAACCCATCTCCATCTATCCATGAGGAATTACTTTAAAGAAAGGCTTGCACTCCCAGTGAGCTCTCATGGATTAATTAAGGAATACCAACTGATTAGCAGTTACACTATATTCAAACTGAAGTTAAAAAAAGAAAAGAAATCTGGAACAAAGACATATCTAGAATAAAGAACAAAAGGAGGCTGGGCACAGCGGCTCTCGCCTGTAATCCCAGTGCTTTGGGAGGCTGAGGCAGGAGGATGGCTTGAGTCCATGAGTTCGAGACCAACCTGGACAACATGGCAAGACCCCTATCTCTACATTAAAAAAAAAATTAGCTGGGCATGATGACACATGCCTGTAGTCCCATTTTCTCAGGAAGCTGAGATGGGAGGATCACGTGAGCCTAGGAGTTTGAGGCTGCAGTGAGCTATGATTGCACACCTGCACTCCAGGCTGAGCAACAGAGTAAGACTCCATCTAAAAAAATAATAATAATGTACATTTAAACTCTATTTTAAAAAACCACCCATAATACTATGAATAAAGTCCAGAAGATTTAGCAAAGTCTAGAATAAATTTGATTACAGTTTACTGATATCCTCATTTAAAACAGAAATAAAATATAATCATGGAGCTATTAAATGTTATTTTTAAAAATATTTAGTGGTAATCACTCATAAATACATATTTAAATGAGGGAATGAAGATGATCGTTCTCTGAAAAGGACTGTAATGGAAAGCAGGGTGATTAGAACTTAATTGCAAGGAATAAAAGAAACACACAATAAAGGTAAAAGATTATGTTTCTTGTCTAATTTCTGTTTAATTGAGGGTGTCCTATTTTGGGGGTTCTCATTAAGATCAAGGATATTGAAACAAACTTCAGAATCATCTGAAGAGTTTATCTTTTTTTTTTTTTTTTTTTTTTTTTTTGGTTTTCTTTTTTTGAGATATGGTCTTGCTCTCACCCAGGCTGGAATGCAGTGGTGCGATCACAGCTCACTGCAGCCTCAACCTCCCAGGGCTCAAGTGATCCCCCAGCTCAGCCTCCTGAGTAGCTGGGACTACAGGCCCACACCACAATGTCTGACTAATTTTTGGTACTTTTTGTAGAGACAGAGGTCTCACTTTATTGCTCAGGCTGGTCTCCAACTCCTGGGCTCAAGTGAACCTCCTGCCTTGGCCTCCCAAAGTGCTGGGATTACAGGTATAAGCCACTGCACTCAGCTGAGTTTATCTCTTTTGCGCCATTCTAAGTTAATAAATCTTAGTTATGGGGCACCAGAGGAGAAAGAAGAATTTAAAACAAATACCTGTTCCCTGTTTCTTTTTCAGGAGAGATGCACAGGCAGCATTGGTAGCCATGTCGAAGGCCAGCTTCTTCTCAATGTTTCTTAAGTCTGTTCTAGCACCTTCCCAACACAAGAAAAGTCAATTAGGTGTCTTTGAAGACTATATAGTAGTAGCCAATCCTCTCTCCCCACAGCTAACAACTTTTGGCAAAATAAACTAGTGAACAACTCTGGCTCAGAAGTAAACGTTCTCAAAACAATAAACTTTCTCATGCAGTATAATTTGGCATCTTTAATCGGGAAGCTTGTTGCTGCACCTGTGATAACAATTAATTCCGAACCTTTTGAGTCCCTATAGAATTGCATGTGAACTTTTCAGTGAGGAGTTTATGGTCCCTGTGGGGCTTGACTTCAATGAGCCCTTTGCTTCCTCTTTTGCTCAAGAGGGTCTTTAGAAAAGACCAAGTGGATAGTGCTTGAGGGGATTAATATTTTATATCTGTAAGTCTGCTCTCATGCAAATTAACAGAATAGCAACACGTAAAACCAAGAGGCAATTCATTATTCCCATAAGCCATCTTCTACCCACTTTTCCTTTGCCTTTATTGTGTTCAAAATTACATCAGAATTCATGAATACATTTGCATTGTTAAGGATTCAAAAATACAAATGTATGCTGAACAAAAGCACAAGTCCCATTTCATTCCTTCATCTTCTACCTACGCCTAAGGTAACCATTCTTAACAAGTGGGTGTGAGTTCTTATCTCCCTTATTTGCATCAGTGCATTCATACACATATTGATATAGACACAAAATCGTACTACACGTATTGGTCTGTGATTTCATGTTTTTAAAACTTTAATGTCTAATGGTACTGTTTTCTTAGCAAATACACATATTTGTAACTCAACCATTTAAGTATTCCATTTTGTGGTGCTCCAAAATTTAATTACTCCTGTATTGACGGGCACTTAGGCTACTCCTAATTTTCATTATCACAAATACTCCAGTGAACATCCTTGAACAACATCTTTGTTCACACGTATTTCTGAAGAATGGTTTACTAAAAATGGTATTGGAAAGTCAGGCTAAGTCCATTTTAAATTCTGACAGCTACTGTCAGATTGCTTTTCATACTAGTCTCTAATGATCCTCTGAATTTCTGTGGTATCAGTTGTAATACCTCCTTTTTCATCTCTGATTTTAAGATTGCTTTCCAAGAAGGCTTTAGGCCAAGCACGGTGGCTCACGCCTGTAATCCTGGCACTTTAGGAGGCCAAGGCGGGCAGATCATTTGAGGTCAGGAGTTCAAGACCAGCCTGACCAACATGGCCCATCTCTACTAAAAATACAAAAATTAGCCAAGTGTGGTGGCGCATGCCTGTAATCCCAGCTACTTGGGAGACTGAGGCATGAGAATCACTTGAATCCAGGAGGCGGAGACTGCAATGAGCCAAGATTGCGCCACTGCACTCCAACCTGGGCAATAGAGCCAGACAGTCTCAAAGAAAACCAAAAAAACAAAAAAAGAAGGCTTTGTCAGTTCATACTTTCTGCCACAGTGTAGGAAAGTATCATATTTTTTTTGCAACCACTTCCCCTTCAATAAACAAAAATAGGCCAGCACAGTAGCTCATCCGCCTGTAATCCCAGCACTTTGGGAGGCTGAGGCAGGCGGATCGCTTGTGTTCAGGAGTTTAAGACCAGACTGGGTAACATGGCGAAACTCCATCTCTACAAAAATTAGCCATGTGTGGTGGTGCACGTTTGTAATTTCAGCTATTCAGGAGGCTGAGGTGGGAGAATCACTTGAGCCCTGGAGGCGGAGGTTGCAATGAGCCGAGATCATGCCACTGCATTCCAGCCTGGGCAATAGAGACCCAGTTTCAAAAAAAAAAGAAAGAAAGAAAGAAAGAAAGAAAGAAGTGTCCCCAAATTTAAAGGCAAAGAAATATTGCATCAAGAAAAAAAATAGTATGTTTAATTAGTAATATAATGATCTTGTGTCAAAATCTTTCTCCTAAGCAGATCATTCTATTCACAGTAGGGTTATATAAAACCTCATTCTCTCAGTGTGCTACAGATCAAAAACTCCTGAGGGTTAACAGTTCTGTGACTAATCATATACTATATTATACTTTAGAGCTCATAGACATGATTTCTATCAGAACAGGAAATATTCAGAGACAGTGATGATAAAGAAGAAACACAACTATTTCCTGGGTCCCTTTAGATGAGCACTAATAGGAATATAATGTGATCCACATATATAATTTTTAATTTTCTAACAGCCACATTTGCAAAATGTGAAATTATTTTTAATTATATATTTTATTTAACCCAGCATATCTGAAATATTATCATTTCAACACATAACCAACATGAAAATTACTGTGATGTTTTACTTTTTGTTTCACTAAGTCTTTGAAATCTGGTATGCATTTTACACTTACAGCACATCTCAATTCAGATAGCCCCATTTAAAGGGCTCAGTTGTGCACGTGGCTAGTGGCTGCCATATTAGGCATCAAAGTCATCAGTATACCCTTTACAGGGCACTAGAGTGATCCTCATAATGTCTGGCCTTTTAGACCTGCAGCTTACATCACCAGCATACTTAAAATCTAAACCATTTCCTATCATATATCCCACAATATTGCTCTGAGGATCCCTAATGAGGGTAATTCCATGACAAGTGTCTTGGGGACTCAAGCATCCTACATGATAGGCTTCTGGACTAGAGTATGGTATAGGTGATCTGCCTGGCCTTCTCTAAGAGTAAACTAATATTTGTGGGACAAAAGGATAAAGGGATAGTCAGTTTATAAATTCACTGTTTCCTCTGACTTATAAAAACAGGGGATCAAGATATCCTCTCTCGTTCACTTTACATCTAGCACCTGCTCAGCTCAAAGCAGGACATTGCAGCCGCATCATTCTTGCTTATCTGTCAAGACTTCCCTGTGAGAACAGGGGCCTCAGCAACTTTACCTATACAGCTTTCTCAGACAGGATCTCCCCAACACACGTGTACACATACATTCTTTGTTTCTAAGGCTCTATAATCCTGCAGAAACATACAATACAGTTCTTACTAAAAGTAATATATGTAATGTTAAAGCTTGCCATGGTTTTAGTTTATATTAAAAACTAACACAAACCAACCCCCAATAATTTTATTTTATCATAACTATTCCATGATACACAGGCAGAGCAAAGGTTAAACCCTATTTTGAAATAAGACTATTATTCTTCCTACCATTTCAAATGGCGTAAGTTGATATAGACTATTTTTCAGGGCAAGCAAAGACCAGATAAACTCAGCACAAACTTTACCTTTTGCCAGAAGCAACTGGACGATATCTGCATAACCCTTCCAGGCAGCAGCATGCAAAGCTGTATCTCCCAACTTGTTCTATAGTGATAAAAAGAGAAAGTACCATTTTTAAGATAGAGGGTGGATTGAAAGTACATGTTAATTCAGGTTTAACCCAGTTAAACCTAAAAGTTAAACCTAAAATGGGAACAAAGTTATAGAACCACATAAAATTCCAAAGAGAAAAGGAAAGGAGACTCAAGAGATGGGAGAGGAGTCATTTTTGGGAGATGGAATAGGATGGAGGAGTACAAGCTGACTTGGTGGAGCACGAGCTGAAAAGCACATGCCTGCGGAGGGAGATCCAGGAGGAAGGAAGCAGATTTGAACATGCAGAAGCCTGGCAAAAATTAGGAATTGGAGATTCCTGGAGGTGCTAGGGCAGGCATGAGGCATGGGTGGGAAAACAGAGATATTGGTTTAAAGTACTCATAAAAAGTAGAATCTCAGAACCTCTTCCCCTTCTCTTGCTGCCAGATGACCCAATAATGATGACAGATTTACTTGTTGAGAAATTAACCTGATAGTTTCCAAGTTCATGAACACTAGGTACAAGAGAAGTAGCAAAAGGCCAGAAACTCAAACCTGAGGGTTAGGTAAAAAACCTACAGACTGAACAGTAAGACCCCTCTCTCAGGTACCTTTACGTACCCCACTGCCCAGTGTGCACATACCCCCAGGCAGGAGACTGGAGGGCACTTCTCTGGTGAAGCAGTGCAGCCCCATGTGCAGGGAAGGGAAGGAGTGTCACTTTCATTAGCATTTGGGTGTCACCTAGCAAAATAGCCAGGACCTCACCACATCACCCTATGGAGAAGCCCAACCGCCAGCAGGCCTCACCAAGCACACACAGCTTCCAATCACACCTAAAAATGAATGGATAAGGGCCAGGCATGGTGGCTCACACCTGTAATCTCAGCACTTTGGGAGACCGAGGAGAGCGGATCACCTGAAGTCAGGAGTTCGAGACCAGCCTGGCTAACGTGGTGAAACCCCGTCTCTACTAAAAACACAAAAATAAGCCAGGCCAGTGGCATGGGCCTGTAGTCCCAGCTACTTGGGAGGCTGAGGCAGGAGAATAGCTTGAACCCGGGAGGCAGAGGTTGCAGTGAGCTGAGATTGCGCCACTACGCCCCAGCCTGGACAACAGAGCGAGACTCCATCTCAAATTAAAAAAATAATAATGAATGGATAATGACACCAAGTGTTCGTGGAAAGCCTACAATATTTTAGTAAAGACCAAAACAAACAAAATAAATGGATCTCAAAGGGAAAAAACACAGTACAGTGAAGAGCCAAAAAACATAGTTTGAAAAGTTATAAATATTATATCAGCAAGATATAAGATCATATTGTGTCATGAAACAAGAAAAAGATACTACGTAAAAGTAACAATCAGAGTAAAATAAGGGCTTATAACAGAATTCTAAGAATGGCCCCCAAGGTTCCTGGCCCTGGTACAGGCCCCCTCCTCTTGACTGCAAGTGAAAGCAGTGAATGTAACAGGCTATCACTCCCATAATTAGGTTTCTAGTCAGCGGATGTTGAATTCTTCAAAAGGGACATTATCCCAGGTGGGCCTGACCTAACCAGGTGGGCCCCTAAAAAATAAAAACAATGAAACAGCAGAGAGACAATCTCCTTCTGGCCTTGAGGAAGAAAGCAAACAGCCATACTGTGAGCTGTCTACAGAGAGGGGTGGCCTCTAAAAGCTGAGGGCCTCAGTAATACTACAGTTAGAAGAAAATCAATTCTTCCTACAACCTAAATGCACTTGGAAGAAGACCCCAAGCTCCAGATGAGAATCCAGCTCCAGCCAATCCCTTGATTTCCACCTGGGAGACCCTGAGCAGAGAACGCAGCTATGCCATGCCCAGAATTCTGACGTACAGAAAGTATAAGCTGCTAAGCCTGTGGTCGTTTGCTAGGCAGCAATAGAAAACTAATACAGAACTCTGGGGAATTAAAAAGATAACCAAAATAAAACAAAGGTGAGAATATCTCTGGGAAAAATTAAGAAAACTGAAGGTTCAATCCAAGAAGTCCAACATCCTACTAATGGGCATTCCAGAACCAAAAGAACAAAGAAGGGTCAGATAAAAATTCTAAAAGAAATACAAGATAATTTTCCAGGCTGAAAGAGTTCATCATAATCATTGGGAAGAGATGAATGCTAGCACATCATCATAAAATTTGAAAACACCAACAATAAAGTAAATACTCTTAGCAAGAGAAAAAGCAGATCATACATAAAAGAATGGGAATCAAAATGGCACCAAATCTCTCAAAAGCAACCCTGGAAACAAGAATGCCACAGAGCCATGCCTTCAAAATTCTAAGGGAAACTGTTTTTGACCTAGAATTCTGATCAGCCATATAATCAATCCCAAGCTTCTCTTTCTCAGGAATCTACTTGAAGATGTTCTCTGACAAAAGAAAGACAAGGGATCCAGAAAAATGAAGATGCAACATGGCAGAGAACGGAAGGGGTTCCCTGGAGGACAGCAAAGGGCCACAGGGACCAAGCTGCTCAGACTGGAGAATGATGGAGAGCTTCAGGAAGTAATGAATCCAGGGAGAAAAAAGAAAGCTGTTGATTATCTTACACATTTTGGAAAAGTATTATATATCAAGACTGTATAAAACAGTAGAGAAGTCACAGTGAGATAACAAAAAATGAGTTTTAAAAAGTAAGTACAGAAACAAAAAAAGGTTATATAAGCAGTGAACACTATTTAGACACCCATAATAAAGTAAATATTATATAGTAATATAACCAAAAACTGTGATGAAGTACACTGAGGAGCAGAGGAGAACAGGCTTGGTGCTGGGGTGCTGAAAGATGAGAGCTGGGGCAGCTGACAAGCTTAACCCTTCACATACCCAACAGGAGGCCAAAGTACACATGAAGACAATGCATGGCGAGATAGCTCCGTCAGCCTATTCCTTAGTAACACAAAGGTAAGTACAGGAAGAAAGAGCTAAAAGCTGAAAGTGACATATGAGGAGGAGTGGGTTTGGCACTTGGGGCTGTGGATAATTTGAATTTTAGTACAATTATAATTTTTAAATTATGTGCTTGTGGGATTTTGACTACAATACTTCACATGCCCATGAGTTGCTCTGTACTAAAGACAACAAGCAGGTATGTGTTAAATAATTTTCAAATAAGCAGTCTTACCTGCTGGTTCAGTTCAATATTTGGTTGAGTAAATAGCATTTCCACTATATCTGAAATTCAAAGAGAAAAGATACCTTTTAAGAACGAAAATTAGAAGCCTGACAAATCTAGGTACAATAATTTTATAAAAGAGAGATTCTTCAGAAGAACCTTCAAGAAAATGTTAACACATTTTGTAAAATTTATAAAATAGAAAAACTTAAGAATCTAAAAAGTGGAATTATTTAGGAAAATATACTTTTTCTAATAGTTTTGGCTTTTGCATTTTCATATGACACTTAGAGGAATATTTTTACATTCACTATAATACTTTTCATTCATATAACTAACATGTTTATTAGCTGAAATAAGATAGGCTTCTTTTTAGTAGACAGTTACAAATTTTCCTTTGGCACTGCTATTTAATTTGTTGAGATCTTCATTTCTTATTGTTGTTGAGTTTATTTCTTTTGTTATAGAGAGAGGTAGAAAAGCGGTGGGTGATAAATTTTTGTCCAGGAAGAAATACATCTAAAAATTCAATTTGTCATTATTATTGATTACAACAGAAAAAGTATCAATGGAATCACTAACTTTGGCAAATGTTGGCTTTCTCTTGAATCTAATAGTTTGCATTAAACTTAAAATGCAAATCATAAAAGAAGACCTTGTGAAAAGCTAAGCTAGAGGAGCAAATTCTGATCTTTCCTTCTGTAAGATTAGACAGTGGTTTTGTTTTTATATTACTGCTGTTTTCCAGTAACCTTTCTAAGCCTGAGAGAGGAAAGGAAGTGTCCAGTCTTTCAAGCGAGAGGGACCCATGCAGTGAGGCTGACTGACCACATTCTACCCACTGTTCTACAGAGCTTCCAGGAACAAGGGTTTTGGCCGGTATTCTAAAGGATTCAAAAAGAATAGCCAATGCTTTTCCTTTCTCATTTTTTGTAAATCTGGCTCCCGTAGGTGAAACACATTTTCAGCAGCATAGAAACATATAACAAACAAAATGTAATACCTTTGTGGCCCCCGTGGCAAGCCCAGTATAAGGCAGTGCTTCCAGCTTTGTCTAAGCCATTAACACCCACTCTGTTGTCCAAACACTCTCTCAACCAGCTCAAGTTGCCTGAAAGAATTTTACATTTACAAGAACACAAGAAAAAAAGCTTTCACTTTTTATTTTGCTTTTAAATCAATGTCATTCTGCATAAATTTCCATTTGCAATGGATTAATCAGCAAGTATTAAATTAAGACCTCCCCATTAATGCATTTATTATGGTACATTTTGACTTCCAGCTTATTAATGGAAAGTATTAACATCAATGTTTCTAATGATAAGTTAATGGGAATAGTTGCCCAAATGGGTATACTTAAGGTATTTCTATTCTGTTAAAAAATATATAGGGGTGTGTGTGTGTGTGTGTGTGTGTGTGTGTGTGTGTGTGTATGTGTGTGTATGTGTATATATTATTTTTTTCTTTGTGAAATTCTGGAAATTGAGGAAAAAACAATCAAACCTAAGAACAAGCAGATACTATTCATATTCATATTTAAAATGCATCTTCAGTTCCTATAAGAAAGGCTAAATAACCTACTCAAAGCTGCTGCTCTTATATGCTAAACTATAACTATTAATTTAAAATCCTCAGGCTAATGTCCCAAGTATCTAATTCACAAAGAATTTTTTAAATGTCAGTTTAGTCCTTTTACTTTTTCACAATCCTAACCAATAATTTCCTTGTGTACATTCAGATTTCCAAAAAAATCTAAAAATGGAATGAAATGGAGCTCATTGAGGCTTTACAAAAACTCCCCATTATCTACAGCAGGGTTTCTCAGCAGCAGCCCCATTGGCATTTGGGGTTGGATTTATTGTGGGGGTGCTCCTGTGTGCTGTAGGATGTGTGGCAACAACGCCTGCCTCTCCCCAAAAGATGCCAGTAACATCCCTCCAGTCATGACAGTCAACATGTCTCCAGATATTGCCAAATACCCTCGGGGTTTGTGAAAGAGGAATCACCCCTAGCTGAGGACTACTGATCTACAGAATAAAGCCCAAGACAAGGCTGATCGTTGTTTGGTCAAGGATCTTCCCCAGGTTCATCCCTGTTAGTCATGCCCTCCCTGGCCAAATGCTCACCACACCAACGCTCTCCTAAATGCTGTACCCACCAGACCCTTCCATTCTCTTGCCCTCCAGTTACTCACCTGGGCCTCTACGGCCTGTCAAACACATTTCAATTGCTGTACTTATCATACCATATTTTAATGATCTGTTACATCTCTCTCTCCCCTGCCAGATGTTGTGCTTTGGAAGTCACAGACCATGTCTTTCGACTTGCATCTCCCCACAACAGTGTTTCTTGACTGACATTTTAAAACTAAAATCACACTTCTCTAGGGTAGTAGATGTTGGGACAGACTGTAAGGCAGGGATTTAACTGAGAAGGTGCAAAGGGAACTTTCTAGGATGGCAGAAATGTTCTAGATCTTGATCTGGGTGTTGGTTACGTGGGTGTATGCACTTGTCAAAGCTAATTGAAATCCGTGCCTTTTACTGTACTGCATACCTCAGTCAAAAAGAATCACACCTACCTCTTTTTGCTGCTTCATGCAATGGATTGTCAATGGATTCTGCCTGCTCAGCCACTAGATTGAAAATAAAAAGTGTTAACCCAATGTGGAATTGCCACACAAATGATTTACTGAAGCCACTCATTCACCACAGTCCCCCAGCTTCAGGAGTACCAGGGCATTCAACACAGTTTCCTTTACTTAATGTGGATAAAAAGTAACAGAAAATCAAATGGATAGTTCTTGCATTAAATGAAGCTGAATTATGTGTTTAGGGAAACCAAGCCAAGCAATAAGGCAATAACATAGTAATTAACTGGAAGTATAAACAAAAACAAACAAACCCGCATACCTGAGTTAAATGCACACTTGATATTACTCAAGTATTTAATAAACAAAGTCACAAAAATGCAAAAGGAAGCATTTGATGTTCATTTTTACATTTTGTAGATCACTCTGCTTTAAAGATACCTGAAAATAATTTTGGTTCTCTTGTGTGTATTTATGTAGGATCGGATGAGGGGAGTATTTTGCTTCCTGTATTCAGAAAGAACAATCAGCATAGCTACCTGCCTCTTAAAGAAGGCATGTTCGCTGCTGTCCTAGAATCAGTAGGAAGTGTTATTAGGAAATGGAAGAAAGAGGATTAAAACTCAGGAGCCTTGTTTATCAATTCTGTGCTCTTTTGACTTGATTCTGCTGACAACTAAACAAGTGTTTTATCTGTTTGTCCCACTTCCAGCTTGAAGCAGCTTCATGGCGGGAGCCGTGTCTCTCATCTCTCAAAGTCTCCAAACTGCCATGATAAGCATTTAATGAACATCACTGCCCCAAACATGAATGAACAAGGCCGGGTTACTCCATCACAAAAGAAACGGCTAGTCTAAGAAACTATCTGCAAGATTGAGTTTATCAGCATTAAAAAAAATTGTTTTAAGGGTTGAAGAAAGTAAAACCATAAGTGTTTCCTTGGAAACCTTGGGTTAAGAATGCTAAAATGCATTCTCTTAGGCCACAGAGTCAGGCTCAAGCACATCTGGTGTTCATGGCCAGTTTATTAACAGAAGGCTCATGGAATAGAAAATGTCCTAGACTGACAATGACTCCATTGCTTTCTCAGCCACAGTAGCAAGCAGAAAAGCATCAAGAACCAAAAAATTCCAAGTGAACGAAGCTAAAGTAAAACCACTCAGCAACACTTACCATAGTTGCTTGGAATTAGTCCAGTCCTGCCTTTGGAGGTGCCTTTCCACCAATTGGTATCGCTCTGGTAAAAGAAGAGTTAAATTAAGTGGTATGAAATCCAGACTGCATTCATTCACTTTTCAAATTATCTAGCTCCTAGGGAGTACCTGTTCTACAAAATGTCCATCAACCCTACCCACACTATCAAGCTTCCTCACGCCCTAGCTGTGGGTGTCCGTCTCCCTTACCACTCAGTTACAAATAAACACGCATCTGCCTGCAACAAATGGAATACGTTTCATGACAGAGTCTCAACAACCAAACAAATAAGAGATGACATGAAACAGAAGAAAACAAATTACGCTAGTTTAGACTAGCTATATGATTTTTTGTCCACAGTTTCATTTCTCTTAGCTTTGAGATAATTTTTTTTATGGGGGAGGAAGTTCTAAAGATCTCTTTATATTATCTTCATTTTGGGGGTAACTTGTTATTATAGAAAAATTTAAACTTACAAAAAAGTAGAAAGAACAATGTAATGACCATATATATACCCATTTCCCAACTGCACAAATCATTTATTAATGACCAATATTGTTTCATATATGCCCCCATGACGTCCCTCCCCTCCTGGATTATTTTAAAATAAATTCTAGACATCATATTATTTCATTTGTAAATATTTCAGTACGTATCTCTGAAAGACACATACTTTTTGAAAGGCAATTATAATGCCATTATCACAGCTTAAAAGTTTTTTCCAACAATAATTCCTTAATATCATCAAATATCTAGGTCGATACTCAAATTTCCCAACTGCCCCATAATTTGGGACTCAAATAAGGGCTATACAATATGATTGATTTGTCTTTAAGTATCTTTTAATCTATAGGTTGTCTCTCCATTCTTTTTTATCTCTTACAATGTATTTGTTGAAGAATCCAGTTGGTTTGTTCTGTAGTGTCAACCTCTATGGATTTTGCCTGTTGTATCCCTGTGTTATCATTAAGCATGTTCCTCTGTTCCCTGTATTGCCTATAAATTGGTCATCAGTTCTAGAGGTTTAATTAGATTCAGCTCCAATTTTTTTTGGCAAGGCTATTTCCTAGGCAGTATTGATTTCTTCCATTAGGAAATGCAAACTATCTAGTCGGCTTCTTTTTGTAATGTTAGTAGCCCTTGATGATCATTGTCTAGATCCACTATTTCCTAGAGGCTGCAAGATGGTGACATTCTAATTCTATCATTCCTTCTTCATTGAAATAACCTGAATACCTCTTTAAACAAAAACTTCCTCATCAGCTCTCAGATTGCCCAGGTAAGAAATTCATAAAGAAAACACAGAATAAATGGTGATTCTTTCCCTTAACAGTTGTCAGAATAAAAACCTGATTTCCTAGCATTCTCTCATGCTGACCAATGAGATTTCCTCAGAAGTAACATTAGAAACTCATAAATTTAAATGTATTTAATGGGTTTCAATTCTTGGAAGTTGTTGCCCTAATTGATGCTCAAATTGTCCTATCTTTGGCCAGTGGGAGTCTCTTCAAGTTCGTTCCCAAGTCCTTTCAGTGTGACCCTACTGTCTTTAGGAGCTTCCATGTTTTCTAATAAGAGGATGTTCTGGGTTTATCTTGTACCTCTGCTGCCCCTGACTTGGTACCAGCCATTTCTCAAAGAAGCCTGTACATTTCAATGGAAAATAACATATTATTATTGGGTTGGTCATTTTTCCTAGGCCCTTTCAAAGAACACAGCAGGGAATATTTTTGTTTTATTTTAGATAAAATACAATGTGATCCTTGCAATTCAGATGAAGGAATACAGAGTTTTTCTTAAACTGTCATTAATCTTACATCTGTGTATCCTTTTTGCTATGCTGAAAATCCGTTAGCAACATCACCGACCTAATTACTCATTTGCTCTAAACCACAATACACATGCAACAATCTCAGAATTAGCAATACCTACATTTCCCTAACAAGGGCATGATTTAAAACAATTTACCCTTTTTTGGCCATTTCTTTTTGTCCATATATATATATGGACAAAATATATATATATATATATATATATATGGACAAAATATATATATATATATATATATGGACAAAATATATATATATATATATGGACAAAATATATATATATATATATGGACAAAATATATATATATATATATGGACAAAATATATATATATATGGACAAAATATATATATATATGGACAAAATATATATATATATGGACAAAATATATATATATATATATATATATATATATATATATATATATATGTCTTTCATACATATCCATATTCTACTATGGATGTTCAGTCAAATTGCTGAGTTTTAAACTTGGAATATTTCCTCTCTGTGTGGTTAGGCCAATTACCAGGGTACAATTAAGTTCATTTGATTCATTCTGCTTTTAATTTTTAGGGATTGCTTTTTACTTCAATTTTTAACCATGTCAAGGTTTACATCAGTTCAAAGTCAAATCCACAAAACAAGGTATAATTTTCTAAAAAGTCTATCTTCCATCTATGTTCATTATACCCTATTTCTCTCCTTCCACCTAGAGAAAGGATCTTTACTCTTCATAGAATAAAACTAAATTTTACTTTGCAACTCATCTTTCAACTTTTTATCTGAAATTGAGAAAAACAAGTGTCTGCATGTATGTGTGTGTACACATACACTCTCACCCTTTCCTAGAAAACTGAGGATATATTATCTACATTTTCTCACTTTGCTTTTTTTTTCACTTAAATTACTTCATAATAGCATATAGAGATATTCCCCATTTCTTTCTACAGCTGCATAATATTCTGTTTGTGGCTAGACCAAAGCTTATTCAACTCTTTCCCTATTGATGGAAATAAGGGCTATTTTCAATCTTATGCTACTATCAATTGTGCTAAAATGAACAGACTTGTACATATGTATTTCTATGTACATATATATTTAAATAACTTACAATGTTATAGCTACATAAAACAGTCTTTATATGTGGTATTACAAGATGTTATCTGGACTTACCATGTCAGTAATGTAGATAATATCACCTTCCTCAAAGTATAATTCATCTGGCTAGAAGAAAAAAAAAAGTTTGACTCCATGTGATTTTTCATGAATTAGAATATGATTATATAGATTCAAAATTCTATCATATTCTAATAAGCAATGTGGTTTTATACACTTAAATCAGCACATAAGCCATATAATAAAACACTACTGAAAAATTAACACATGAATAGACGGCTAGATTTTTTTCCCATGATGAACTTCAAAGAATTACATATATAAAGATTCTCCACACACATCTTGCATTCTTCTACAACCAAAGCAAGACATTTGTATATCAAAATAGAGTATTAATAAAACTTCTTCCTTGTAGAAATTCTAAAAGGTGGTATACATTTTTTCATAAAAATATAAATGTCTAGAATTAGAGTCATGAAAAACAGCCAGAAGCTTGATTTTCTCTTAAACAAGGCCTCAATCCTTGAACACTTTAAGATCAACATCTGCTATCTGCTCATTTTAAGAAAATCATTATCCTAGCTCTTCATGTTCAGGGAGAATGAACATTTTCTGTATGAGAAAAGTTAATATGTAATTCAACCATTAATAAGGCTAAAGAGCTAAAAGATATGAAGCAGTAACTCAGCCAGTCCAGAAACCCCAAGCAGCTCTAAGGAGTTGGCTAATTACACAGACCATATGTGCTCTGGCCTGTACCAACCAAATGTTCTAAAAACTTTCTGAGGCCAGGTGCGGTGGCTCATGCCTGTAATCCCAGCACTTTGGGAGACCAAGGCAGGTGGTTCACAAGGCCAGCAGTTCAAGACCAGCCTGGCCAAGATGGTGAAACCCCATCTCTACTAAAAATACAAAAATTAGCTGGGCATGGTGGGGGATGCCTGTAATCATAGCTACTCGGGAGGCTGAGGCAGAGAATTTCTTGAACCCGGGAGGCAGAGGTTGCGGTGAGCTGAGATCACGCCACTGCACTCCAGCCTGGGTGACAGAGCGAGACTCCGTCTCAAAAAACAAAACAAAACAAACAAACAAACAAAAACAACCAAAAAACACTTTCTGAATAAAGATACACATTTTAAACATCTTTTGACCATCAGTAGATAACACTTACCATGACTTTGTAAGTAAGTAGGGTGATGCCTACCGAGAGCAAATTTCAGGTGTTAGGAAATGTTTACATCATCATGGTGGATGAAAAATGTAGGACACAAATTTCACATGTGATAAGAACACAACTATGCATTAAATAGACACAAAAATTTCCAAATTCTGTCATGAGCATGTGTTGCTTTCATATTTCAGGTGGGAAAAATACTTTTAAAAGAAAGGCTTTGATATTTCTGATTATAATTACTATTCCATATAAATCAAAATTATGCTAGTGAAACAAATTACTTCATCCAGCCAGGCGTGGTAGCTCATGCCTGCAATTCCTGCACTTTG
The DNA here is from genome assembly GCF_000001405.40 of Homo sapiens. Taxonomy (NCBI): domain Eukaryota; kingdom Metazoa; phylum Chordata; class Mammalia; order Primates; family Hominidae; genus Homo; species Homo sapiens. The sequence goes on along the minus strand of NC_000009.12, from coordinate 75,126,173 downwards.
GGAGGCTGAGGCGGGCAGATCACTTGAGGACAGGCGTTCGAGACCAGCCTGGCCAACATGGTGAAACCCCATCTCTACTAAAAACACACACAAAAAATGTGCCAGGTGTGGTGGTGCACACTTATAATCCCAGCTATTCGGGAGGCTGAGACTTGAGAATCACTTGAACCTGGGAGGCAGAGGTTGCAGTGAGCCAAGATTACGCCATGGCACTCCAGCCTGAGTGACAGAGCAAGACTCTGTCTCAAAAAATTTTTTTAAAAAATGAAATTAAAAATAAAATATTTCATCCATTCATTTTTCCATTTGTTTACCTCCTCTCAGTAGCAGACTAGAGCAGTAAATATGATTCTGCACTAGCAATTTATTTAGTTTTAAAGCTGATCTACATTCTTATTATAACTATTTCTCCATGAATCTAAATGAAGGCTATTATCAGCAATAACATGCTTTAAGCAACCATAATACATGAAAATACTTAGATGCATTATGCATTCAAATATAAAAATTAGCAAATGATGATTATTGATGCCCCCAAATGGCTAAGTCCTTTAAAAGGTAACTTTCTGAAATATATATTGCTTTTACACTTTGATTTGCACAGACTAGTCTTACACATAGCACAAACTATGGAAAATTAGTTATATGTACTAGACCTTGTAATACACATTTTGATATTATTTGAAATAAGTTTTTACTTTTTTTGTTGCTTGAATTTGGGAAAAAAGAAGTTAATGACCACTAATATTCTCTCAAACCTGCCTCAAAAATGTTCTGATGATCGATCAATGACCACTATTACTACCAATATGTGATAGATATAGAAAGTGATTAGGTAAACAAACTATTTCCTTTAGTATTTATTTGAAACAAACTGGATCACTCCCAGAGAGGCCAGAAAGATGATTCTCTCCGCACGCCAGCATCCCAGCTGGACTCAGCAGCCACCTCTGCCCCAACCTCCCGCCCACATTAAGGTTGGCCTTTGCTGGCAATTTTAACACCATCTGACTCTCTCACCTTTAGATGGTGCTAAGGCCTGGGAGGGGAGAATGAAGGAAGAAGAAGAGTGTCAGGAAAATAGGATATGTGGGCTGCAACATTTTTCTGGAGGAACTTTTCATTTCCTGGAACTTGAAAGAGTTCAATGCCTTGAAGAAGTCTGTCCCATCTATGAGCCGTCCTGGGCTGTTCTTACTGAGTACATCTCCCAAAGTTAATCTCACTCAGTTATGTCTCACAATAAATCCTCCTCAATCAGTACTTTCAAGAAGTGAAGAAGTCATCTTTCTCTACAGTTTGACCCTCCTTCTAAAATCACAAAAGTCAAATCTCCCTAAATTTCCATATTTAATAAAATCACTCACCCTTTAAACAAACAAAACACTTTATGAAAAAGTACCAAACAAATAGCTTTTAAAAACAAAGAACACACACAAGCATGGTAATGAGTCTTTCTTATAAAAATAAGCAATAAAGTCAGGGGGAATAGGGAGTAACTGTTTAATGGGTACAGGGTTGATCTGTGGGATGATGAAAATGTTTTAGAACTAGACAGAGGTAATGAATTGTGAATGTACTAAACACCACCAAATGATTCACTTTAAAATGGTTAATTTGGAAATAAGCCAGGCACAGAAAAACAAACATCGCATGTTCTCACTTATTTGTGAGATCTAAAAATCAAAACAATTGAATTCATGGACAGAGAGCAGACGTATGGCTACCAGAGGCTGGGAAGGGTAATGGGCAAACCTGGGGGGAGACGGGGATGGTTAATGGGTACAAAAAAAATTTAGAAAGAAATAATAAGACCTATTATTTGATAGCACAACAGGATAGCTAATAGTCAATAATAATGGTACATTTTTAAATAACTAAGAGTATAATTGGATTGTTTGTAACACAAACGATAAACGCTTGAGGGGTTGGATACTTAATATCCCATGATGTGATTCCACATTGCATGCCTGTATCCAAACATCTCATGTGCCCCATGAATATATACACCTACTATGTACTCACAGGAATTAAAAATTTTTTAAATGGTTCATTTTATGTTATGTGAATTTTACCTCAATTTTTTAAAAAAAGTAATAAAGCCCAAAATAGTCAAAACTCTTAATGTCTTTCAAGTAATTCTCGTCCTCTGTGGTTTGGGAAAGTGCATCATTTGAGAAAGACCACTAAGTGCCAGTCGCTTCGACACCTCTCAGTGCTATTTCGGTTTTTGAATTAATGGCTGCCGTTCAATAGTGGTGTCTGCCACAAGCCACCCATTAGGTCAGACTTGTTTTTCAACTGAGGCAATGAGAACAGGCAGTCCATTTCAGTCAGGCAAAAAGTGACCTCATTTTTTCATCCCGAGAAATTACAGTCGACAGTTTATTCTCTTTTAATCCATAGCTCCCAGACACGGAATGCTACTACTCGTAAAATGTCTTCTTCTAAAGAAACTAGGGACACGTTTTCCTAATCTAGCTAAGTACCAAATTCTTCACAGTGTTGGTGGCAGTACATACAACACGGTAATTTCATTATTTTAACAACAGATTTCACCTGCAATATTCACATTTTCCATTAAGAAACCACTAGCAGGATACCTGATCTAAATTGTTCAATGAGCACCTACTTTTAAATTCCCAGCATCACAGTTAGGGAACAGAAATGGGAAAACAATAACATAATGAAGTATGCACTTCTCTGTTTCCAGCTTTTCTTTGTTTTTTGTTTTTTGTTTTTTTGTTTTTTTGAGACGGAGTCTCACTGTCGCCCAGGTTGGAGTGCAGTGGCACGATCTCGGCTCTCTGCAGGCTCCGCCCCCCAAGGGTTCACGCCATTCTCCTGCCTCAGCCTCCGGAGTAGCTGGGACTACAGGTGCCTGCCACCTCGCCCGGCTGATTTTTTTGTATTTTTAGTAGAGACGGGGTTTCACCGTGTTAGCCAGGATGGTCTCGATCTCCTGACCTCGTGATCCACCCGCCTCGGCCTCCCAGAGTGCTGGGATTACAGGCGTGAGCCACTGCGCCCGGCCTTTCTTTGTTTTTTAACTACATTCCTCCTTTCCTCTCTCCTTGAAGAACAGCAAGGTATCAGAATAAGTAGGCTGTTGTCCACTGGGATGTTACAGCAAAGAGTACACACTTGGTAACATATATTCCCATTCCATATATTCTTGGTAACATATAATTCCCAAGGCATTAATTTTGTTGGTTTATGCAAATATATTTTATGAAAAGTTTAGAAAAACTGATATACTTTTGAAATTTTTAAGATTTGTCAGTCTGAAGCCCCCAAAATTAATAAAAAGAGAAAACAAATTCTCCACAGATGTTTTTATTCAACACTTTATAGTATATATTATGTGCCACGTACTGGTCTGGGCATTCAGAAATATTAACTAATTTGTTCCTCACCAAGAACACTATGAAGTGGGTGCTATTCTTATCATCATGTTACAGATGAGAAACCTCTCCAAGGCCATAGAGCAGGTACATGGTAGAACCTGGACTTGAACTATAAGTCAGATTACGAAGTCCCTGCTCTTACCCACCACCTGTGCTTTCTCTCATACAAAAGGCATCACACACAGCCATTATTGGCCATCATGGTGTCATGACCAGATTAACAGCTGGCCACCTTGGAAAATATCTGTCTGTATACACTCCCAACTGCCCTACCCCTATAGTACAGTATAACAAAACCAATGGCAGCATATTTTACTTGCAAAGTATACTTGACCTCATTTGGTCCTCACAACTCACTAGGCTTGGATGGGTCATGGATATAATCTCTATTTCACAACCAGGCTTAGAGAAGTTAAAAACTCTCTACAAATCAGAGTGAGTGGCAGGGCTGGGCTCCTATCTCAGCTCTTAGATTCCCAGTCTCCTTCCTCTACACGTGGCTCTATTAACCTAGTGCAGCCCAGCAACCTTTACATGACAGAGCAGGGTCCTGCTGGTTTCCCTTTGGAAATCAATGCTCCTCTTAACACAGGAAATTCTGTTCCCTCCTCATCAGTCTGTCTTGACACTCGTCAATTCAGTCCAGCCAGGTCCGTGGTTGACACTTTATTAAAAGGAGCTGGGTGAGAAAAAAGAACCAAATGGGGCTGGGTGGTGCCAAGACACCCTTGCCTTTAAGCAAGACAAATGAGAAATGGGTTGGCAGGAAGAACCAGGAGCTACCTAGCGTTCTTCCTGTTCAATGGATCCCCAAGACTGGGGTTGCGCATTGCTGTCCCCATCTCCTGAGGGGGAACAGGAGCTTAAAACTGGACCCAGGCCTGCCTGGGGAGCTGCACATGCCAGCAATGTCCCTCAGAGCCCACCTCAGCCTTTCAATATTGCCTGGTCCCAGTGATTTCGAGGAGGCCAGGTCAGCTTAGGATATGCTGTGGTGTATCTATCCCTCCAGAGAAGATGGCTGCTGGTCAGAGGGGAGAGAGAGAGACCAAACAGCTTCCAACAGAAATTCTCATTCAGAAAAAGAAGATAAGACTAACCTAGTTCTGGAATGAGATTCAAAATTTAACAATGGGTATGGCATGGCACTTAACCAGTCAGGAAGGTCTGTGGGAGCTAGAGGCTACCTGCTGTACCAGATGCTACCCCCTTCATACCTGAATTGAACGGAGCTGAACAGGGGAGAAATATAGAGGCAACAGGGCTTGAAGTGGTCATTACTGACTGTAGCCTATAATCCTTGGGACTAAAAATATTAAAAATACAACATTTTAAATATAGAATATTTTTTAAAGCCTAAAGAATTAAATGTATATTCTCCTGTATATTCAATAATAACTAAGATTTTTTTAAAAGCAGTGGAGAAACTCCATCTTAGAGTAGAATTGGAAGTAAATAAATCAATACACAACCCATCAAAAATATCTGTTAAATGTCTATTAATATAGCAACCACTATTCCTTCGATAGTAACAATTACTCCTTAATAGTAAAAGCAGCTTTAGGCAATTAATCTCATTTAATTCTCACTAAAACCTGGTGGGACTATTATTATCCTCACTTTACAGATGAGAACACTGTGACAGAGAGGTTCAGTAATTTCCTCAAGGTCACACAGCTGCTCAAGAAGTGGAGCTGGTCCTGAACCCTAGTGCGGGCTCTGAACCCAGTGCTACCCTGCTTCCTCAGACGCTGTGTCTATGAGCAGGACTGAAATACCACGTGTGGAAGTTCAGAGGCAGGAGAGGCAGTCCACCTCCAGCTGGAGTGGTCAGAAAAGTCTTTACAGAAGAGGAAGTATTTAATGTCAGCTTGGAAGGGACAGGGCCATGGGTCTAGAAAGGGTTGAGAGATAGGTTCTACTGTGAGTCACATCTAGATGGGATAGTTCAAGAACAGGAAGGAGCAGAGCACAGCGGGGCTGGAATAGGGGCTGGACTATATAGGATGACATCTTTAGTCAAATAAAAGGTTGAAGCAGTTGGTGGAAGCAAAGCCACCTTTGAGGAATGCCAATCTAGCTCAGACGACAGATGGAATGGAGGAGCTAAGTCTGTAGGCAGTGAGGAAAGGCATAACCAGGTCATGAGGAAGCAAAGGGGAAGGAAGAGGTCGGTGAGAAAGGACAAAGGCGAAGACAACGAAGCATACGAAGAGAGGAGATAGAGTCAAGAGTCACCTCCAGTCTCAAAACAAAGTAAATGCAAGTCCCATTCTAGATTCGAGGAGGCAGCAGAGAATGGTCTATTCATTGAGTGGCCCAGGCTGGCACCTAACCACCCCTCACCTCCCTCACTTTTATCCCTCTCAGGGTCATGCAACCAATCAGGACACAACTGATAAGGACAAGCAGAGGCATAAAATGACAGCGCTCCCCGTGAGCAGGGCTTAAAGACAACAGCCCTGGGCCTCACACTTCCCTGTTATGGGCTCTTTGTGCCCTCTCCCTACCTCAAATTCTTACGTTAGAGTCCAAACCCCCAGTACAGATGCCCCTGACATACGATGATCCAACTTAACAATTTGTCAACTTTACGATGGGCTTATGGGGGTATTAAATGCATTTTTGACTTATGGATTTTTTTGTCTTACAATGAGTTTATTGGGTTCATCATAAGTTGAAGAGCATCTGTACTTCCATATATGACTGTATTTGGAGATAAGGACTTTAGAGTTAACTAAGTTAAAATGAGGTCTTTAGGGTGAGCCCTAATCCAATGACTCATATCTTTTTTTTTTTTTATTAAGACGGAGTCTCACTCTGTCGCCAGGCTGGAGTGCAGTGGCGCAATCTCAGCTCACTGCAATCTCTGCCACCTGGGTTCAAGTGATTCTCCTGCCTCGGTCTCCCGAGTAGCTGGGGTTACAGGTGCACACCACCACACCCAGCTAATTTTCGTATTTTTAGTAGAGATGGGTTTCACCATGTTGGCCAGGATGGCCTCGATCTTCTGACCTCGTGATCCACCCGCCTCAGCCTCCCAAAGTGCTGGGATTACAGGCGTGAGCCACCGTGCCCAGCGACTCACATCTTTATAAGAAGAGGAAATGAAAACACAGACATTCAGAGGAAAGACCATAAGAAGACATGGAGAGAAGTCTGACATCTACAAGCCAAGAAGCAAGGCCTCAGAAGAAACCAATCCTGCCGACACCTTGATCTCAGTCTTCTAGCTCCTGGAATTGTGAGAAAATAAACTTCTTTTGGTTAAATCACCCAGTCTGTAGAACTTTGTTATAGCAGGCTCAGTAAACTAACTCTACCCATTCCCAATCCCTCACCAACACAGGAGAGTTGTCAGTGGAATCTCTTGGTGAGAAGAATAAAAACCCTACCTTTCTTGCTCCAGAAACATTTCATGGACAAAGTCTTGGGAGAACTGTCTGAATATGCACACCCCCATGTTAGTCTATTAGTGGCTACTATTTTTTGGTGCTCACCATGTGGTAGGCCTTCAATATTCACCCCACTCCATGCTCACAGCATGGTTCCACTGCAGAATGGTATCCCCACTTTCACATGAGGAATCAATGGCAGTGAGGTAAGAAAATTCACGCAGTAAGTAAAAGACAGATTTGGGATTTGAAGGCAGGCCCTGGCCTGATGGCAGTGAACTGATGCTCAGTGTCACTTGTTCTGTGTGACCTTCTGAGTTGCCTCTAACTTTGGGGACAGCAGGGTCTGGGGCAAACCCAGGTGAAGCGGGCAGCAAGCTGACTGCCCACAGAGAGAAAGCTCTGGTCCCTAGCATATATGAGAGAAAAGTCAATGATAGCAGGTTTCCCCTTGATATGGTTTTGCTGTGTCCCCACCCAAATCTCACCTTGAATTGTAGGTCCCATAATCCCCATGTGTTGTGGGAGGCACCTGGTGGGAGATAATTGAATCATGGGAGCAATTTCCCCCATATTGTTCTCGTGGTAGTGAATAAGTCTCACAAGATGTGTTGATTTTATAAGGGGTTTCCCCTTTCACTTGGTTCTCATTCTCTCTTGTCTGCTGCCATGTAAGACATGCCTTTCGCCTTCCGCCATGACTGTGAGTCCGATAATCCTCTTTTTCTCTATACATTACCCAGTCTCAGGTATGTCTTTATCAGCAGAGTGAAAACAGACTCATACACCCCTTCTCCCCAAGAAATCTTCTTGGTTTCTTTCCTTTCCTTCCTAACTGTCTCGACTCCCTGCTTCACCGTCTAGTCACTCCTGTATCAAAACCATCTACTCACCTCCAATCTTACCCAGAGCAAAATCCAAATGAGATCCACAGGCCCTAAATGCTCTGCCCTTCCAGTCCACCCCAACTCTCGGAAGTAGTCTCCCACTACCCTCTCCCATGTTTGCAACTTTCCAAGCCATGCTGTCTTCCCTGCTTTTTCTATTCTAGCATCCACCAAAGATGCTGCTTGCACTTGTTGCTCCCTCACTTCCTTCAGGTCTCTCCCCAGATGCCACCTTTATAGAAAGGCCATCTCTGAACATGCTATTGAAGACAGCACTCTTTTCTCCATTAACTTCTTTGCTCCTAACCCTCCTTATTTTTCTCCAGAGTACTTAGCCCCTGACAGTCACATTCATTTGTCTGTTACTCTCTGTCTCTCTCCACTGGATGCAAGCTCTACGAGACCATCCTTTCTGTTGTCCCTGCACTAGTCACAAGGCCTGGACCAGTGTCTGGCATATAATAGGCGCTTAATAAACCACAGATAAATGGACGGATACCGGAAACTACAACAATGGAAAATGCACACTGCAGAGGAATAAAAAATTGTTCTGGAAGGTTAGCAGTAGGTATCATTATGAGCTATTTTGAGGTAGAGGGTCAAGAGGAGAATGAAGGAAGGTTAGTATGAAATTCAGAAGAAAGATGACTAAGACAGGGTCGCTGTGCTTTATATGCAAGTCACTTGTCAATTTGAAAGCAGGTGGTGTCACCATGTAGGGAGAAGCTTTACAAGACAGACATGACCTCAAGATGCAGAAGACATGCAAATCAGCCTGGGACTTAACTTGCACAGCTCTGGACCCAACATCCATTCCTGAGAATTACCTAGGTCTATCAAAGAAAAGGCAGACCATTCACACCAGAGGAAATGTCTAAATAAAATCATCTTAGGTTTTTCTGTCAATTTTAGAAGTTAAAAACTGAACACTTACAGTTCTGGGTTCAAACGTATACAGGGCTCTGAAGACTTTAACTTGCCCTAAAAAAGGAAGAAAAAACAACAACTGAATTTTTCATTCCTGAATTTGCTCTTAATAGCATTATCCATTATATCCTTCAGAATTCCCTAATTAAAAACCCATGTGATCAAGTAGAACAGAGGATACTAGAGGCTGGAAAGGGTAGAGAGAAAGGAAGGACAGGGAGAGATTTCCTAAAGGATACAAAATCACACCTAGATAGGACGAATAAGTTCCAGTGTTCTATACCACCATAAGATGGCCATAGCTAACAATTATTATATAGTTCAAACAGCTAGCAGGAAGATATTAAATTTCCCAATACAAAGAAATGATAAATGTTTAAGATGATGAAATGCTAATTATCCTGATCTGATCACTATACATTATATGTATTAAAACATCACTATGTAGCCCATGAATATGTACAATTATCTGTCAATCATAAAATAAATTTTAAAAACATATCATTATATATCAATGTGACTACATAGAAAAATATATAAGTAGCAGCAGCAACTACTGTCATTATAAAAACACTGACTGAAATATCTCTATCCAAGAAAAAAAAAGCCTGTGGGAGAATGGTATTTCAGAATTGAGTGCCTTTTCCACATAGGAGATATTTTTTAATATTTCTTAAGTGAATGTAAGAACAGACACACACCTCTGAAAAATGACTTTGCTTCCTTCTAACAGCAAGGAGCTACATAATTATTTGTGCTTAGGTTCTGTCCTATACAGAGTCCTTCCAACCCTGAGATCTAAGTTTAAAAATATAAACATGACCATCTTAACATAAACAAATCCTTAATGTGATAATCTACACTGGTTTAATATTCTTAAATCAGTGGGTTGGAATTCTATATATTCCAAAAGAAAAGAAAATACCACGGAGGAAAAAAAAAAAAAAAAAAAGGACCCATTGGAGAAACCTATGATTCCATTAAGTCCCAAAACAGAAAAGAGGCAACAAGGTCACATGCCTGAGTTGTCCTCCTTCCTGCCAAACAATACTTCCTCCTTTCTCTCTTCGTAGACTGCATTTCCATGACACTCCGGACTATAATCACTGATTTGCTACCTGTCTCATTTGAGGGCAGGAACTCTAACTTGGTCAATTTCCCAGCACCTAACTGGTACATAGTAGAACTTAATAAATGTTTGCTAAATGAGTATAATCATCCCTCAGTATCCAAGGGCACCGGTTCTAGAACCACGATGGATACCAAAATCCATGGATGTTCAAGACCTTTATATAAAATGGCATAGTATTTGCACATATATACATCCTCCCATATACTTGAAATCATCTTTAGATTACTTATTATACTTAATGCAATGTACATACTATGTAAATAGTTATATTGTAATTTTTATTTGTATTATTGTATTATTATAATAATAATTATTATTATTTGAAACAGATTCTCACTCTTTCGCCCAGGCTGGAGTGCAGTGGCACAATCTCAGCTCACTGGAACCTCCACCTCCCAGGTTCAAGAGATTCTCCTGCCTCAGCCTCCAGAGTGACTGGGACTACGGGCACCTGCCACCATACCCAGCTAATTTTTATATTTTTAGTAGAGATGGGGTTTCGCCATGTTGGCCAGGCTGGTCTCCAACTCCTGACTTCAAGCGATCTGCCTGCCTGAGACTCCCAAAGTGCTGGGATTACAGGCATGAGCCACCATGCCTGAACAATATTGTTATTTTTTAGTATTTTTCCTGAATATATTTGATTCACAGTTGGTTGAATCTGTAGATGTGGAACCAGTGGATACAGAAGGCCAGCTGTAAATAAGTAAATTAACAAACCCAAACAGTATAGGAAAAAAGCCTATAGATAGCAAAAAAAAACAAAAAACAAAAAAAAAACAAAAAAAGGGGGGGTCCTCTTTTAATAAAATAAATAGATTTAGAACAGATATCAAAATAGAGGGACTATCTATTTGATAGCTATTTAAAAGCTTTGGGAGGCCAAGACAAGTGGATCACTTGAGGTCAGGTGTTCGAGACCAGTCTGGCCAACATGGTGAAACCCCATCTCTATTAAAGATAAAAATTTGCCGGGCATGATGGCGTGCACCTGTAGTCCTTGCTACTCAGGAGGCTGAGGCAGGAGAATAGCCTGAACCCAGGAGTTGGAGGTTGCAGTGAGCTGAGATCACGCCACTACACTCCAGCCTGGGCAACAGAGCAAGACTCTGCCTCAAAATAATATAATAATAATAAATAAAAGCTCAGTTGCAGCACTAGAAGAATGTTATCTTCTAGTTCTAGAAGATGGTTATCTAGGACAAGAAAATAATGCAGAACAGTGGCCTCCAAGGTGGGATACGGGAAGACTACTTCAGAAATTATTTACATTTTTATCTTTCTTATTCTTTTCTATTCCTATTTGAACATGTTTTATGATATAACACCATAGAATAATATACATACAACTTATAAATCCACATGCGTTTATATAGACTGAATACTCAAAAACCTTTTGTGGATCAATTGTAAGCATTAAGAAGACAAGTATTTTTGTTGTTTTATGAATGAGACACCCGAGTGCCTACCACAGTGCCTGGCACATACAAGGCACTCAATAATTAATTATTTATGGAATGAATGAAGCATGAAGAAAGGAATAGATGGAAGCATGAATTTTAAAAAGTCTGAGGCCAGGCATGGTGGCTCATGCCTGTAATCCCAGCACTTTGGGAGGCCAAGGCAGGTGGACTGCTTGAGGCCAGGAGTTCGAGCCCAGCCTGGCCAACATGGCAAAACCCCATCTCTACTAAAAATACAAAAATTAGCCAGGCTTGGTGGCACACACCTGTAGTCCCAGCTACTCAAGAGGTGGGTGTCATGAGAATTGCCTGAACCCAGGAGGTGGAGGTTGCAGTGAGCTGAGATTGCACCACTGCACTCCAGCCTGGGTGACAGAGAGAGACCCTGTCTCAAAAAAAAAAAAAAAATTAATATTAAATAAAAATTTAAAAGTCTGAAACCAGTAGTTTACAACAGTACTGTCTGACATAACTTCACACAATAATAGAAAAGTTCTGTATCTGTGCTAGTCACATGTAGCTTCTGGGCACGAGAAGAATGGTTCATGTGACTGATAAATTGATTTTTAATATTATTTTAGTTAATTTCCCTCATGTTGCAGGTTTAGAACATCAGAAAATGGATTGACTTAATGTCCATTAAAAGGGGATTATGTAAATACACTCTGATTTGTCCACAAGACACAGTCATCTTAAACAGAATGCTGCACATTATTCACAATAGCCAACATAGGAGATCAACCTAAGTGTCCATCAACGGCAGAATGAATTTTTAAAATGTGATACATACACACACACACACACACACAATAGAATACTATTCAGTCTTAAAACAGAAAGAAATCCTGTCATTTGTGACAACATTAATGAACCTGAAGAACATTATGTTTTGTGAATTAGCCAGGCATGGAGAGACAAAAACTGCATGATTTCACTCACATAGGTGGGATCTAAAAATGTTGAACTCATAGAAACAGACAGTAATATAGTGGTTGCCAGAGGCTGGCGGGTAGGGAGACTTGGGGGGATGCTGGTTAAAGAACACAAATTTCTGTTAGACAGCAGGAACAAGTTCAAGAGATCTATTGTACATCACGGTGACTACAGTTAATAACAATGTATTATGTACTTGAAAATGCTGAGAGTAGATTTGAAGTGTTCTCACCACAAAAATATAATGTAAGGTAACACATGTTAATTAGCTTGATTTAGTCATTCCACAATGTATGCTATCAAAACATCATGTTGTACACCATAATGTATACAATTTTTACTTGTCCATTAACAAAAAGGGTTGCCCAGCCTGGACAACATAGCAAAACCCCATCTCTACAAGAAATACAAAAATTAGCCAGGCATGATGACATGCACTTGTAGTACCAGTTACTGGGGAGGCTGAGGTGGGAGGATGGCTTGAACCCAGAAGGCGGAGGTTGCAGTGAGCCAAGATTGCACCACTGCACTCCAGCTTGGGCGAGAGAGCAAGACTCTGTATCAAAAAAAAAAGAGACAGAAAAAAAAAAAAGAATATTGCAGACAGAACCACAGACACTGACATAGAATATAATCTACACACAAAAAAGCAGGTTTATAACAGTAGGCAAGTACCATCCTGTTTATGTCAACAAAACACACACAGCCATTGAATGAGAGCACCAATTGCGGGGGCATCATATTCTACTTGACATTTACTGTTTACATTCATTACGCCAAGTGTGTATTACCTTTATAATCAACGAAAACAGTAACAGTGTGATTTGGGATTGGGAGGAGGAATCATTCTTCTAAACATCTTAATATAGAAGAGCAGCTCAGATCCCTGTTACCAGAAAACACTCTTTTCACCATCAGAATTCCAGGGCCACATCTCTCCTGCTCTACTAGGAGGGGCTTAATAGGCACACACAAAAGTAGAAATTTTTTGGGTCTGGAGTTTGTTTTTCACTCATATAGACTGAAGAAAGGAAACACCAAGCGGAAGGAGGAGCTGCCAGGAGAAATACAGTATTTTCTGCTGACTAGATTGTCTCTCTGAGAGCAGAGATTAGTTATCTTGATTACTTCGAACTTTCCAAAGAGAAGTTATACAAGGAAGCAGTCCACTTGTGACCAAAATCAATAACGATAGAACTTTCTTGTTCCTTTGAGGGAAGGCAGCGATGAGATGTGTTATGGCTAATTTTGGAAACAAGATCCCATGCGAACTAAATGGGTTTAGGTGAAATTCAACAAAAATTACAGAACCTGAAAACAAATATGTGGATGTGACTAAACCACTGATTTTTGTAATTGTATCTTTCATGATCATATTACTTAAAATGTTCACAACTGAAAGTGGGAGATTTATTTGCATTTTGATTTATACTAAACAGTGAACAGCAGGCAACTCCTTAGGCTATTATGCAAATGAATATTCTATCTGTTGTAGAAAACACTTTTACATACACAACCTTATTTATTGCTTAATGTTGGGACATTAGCCTCTTGTCCCTTTTCATCCATACATTATAAAAGTTCTGGGATTAATTTATTCCATCCTCAAAATTGAGTCAAATGGAAATGAAAGAAGGCAATAGAAATAGCCTCAGAATATGAAAGAAATGCATAAAGAAGAAACACAGATGACTTTTATGATTACTGTTTAACAACCCTGGATACTGTTCTTGTCGAGAAAACAATAATAATAATACTGAATTAATTGATCATTTTACATCATATTTATTTCAATTTTGAGCAATGTTCTATAGGTCTATACATTTACAGAGTATCAAGGGGAAGAAATTAGAGTACTCTGTGTTTCATATTATCTTCCCTGCAAACATCCTTAAAAAAAAAAAAAAAGCAGTAGGCTGAGTGCGGTGGCTCATGCCTGTAATCCCAGCCAGGCTGAGGTGGGCAGATCACAAGGTCAGGAGTTCCAGACCAGCCTGGCTAACTTGGTGAAACCCCACCTCTACTAAAGATACAAAAAATTAGCTGGGCGTGGTGGCACACACCTGTAATCCCAGCTACTCAGGAGGCTGAGGCAGGAGAATCGCTTAAACCCAGGAGGCGGAGGTGGTAGTGAGCCGAGATCACACCATTGTACTCCAACCTGGGGAACAGGGAGAAACTCCGCCTCAAAAAAAAAAAAAAAAAAAAAAAAAAAAAAGCAGTAAACATCTTAATAGATCACCAAGAGGAAGTACTGATCAATTCCAAGTTTACTTGTTCTTGTGTATGCAAGGAGGCTAAGTTAGATGCTTTCCTCGGGCTCCCTCAAGCTTGATCATTGTCTCATCAAAGTCTAGTGACATATAACAAAGAGGAAAAATGGAGCTCAGAAGACTATATAAATAACCTGAAATTACCCTGGAATTCAACTGAGTTAAGGTTAAAACGAGGCCCAATCTTTTGTCTGAGGCTTTAGGTGAACCTTGCATGAACCTGCACGTATTAGCACTAAGGATCTAAGCAGGGCTGGTCTCTTCACGTAAGCAAGATCAGCACAGCAGCAGCAGCGGTGCACCTGCTGGCTCACTTCACTGGCTCCTCACCTTGCCAGTCCCACCCTTCTCTGTTCTGTCCAACCCCACCCAGTCCCTGAAGAGAAGGGTGAGTCCATTAGTCATCAGCCAAACACTGTATTTTCCTCTGGAGTTGGGATGACCCTAGACTTCCATAAATGAATCCCTGTTCATAGTGGTAGAGGCAGGGCAAAGGCAGAGAGAAGGGTTCTGCAACAGGATATTCTACAGGCAAAGGGTAACTAGGTGAAATTTCTGCTCTAAGTTATGCAAACAGAGTATGTGTCAGCTCATTTTTGAGGCCCTGAAACAGCACTTAGGCGGGCCTGGGGCTTACAAATTTGAGCAAAGAATTTCTAATCTATTTTATTTCCTGTTGGTGAAAAACTGGAGAAGCCTCTAAAGAAAGCCACTCAGATATCATTAAAAAGGGATTGGGGCCGGGCACGGTGGCTCACACCTGTAATCCCAGCACTTTGGGAGGCCAAAGTGGAGGACTGCTTGAGCCCAAGAGTTCAAGACCAGCATGGGCAACACAATGAGACCCCAGCTCTACAAAAAAAATTTAAAAATTAGCCAGGTGTGGTTGCGGTTGGTACACACCCATAGTCCCAGCTATTCAGGAGGCTGAAGTGGGAGGACTACTTGAACCCAGGAGGTCAAGGCTGCAGTGAGCCATGACTGCACCACTGCACTCCAGCCTGGATGACAGAGTGAAATCTTGTCTCAAAAAAAAAAAAAGAAAGAAACTGCTCACTATAAGAGACAGATACACAGATATACGATAAACAGCAAGAGGAATGACTATTTAAAATATCAGCCCCTGGCCATCTGTAATAGATAGACTATTTCACTTATGTCTTTTTAAGAATGTTAAGAAGTGTGAGACACTTAGATGGGCTTCACTTACAATGGCTATGATAACTACTACATACTCACTCTGATGGCTAAAGTGAAAAATACTGACAATGGGATAAATCAACTGTGGTGTATTCAGACAATGGGATATTATTCAGCACTAAAGAGAAATGAGCTATCAAGCCATGAAAAGACATGGAGGAAACTAAAATGCGTATTACTAAGTGAAAAGTCAACATGAAAAGGCTATGTACTACATGATTCCAACTATATGACATTCTGGAAAAGGCAAAACTATGGAAACAGTAAAAAGATCAGTGGTTGTCAAGGGTTGGGGGAGGTACAGTTGAAAAGGCAGTGTACAGTGGATGTTTAGGGCAGTGAAACGACTCTGTATGATACTCTAATGGTTTATTAGAGTATCACTGCCATTACGCATTTGTCCAAACCCATGGAAACCACATCAACAAGAGCAAACCCTAACATAAACTATGGATTCTGGATGATGATGATGCATTGATGCATCAATGAAGATTCATCAATTCTAACAAATGTCTTTTTAAGAATGCTGTATCTGGTGAGGGATGTTGATAATGGAGGGGCTACACATGTGTGGCAGCAGGGGTATATGAGAAATCTCTGTACCTTCCACTCAATTTTGCTGTAAAACTAAAACTGCTCTAAAAAAAATAGTCTATTAATTTAAAAACAATACCAGCATTGCTAAGCATTATAGAACAAATAGAATTCCCAGATACTGCTAGTGGGAGCATAAATTAGTACAGCCACTATAGAAAATTGTTTGGTGGTAGCATTAATTCATTGTTACTAGTCTTAACATGCCTTGAGACCTTAAGTTGCATTTTTGGGAGTGGAACATAACTAGAAATCCCTTCCGGTCATCTTCCGTAGGAAGAAAATATTGCATACAAAAATAACCCCTCCTCACTGTTTCACTAATCCCAGAACACAGTGAGTCACCTCAACACTTTTAAACTGAAGGTCATGACCTATTAGTAGATTGAGAAACTAATTTAGTTGACTTTAAGAAAATTAAATGGGTCAGAAAGACCAGTGTACACTATACATAATAGAAGAAATTACAGTTTTGTGAAATTTTGTCTTATTGGGCATGGACAGGTAGATGGATATTTAATTAATAAATTTACCAAATACACATTTTTTGGCCTAATGCCAAATGACCAAATGCTAAAATTAATATTTGCCAAAGCCAAATGTGGCTTTAACAGAATGAACTACTGGGATACAAGAATAAATCTGAAACCTGGCCGGGCATGGCGGCTCATGCCTGTAATCCCAGCACTTTGGGAGGTGGAGGCGGGCAGATCACTTGAGATCAGGAGTTGGAGAACAGCTGGCCGACACGGTGAAACCTCATCTCTACTAAAAATACAAAAACTAGCCGGGCGTGTTGGCGGGCACCTGTAATCCCAGCTAGTTGGGAGGCTGAGGCAGGAGAATCTCTTGAACACAGCAGGTGGAGGCTGCAGTGAGCCAAGATTGCACTCTAGCCTGGGCAAGAGAGTGAGACTCCACCCAAAAAAAAAAAAAAAAGAATAAACCTGAGATTTTATCCAAAAAAATAATTAAAATTACACTCTTATTACTAAAATTCCGGTAGACTCACTTTAAAAGTTTGATATAAAAGGGCAGAAATGGTAATTCCTTGGTACTGTTAACTGCAGCCTGATGGGACTTCTGTAAAACTAAACAAATCCTCTCTCTAAAACAAGGTCTGTAGAAAAAGCAAGATGTTCTTGCGCTAGCTCTGCCAGAGTCACTGCTGCCGGAAGTGACGCTGCCAGCACATTAGTAAGCTATCCTTCCTCCCTGATAGGAACCAACTGAGGTCAAGACTTAATCTCTTCATCTCCTGGGCCTGAATATTTGCTTAATGATGATGATATAATGTCACTGAAAGTAGTCCCACAAAGAATACAATGGATTCCCCAGAATTACTAGCAATCACACTCTCTCAACATTAATTCTCAATCTATGCCTGTAATTTTTACTCTTTATATAATAATTTTCATACTTAAAATTCGGACTCATTATCATCATTAATTATTAAAATAATTTACTCCTCCAACAATGAATAATCATTTATACATTCAACTGAGAGAATT
Source organism: Homo sapiens (assembly GCF_000001405.40). NCBI lineage: Eukaryota > Metazoa > Chordata > Mammalia > Primates > Hominidae > Homo > Homo sapiens. The sequence continues at coordinate 75,108,451 of NC_000009.12, read as the reverse complement.
TCAATATATTAATATTGAAAATTTTCTTGGGGAAAAATTGAAGAAAATGATTTCAGTCCTAGGAATTAAAAAAAAAAGTTACCCTGGTCATGCCACCTCCACAAAAGGCAAATCAGAAAGGCACACATTGTAACTGTTACATTTAGAGAAATTACTTGTTTCCAAAGCAAATTTTTTCTTTTTCTTTTTTCTTTGATTAATTAATTAATTTATTTATTTATTTATTTGAGAGACAGGGTCTCACTGTCACCCAGGTTGGAGTACAGTGGTGCAATCATAGCTCACTGCAGCTTCAACCTCTCAGGCTCAAGAGATCCTCCTGCCTCAGCCTCCTAAGTAGCTGGGATTACAGGTATGCACCACCACACCCAGCTCATTTTTTGTAGAGACGGGAGTCATGTTGCCCAGGCTGATCTCAAACTCGTGGCTTCAAGCAATCCTCCCACCTCGGCCTCCCAAAGTGTAGGGATTACAGGTATGAGCCACCAGGCCCAACCTTCAAAGTGAATATTAAGGTAACAGTAAATCCATATGTCATGCCTTGTTTGCATTACTGATGCTGCTAAAGTGATGAGGCATGAGGGTTACCGATGCACTCTATAATCCTTGCTCAAGCAGAAGTCTTGGTGTGCCAAATAAAGTTGGCATTCCACCATTTGGCCAGTTATCCAAAGCTTAATGGTAGATTTTGGAAAAAATTTGAGTCTAAAGCGAACTTCTGTGTTCCCCTCTGGTCATGTATGTGTGTATTTTTATGTTCTGGGTTATCAAGAAAAATACATATCTTACTGAAGTTCAAGGTCAAAAAATGTTTGGGAGCCATTGCTCCAGACTATCTGATAAAATTAGGAATTGTTACAGGACTCTATAAAGAATATTTTCCTACTTTGTGGATCTCAGCAAGTATATAAAAAACAATATTCTCCCATTTCCCCCAAAAGCAGATAATTGCAAGCAATCTTAGAGCTCTCAAAATGAAAGAAGAGGAAGAGAATTATTTGATCAAGAGAGAATCATGGAAAATAATACTTTATACATATATCTTTCTCACATCTGTCTAAGAACATGCAGGGAGCATTAATCTTCTTAATTTATACCCCGTGGGTACTAAAAAATAGTGTCATCATCTCTGGCTACTCTCGGGGTAAGAAAAAGTATTAATTATTTCTATGAGGCATATTTGAATTATTCTACTAAATATGCATGATGAAACAGGATGTTTTCTGTTGAAAAACAAAACAGGGGGAGTCCGTGGGATGGTATCCAAGAGTTAAGGCCATCATTTTTTATTCTTGGGGTGACAGAAAACAGCTGTACTCTGTTGGGCCAACACAGGCTCCCCCTCAACCTCTGGCTTTGTGGATTCCAACACCCATAAATGAGGTGATTAGCTCAGAACAGGCCTCCTGGCCCAGATCTCTATTGGCGTCATTCCACAAAAGCCCACTGCTTTTTTTTTTTTTTCTTTTTTTTTCTTTTTCTTTTTCTTTTTTTTTTCCGAGACAGAGTCTTGCTCTGTCGCAATGCTGGAGTGCAGTGGCATAATCTGGGCTCACTGCAACCTCCGCGTCCCAGGTTCAAGTGATTCTCCTACCTCAGCCTCCCAAGTAGCTGGGATTACAGGCATGCAACACCACACCCAGCTAATTTTTGTATTTTTAGTAGAGACGGGGTTTCACCATGTTGGCCAGGATGGTCTTGATCTCTTGACCTTGTGATCCGCCCGCCCCGGCCTCCCAAAGTGCTGGGATTACAGGTGTGAGCCACCACGCCCGGCACCCACTGCTTTTTTTTTTTTTTTTTTTCGAGATGGAATTTCACTCTTGTTGCCCAAGCTGGAGTGCAATGGCACGACCTCAACTCACTGCAACCTCCACCTTCCAGGTTCAAGCAATTCTCCTGCCTCAGCCTCCCAAGTAGCTGGGATTACAGGCCCCCACCACCATGTCCAGCTAATTTGTGTATTTTTAGTAGAGACGGAGTTTCACCACGTTGGCCAGGCTGATCTTGAACTCCTGACTTCAGGTGATCCGCCTGCCTCAGCCTCTCAAAGTGCTGGGATTACAGGCATGAGCCACTGAGCCCAGCCTAAAAGCCCACTGCTCTTGAAAATAAAAAGAGAGGCTATAATCCTTGGAAAGAAAGTCATACTGTGAGTATAACAATGTCCAATAGTTTCCAATGTAATGAGTAAGTTTCTTCCTGCCTACTTATACTCTTGGATTAATTAAATCAAGTTCAATTAATTGTTTGCACATATACCTTTAAAGAAAAAACTAACAGCAACAACTCTGAACATGACATTTCCATCCCTCCTCTCTCTAACACCACCTCTTCCCCACCACTTCCCCTATCCAATCCAAAAAAGAAACAGAAAAAACCTAAAGAATTTGAAACATGTCTTGATTTCAGCTGCAGGAATAGCGGACTCTTTAAAAACAGTAGCCTGAGTGTTTTCTGACAAGAGCGTTCTGTTTATTAACAGTGTGCCTTTCTAATCCATTTTTTCTTTGCTTATACTTTTCAGTGCCTTTCAGCAAACTTGGTTTACTTTTACATCTTGATGGGCCATACCTACTAGTTAATTTTATTTAGTCTCCATCATATAACATAAAAATCCCAGAGAGCGGGGTTTGAAATTTCAACTGACAAGCTCTTTGCCAACTGTCTTCACTGGGTAAAAAACAGAGAAAGAAAGCAATGGTTCCTAAAAACCCTTCATCTCAGGACAAACTGCTTCCAATGTCAGTCTGAGGAGACCTTGGGAAAAATGGAAGAAAATGATCTCTGTCCTTGAAATTAAAAAAAAAAAGTTACCCTGATCATGCCACCTCCGCAAAAGGCAAGATCAGTCCAAAGGCTCGTCCATGAAGGCAATGCTTGTTTTTGTATGACCTTTAAGCTAAGAATGGTTTTACATGTTTAAACAGATGAGAGAAAAATGAAAAATAGTATTTCAAGATACATGAAAATGATCTGAAATTCAAATGCAGTGTCCATGAATAAAGATTTATTGGAGCACAGCATTCATTTGTTCTTTGTCTGTGGCTGCTTTCACATTATACCATGGCAGAGTTGAGTAGCTGCAAAAGAGCAACGTGTGGCCTACGAAGCCTAAAGTATTTACTATTTGGCCCTTTATAGATGATGTTTGCAGACCTCTACCTTGTAGTCCTCTTTTTGCAAGTAACAAGTCAGACAAACAGAGCACTGGGCCACAGCATGAAGATCTGCAGCTCCTAACCTGCTTCTCCCCAACCCCAAAACCAATCTGGGTCATGACTTCCTCCCATATGAAATGACTGGTTGGGCAAATGATTACATATATGCAAGATTAAAGACAGAAAATTCCCTAACATCAAAATCTTTAATCCAAAACTAAATTATCCTTCTAAACTCACATTTATGGGACACTTACCATGGGCCAGACACCATGCAAAGTACTAACTCACAGCAATTTATTTAATCCTCAAAACAATCTGGTGATGTAAATGTTCTATTAACCCTATTTTATAGCTGGGGAAACTGAGGTTAGAGAGGGTAAGTAACTAGTCCAGGTCCACACAATTAGGGAGTGGCAGCAAAGAGCCTTAAACTCAGGCCCATCTGGCTCCAGAACCCATGCTCTGAATACTGTTCTTTTAATTCTGGCACCCAGGGACTGAATGACACTGAACAAATACCATGTGTGAAATACTGAGCGCAGTTCCTGATGTGTTGTACGTGCCCATAAATGTTAGCTACTATTAATTACTATACCTTTTTACATTATTCTGGGACTTACTCCTTGTGTTTCTCCTCACTGGCAAGAGAGTATTATCGAAATCCTCACCCTGTATATTAGAAAATTTATCACACATGATATCCCAGCAAGAGATATTCTAATGCTTTTTTTGTTTGTTTTTAATTTTAGCGACAGGGTCTCACTCTGTCACCCAGGCTGGAGTGTAGTGGCTCTATCACAGCTCTGCATAATCTCCAACTCCTGGGCTCAAGAGATCCTCCTGTCTCAGCTTCCCAAAGTGCTGGGATTACAGCCACCATGCCCGGCTAACTTTTCAAAAATTTTTTTGTAAAGACAGGGTCTTGCTGTTACCCAGGCTGGTCTTGAGCTCCTAGCTTCAAGCAATCCTCTTGCCTTGTCCTTCCAAAGCCCTGGGATTACAGGTGTGAGCCACTGCACCTGGCCATAATGCTTTTTTTGTTTGAGACAGGGTCTCACTCAAGTCGTCCTGGCTGGAGTGCAATGCCACAATCACAGCTCACTGCAGCCTTGACTTCCCAGGCTCGGGCAATCATCCCACCTCAGTCTCCCAAGCAGCTGAGACTACAAGCTTGTGCCACCACACTGGGGCTGGGCTACTTTTTTTTTTGTTTTGTATTTTTAGTAGAGACGGGATTTTACCATGTTGCACAGGCTGCCCTTGAACTCCTGACTTCAAGCGATCTACCCACCTTGGCCTCCCAAAGTGTGGGATTACAGGCATGAGCCATAACGCCCAGCCCATAATGCTTGTTTTAAGCAAACAAAGCTCACACCTGTAATCTCAGCATTTTGGGAGGCTGAGGCGGGAGGATTGCTTGAGCCCAAGAGTTTGAGACCAGCCTGGGCAACACAACAAGACCTTGTCTACAAATAATTTTTAAAAATTAGCTGGGTATGGTGGTGTATGTCTGTGGGTCCCAGCTACTTGGGAGGCTGATGTGACAGAATCTCTTGAACCCAGGCAGTGGAAGCTGCAGTGAGTCAAGACTGTGCTACTGCACTCCAGCCTGGCACTCCGGCACTCCAGCACTCTAGCAACAGAGGGAATTACCATAATTAAAAATAAGAGTTTATCGTGTCCCTTAAAATTTAGCTTCTGGGGTATATACTTATCTTTAGTTGTTATGTAAAAAAGGCTGGTGGTAATATTATATATGCAATCAGCTATGTAAAACAAAAATCTGCATAGAAGAAAAACTGGAAAGAAACAACATCAAAATGCTAACTGTTATCTCTGAGTGGTAGAACTATGAGTCATACTTATTTTCTTCTTTATTTTCTAAATTGTCTACAATGAATAAGTATCCCATATACAATCAGGAAAATGTGTTCTCTTTTAATGCCCTTTTGAAGAATAACTTATAAGGTACCTGTATTTTATTTTATATATTTATTATTTATTTGTGACAGGGTCTTGCTCTGTTGCCCAGGCTATAGTACAATGACGCAGTCATAGCTTGCTGTAATCTTGAACTCCTAAACCTCCTGCCTCAAACTCCTGGGCAGCTGGGACCACAGGCACATGCCACCACACCCAGCTAATTTTTCTTTCTCTATTTTTTGTAGGGATAGAGTATCATTATGTTGCATGGGCTGGTCTTAAACACCCGGTCTCAAGCAATCAGCCCACCAGGGCCTCCCAAAGTGCTGGGATTATAAGCGTGAGCTTATAATCTGGCCTACTTGTGTTTGATTTATCAGCAATGTATTTACTAATATGAGTCCTCCTTATCCACTTTCTCTTCCTCACTTCATCATGAAAAAAAATTGCCATGCCTAGTACACCCACAAAACTGAGAACATAGGGACACTTAAATTAACACAGTGAGGAGGCTTTCATGATCAGCGCAGGCTATTGTGGGAGGTGACATCTACTTTAATTTTGGAGATAAAAGTAGTTATTCATTGTGATGCCACTGGAGTAGAAAAAATTTTAAAAAACAAACAGTAGTTACCCATGCAAAAGGGGGCAGGATCAGGCAGCCCCAGAATAAAGAGCAGGGTCTGGGGTTCAGGAAGCGGGGTCTAAGAATGTCCAGTCAATCAACATGCCTGAAGCCTGGGGTAAAAGATGGCGAGAGATTAAACTGGGGCATGAGCGGATGCTAGAGGTTTTCAAACTTTTTCGAGATCCGTAGGAAGAAATATATTTCATATCAGGACACACACACTCATAAAACGTAAAAAAGGTCTTATAAAAATTTCTTATCCTTACTTTGAGTGATTCACTCTGATATTTTTTGTTTGTATTCTATTTTCTTTTCTTCAAGACGCTAGTCATGACTAATTTTACTGACTTTACTACCTACCAATTCACCACTCACAGAGTGAAAAAACACCAGCCCAGAGCATTTCACATATCAATGTGTGCATCCACTGTTTAGAGATGAAATTATAAAAATGCCCTCACTGGCTGGGTGTGGTAGATCACACTTGTAATCCCAGCACTTTGGGAGGCCAAGGTGGGAGGATCACTTGAGGCCAGGAGTTCAGGATCAGCCTGGGCAACAGAGCGAGACCCCATCTCTACAAAAAACAAAAATAAACAAAAAATTAGTTGGGACAGTAATGTGCGCCTACAGTAATGTGCGCTACTTGGGAAGCTGAGGCAGGAGGACAGCTTGAGCCCAGGAGGCTGCAGTGAGCTATAATTGTGCCACTGCCCTTCCAGCCTAGGTGACAGAGCAAGAAGCCATCTCTAAAGAAAATAATAATTTAAAAATTTTTTTAAATGGCCTTACTCTTGGCTCTCTATGAAGACACATGCTAGCAAGACAACATGATGATATAAATGTGCCCTTTATTTATAGTGCAACCTCTTTCAAACCTGATACAGAGACCAGGATATACACAACATCTAAGAAGACAAAATGGGAATCACTAGAGACAGAACTGAGCTTAAGCTAAGAGCTCAATCAAAGCTGACCCAACAGATACACAGGGGCCAAGTTGGTAGCTGAGGGTATTTTACTATTTCTAGCTAATATTAGAACTCTGGTAAAATAATACAAACTTTGGACATAGGAGAAAGATTATAAAACACAAGAGGAAAAAATAAAGAGCAAAGGATTATCAATATCTTTGAAAACGGAGCCCCTCTTTGTTCAGAAAACAGAAGGATTCAAATGTTCTTATGTAGCACGTACAAGAGCCTCCACAAAAGTCCATATCTCAAATTCTAACAGACCCAAAAAGAGGAAAACGAGTTCAGAAAGGTCATCTATGAGAAACTAACAAGCTGTCCAAAGCATCTGTTTCTTCCAAGATCATCTACTCACTAAGACAACAGCCTTTAAACTGAAAATTGTTTCCCTAATTGCATCCTCTCTCAAGTCACAGCAGTGCTACTTCAAAAGGTTGGTGTTGTGTTCCTAAGAGCCACATTCCTATCATAAAAGTGGCTTGCCTGGTGACCTGGAAATGTCTGACCTGACGCCCTGACCTACCTGACCTGACGCCCTGACTCCACTCCAGGGCTCCGCCTAGACAGCCCAGGTGGTGAGCCCTTTCTCCAGCTTGGCCCGGTCCTGAGAGTCGAGATTGTTTACGGGAAGGAGGGGCTAAGCAGAAGTCAGGAGGATCTGGAAAGACCGAAGGAGTCCAAGTGACTCCCAAAAAGGCCAGGGGAGAATTTTAACCCTAAGAAATGTCAAGGTATTTTCCAAGCCAGCTCAAATTAGGGATGGAGGAAGGGAAGCACAAGAGAATGGAGTCCTTTAGGATTTCCCCAGAGAACGGGAAGGCCAGGAAGTGAAAAGCTGTGGTTTCTGGGGCTGTAATTAAAATACGGTAAATTACAGGACCATTCTCGCCGAAATCCCCCTTTCACCTGGAAGGTGGGGGAGAGTTGTGACAATACTTCCACGGTCAAATTCTTACCTTCAGCCACGCCAAGGCCCCGGGTCAGACCTACCCCTGAGGTTGCAGCTGCTCAGAAACTTTTTTTTTTTTTTTTTGAGACGAGTCTCACTCTGTTGCCCAGGCTGGACTACAGTGGCCTGATATCAGCTCACTGCAACATCCGCCTCCCAGGTTCAAGAGATTCTCCTCCCTTAGCCTCCCGAGTAGCTGGGATTACAGACATGCGCCACCACGGCCCGGCTAATTTTTGTATTTTTAGTAGAGACAGGGTTTCGCCATGTTGGCCAGGCTGGTCTCAAACTCCTGACCTCAAGTGATCCATCTGCTTCAGCCTCCCAAACTGTTGGGATTACAGGCGTGAGCCACCGCGCCTGGCCTCAGAGACTTTTTTAAAAAAAAAAACTCTTTTTCACTGATGGATGCCCAGAAGATCATTTTATCTTTTTATGAACATGGGCACATGGACAAGGAGGGAGGAAATGGAGACAATGGAATCTTTTCTTAAACTTCTAGGAATGCCTTGGTCCCCTCCCAAGCCCTTGAGCCTGCAGAACTATTTACTGTTTAAGATGTGGATGGCGTGGCAGTGAGAATAACCTCTGCTCACAGAGACAGAAGAAGGAAAAATCAGTGCTCTCTGGGGCAGTGGCTTGCCACCAATATGCAGTGGTCATTTAAATTGTAGGCTTTCAGAATAATCACTAGGAATTTGATATCCTTCTATACCCACTGTCTACATGCAGAAGTAACCTGCTATCTCTTGCTATCTGTCCTAACAAATTGTAGTTCTTTACCTTTGGTTTTAAGATACTTAGTGGAAAACTAACACTTGAGCACTATAATAATTTTCAACTATGAATAGAATGATTTTTGTTTGAATTCTAAAGCCATAGCAACAAAATTTATTCCCGTAAGTATAATTCTATGTCCTTAAAATTGCCATTTTGGCCAGATATAGTGGGTCATGCTGGTAATCCCAACACTTTTTTTTTTTCTGAAACAGAGTCTCACACTATTGCCCAGGCTGGAGTGCAATGGCACTATCTCAGCTCACTGCAACCTCCGCCTTCCAGGTTCAGGCTATTCTCCTGCCTCGGCCACCCGAGTAGCTGGGTTTACAGGCGCTCATCACCACACCCGGCTAATTTGTTGTATTTTCAGTAGAGGCGGGGTTTCACTATGTTGGCCAGACTGGTCTCGAACTCCTGACCTAAGGTGATCCACCTGCCTTGGCCTCCCAAAGTGCTGGGATTACAGGCGTGAGCCACCACACCCAGCCCAATCCCAACACTTTGGGAGGCCCAAGTGGGAAGACTGTTTCAGCCCAGGAGGTCCCACTATGGAGACCCCATCAGACCAGCCTGGGCAACACTGTGGGACCCCATCTGTACAAAAAAAATGTTTAAATAGTTGGGCTTGGCAGCACATGCCTGTAGTCTCAGCTACTCAGGAAGCTGAGGCGGGAGGGTCACTTGAGCCCAGGAGGTTGAGACTGCAGTGAGCCATGCACTCCAGCCTGGGCGACAGAACAAGACCTTTTCTTAATTAAAAAAAAAAAAAGCCATTTATCAGAATTTCTTTAAATATATAAATGTTATTTTCTTTACCCCTGTAATCCCAGCACTTTGGGAGGCCGAGGTGGATGGATTACCTAAGATCAGGAGTTCGAGACCAGCCTGGCCAACATGATGAAACCCCATTTCTACTATAAATACAAAAAAGTAGCTGGGCATGGTGGTGCATGCCTGCAATCCCAGCTACTCGGGAGGCTGAGGCAGGAGAATCACTTGACCCCAGGAGGCGGAGGTTGCAGTGAGCCAAGATCGTGCCATTGCACTCCAGCTTGGGCAACAAGAGGAAAACTCCATCTCTAAAATAAATAAGTAAATAAAAAAGAAAAAAAGAGGCTTTTGGTTTCTGCCAGTATAGCTGGCAGAGTGATGGGTAGGGAGAGAATCATTCTCTTAGCAGATTAGTCCTCCCTCTTCTAGAGATAAGCACTGAAAACCCTCCTCTCTGGAATCAAATACAATGATTTCTGTAAAGCAAGGTCTTAATTTAAATCTATGGCTTAAAACTATCACCTCCAAAAGAGATGGGGAAAAATAGCATGAGAGGAGACAAGAGGATCCTGAATGATATTTTGCACAGAGAATTTCTAAAATCTAGTAGAATACGTAGTATTTTCACATCTTGGGTCTACAGAGTTGATGTTACTGAGTTATAACCAACTTTACATTTTCCAAACATAAAAGTCTTCAGTATCTCGATGGCCATTCAAGAACAACCACATTTTGCAAGGGTCTCCTTGGAATCTGTGCATATAAAGCCCCAGACATATTCCTGCAGGGAGACCCCAGTGTTCTCTTTCTCTAGACAGCTACAAGAAAAGAAAAAAAAATTCTGCCCTATGTAGCGAGAGCCTAAGTGAATCAGATCAGGCCTAATTATTAGTACATTATGCCCCCTTCCTAACCCTCATCCTATCCTTTCCCATCTCTTTGTTGTTTCTCATGGAAATCTGGACTTATGAAAAGCCTTTGCTTGGTGTGTTTAATTCCTCCATATGTTTCTATCCACATGCTGCTGAGCACTGAGTAGCTGGGAGTTGGGAAGTGGATCATTGAAAATGGCCCAGGAGTCTAGGAGAAGGAGCACGAAATGAAATTAGTCAGAAATGTGAGAAATTATTTGAGAGGCCAGTACGAGGCCATGAAGATTTCAAATCAGATTTAGCATGAGATGAAGAAACTAGCCTGAGCAACAAGGTAAAACTGTGTCTCTACAAAAAATACAAAAATTAGCCAGGCATGGTGATGCACAACTGCAGTCCTAACTCCTGGGAAGGCTAAGGTGGGAGGATCACTTGAGCCCAGGAAGCAGAGGTTGCAGTAAGCCCAAGATCATCACACCACACTCAGCCTGGGCAACAGAGCCAGACCCTTGCCTCAAAGAGAAAAAAAAAAAAAAAACTGAGGCATAAAGTAGTCTAGTGACTTATAAAGGTCACCTAGCAAGTTAACTACAAAATTGGTGCTAATGGAGCTGTTGCTTTAAAAAAAAAAAAAAGAGGGGACGGCACGAGGGCCAGAAGTTCATCCCACTCATAATGAAGCATGTCCAACCCCCATTAGACTTTTATGTTTGGAAAATGTAAAGTTGATTATAACAGTAATACCAACTCTGGAGACCTAAATATGTCTGGGGCTTTATATGCACAGATTCCAATGAGATCCTCAAAAAATGTGGTTGTTCATGAATGGCCATCAAGACACTGAAGACTTGATGTTTGGAAAATGTAAACTTGATTATAACTCAGTTTATCATGGTCTGAACTAGCTTTTCAGGTTAAATCTGGCTGAGGGGAGGGGTCCATTCCATTGGTTGGGGAGCTTAGAGTTTTATTTTTGGTTTACACTTTAGAGCCCCAATATTTAGATACAGAATAGGTTTTCAAGAGTGCAAAGGCCTTAGGCAAGGACCAGAAGCCCTGTCAGATGGGAAGGGTTCCCTGAAAGCAGAAGCAGGCAGTCACCATAGTAGTGACTCCTACCTCACATTTCAGCTTCGGATAGGCCCAGGTTCTAGTGAGCAGTTGCTTGGATGACCTGAATGCAGAGAGATCAAAGAGAATGATTTATTCCCCCAAAGAAAAATGTGGTCGAAAACAATTTTAAGTTTGGCACACCATTCAGAATATTAACTTTGGCAGGAATGGTTTCTGTTGCAAAGTTTCATGGACACTTTCCTTGCCTGAAAAACCAGCAGGAATACCTTCAGATGAAGTCCTCGCAGGGCTAGCATCAGATAAATCTGAGCACTGACTCATCCAAACAATAAGCCCAAAAAAGCAATGAAATAATACGTGCTAGCCAGAAAGTCTTGTGAACCTGGGTAGTCAACATTTCAGACATAAGCATAAGAGTTTGGTTTTCAAATAAGGAAGGATGAGACTCCGAGATCCTCCAAATCTTCTGGAGTCTGAGATACCTGCCAACTGTGTCTAAAACCTAGAGGGGCTTCTTTCAGCCAACCCCGTCTAACCCACACTCAGCGAGCTAAAGTTTGGAAGCGTCTTCTCCCCAAATATGGATTTGGTCAGGAAGTTCCTCGAAGACACACACACATTCCAAGATAACCTCCAGGTTGTAGTCATTTCTTTGTCTCATGGCAGTAAGTCCTGGCTGGGAAGCCGAGAATCCTAAAATAGAATCCATGAGTTTCTCAGAACCAAGCAAAATTCCTGGAGTGTAGGGATGCCAGGGAGACCCTTGTAAAGGGCCTGAGACAGTCCCTCTAGCATGAGTATAAACTGAGTTGGTTAGAGGGTCTCCCTTAATTTGAATTCAAATTGCCCTCAGGCTCCCTGGAAATTGGGAGCACCCAGCAGAAAAGATCCACATTAGATGCATTCTTCGGTCCCAAGAATATAAAACCAAAATAGCTTATCCAATTATAAGGGATGCTAAAGACTTTTAAATTCCATGCCAATCAAAATGCACAAATATAAAACCATCCCCCAACTCTAATCCCAAATGTAAGCTGAGAAATTTGCCTTGTGGCTTTCTAAAAATCCTACAGATGCACAGACATAAAGTGGTAAATGACTGGAAGAATAAAAAGGAGGGGGCATGTCCAGGCGCGGTGGCTCACGCCTGTAATCCCAGCACTTTGGGAGGCCGAGGCGGGTGGATCACGGAGGTCAGGAGATCGAGACCATCCTGGCTAACACGGTGAAACCCTGACTCTACTAAAAATACCAAAAATTAGCCAGGCGTGGTGGCGGGCGCCTGCAGTCCCAGCCACTCAGGAGGCTGAGGCAGGAGAATGGCGTGAACCCGGGAGGCGGAGGTTGCAGTGAGCCGAAATCGCGCCACTGCACTCCAGCCTGGGCGACAGAGCAAGACTCCATCTCAAAAAAAAAAAAAGGGGGGCCACAGCAGTCACACCAATAACTTGTTTAATTGATTTGCAGTTGCTAAATCTCTTCAACTCGTTGCCCTAAACTAAACACCTACAGCAACTGTTAACACTGAGAAACAGATAAGCAATCTGTGAAGAGGGCTGACGTGTGCATTTAAATTCTTGCTTTCTGTGTGGAGCAATACCATTTTTCACAAACTGTTACACTGGGTAAACGGCCTTCCCTTTATTCAGAGAAAATTATCTGGTTCACAGTTCTCTGTGCACATACCAAATTTCCTTGACTTCTCTGAAAGAAGCTTAGCCCTTATTTAGTTAGACAAATGTGGACAGGAGGATGCATTATTTC